>NC_000014.9:27111713-28361713 GCF_000001405.40 Homo sapiens | reverse complement strand
AATATCTCCCCAATAAGATTAACACCTGATTTCTCATCAGATACCATGGAATCCAGAAGACATTGGGATGACATGTTTTAAGTGCTAAAGGGGAGGGAAAGCTATCATCCAAGAATTTGCTTTTTTTCGAAAATGCAAACTAAAAGAGTTTCATTAAAGCAAATTACTGAGATGAATCCTTTCCATTTTGAGGAAGAAAGATACTAATATTGAGTTTGGCTTTACCTCATTATGATTTACATATTTAACTTCTCAGGCATTATTTATAAAGAAAAGTCAGATCAATAATTTTATCCTTTTTAAATTTACACATTGTCTACTTTTTTTCTGGGAATACAATCTTATTTGGAGGTAGGAAGGAGTGATTTATTTGGGGAATGTTTTTCCTTTCTTCTCAACTTTTAATTTAGATACAGAAGCTACATGTACAGATTTGTTACATGGGTATATTGCACTGTTAGTGAGCACGGCGTCCACTGGGTAGTTTTTCAACATATAACCCTTCCCTTTCTCTCCGCTCTAGTAGTTCTCACAGTGTCTATTTTTCCCATGTTTACATCCTTAGGTGCGCAATGTTTAGCTCTCATTTATAAGTGAGAACGTGCAGCCTTTGATTTTCTGTTTCTGTGTTAATTCACTTAGAATTGTGACCTCTAGCTGCATCCATGTTGCTGCAAAAGACATGATTTCATTCTTTTTATGGCTTTGTAGTATTCCACTGTGTACATGTACCATATTTTTTTATCCAACTGCCCCTCAAAATTGGGGAAGAAATTGTCATTCCCGGATAAACAAAGGTCATCACTGATAGAACTCCTCTACAATAAATGCTAAAGGAGTTCTTTACGTGGGCATGAAAGGAATTTAGAAATTAACTCAAACTATGTGATGGAATGAAAAATAGTGATAAAGTTAACTATCAAGGTAAATACAAAAGCTAGTATTGTATATATTTTTTTACTTTTGACATTTCAAACCCTATGATTTAAGAGACAAGTACAAAAACCAATGATCGTGAATCTGTATTAGTAGACACACAATATAGAAAGATAAAATTTGTGATGACACAACATAAGGGAGGAGGTGCAGAACTATATAAGAGGAGAGTTTTTGTAAAATATTGAACCTAAAAAGGTTTTAATTCGAAGAACGTAGCTACAAGTTTAAGAAACCGATTGTAATCTTCAGGGTAATCCCTAAGATAATAAAAATGAACAGAAAAGGAGAAAGGAATCAAAACTGTATACCATAAAAATCAATTCAATACAAAAGAAGTCAGTAATGAGTAGAAAAATGAGGACAAATGATATATTCAAAACGAAAATATAGTTTATATTTAAGTCAGAGAAGTCAAAATGTGAAAAGATGTTTCAAATCTTTATTTACATTTGTAGAATACGTGTCGTACGTCATGGGGATTCTGCTGATTTGTTCTACTTACTAACTATAAGGAGTGAAACCAAAGCTAATTTGTGTTGAGGTGGTATGATGGAGATACAATATCGAAATAACTTCAAATTACAGTTAAAATAAATTACGACATCTCACAGCTTATTGAACCTTGTCTAAGGCAAAGATGGTTTAAGGATACAGTCATATTTTAGTAATGCCCAATAACTATATAAAAATAATTAGTACTTATTTCTTGTCATACTTCCTACTGGAGAAAAGTAATCTTTGATTAGGGCAATGAACAGAATGTTAAGCAAATAGTTAAGATGTTTTTGTAATATTGTGTTGCCTATCAAAGCCAAAAAACTTGTTACTACTTCTTTCCCTCAACTAATCAAGATACATGTAAAAATTTGATATAGCAACTTGAAAATAAAATTTGTATAGAGTTGCAATTTAAAATAGGTAAACAAAAATTGGACTTCACCCCTGATTACACATCTCACTCAAATTACATGGAATAAGACATGCCTCAGCCTGGACAGTTGTTTGTCCTTAACGTTTTTATTCCTTAGTAGAATATCCCTGCTGATTTTGTTGACAGAATAAGTCAACATACTTTTTTTTTTCCTTTTTTTAATAGTTGTGAATTGTACAACTTATTACATGACTGGTTCCTTTACAGTTTTCAGGATCTCTGATTAAAGAAAACACTTTGCATTTGATTGAAAAGATAAGTACATGAATGGACTATGTCCTTTGCAGAAAAGGTAGAAGAGCATTTTTTGGTGGAGTGGAAGCAAATCTCTGACAAGCCCTACCGTGGCACACTATGAATCTGCTGGGCTGTTATTCAAATGCTGTTTATCCAGCCGATAGGAAGCCCACATAAGAAATCTAGAATTATCTTATAAAAACTCAACATGTAATCTAGATTATTCCCTTCTTTAAACAGACTTTAGTTTTTTTCTTCCATTATTTTAATGTCAGTGTTTCGAAGTGACAAGGTTCAATTCAAGTTATGTGATAACATTTAAGTATTTCAGGAACAAAATAACATAGATATAAAACAGTCAACTCAAAGGTCCAAGTTTTCCATGCAAATCATCCATTATCTTGTCTTTTTCTTCTCCCATAAGGCTCTCTATCAACTCTAATTCTTTACTGAAGCCCGTAATTGAAACAACACTATTTTGGGCACTAAAAGTCATTAAGTGGAAAAAATGCCTTGGAAGAATGACAAGGTGATTGGCTACCTCAGGTCTAAATTTTTGGCCATTAGAACCCCATTTTATCCTGCCTAACCCCTGCAACCTTGTTTTTAAAATCTACCTAAATACAATATATTCGCAGAATCTTGAAATTTGTATTACAAGGTTTTCTGTTTGTGGCAGCTTGCAATTTACCCAGCAATATAAAATGTTGGAGATCTATTTCCTAACATATTATTGTAATATATAAAAAGGAACCAATCAATATATAACAAGTTGAACACATTATAGCTATTCTATAAAAAATAAAGTCAGTAGCAATTGTAAAAAGCTTGATGAATAAACTTCCCTTAATGCTGCAAATCACTAATGTATCTGGTTTACACTGTTTCTGCCTTTTACTTTATGGTCTCTTGATTTCCCAATAAAATTCAACCTTGGCTTTCAACCTATTCTGCATTTTTGCCACTGTCTAGATATAGTTTAGGTTTAATCAAAATTATAAAATCTTAACTTAAAGTTTTTAAGTAGAAAGACTCATTTTATGTGTCAACTAATGGTATCACCCCTTCACACGTTTAATGACTATTGTCTAGTTGAGCACATAGTTTTTATTATCTATTGCCTTGTTTTGCTTTTTGCTCTGACTTTAAAAATTCCAGGCTGGGCACGGTGGCTCATGCCTGTAATCCCAACACTTTGGGAGGCCGAGGTGAGTGGATCACGAGGTCAGGAGTTCGAGACCAGGCTGACCAACATGGTGAAACCCTGTCTCTACTAAAAATACAAAAATTAGCTGGGTGTGTTGGCCGACACCTGTAATCCCAACTACTCAGGAAGTTGAGGCAGGAGAATCGCTTGAACTTAGGAGGTAGATGTTGCAGTGAGCTGAGATCGTGCCACTGCACTCCAGCCTGGGCAACAGAGTGAGACTCTGTCTCAAAAAAAAAAAAAAATATTACTTTGGTTTGATTTTCTTTTCTTTTTTTTTTTTTTTTGCAGCTGACATCTGTTGTTGTCAGTATATCTGGAAATGGCCCAGAAAACCTAGCTGCCAGAAAAAAAATAGCATTCCCTTTTGTAAAGGTTAGCTTCTTATCCTTTCCAAAGCTAACCAACCTTTCCATGATTCCCATTTTAATAAATTTCTTCTATTAATGAAAATTGAATGACTCTTTAGGTTCCTGTAACCATTGAAAAATATTGATGGACTGTATATTTAATGGCATTCATTCAATATTATTCACATTTAGAACATTGAAGACAGTTATGTAAAATCTGCCCGTATCTGACCATTTTATATTTAATGTATTTTAATTATTCATGACTAATATATCCATCAATAATGTCCGACTTCTAATTCTGTGAGATGCCTGTGATGATAGAGATGGAAAAATACAGGGTAATTTCTTGCTATAGCGACCCACCTATGTCACTTCACTTTCAAATCGAATAAAAAATAGTTTTTTTCCAGGCCTTTCAGAATAATGCTAAAATATATAAAAATGGAAGTACTTTAGAAACTATATCCTTAATTCTGTGTAATCAGCACAGACTCAATAATTAAACACGAGAAGATCTGTTGCTGTCAGGGACCATTTCAAAAAATAAAAAACATTGCTGCCATTTTAAACAGAAAAACATTTAATATAAAGAGCTGGATGATTATGAAGTAACTGAAGGAGTACGATGAGGCTCTAGTCTGGTCCTCTAATAACACTCAGAGATGTATGCTACATCTACCAGAAGAAGATGAAATCTGAGGTCAGGACTGATAAGTTCAAGAACATGCTTCTGCAACTACAATCCAGCTAATAGTTAACATCACCACTGCTGCAACTCCCCCTTGACACTCACATAACCACTGATTATTCAGTAGAAGGCTGAATTCTGTCATCATCACTGCCATAAACGTGCTTCTCATTACTTATGAAACTGAAGACTGGAACATTGCAATAGAAATAAACATCTCCATGAATTTTGCAAATGTATTATTTATTTATTTAATACTTTCAACTTTTAGATTCAGGGGACACCTGTGCAGATTTGTTACAGGGGTATATTGTGCAATGCTGCTGAGGTTTAGGATATGACTGATTGCATCACCCAGGTAGTAAGCATACTACCCAACAGGCAATTTTTCTACCCTTACTCACTTCCATCCCTCTTACTCCTAGTGGAACCCAGTGTTTATTGCTGCCATCATTATGTCCCTGAGCACCCAATGTTTAGCTTCTACTTATAAGTGAGAACATGTGGTATTTGGTTAGCTGCTCCTGAATTAGTTTGCTTAAGATTATGGCCTCCAGCTGCATCCATGTTGCTACAAAATACATGATTTCATTCTTTTTTATGGCTGTGTACTATTCCATGGTGTATAAGTACCACATTTAAAAAAATCCAATCCACATTTGATGGGCACCTAGGCTGATTCCATGTCTTTGCTATTGTGAATAGTGCTGTGATGAAAATACCAGTGCATGTGTCTTTTTGATAGAACAATTTTTCTTTTGGATATATATCCACTAATGGGATAGCAGGGTTGAATGGTAGTTCTAGGTTCTTTGAGAAATCTCCAAACTGCTTTCCACAATGGCTGAACCAATTTGCATTCCCACCAACAGTGTATGAGCATCATGAACTGCTTTGATAGAAGCAGTAGACAAAGTGGCAGGAAGCTAGTTCTCAACTTATTTCTACCTTCCAGATCTTGTGTTCAGTAGTCTAGTTGGTGAGAAGTAATTAGAATTCAGAAGCCTAGATGCAAGGGGCCTTATATTGTAATTCTAAGCTTTCTAATTTTAGAACTACAGAAATTCAAACTAGAAATCTGGGATGAGAACTTAAAAAGGACAGAAATGTGTACGTGAGGTTTGAAGAAAGCAAATGAAAGGCTATCAGAGGGTCTTTCTGTTAAAATAATTGACACATGTTGTTTAGAACTATACCTTACAGCTAACCATGATTCACACAAAATAACTAAGGGTTATAAAGCACGTCAATAGATTAAAGAAGTTTTCCATGCTACCTAAACATTATGAGAACAAAACAAAGATGTGATAGTCAAACAGAACTTGATTAAGTAGCTATTTTAAAAAGAACTTTTTCGTGGCCTAAAAACTATGTGTTTTTTATCTAGAGTGCAATAAGGTCAATTGGATTTATTAAACACCAGCTATGAATCAGGAACTTTAGCAGGTACATTCACTGAAGTAATTTAGTAGTACACTAAGACACATGAAAGATTCTAAATAAGCCAATGAAAGACTCAGTTACATTTATTATATGGCAGCTATTAAAGTAAAAATATAAGCATTTGAAATAAAGTTTTTAAAGCCGCAAATGTGAAAATAAAGAAGTATTTTATTTAGATGTGGATTTTAAGGGTGAAGGGTGGAGATTAGGGATTGAATACCTAGCCCCACTTTTTACCCATCTGGGGTTTAGAACCACTTAACAGGAGTAGGAGTTAGGCAGATGGAGACCAAATGGATTTGCATTACCAAATTTGCTTTTAGTGAACTTGATTCAGGTCTGAGGGCCAAATGAGTTTTCAGGTTCTTCCTGTTCCACAAATTTAGACCTAAAGGCAGTCATTGGAGTGGAAAAGTTAAGTCTACGGAATAGTCATACTTAACTGTGACCCACACTTTTCTGGGGTGGAAGGAAAAACAGATGGAATTTCCAATGCTAACCGTCATTATGCCCACCAGTGGAATATGGGGACCAATACTGTCACCCTCCAAGCATACCTCAAACCTCCTGCTGGACTGATTAAAGCCTGAGGCAAAAGAAGCTGGCCATGTACTCTGGGGAAGTCCCAATTAAAATTTCCTTCTCCTGGAAACAAAAGGAATGGGAAATAAGTTTTCCCTTCAGAAACAACTCTTTATTTGTATGTATAGTATATTCAGTGATTAAAATCAATATGAATTTTTAAAAGCATTGAGGAAACAGCCCATTCCAGAGAGTTGCATTCATTGTGCGAGTAATTTAGGAAGATATTAAAGATGTTATAAAAGTGTATGATTTACTTAGAGCAGTTATCCTTTGTTCTCAGTTTCCAAGTGTCTTCTAAATGTTCTAGAATGTTAAATTGTAAGTTTTTTATTTCGGCCTCATCTTTCTGAGAATCAGAACTTTATTCAGGCAATTCCTAAAGATAAATTAAGTCATAATTGTCTTATTTTTGATTAAGCAATAATGTATTTCTCAAAACCACTAGACTGTATGACACCCAACTCAGCCAGCCTCTGCTTAGCTTAGGAATACAGGTCTTCAGAAATATTTTAACACTTGGCACACTTAAATTTTTTCATTTTACTATGGTACTTGTGGAAAACAGCAGTAAATAGTAGTTAGTAAAAAGTTATATGCCTAAGATTTAGGCATAATGGATTATTATTGGTACAGTGGAAGGAGTGGGTACTCAGCAATCAGTCAGGAGGAAAGAGAGAAATAAAATGAAGGTATGTTCAATTGAAAGTGGCCATTGTAAGTGGAATATGAGCTATATAAATTATAGTTTTTACCTTTAAATGTATCAATTAACTGTTTAGGGAAAGTAGGCTAGAGTGTGTAAAAATCGTTAGCAAATATGACAGGAGAGTATGTGAGTAAATTTTAAATTATATAGTTTAAACCATTAAACATGTAAAATATCAAGGAAGATGAAATCAATGAGAAATATAGTAATACTGAGTTATAATAGAGATTATTTAACGAATGACTACTATCCTCAATGCTTTCTATACCTTATTCCTGATGTTAAAACTACATTATTTTAAATTCTCATAATAATGCTGAAAGGAAGGAGTTTTTCAGATGAGGAAACTGGGAAAAACAGTTTACCAGTTTAGGCTGCAGTTTCCTCATTTGTATAAGGGGATAATAATCACAGTATTTATCTAAATAGTTTGTTATGAGGATTAAATGACTTAGCATAGTGTCGGACAATTGGTAACCCTTCAAATGTTGCATTATTATTATTTTATTATTATTATTATTTTGAGACAGAGTTTCGTGCTGTTGCCCAGGTTGTAGTGCAATGGCGCGATTTGGCTCGCTGCAAGCTCCGCCTCCTGGTTTCAAGCTATTCTCCTGCCTCAGCCTCCTGAGTAGCTGGGATTACAGGCGCCTGCCACCACGCCCAGCTAATTTTTTGTATCTTTAGTAGAGATGGGATTTCACCATGTTGGCCAGGCTGGTCTCAAACTCCTGACCTAAGGTGAACCGCCCCTCTTGGCCTCCCAAAGTGCTGGGATTACAGGCGTGAGCCACTGCACCTGGCCCGCATTATTATTATTAAAGGAGGTCATGTAGTAAGTAAGTGTTGAGGCATGGATTAAAGTCAAAGTAAATATTTGCAAAACCATGTATGCTTACAATGCTGTTATACACAGCTGCTTCAGTGTATGCTGTATGGTAGACAATCAATAAATGTTTCTCGAATGGTATTAAACTCAGGAGTCACTGAGAACATCAGTTGAATGAGTCATTCCATTGCAGCACCTTTCCATACATTGTGAAGATAATAGAGGACACTCTTCCCATTAGGGTGTCTTGTTCTGATGAGCAGTAGCTCTTTTGAGTTCTATTGTCTGTCACAAAATGTATAACCTCATGTATGAGGGCAAAGAGGGCACAGAGGAATGATGTCTGATTTACAGTGAATCTATGGACCATTTTCTTCCATCATGAAATCTATATAAGTTTCTTTGGAAAAGTGGCTCTTACAAAACTTAGTTATATCCAATAGCACATTTTTTGCATTTTGGGGTGCTTTTCCTTAAATGTGAAACTTTGTTAAGTATACCACTCTTTTATCCCCAAGTTTTGCTCAGAGATAGGTTTAAATTGACACTGTCACATTTACTTTCTTAAATGCTGCAGCTCTATTAATATGTCTAACAGCCTCACTGATGTACTGTCATGGACTCAGAGAATTTTGAAGAAAAATGCCTAAGTAGTGGCTCTTGGAAACCACGACTCTTTGACTTCAACCATATGTTTTGCCTACAGCTGTTGGGTTTTTTTCAATACCTGGATGCCTCCATATCTCAGTCAATAGGTCAGTTGTATTGAATAAAGCCACAGATTTATGTTTGATCCAATTATAAATTACTGTGATTATTTTTCACTAATATCTAGTGACACTAGTGCTTTTTACCACTTGTCTTAATCCAGAAATATCTTTTGAACATTTGCCATGTAGAAGATACTGAGTTAGGCTTTGAGACAGGCATAGATTAATTCAAGACCCTATTCCTAGTCCAGTTAAATCTCAGTAGAAGGGGAGGCTGAGAAAGTTAATTTGATACCTTGCTTTGCATCATAAATAGCATGCATGAAATTTCCTCAACAAGTATTTATTTAGGGCTAGCTTTAATGTAAGAAGATCATGAGAAGAATATGAAATATTTTCATCAAATACCAAAAAGTACAAATGAAACATTAGTATAAAGGAAAACACTGGAACGACAAGTTGATGTTAAGTTATTAAGGGCCATTCTAAAAATACTGCTAGAAAAAAAGTTGCCAAAAGTTGTCCCAGAAAATTTAAGAAGATAAGAGCAAGTTTTTTTTTTTCAAATTCAGCAGTAGCAATATTTATCTGTCCCTTTATGCATTTACCATTTCATAAATATTGCATGAGCATATACTGGTAAATATAACAGACTTGGCTCTGCATTTTTGGCATTTATAATCTATGGCAGAGAAGAATAAAAGCAAGATAGGCCAGAGAAATTTTATTTCATCTCCAAGATAAATACCACTTTATGCTCCTTTGTAAATCTAGTCATCAAAAATTTAGAAGTCATATGTTAATGGTTCTTAAATATTTTGAGAATATTTCTTAGACAAACTCTTACTGATAGATGCTGAGGGATAAGACTTGGTGGAATCTGAAAGTTATTATAAGAAATGATTAGTTCTGAATGTGGTGCCTGCTGCATGGTATCAGATGGGACAGGAAAATACCAATGCTTTATAGTGTCCTGGGCAACAACTGTATGGTAGCCCTCTAGTCACCTCAGCCTTGTTCAGTTGTAGGTGTTGAAGATCTGCATTTTGAAATCTCAGGCTACCCAGTGTCTGGATCAATGTAAATCAAATTTATACAGAATATGGAGTCTCGTACACCATTTGTATGCATTGAGTTCATTTTGGAAGTTCCAGGTGGGCTCCTTGGAGCCAAGTACTTGTTTTCTAGTTCTGGATTTGTGTCCAGTTTCCTGCTAAGAGGAGCATCATGCTATAAACTTCAGTCACTTCTCTGAGACACTGACCACCAGCCAAGTCCCTACTGTCTGACTTACAGTTACAGAATTATTTTTCTTAAAATGTGGCCAGGTTTTGGTGTGTATCTACTTCAACTATGAAGAACTCCTAAAAACTGAAGCAATCCCTCTTCATCATCACTTTGCAGAGATTCTTCCATGTCCCCACTCCACGGCAGAGACCTTTGGGGTACAAATTCTACCTGTGGTTATATACTTATTTGGATAATGTAATGTGAACTGTCCACATCCTTAAGGGTAAACTATTCCTAGTTAGTGATTCCAGCACCAATTATACCAGTTTTCCCTTATTACCAGTAAAATCACATCATGTCCTTAATTTTTTTTTGGAGGAATCTGAACACTGATAAAACTGACTTGGACATAGGAAATCAGGACGTCAGGTAATTTGTGTATTTTTACACTAATATTTGAGACATTTATAAAATCTGGGGATGGTAATAAACATTTATTGAGTGCCATGAGTATGTCATTTACTGTACTATATGATTGGCTTGTGTTACCTCTTTTATTTACCTCAGATTTTTGTGAAAGACAGATAAGCAAATATAAAACAATAAAACCATCAAGGGCCCTGCAAGCAACTTTTGAAGGTCACTTATTCCTTTTCACTTTATCTTTAGAGTATTGCTTAAGCTATTTAAAAAATATGGTTTCTTGGAATCACTTGAAAAGCCTCATGTTTGAATATAGGGCTTTGAAGTAAGCCATTTTAAATCAGTAACAATGTGGTGTTTAGACCATGATTCCTCTTTGAAATAACTGCACTTGGTTCGTTACCAATGGATTTCAATTGACACTGTTTAAAAATTCAATTTTATATAAGAATATATATAATTCATGGAGATTTAATTTTGAAGCTGTTATTTTCTCTGTTCAAGTCTCAAGGTTAAAGCTGCTGTTCCCAAGCAGTCTGATTCAATGAGTACTGCTGTGTATAGTCTATGGTACGCAGTAGACCAATAAAAACAATCTGATTGATCTATCTCGTTATGGACTTGATGGCTTCCATAGCACTAGCTATAAAATAAGCTAACTGGAAAATCAAAGCTTTAGTGACCTCAGAGGACTCTTCATCACATAGTGCAGTTTAAATCATGTTACTTTAAATTTAGATATCACAGGCACAACACATTTTATATAACAAACCAGCAAAAACTTGTAAACAGCTTTTTATTTTCCACATTTTTAGGCTAAAATACTTGGACTACTGAATAGCTTTCCAACTACCAACGTTCTCTAAATATTTAAACTTTCATTTTAGGTGGATTTTCAGATTCTTGAGTCTTCTTTCCCAGCACCTATATTCTTTTTTAAATGCTTTATTCCCAAGAGAGCCACTAGTCCTCTTTTATATAGCTCTCTATTCCTCTTTATATAGCTCTCTATCTCCCTGGTCAATATATTTAAATGTAAAATAAATCATTAGTTTAATCACCAAATTTCAACTTGTCAAAAATAATTGACTTCTTTTTCTGGTTATCATTGAATATTGACAGAGTAGTTGTACAAAAAGAACAGTTTAGTGTGGTGAGATGGCTGTGCCTAGTTGGTTTCATTTTGTAGGAAAGGTAGTTATTATTACAAAACCAAAAGATGGTTTTTAAGTTCTTGGAAAGTTGAGTGCATTTACTCCCACCAGACAAAACTATAAAATTTGCATCATTGTCTCCTAACACCTAAGTTTTCATGTATCCCTTTTCTCTTTCATATCATTCTGAACTTCCTCCCTATCCCCAAATACACAGTGTCCTAATGCTACCCTCTAGATATGTAATTATCACCTTGACCTATGTATCAAAAACTGGGTAGTTTCCCTATGCTCAGTGACTTCCTCATTCTTCTCTTTTATTTTTGAAAATATTTTATGTACCCATATTGAAAGACCAACTTGCCTGCTAGAAAACTGAGTTGAAATGAGATAGCAGTGTTTGGTGATGGCATGCATTCATTCATTCGTTAAAAATTGGTGTATTATTCTAAATTATGCCACTGTGAATGGAACGAGTTATAGCGAAGCCCTTACAAAGTATTTGAGAAAATATGGTGGCAAATTTACGTTTAATTCAAAGCACAGAGAGATAATTTAAGCGTTTTAAAAGGAGTTCAGGTGTGTTAATTAGAGGAAGATTAAAAATAAATAAGGTGGCCAGGCGCAGTGGCACATGCCTGTAATCCCAGCACTTTGGGAGGCTGAGGTGGGTGGATCACCTGTGGTCAGGAGATCGAGACCAGCCTGACCAACATGGAGAAACCCTGTCTCCACTAAAAATACAAAATTAGCCGAGCCTGGTGGAGCATGCCTATAATCCCAGCTACTTGGGAGACTGAGGCAGGAGAATTGCTTGAACCTGGGAGGCAAAGGTTGCCATGAGCCGAGATTGCGCCATTGCACTCCAGCCTGGGCAACAAGAGTGAAACTCCATCAAAAAAAAAAAAAAAAAAAAGAATAAGGTAACACAAAATTCTACGAATTCGCTACAGGATTTTATAAAGAGACCAAGTTCATTTAGATAGCTAGCTTCTGGCTGGGCGTGGTGGCCCATGCATATGGTCCCAGCACTTTGGGAGGCCAAGGTGGGAGTGTGGCTTGGGGCCAGGAGTTTGAGACCAGTCTGGGCAACATAGTGAGATTCCATCTCTATTTTTTTTTTTTTAAGTCAGAAGCCTGTGATTTTGGCACTCAGGGAGGCTGAGGTGGGCCATCACTTGAGCATGGCAAAGCCCCAGCTCTACCAAAAGAACATAAAGATTGGCTGTGTGACATGGTGGCACGTGCCTGTGGTCTCAGCTACTTAAGACGCTGAGGTGGGAGGGTGGCTTGAGCCCGGGGGTGGGAAATTGCCGTGGGCTGGGATATCGGGCCACTGCCTTTCAGTTGTGCAACAGAACCAGAACCTGTCTGTCTGTCTCTCTAACACCCACACCCACACCCACACCCATGCACCCACCCACCATATATATATGTGGTGTGTGTGTGTGTGTGTGTGTATATATATATCTTAAATATGTAGCTTACATATATATAGATATAAATAGACATGTAGCTTTCC
Source organism: Homo sapiens (assembly GCF_000001405.40). Classification (NCBI taxonomy): domain Eukaryota; kingdom Metazoa; phylum Chordata; class Mammalia; order Primates; family Hominidae; genus Homo; species Homo sapiens. The sequence goes on along the minus strand of NC_000014.9, from coordinate 28,348,756 downwards.
AGGACGTAGACAAAATAGACTTTGACAGCTGTTAAAGAGTACAAAGGGCATACATAAAAAAGGCATGGATAATGAGAATATAATGTTGTCCTGAGAATTGTAAAATATTAAATATTACCTAACAGTATAATATGAGAAAGATATGCGAGGAATGAGAGCTGGAGAAGTTTTGAAAGGGAAAACCATGCAGAATCTTACATGTTATACTAGGTTTCAATGTAGTCAGCACTGAATCTGGAGTCAGGTTATTTTAAGTCCTACTTCTGCCCCTCTCTGGTCATACACCTTTGGATGAGTTACTCAGTCTTTCTGTGCGTTAGTTACCTCATCTGTAACACAGACACAATGATAGAATCTATGCCTTATGGTCAACATGAGGATCAAATGAATTAATATATATGAGCTTTTAGATAAGGGTCTATCCTGTAGCAAGCACTCAGTAAGTCATCATCAATCATCATCATAATCAACATCATTATCATCATCATTGCAATTATTGTTACTATTACTATATTAAACATCTTGTTAATGGAGGCATATTGAAAGGCGTTGCCCCAATTCAATGTGTCTGTCTTCAGCATAAGCTCCCCCTGAACAAATGCATTTTCATGAACATTCATTCTGGCAGCATAAGCAAAATGAGTGTGGCACAGCTGAGATTTGCAGTAGGCATTTGCAGTAGATCAGTTAAGTGATGATGAAGAGAGAGCCAAAACCAATGGTATTACACTGAGGTGTGAGAAAAAAGATGCGTGAAAGTGATTCCAATGAGAAAATTTCATTTGAGTTGGTTATTTATTGGGTACCTAGAGTAACCAAGGCTATCTACAAGGTTTCTAAGGGGATGGCGGTGTCTTTCAGTAAATCAGGGAATGTAGGAGGGAGAGCTGGTCTAAAGGAAAAGATGGTGAGCAGAGTCTATGCATACGTATAGTGACTACTAGACAATGGGTTTAGAGCTCAAAAGAGATTCTGAAGAGTTATCAGTGTATTTAGGTGTTAGATAAGATTATGGGAATGATTTATCAAAGGAGTATGTGTACTTTAAGAAAAGTGGAGAGATTAAGATGGAATTATCAGGAAATACCAACAATAACAAAATAATTGTAGTGTTAGACGTACCTTCAAAAGGAATATGGAGAAAAGAAAGCACTTGTTTTACCTTTAAATATAAATCAGAAAACCCCATGAGCTTTGATTAGGACACTTCAGTAGCTTTCTGTTGTATTGGACATAAAATCCAAACTCGCTATGTAACCTCGCTATCACAATGCTACTTCTTGATCACTCTGCTTCAGTCTCACCATTCTTTCTCCTGTACAAACACATCAAAGCTCACTCAACATTCTGGGCATTTGCATTTATTGCTTGTTTTTCCAGGAATGCCTTCTACTAGACTTCACATTACAATTTTATACTCAAACAGAAGCTTGTCAAAAAGTTTTTTTCTGATCTACCTATCTAATGCAATCCCTACCTCACAGTCTTTTCTCCTAGTCATTCTGTCAAACTATGTTGTCTTATTATGATATTGTTTCATGCTTCCTGAAAGTATCTTGTTTATCTGTTACTTCTTTGTTGTCTGTTTTCTCACACTTGAATGCAACCTTTAGGAGAATAAGGACTTGCTCTATTTTGTTCACCACTGGATTTCCTGCTCCTAGAAAGTACCTTGTGATGAAATAAACTCATTAAATATTTAGTGAATAAATGGATGTCTAGAGTAGTGAGAAGGATATAGTTAGAAGGATAGGTATTAGGTAGAGACAGAATCAGGAGAAAGTTAGACTACAACATTCAGAAGGAAGACAAATGATATCAAAAACAACAAAAAATAGTTTTATTGAATGTGGCAAAAAAGGGGGTCAGGGATGACAGTTATAGAAATAGTTTTAGTGCAATATTAAAGTCAGAATTCAAATACATACAGTTGAAGAATGAAGGAAAGATGAATGAAGAAAGCAAATGAATTGTATTCTTTGAAGATAGGCTGTACAGAATGAAAGGAGATAAAACAATATTAAGAACAGTTGATTTTTTTGAAAGTAAACACAAGCAAACAACTGTTGCAGTGTTAGGGTCATATTCTGAAGAGTTTTAGGGTCAGTGTTTTTGTTTTGCTGTCTTTTTATTTTGACACATTTTTAAACTTAAAAAGTTGCAAGAAATTTCAAAGAATTCTCCTGTAATTTTTATTTAATTATCTTATGTAAGTTCCAGGAATTATCCCAAATAATCTTGATAGCTAAAAGATCCATTTCTGGATCTAATATTATACCCAGTTGTCTTGTAATCCCTTCTTCAATATAAAAGTCCCACAGTCTTGAATTTTATTACTTTGATATTTCTGAAGATTCTAGCCCAGGGATTTTTTTAAAGAATGTCCCTCATGTTGGTTTGTCCCATGTTTCTTCATGACTAGGCTGAGGCAATACTGTTCTGGCTGGAATATCACTGAAGTAATTCTGTTTTTCCCTCATTGGCTCCTATTGAATGATACATGATACTAATTTCCTCTGTTACTGGTGATTTAAACTTTGATCATTTGATTTTAGAACTGCAAAATCACTTGTTACTCTTTTGACTCACTTTTGTCTCATGTTAAACTAATAATCATTTTGTGGGGAGGAACTTTTATATTATACAGAAAATTCTGTATCTCATCCAACTTTCACCCACTAGTTTTAACATCCATTGGAGTTTATTTCTTGAATTAATAATTACTGCAATGGTTGTTGAATAGTGTTTTTCTAATGACAACTTTCTCAGTTTTTTAGCTCTCATTCCATTATAAGGAAAACCTAAAATTTCTTTCTTTCTTTCTTTCTTTCTTTCTTTCTTTCTTTCTTTCTTTCTTTCTTTCTTTCTTCTTTCTTTCCTTCTTTCTTCTTTCTTTCTTCATTTTTCTTTCTTTTTTTCTTTCATCAACACGAACTTGTAAATTTCTATTTATTAATTTTATTATGAACTGTTAGTATTGTTTATTTTGATGCTTAAATTCTCACAGATTTGAAGTGTCTTTTACAATTATAAATATAGAAATAATTTTTAATGCTTTGTATTTTGAGAAAATGAGCTAGGAAAGTGGTGACTTTAAACCCTAGTTGCACATAAAAATCCCCTGAGGAGCTTTAAAAAGTCCTAATGCCCAGGCCACACCTCACATCAATTACATAAGAATCTTTATATTTGAAACCCAGCCATAAATACTCTTTTAAGCTCTCCACGTGATTTCAATGTAAAGCCAAGTTTGAGAACCATTGTAGGAGAGAGTGACATGTTAGCAATTCAGTAGAGACATAAGATAAATGAAGATGGGAGAAAATTAAATTCCTAGAACAAGAGGATAAATTTGTCATAGATACTATAAGGACATAAATATAAGAGCAGTTTCTAATTTGTTTTCAGCAAACGGAAATTAAGAAGCTGAAGGATTTCCGGCCTGGTAGTTTATATTTTTCTGTGAAGGAGAATGCTGAGATATGGTGTAAAGAGTAGAGGACACTGGTAAGGCTGTTGTGGGGAGTTAGAAAATAATATGAGCACGCATCATTGAGATCCTATAGAGAAACAGGAGGACTTATTTTGAGCTAATACAAAATTACTGGTACTTTTCCCCTGAATTTATTTTAATCAGGTAGATGCAGAATAAGAGCTTCAGAAACCAAAGGCTAGGTGGGATGACAAGAACTAGGATTCAAAGGGAAAAAGCGAATATAGGAAGGGTAAAATTGTAGAAAAGTGACTAGTATTAAAGACTGATGAACATTTGCTAAATGTTTTCTAACAAAAATGATTGATTAGATTTTTAGGCATTGTGATAGGAATTGTATTTGGAGCCACAAATGTTATTTTCAGCAGCTTTAAGTCACCTTTATCTTCAGTAGATTAAAAGTGGGAAGAAATAAGTAAATGTTACGTTATCCTGTCTTGCATATGATGTCCTTAAAGGCCTGATACATTTAGAACATCTGAGGTATGCCACAGGCTTTTACCTGGGCTTCTGTCTGTGTGAGTTGTGATTTAATGTTTTTGACTTCTAAGTTTTCTTACCTTTTTCTGTTCTTTTTTTTTTTTTTGGAAATAGAGTCTTGCTCTGTTGCCCAGACTGGAGTGCAGTGGTGAAATCATGACTCACTGCAGCCTTGACTTCCTGGACTCAAGAGATCCTCCTGTGTCAGACTTCTGAATAGCTGGGACTACATGTGTGAATCACCATGCACTGTCTATCTTTCTATAGTTGTGGTGGGCCTTGATTCTGGTTCTTCAACTTTTTGATGTCAGTGCACCATGATCAGGTATATACCACCAAAATCCTTCTTGGTAAGTAAACATGTGGGTAGACTATTTTGGAGAAGCTATCCTGCAACTTACTCTAATATCAATCAGTTCTTTAATTTACTCTTTAGAAAAATAATCTTGTGACACAGAGACTGATTTTATTTTCTTGAGCAGAAAATAAATATTTTAATCAAGTTCTAGGTCACCATCTGATATTGATAAAAAGTATGAAGATTTAAGCATAAGTATAGCCATCATACTAGAGCTTTTAACTATTTTTTATTTTGTTATTATTTGTAGCTCTCTTATAAAATGATAGCACTCATATTGTGGAAAAATAGAAAGAATTATTTTATGGTAAGAACAAACCACATATAAGCTGCCTTTTAAGACTTCTTAAAAACAATTGGTGAGCACATAAAAAATTAATACAAACAGTAGGAATAAAAATGAATAATCACATATATAGCTAAGTAAATGAAAACCAGTTTATTGACAGATGTTGTAGAGATCTTTTTAAACTCAGGGTGCAAGAATGTGATTAAAAATTACTGATGGCAATAATAAAGCCATGATATTACTACTTTGGGCAGTTACAGTGTTTCTACACTACACACAGTTCTGACTGCCCTGACTTGCAAAGGCAAGGACACAAAAAAACATCTGGACTCTTAAGAGTATAAAATGCAGAAAGACATGAAAAGCCGAAATAGATGCCATCCAATTATCCATTTGGTGTAGAACCAAAGCAGTTGGTTGGCCCATGGAAAAGAGTCCAGAGAGCTGGAAGCAAGTTCAGGCATGATTCAATCAGGAAATCCAATGTGATGATCAAAGTATACAACAGGAAAGAGTTATAGTCAGAGAAACAAAAAATCAGCAGGCTGTGGAAGCTCTGGCAACTTTGTCACAATTATCAGTCCACTCGCCCATCAGTGGAGAGGTAACAGGAGCTTTGAAGAACAAAATGTTTAGAAGCTTGTAAGGTTACCAGAGTCCTAGACTCATGTTTTCCTTTAGTGCCTTGAGTTCTGATCATTTCCAATTAAAAGCTGTGAATTATAGTTCAGATGTGAATATCAAACCCTCAAACTAGTCTCACAAAACTTGAGATTCTGAGATAAGATAATTACAGGAGTATTCTCTGTTCATGTTGTCAGTAGTGATAGTGGCTTTTGTGTCACATGGTGGCAAACCAAATTCCAACTGCCAACTGTTGAACTGAATTTAGATTTCTAAAGAAGATTGCAGAAGTCAATGAACTTTTCAAATGAAATCGCCACTGAATAGGTATCAAACATTTGCTACCTGCCAAAAATCTAAATTATAGGTGCCTGATGCAATCTACTTTTGTATTTGACTATCATCCATGACTGCTGCTTGGAGTTGGAGCTTTCTGAAAACATAATTAGTAAACTAAAGTTCAGAACCACAGACATTTTCACTACTATGTTGGGCTTTGACCTGTGAAAAATAGACACGCCTCTCTCTAATCTTGTCTATTGTTTCTCTCCTCCTGACCATCCACCTTGGGAACCTGCACTCACAGCTTGCAGCCATCTTACCTTGAAATTAACAAATGCCAAGCATCACATATGCCAGTTACTCACTTGTTATACCACTTTCCTATTTTCCATCAATATTTCCTTTCCATAAATTAATATTGGGTTTAGTGTTAATAGTTATTAATAAGATTGGTACAATTTTACTAATAATTTTTTTCAGGCTTGATAACTTGATTTTAAATTAGAAGCCCATAGCAAAGAAAACAAGTATATAACAATCTCAGATTATTTATCTTTTTTATTATACTTTACGTTTTAGGGTATTTATCTTAATTTAGATGTTAGCCTCTAATATTCTTCTGAAAATCCTGGGAATTTATTGAGGTTTGTATATCCACGAGCTTTCGAAATATTTAGATTAAAAATAGTGTTCTTTTGCTAACATTATTATGGGTACATAATAGGTGTATATATTTATGGGGTATATATGATGCTTTGATAAAGACATACGATGTGTAATAATCACATCAGCCTAATAGGGATATGCATCACTTCAAGCATTTATCATGACTTTGTGTTAGGAACATCTCAGTTCCACTCTTACAGCTGTTTTAAAATATACAATAAATTACTGTTACTGATGGTAGTCACCCTGTTGTAGTATCAAATACTAGATCTTATTCATTCTAAGTGGTTTTCTTAATGAGTTCTTAATTTCCTGGAGTGCATCTTTTAATCTAAACAAAGTCCATGTATAAGTTGAAATTCTAACTATTGATCTTTTCAGGTTAATCTTTAGGAGTTAGTTTTTAAAAATATGATATGATTTTTCCATTCTCCTAAACTTTGACTCCTTTCTTTGACATTTTATCTATCAAATATCAAATAAAGTTATGTCAGGAAAATTATAACTGCCATTAGCAATAACCTAACTTCAGTAGATTTTGTAGTTTTCTTTCAAGAGCATATCTGGAGTGATAATTGGGAAGGTAAAACATTAGTTATTTTGTATTCATTTTCTGTAACTTTGAAGCAAGTCAATAGGTAGTAAAAATATACTTCTATTTTAATATAGTAACACAAACACCAAAATCATAAGAAATAGTGGTAGGACATTTTCCTCTATTAGAGGATTCAACCATATGTAAAGAAAGATTTCAAAAAAAAATGTGCTCAGTTGTTCAACTTTTTCCCTTTATAAACTATCAACTCAATGGACTTCATTGAGATGTCTTTATTTCTTTACCTTTTGATCAATAACATCGACAATTGATATAATAACTTTTACATCCTAAAATATACCAGATCATATAGTAATAGCTAATACTAACGGTATCACTTGCTACCTATCAGGCAGAGTTCTAAGTGTTCGATTAATAGTGACTCATATAATCCTCACCAGATCCCGAGAAAGCATTTGTTATTATTATCTCCATTTTATACATAAAGAAACAAAAACTAGAGAGAGGTTAAGTAACTAACCCATGGTCACAGGGCACAGGCTATTTTATGTTCTATTCTATCAATGCTACACATAATAGGATTAACTGATATTGAAAAACATCAGGTTATATTTTGATTCTATGATGTAAGAGATACACTTGATTTTAATTAGTTGGCATTTAGTGATAAATAGCTTGGACACAGAAGTCTGAATTGGTGCTAAAAGTATTAACTGATGTATAATATTCATACTCATTTAGTGCAATGTGTGCACAACTTTATCCAGGGTCTTCTTCTCCTTCTCCCTTCCATGCAACTATTGCTGTAAACCACACTCTTCATCCTAATTGAAACAGACAATAGTTGATTTAAACTAAGCATATGGAGAATGAAGCCTTTATCTAGTATCTGAGATTGGTTCCCACAAAGAATAAAATGAGCTAAGCAGCTTCACAATGATAGAAGACTTTTGAATAAAGGAAGCAGCATGTACAGCTGTAGCTAATTACAAATTTGGGCTTCACTTTTGTTAACAGCAGACTAATGTTTGCATACCAAGCATTTGTTGTAAATAAATAGCTTTAATAAGTGGGAAAAAAGACAGTAAGCAATACAGTGCCAGGGGTAATTACAGCTATGTTTGCAAAAGCCACAATGCAGTATATAATTATTTTAATATGAAAAATGGAGATTATCTCATATTTTAAGCTCTTTATTAGGAATAATTCTAACATTAGAATATTTTAGCATTGGAAGACTTGTCTGATTCAGACTTAATTTTCTTGATATGCTATTTTATGTAACACATAGAAACACAAAATAATACAGCTTCAATGAATAAATCCTTATCTATTAAATATGGTATTTCAAAACACACTTGATCATATATTTGTGGCTTTTAGTTTAGTAACGATTTACTATCTGAAGTAAGGGTAGTATTAAAAAGTTATTGAGAGGAGATATAATTCAAGTAAGTCTATAAACAAACCATCTTCTCCACACCTTTCCTCTCCCAAAGAAAGATAGCAACACTTTTCATGCTGCCGTGATAACAGAAAGCAGCATAAAAAGGTATTGCATTATATTTCAAGAGTGAGATGAAATCAAAATCAACCACGTAACTGTGGAGTACCCTAAAGGGATTCCATAATCCTCTGAATTAACACCTTTCCTGAGAGATGAACAAGAATTAACACAAGAGATAATTGTATGTCAACCATCAGGGAAAATAATAGTTACTTATCTAAATTTGGTATTCTAGTATAAGAAGAAAAAACAAATCCAAAATTATTTGTAAAAAACTTATGAATGTTCACACAAAACCGGCACACAAATATTTATAGCAACTTTGCATAGTTACCTAAACTGGTAAGTAACCAAGATATTTCTCAATAGGTTAATGGATAGAGAAATTGTGGTACATTTTTACAATGGAATATTATTAAATGATAAAAAGAAATGAGCTATCTAGCTATGAAAAGACATGAAGGAACCAAAAATGCTTGTTGCTAAGTGAAAGAAGCCAATCTGAAAAGACGACATATTTTATCATTCCAAATATATGACATTTCGGAAAAAGGAAAATCTATGGAGACGGTAAGAAGATCAGTAGTTGCCAGGGTTCATGGAGAGAAAGCAGTGAACAGAAGAAGCACCGGGAATTTTTAGATAGTAAAACTGTTCTGTATTATACTGTAATGTCAGATATATGTCTTTATAAATTTGTCAAAACTCTATAGAATGTTCAACACAAAGTGTGACTCCTAATGTAAACTATAGATTTTTGTTAATAGTAGATTACTGATATTAGCTTGTGAGTTGTAACCACATACCACACTAGTGCAAGAAGGTATTAATAGAGGCACCTGCATGTATGAGGGTGAGACAGCATATGGGCACCCTATGTACTTCCACTCAATTTTTCTGTAAACTTCAAACTACTCTAAAAATATAGTCTATTGATTCAACAACAACTACAATTGATATTAAAGAAAAAAAGGGTAAAAGATTTTTCCTAACCTTAATCACAGAAAGTCTAAAGCTACCTTACTAAGGTAAAATTGGCTTAAAGTAATGGTGAGCAGAGCCTACGATTTTCTCCCAAATTCACATCAAAATATTGTTTTAAAAATTTTATTAAAAATCAACAATTAAAACACTAAAAATAAGTACTGACATCAATTTATTGCAAAGTCTGTTATTACTTTTTGTTAGGTAAAAACTCAGTGGAACTAGAATGAGAAAAATGCATGCATTTATTATTCCTTCCTAGAAGTGTGGAGGCAAAGGGAGGGGGCACCTATGGATAGAAGTAACTGAGTTATATTTTAAATTAGACACCAAATCTAATAATATAAAATATGCTTTTAAACTATTGCAATTTATAAAACTAGACAATAAAAGGAGAAAATGTATACTCTGGAAAACAAATCCTATAAAATTGAACTGAAAGTTTGTCATAATTTTTAGCAAAGCATACGGTAAAGAAAAATCCCACTTTCCAAAACATGCTTGAAGCATGCAGGGTTGTACTGTTAGATTATAAATGAGGATATGGACGCATTTATCTAGACCTTATAGTAAACTAAATGAACAAAGATTACCTGGACTGTTTGATTCATTTATTAAAGTTTTAAAAGAAATTTAAAACATGATTTAACATAGCAAGATGCACACTGGGATACAGAATACCAGTTTGTAGGGCTGCCAGGACAAAATAAGGATGCCTAATTAGATTTCAATTTCAGATAAACAACAATTTATTTAGTATAATTATATACCATGTAATATTTAGGACATTCTTTCACTAAAATTATTGTTTATTCAAATTAAAATATGATTAGGTTTATTTTTCTTTATTTAGCCTGGCAACCCAACAATTTGCCAATCTTGTACATATACAACTTAACCATTTAGTTTCATTTTTACACATTTTCCTTTTTGGAATTGGGAAATCATAAATTATAATACAATCTCTATATATGGACTTATTTTTTAATATTTATTGTAAGATTGTGTGTTAAGCCAGATTGGTAAGTAAAGATTCTGTCTTCATGGAAGATATACTGATGAAGCACAGACAGATGATTATATTGGATCCAACTGGCTATTATTTTTAGTTTAACGTAAAATTATATTCAAAGAAGCAACCGTAGCAAGTGATTGATACAGACTTTCAAGAAATCGTTGAAAAATGCCCACAGCAAAGGGTATTTAAATAAAAATAGCTGTCATGAAGTAGAAAGAAATATCTCATAAAGAGGAATCAGATTGAAAGAATAAATAGAGCAGCATAAGTATCAGCAGAGAAATTCACCAAAGATAAAGATTTGGCCAGTTTCATTTAGCATTTATATGCACAATCTGTTAGGGAAAATGCATGGTAAAATTCTCCACTTTGATTGAAATGCCAGGCTGAGGAGGATGAACACAAGATATTTTCAGGATGCTGTGACAGTGGTTAAAACTTGTGGTAAATGATTTTCCACGTTAGATATTTCCATGTAATGCCTTATACAAACAACAACTACTACAACAACAACAAATGTTAGGTATTGTAAGACTTGGTGTTGCCTGCCTGTTAGGTGAAAAAGTATCTCATGAATGCAATTTACATTTGCCTACTCAATAGTGAAAGTAAACATTGCCATATGTTTATTAGCAATTTGGGTTTTATATCAATTTGCCCCCTCTTGTACTAGATTGTATTGATGCTTAATATGTTTACTATGTTAATCTTTTGCCAAGTATATATGTTTTTCTAAATATACCATTTGTGTTACTAAATTAATTGTAATTTATTTTGGTAAAGTTTTGAATTTATTATAATTAAACATCAAACTACTTCTTATCATTTAGATCTCAATCTCTAAATGAATCTTTAATTTTTTTTACAAGTTTAACAATTTTACATTTTCATTCACCTAGATTTTATCTTTGCTAATTGTGCAAAGTGGGCGATACAATGTAATACAACTAAACAGGATTGTTAAATCTTCCTAATGAATTATCTCTCCCTTTTTTTTTTTTTTTTTTTTTTTTGAGATGGAGTCTCGCTCTGTCGCCCAGGCTGGAGAGCAGTGGCACCATCTCAGCTCACTGAAAGCTCCGTCTTCTGGGTTCAACAACTTTCAAGCAATTCTCCTGCCTCAGCTTCCCGAGTAGCTGGGACTACAGGCGCCCGCCACCAAGCCCGGCTAATTTTTTGTATTTTATTAGAGACGGGATTTCGTCGTGTTGCCCAGGCTGGTCTCGAAATCCTGAGCCCAGGCAATCTGCCCGCCTTGGCCTCCAGAAATGCTGGGATTATAGGCGTAAACTACCGCGCCTGGCCATGAATGATCTCTTCTAATATGATCACGATTTAAGCCTGAAACCACCCTGATACTGAAGTCTGCATCGTGATCTGTGAATGTACTCTTTTTCTATGCCTGTAGGTTTTAGGGCTAACTTTTGTAAATAATGATTTATTCTGAAAAGACAGGTCCTTTAAGAAGTAAGCTCAGTCCATTTGCATTTATTATGATATATTTGAATTTATTTCTTTTATTCTATTTTGTGCTTTCTTTTTTGTGTTTGTTCTAATAAAACTTCATTTTTTAAAACTTTTATTTTGAGTTCAGGGGTACAAGTGCAGATTTGTTATATAGGTAAACTTGTGTCATGGGGATTTGTTGTACAGATTATTTCATCACTGAGATATTAAACTTAGTTACTTGATTAGTAATTTTTTCTGATTCTCTCCCTTCTCCAACTCTCTGCCCTCCAAAAGGCCCCAGTGTGTGTTGTTCCCCTCTTTTTGTCCATGTGTTCTCATCACTTAGTTCCCACATATAAGTGAGAACATGCAGTATTTGGTTTCCTGTTCCTGTGTTAGTTTGCTAAGAATAATGGCCTCCTGCTCCATCTATGTCCCTTTAAAAGACTTGATATTGTTCATTTTTATGGCTGCACAGTATTCCATGTGGGGATTTCTCAAAGACCTAAAGACAGAAATACAATTTGACCCAGCAATCCTATTACTGGGTATATATCCAGAGGAATAGAAATCATTCATTTTGTGCCTTCTTTGTGTCCTTTTTCCTCTGTTTTGTCCCCCCATTGAATTGATTGAGTTTTCTTCATTTCCTACATTTTCCCTCTGCTGGTTTGGAATATATGTATTTTATTGGTACTCTAAAAAATGATTATCTATAATGTTTACTCACACTTGACTGAAATCTAATAAATATTTGTGTCTCCCAAATAATATAAAGATTTTTTCAATTAATCTTTATGTTTAAACAGCTTTTGCAGTACAAGTGGTTTTGAGTTACATGGATAAATTGTATAAGTGATGAAGTCTGAGATTTTAATGCACTTGTGCTCAAGTAGTATACATTATACCCAATATGTAGCTTCTTTTCCCTCACGCTACTTCCATCCTCCCACTTCTGAGTCTCCAAAGTCCATTATAACCCTCTGTATGTCTTTGCTTACCCATAGGTTAGCTCCCACTTATAAGTGAGAACACATGATATTTGTTTTTTCATTCCTGAGTTACTTCACTTAGAATAATGGCCTTCAGCTCCATCCAAGTTTCTGAAAAAGATACTATTTCATTTTTTTTTAATCGCTGAATAGCATTCCATGATGTATGTATACCACATTTTCTTTATCCACTTACTGGTTGATGGCACTTAGATTGGTTCCATATCTTTGCAATTGTGAATTTCACTGCAATAAACATATGTGTGCAGGTGTTTTTTGATACAGTGACTTCTTAATATAAAGATTTTTAAATCCCAGTCTCCTCTCATGCCCTCATGCTAATCTTATCTGTTATTGTATTTTAGTATTTTGTTCCAACTTGTTTTTAAGCTGTTTAAAATATTTATTACTATCCTACCAGGGACAGTGGCTCAAGCCTGTAATCCCAGAACTTTGGGAGGCTGAGGTAGGAAGAGTGTTTGAAGCCAGGAGTTTGAGACCAGCCTGCACAACATAGGGAAACCCCATCTCTATCAAAAGCTTAAAAAAAAATAACTGGACATGGTGGCTTGTGTCTGTAGTCTCAGCTACTTGGGAGGCTGAGGCAAGAGAATTGCTTGAACCCAGGAGTGCAAGGCTGCAGTAATCTATGATTGTGTCACTGCACTGTAGCCTGGGTGGCAGAATGAGATCCTAAGTGTGTGTGTGTGTGTGTATATATATATGTATTTTTTATGTGTATATATATGTATATATGTATTATATATATGTATATATGTATTATATATATATGTATTATATGTGTGTGTGTGTTTATTATTCTTTTACACATCTGATTGTTAGGTAAACTAACCCACATAATTAGTGATCACTTTGCTTAACATTATTTTTAGTCTCATATCTTCCTTCTGAGTTGAAATTCTTTCCTACTGAAATTTGTACTTCAGAAATTTTTCTAGTGAGGAGTTTTTAGTGGCAAATTCTTTCTGCCTTTGATTGTTTGAATATGTCTTTCATGCCCCAAATGCCAGTAATATCTGATTGAGAAGTGTTAAGCCTCTTAGGACAATCACTGTGTGATTTCATATGTGTAACACCTTCATTTTTAGTTCTGTCTTCATTTCTAGTCTCTGGTAGTACCCCAAAAAAGAACATGTTTTATGTTATACTTGGCACTATATAAGTTAAACTTTTTTCAACTTATTAATCAATTGTGTTACCAAAACCAGATTTCTGCCAACTAAATGTATATGTATGTGTGTGTGTGTATATATATACATAAATGTATATGTATGTGTATATATATATACACACACACACATATAAATACATATACATGTACATCTAATATATGAATACACAGGTGAATACACACATATAGATATACATCTACAGATATACATACTATATATACACATATATAGTATAAGGTATATAGTTAATGTACTGTGCATGTGTTTATATATATATAAATAAAGTTTATCTGTCTACTTATCTATCTGTATAACTAGTATCTGCATGTAATCTTATATTTCTATTGTTCTGTCTTTAAATATATATAGAGAAAAAATACTTGGACTCCTGTTAAATTGATGCTAATAATGGCTATTTATGTGTTTTAAGATTTGTTGATTTCCTTAAGAATTTTGGACTTTTTTACAATGCATAAAATCTTTGTATAACTTATTTTTGTGTATAAATTCCTGTGTAAAATATTGTGTATTCATAGAATTATTTCCCTTTAAAACTTAACATTAGTCATGCTCAAAGAATATATTGATTATAATTGAAGACTATAAAATCAGGAAAAGATATGGTGGGCATGGGTTATTTATCAAATCTGAAAAAGCTATCTTTAAAGATACAGAGAATTGCGGTGTCTTTTTTGAAAACAGACAATAAAAGAAGAATAACTCTATTTGTACTCCAATAAGGCAGTCACCAGAAGTTGCCTACACAAACACCAATCACAACCACTTTCTTCCTGGCTTTCCTCTCTAGGTAATTCAGGAAATGAAAATCTCAGTTATCTATCCTCTTTCACAGCTAGGAGAGGTTGTATGATCTGATTCTGGCCAATGAGACTTATGAGAAAGACTGCTGGGTGTGATTGCGGGGAGACTACAGAGTGTGTCTTTACAAGGTAACATTTACCAGGCTTAAGGATATGCCCAGATGATCAGTTTGAGTACCCTTAAATGTAAAATGAATTGATAAAAAGCAAATGGACTGCAAATTGGCTATATTTTTGGCAGTGGAAAGTTATAAAACCCTAGGCCTGGCCAGCTATAGTCTCTGTTTTTAAATCCCTAATATAAGGACTGTATTCCTTAAATTATACACAGAAAGAGTTTCTGTGGCCATTCAGGATGCAGGAAGGACATCTCTCTCCTCTTTGCCCACCAAGGAGGAAATATAGATTTTCCTACAGAGAAAATGAGAGAGACTTCAATACGTCTGATTAGGAAAACTACTTCATTGTAGAGCATGGAATCTCACTAATCCTATCAGCAAGTTTTGATGTACTATATGCTGATTTTAATATATAATATAGACACTGCTATATGTTTTTTGTTCTCCCTTTTGCCAAATATGCTATTTTTATTGCAGTTACTTGCTTCTTCCCAACTATTGTATATTGCGGATGCTGTGGGTAGATTTTATTTTTTTGGCATGCAATTTGGATTTAGTGACTAGATCTCTAGTGTGACACTCTATCTCTTGAAGAGTGGGTTAGTGTAACAAAGAAAATGATATACATAAATGTTGAGATAGTAGAGATTGTAAATTGGCACATTTAACATCTATTTTTAAAACGCTTTATATTGCTTTCCTCTATAAAACATATTGAGAAGCCAGTTTCTCAGTTGATCAACCTCCTTCGAAGTTAGGATTCTGTGAATATGTCATATAGTTTTTGGTGAAGTGTAAGTACTTTTACTGCAGCTGTTGCAAAAACTTGCTTTCTTTATGTGAAAGGACAGATTCAATTTTCAAAGACTCATTTATCCCTTGACTTTTTTGTCCTGTAATTAAGATATGATGCCTGGATAGATAGTAGCCACACTGTGACTTTCAGGTAACAAGCATACGTGACAGCATTATGGTCTCTTGATGCCATCATTCTGCAATTCGAACAACCTTGGTATACTTCTCCACTGTTGGTCAGGTTTTCTATTACATGCAGGTATGAGTATTCTTCATGGAATCATCCCCAAATGGAAAGTTCTGTTATTTTAACCTCTTTAGGAATTCACCGCATGAAGACAGAAAATGTTCTTGGATTCCCAAGATCTATGTTCAATATCAACTTAATCTTTGACCCAAACAGTCATAAGATAGTGTTTGAGATCACTTCTGTCTCCTTTGTCTTTCTTATTCTTCTTTCTTTGTGCATTTTCTTTTTTCCTCAAGGTTTTTTATTTATATCCCCTGGACTGCATAACTCAGTTTATTCCCTTCTTTTTTTTAATTTCATGTTTTATTTATTTTTATTATTATTATACTTTAAGTTTTAGGGTACATGGGCACAATGTGCAGGTTAGTTACATATGTATACATGTGCCATGCTGGTGTGCTGCACCCATTAACTTGTCATTTAGCATTAGGTGTATCTCCTAAAGCTATCCCTCCTGCCTCCCCCCACCCCAAAACAGTCCCCAGAGTGTGATGTTCCCCTTCCTGTGTCCATGTGTTCTCATTGTTCAATTCCCACCTATGAGTGAGAATATGCGGTGTTTGGTTTTTTGTTCTTGTGATAGTTCACTGAGAATGATGATTTCCAATTTCATCCATGTCCCTACAAAGGACATGAACTCATCATTTTTTATGGCTGCATAGTATTCCATGGTGTATATGTGCCACATTTTCTTAATCCAGTCTATCATTGTTGGACATTTGGGTTGGTTCCAAGTCTTTGCTATTGTGAATAGTGCCACAATAAACATACGTGTGCATGTGTCTTTATAGCAGCATGATTTATAGTCCTTTGGGTATATACCCAGTAATGGGATGGCTGGGTCAAATGGTATTTCTAGTTCTAGATCCCTGAGGAATCGCCACACTGACTTCCACAAGGGTTGAACTAGTTTACAGTCCCACCAACAGTGTAAAAGTGTCCCTATTTCTCCACATCCTCTCCAGCACCTGTTGTTTGCTGACTTTTTAATGATTGCCATTCTAACTGGTGTGAGATGGTATCTCACTGTGGTTTTGATTTGCATTTCTCTGATAGCCAGTGATGATGAGCATTTTTTCATGTGTTTTTTGGCTGCATAAATGTCTTCTTTTGAGAAGTGTCTGTTCATGTCCTTCGCCCACTTTTTGATGGGGTTGTTTTTTTCTTGTAAATTTGTTTGAGTTTGTTGTAGATTCTGGATATTAGCCCTTTGTCAGATGAGTAGGTTGTGAAAATTTTCTCCCATTTTGTAGGTTGCCTGTTCACTCTGAAGGTAGTTTCTTTTGCTGTGCAGAAGCTCTTTAGTTTAATTAGATCCCATTTGTCAATTTTGGCTTTTGTTGCCATTGCTTTTGGTGTTTTAGACATGAAGTCCTTGCCCATGCCTATGTCCTGATGGTAATGCCTAGGTTTTCTTCTAGGGTTTTTATGGTTTTAGGTCTAACGTTTAAGTCTTTAATCCATCTTGAATTGATTTTTGTATAAGGTGTAAGGAAGGGATCCAGTTTCAGCTTTCTACATATGGCTAGCCAGTTTTCCCAGCACCATTTATTAAATAGGGAATCCTTTCCCCATTGCTTGTTTTTCTCAGGTTTGTCAAAGATCAGATAGTTGTAGATATACGGCATTATTTCTGAGGGCTCTGTTCTGTTCCATTGATCTATATCTCTATTTTGGTACCAGTACCATGCTGTTTTGGTTACTGTAGCCTTGTAGTATAGTTTGAAGTCAGATAGCGTGATGCCTCCAGCTTTTTTTCTTTTGACGTAATCTCTCTCTGTCACCAGGCTGGAGTGCAGTGGCACAATCTCGGCCCCCTGCAACCTCTGCCTCCCGGGTTCAAGCGATTCTCCTGCCTCAGCCTCCCGAGTAGCTGGGAATACAGGCACATGCTACTGCGCCCAGCTAATTTTTGTATTTTTAGTAAAGAGGGGATTACACCATGTTGGCCAGGATGGTCTTGATCTCTTGACCTCATGATCCACCGGCCTCGGCCTCCCAAAGTGCTGGGATTACAGGCGTGAGCCACCGCACCCGGCCTGTGCATTTATTTTTTAACCAATGGAAACATTTATTCATTTAACAAGAACCTATTATCATGCCTTCTGTTATACACTTGATAAAAACATTTTGCTATGCACAATGAAAAGAGGGGCCATCAAATTTATCCTTCCTAGTTCGGATTTGTTGTAAGAATAAAATGCATGTCTAGCAACTTTGTGTGTAATGATGCCTTGAAGCATCACATATTTCAACTTTAATACTACTAACTGGATACCACTTATGTGGTAGGTTCTACAATAAAAGTTTATACATGTATGTTTCATTTAATCTATGCAATAATCTGGAGGCTAATATTATCTTCTGTATATACTAGGAAAATAAAATTCAGAAAAACTTATTTAATTCAGATTTCATTACACTATTATTATAGTTGGTGTTCTAATCACTATGGAAACAAAACAGATACTATCTCTCCACCATGACCTCATAGGTTAAAGACAGAAACTCAGATGAGAATGCTACGAAATTCCAGAGGGAGATGATCTATCTGGGGGATATTCAAAAAAAAGGCTTCAATGGAGGTGATGTTGGAGCTGGGTTTTTAAAATTGTGTTAAGATTTTACCAGACAGAAGAAGGACAGGTATTATCTACAAAAGCAGAGGCATACACATGCATGCCATATTCAGTGAACTGTTGGTTTTCTTATGTAATTAAAGCAGTAGCTCTAGCGAGACAGAATGGTGGCAGACTGGTGACAGAGAATTACAAATTAAGTGGAATGGTATTTTTAAATTGTATATATTATATGCATATATAATATATAGTTTTTATATATATTTTTTACCCTACAAAAGTATGGAGCTATTGAAAGTTGTTAAAAATGAAGGATGGAAAAGGGACTTAATGAGATTTGTACTTTCAAAAGATTACTCTGGTAATGGTGTAAATATTAAATAGAAAATGAAAGGGATGAGAAATTTAAACACCTGTTAAAAAGTTATTGCATTAGTTTAGGGAGATATTTGCACAGGTTGGGTCAATAGGACTTGTGATTTAATGGTTGAATAATATGAGGAATCCAAGATGATGGAAGGAATCCAAAACAAAAAGCATTTTTAATAGCATTGGCAGAAAACGGGATATCCAGTTATCTACAACACAGGTAGAAATAGTGTCTAGATTGTGTGACCAGTTAATTCCTCTTTAAATATAACTTAGATTGCTCATAATATAATTTGAAAGTTTTTTAATTAAAAATGCATCAAAATGAAGGACAATAGTTCATATGGAAGAATAAAATATTTCATATGTATTGTGATGTCACAGGTATTTTTAGTATTTTTTGTACAATGACCCTCTGGACTTTTAAAATAAATTTGTATAATCTATATTATAATATGCTTTGAAAAATATGAAGAATAATATATGATTAAATGGAACAAGAATATATAACTGGTTATTTTGACTAGTTCTTGCTCTTTCTTCCAAACACAAAAAAAATTTATTGTTTTTCATGATTTTTTATTAATTTAGATATCCAAATATATACCTTAATTCCACTGTAATTCATTAAAATAAAAAATCCCTGATGTGGACACTACTAGAATTTTACATTAACAAATAATTTATTCAACTATTTTACTCTTTTGTGTTCCAACAGTCATCATAATTTATTTTTGTTTTTAGAGTTTTGAGTGAAACCTATATATAGTATCCCTCTTCCTCATATGATTTCTGAATCAATGGGAAAATAAGACACAGGCTTGAGGAACAAAATATACCTTCATCACACACAAAGAAGTTTTGGAATTGTTTTCTTATTTTTTTTAGATAGTTGTAGTGTATAGAAACACAACTGATTTTCAGATGTTGATTTCATATCCTGCAAATTTACTGAATTTATTAGTTCAAATAATTTTTGGTGGAGTCTTTGGAATTTTCTACTTATAAGATAATGCCATTGCAAACAGAAATACAAAATTACTTGTTTATTTCTGATTTGGAAGACTTTTATTTCTTTTTCTCACCTAATTGCTCTGTCTAGGACTTCCAATATCATATTCAATCTAGGTGGTGAGAGTAGGCATTCTTGACTTGTTTCTAATCTTAGAGAAAAAGGAGGAGGTGAAGCAAGATGGCTGAATAGAACCCTCTAGCTATTGTCCCTCCATTTAAAAACACCAAATTAAGAAAAAAAAAATCATGCAAGAAAGCACCTTTATAACCAGCAAAAAATCAAGTGAACAATTACATTACCTGGTTTTAATATAACATCAAGGAAAGAGACATTGAAGAGGGTAGAAACGACAGTCTTGCATTTCCTAAACCACCTCTTCCCCATCCCCCAGCTGTGCCACATGGAAAGATAATCTGTGTGCTTGAGGAAGAGAGAGTGAAGTGATCCTGGGACTTGACATTGGAACTCAGTGCTGCACTATTACAGCAGAATATGACACATGGCAGGATTCTGCCAGTGCCCACAGAGGAGCCCTGACCAGAGGGGAATTTTTAGCCCCAGCAAGGGGAAGCAGTAGATTTGGGGTGCATTTGACCTAGTGAGACACCAGCTGTGTCAGTCTGGGAAGTGCCTGTCTCATCTCTCTGCCAACTCCAGGCAGTCCAGCACAGACACTCCTTTGAATTAAGGAATAGAGAGGCAAGAGAGGTAGAGACCATCCTCTAACACAGGAAATTCTTCCTTTTCTTACCCAAGCCCACCAATATGGTACCTCTGAGTCTGCAAGTCACAAAGGGCTGCAGCAACTACAGGCTTAGATCACATCATTCAATTTCCTTTGAATGTGTGGAAAGTCTTCTTAAGAAGGATAGGTACAAGCAAATCTAGACTGCTAAGATTAGAATCAATGCCTAACTCTTCAATGCCCAGACATTGATAAACATCTGCAAGCACCAACAATATCCAGAAAAATAGTTCTTCACTAAATGAACTAAATAAGGCACCAGTGAGCAATCCCAGAGTGATGAAGATATGTGATAATTCAGACAGAGAATTCTAAATACCTGTCTTGAAGAAGTTCAGTGAACTTCAGGATAATATAGAGAAGCAATTCAGAATTCTATCAGAGAAATTTAACAGAGAATGAAATAATTAAAAAATCAAGCAGAAGTTCTGGAGCTGAAAAGTTCAATTGACAAACTGAAGCTCTCAATGGCAGAACTGATTAAGCAAAAGAAAATCACAGTCAGAGGAGAAAAAAAAAGGAAATAAAAAGAATAAAAGGGAATGAAGTGGGCCTACAGGATCTATGAAATAGCCTCAAGAAGGCAAATCTAAGAGTTATTGGTCTTAAAGAGGAGAGAGGTCAGAGTAAAACATGTATTCAAAGAAATAATAACAGAGAACTTTCCAAACCTAGAGAAAGATATCAAAATTCAGGTAAAAAAGGTCATAGAACACCAGGAAGATTCAATCCAAATACAACTACCTCAAAGCATTTACTAATCAAACTCTCATTGGTCAGGGATTTAAAAAGGGCTTCTTGAAGAAGCAAGATAAAAGAAACAAATAACACATAAATAAGCTTCTATACATCTGGCAGCAAACTTCACAGAGGAAACCTTATTGGCCAGAAGAGAGTGGGATGATATGCAAAGTGCTGAAGGATAAAAACTTCTTTCATAGAATATTGTATCCAACAAATGTACAGCATGGTGACTATAGTCAATAATAATATATTGTTCACTTGAAATTTGCTAAGAGAGTAGATCTTAAGTATTCTCAGCACACATTCACACACCTGCAAATTGATAACTAAATGTGGTGTTGGATGTATTAATTAATTTGATTGTGGTAATCATTTCATAATATATATGTATAGCATATCATGTATACCTTGACTATATTTGATTTTTAACAATTATACTTCACTAAAGCTAGAAAATTTTTTCTAATTTAAGAAGACATGTTTGGAGAATGTAAAACAGTATCAAAATTGGCTTGCCGATATTTTACTCCTTCAGTAGAGACCTTACAACAACCTTCTGAGCGTAGACCTTGCAACAACAATGCAAAGTGTATGTCTGTAAAACAGACACTCTCAGCTTGATTGCTATACTCTACGGATGTCTGTGGTGGAGGATGGAGGAAAAAGACAAAATCTTCTCAAGCCCTGGGCCTCTTTCAGATGAATTCTATCCACGAGAGAACCATGAACTAATGGCTACTTGCCTAGCAATTAGGAGAATCTTTACATTTCTTGGGGGAATGTAAAGGGAGTAGGATTGTTTTGGGAAATCCCTCCCCATAGAATGAAACATCAAAGTGAGGAAGCAGCATTCCCTGCCAATGGTTGTCCTGTGGTACTTGTCACATAGTTAAGCATTTAATGAATAACAGTGGTTCAGGAACCTATTAGATCAGCAAGATTAAACGAGGAAAAATTTTAGGCTATAATCTTTATCCCATCCCAGACTTAATAAATCAGGATTTTAATTATGGATCTCCTGGGTAGACCCAGGAGTTCTATAGTTTTAAAAGCTTCTCGGCACTTCTGTTTAAATAATTATCTATTTCTTGTATCAGTCTTGAGCCATATAAATGTATTTTTTAACCTAAGATGGCTTCTTCTTATCATTGTAATCATTTCTTCAGTCTGTGATTATCATCTTTAGTATGTTTTCTAGAATTTGCCAACTGCCTATTGATACAAAAGTGTTGGACGTTCATTCCCCTTTCAGGCTTCTAAATGTGGATCAAGAAGCCTAAGTCTGGAGAAATACTTTGAAATTTAAATATTTGTATAAAATGAAAACATGCATTGGATGAAAAAAGACAAAAGAGGACTAATCTGATCCTGGTTTTATCTACATTTTTAATTTTGCATAGCTAATGAAAAAATTACACAGGTACTATCCAACTAGTTGAAAGCCTCTGGGAACTAACTCAAATAACACTTCAAAAATGAGGTGGGCTAGCAGTAGGTAGTAGCAAATGCTTGATAGCTAAATGTATAGAAAACACTCACTGTGAAAAAGACAAATCAATTAATATTTACAACCTACATGAAATGATATCTAAGATTCAGTATAAATAGACTAGAACAGTATTTAGTACAAGTCAATGTCTCCAAATGTTCCCAGGAAAGCTTGAAATGGAAATGAGATTATTTTAGCAGAAAGTAAAATAATACATACAAAATTCAGCATTTAAAATTTTCACTTTTTCATACTATCTCAGCAAGAAATCAATCACAGCTTATTGTATGAATTAATTATTAAATATGTAAACAAAGCACAATTTCACATGAATTACCTTATTTGTTAATCTTTATTTCCAACTAAGTAGTAGGTTTAAAAAGAATATTAATGAAAATTTTACTTAACATTGGTTCAATCTAAAACTTTCAACTCTGGGATATTGAACATATTATTAAAATCCTGTATTTTCAGGAAAAAATAAATATTAAAACTATTGTTGGAAATAACATTAAAGATTTAAGTGGTGCTCTTTAATATCCTTTTTGTTTAACATAATGACATGTTTACAGAAAACTCAAGTGTTTTCTTGAAAAGACATAGTTCTGTCACATCTTCCTGTCTACACTATATTATGAAATGTCTACACTATTAAAAGCCAAGTTTTCCTTACTAGCCAATGCAATTTTAAGAAAGGTTTACTTTAGTTCCTTCCTGACATAAGCCAAGAAAAAAACTAAAAATTACTAGTCTGAGTGCAAAATACTAGGAAGAAATGTGCAGCAGAGCAATTAGGAATGGAATTTGAATAGTTGCTCTGCTTAAGGTCATAGCAAGACATATCTGTTTTTGAAAATTTCATTTTTGGATAGGAAGTCATGTATTAGAAAGCTAATTCTCCCTTGATAGGCACATTTTTAAAATTCAAATAATCTCTTGAATGCGCTACTAAAAAGAAATTCAACTATCACAGAAAGTAAAAATTTACTAATACTGGCTTCTGCCTCATATTGGCAGTGAGTTCATGGGATAAAATGACCTATACATGTGAAATATATACATATTGTCTTCTCTAAAACTAGATCAAAGGAAGAAGAGGATGATGTGGGTAAAAAAGTGGCTGAAGGAAAGCTAAGAACAAACTATAAATAATGAAAGCATGAGATGTATTTTATAACTTTCATTGAAATAAAGATATAACTTAAAAAAAACACAGTCAACTCAGAAGTTAGGTGTAATTTAAAATTCCTCTTTGCTTTTGTTCAGGGGTTGAGATTCAGTGGAATTGCATTTTGATTACTCTTACTGGTTTTTGAATGCCAATGGTCCAGTGTGGCCCCAAGCATTTAACTCCTTCATATTTCTGTGATCTATTCCGTTAGAGCCAAATACTTTCCTACTCACATCTCATCCCTGTGAGTCAGAGATTTCAGAGAGGAATGTGAAAAGTAGGAGGCTCAGGTAGAGGTGAAGCACAGACTTAATTTACCTATCAGAAGCTAGGTAAAACCTGGGCAGAACTGCTGACTACAAACGAGGGGTTTTGAAAAAGATGTAAGTTTGAGAAGACTTTAAGCGGTGTACAAGAAGTATTTGATTATCATTGTCACATGCAATGTATACAAGTGTGTATACATACACATGTATCAGTCAAAACCCTTTTCTAGTATATCATGCTGCACACTAGTTACCTCGGAACCATTTCATCTCACACATTGACAACTTAGCCATTTTCATTTTAACATTTGCAAGGCAAATTGAAAATTTTTAAATGGAAGTCCTTAACTTATGACATCACAGAATGTTTTGGCAATTTCGTCATGTACCTTTCCTAGATGTCAAAATTTGTACAAACCCTTAAATATGCAGTGAAATACTCTGCTTATTGATTTTCACTTCCCCTGCATTTATTTTGCCAATCATTTCTAACATTTAACATTTCTTTGTTTCTCACTGACTTCTGCATATGCTTTATTTTTGTACATAAGAGAAAACACTAGAATGGCAGTGTCCTGCAAACTATCAGAAACTGAAGACTTTTATCTGTTCTAATTACAAATGTTATATGTCTAGAGATTCAAATTGTTCCAACCAGACAAAGAAAATTCTCTGGTCAAATTCTATATGCCAAAGGTAACCAAAAGCATTATGTTCTATTAGAAATGCAGGTGCTTGACACTATTTAATAGAACACAGTGGTGTCCCACACGTCTTTGAATAGACTTGTGAAAGTTTAATTGGATAGGAGACCACTCCACAAGGGACCACTAGCACTTTAATAGCTAGTTTCAGACCCCTAGTGAGGTTGAATAATTACAATCAAGGAGCTATAGCCGTTTCCATGACTGCACTTATATTTCTGCAGAAAGGCCCATTTCCCTCCCCATCCCCCATGACAGTTCACTTTGTATTAATTATAGATTACATCCTTCAGCCCTCTATCATTATGCTAGCATATTCTCATAAAGAATGGTACATTAACCGTAAAGTACTGTGTTCATTGCATGTATGATTGTTCAGCTCTCTGCACTGTGTGTGTGTGTGTGTGTGTGTAAGAAAGCGAAAGAGGTCACTTTATAAATGTCAGTGGCACCAGATGTACAAATAAAAAATCAAAAGGCATCAAAAGAGAGGCTGGCACAGTATCAAGCCAAAATGGAGCTTTCACATACTTTACCCTCCATTTCCATTTCCCAGTACATGTCGGTTCGGAATTTCAAGCCTACTGCTTGAAATATAGTCAACATCAGAGAGCTGAATTTATTCTAAGTTAAGAATCATCTGCACAGCTACTCCTTTCACTCTTCAAACCTCTCTTTTTATGAACAGTGACATGCAAAAAGCATTTACATATTCTCAAACTTTTCTTAGAAGTTTACCTCTATGCTCCTTTCCTCTAATTAAATATTATATTGAGAGTTAAACAGATTGCTAAATATTTTCTTTCAAGTTTTCTATACACGTTCCTATTTCCTGATGGAAGAGTAAAAGGATAATATAAAAACCAATTCCTCTTGTCTTGAGGAAAGTTTAGCAATAATGGATAACTAAATACTAGAGAAGCTCTTATTTCTTGATATAAGTTTTGCACTAATGGGGCTATAAATTGGTATTCCAATAGCCAAATTCAACTACAAACACAATTAATGTAGCCAAATCTCATTGCCTGTTGGTACAGACATCCTCTTTACTTGGCCATAGCCCCTGCCCTTCTCTATTGCTTTAATTCCTGCTGCTTTGCATATTTATGGTAAGAATCTGGTGCGTAAGGCCATTTGACTTTATGATCTATGCCTAAAATAATTAGAGATTTTGTTCAGAATGTTTCAAGAAATTATAACATATAGATAACAATTAAATACACAATTCAACTTATATGGGACTTACTAGTAAAACTTAAGTTATAATTGCCATAGTGCTATCATGGGAATTAGATACTGGTAGTGATACTCATTAGGTCTGATACATGCAAAGTTAAACAATTTGCTAGTTATTAGAAAAACTGCTGAGGATTCACTTACGAGTTGAATGATAGTTGTGAAATTGATTTTTTGGTAATAATAACAGCTGGCACTTGCATAATAATTCTATAGTGTAAGCCAGTGTTCTCAGAGTTTTACATAAAATATTCACATAATTATTTCAACAACTCTATGAGGTACTATTATATTCCTTATTTTACAGATAAGAAGAATTATCAATAGAGAGTTTAAGTTACTAGTTTCCAGTTGACATAGCTACTTATTATTGGGATTTGAACCCAGGCAGTTCCTGTCCAGACTCCATGCTCTTAGCACATCACTATGCTGCCTCTTCATTTTATCTTATGTCCTCCAGTTCTAACAATCCTGCTCGATTCTCCAAACATGTCAGTTTTCTCTCTTTATGGCTCTGCTTGTAAAAACATTGCTATAGCAACTGTGAGGTATTTGATAGGAGGAACCTCAGAGATATGACACTGTTAATCCCTTCCTTATGCTCAGAGTGTTAACATTTAAAAAATATTTCTATTTAGAAAACAAAAGTGTTAGCAGGATCAAAGAAAAGGAATTATAAACTGCACGTTTCAGGAGTTTATTTTACAAAAGCTTCAGGGAAGCAGAACATTTTCTCATGGTTCTCAGAATGGTTTCAGCCTCTCTAATTCAGGGTACTCTTCATTACTTCCCATCACTGACCTTTCATCCAGGAAGACCTGGCTCCTGGTTTTCTTTATTTAATTTATACATCTATTTGCTTAAAACTGTGATGGAATTTGGCTTACTCAACAAGTTAGACTGACTTTCCTCCCCCAGTAAGCCTTAGCTCATGATGACTGTACTACATTGTATGTCTCATTAAATTATTTATTGATTCTTTTCAGGTGATTGTTCTTTTGTAAAATAAATTGTCTCATTTATATTTGAGGTTTACAACATAATCTCATAGATACATAAAGATAGTAAAACCGCTACAACAGGAAAGCAGATTAATATAGCTATCATTTGACATAGCTACATTTTGTATAAGACTAAAATCCATTTAACAAAAATACCTAATATAATACAATTGTATTAATTTTATACTTTATGTGGTATATTAGATCTCTAAACTTGTTCATTCTACATATCTGGAATTTTGTGTCCTTTGACCTACATCTCCCCATTTCCTTCCCCAACTCCACCAGTGGTAACCACTGTTTCATTCTCTTTCTCTGTGTATCTGAGCTCTTTGTGTTGTTATATATTTTACATATAAGTGAGATTATACAATATATTTTTCTGTGTCTGGCTTATTTTACTTAGCACAATGATGTCCCTTTGAACTCATCTATGTCTTCAGGACATCCACTAGCCACTCCCTAAATCACCTCCTTCACCTAAAGAGTCTTTTCCCTTATTTATATGCTTATCAATATCCAAAGCCTTTTTTGAAGCTTAGAAAAAGCCCAGTGTCCAGGGTAATATTTGCTCTTCTCAAGTTTACATTATTTTTAACCCTTCAAAATATGGCACACAATATTTATTTTTTTCAATTACTCTGTGTTTTAAAAATATTATTCTTGCCTTTGCATTTAACTGCTTTATACATGAGTGCCTCATTTCACTAAATAGATTATAGGCATCTTCAGATGATTAGATATATTCATAATATATTTATTAGATATATTCATTAGATATATTCAAAGTATGGTTATTTTTTATCTTCCCCTTACCCCATGACTAGCATAGTTGCTGTATTGAGAATGCATTTATTAAAATAAGCAT
Source organism: Homo sapiens (assembly GCF_000001405.40). Classification (NCBI taxonomy): domain Eukaryota; kingdom Metazoa; phylum Chordata; class Mammalia; order Primates; family Hominidae; genus Homo; species Homo sapiens. The sequence continues at coordinate 28,320,693 of NC_000014.9, read as the reverse complement.
TAATTTTCATAAGATGACTTAACAGTGAGTTGAATTAGTTACATTTTCATGCCATATGTGGAGCAGATATAAAGTAATAGCCACAAATAAGAGATTTGCTTTCCCAAAAAAACTGTATGTGTGTGTGATGTGTGTGTACATATGTACACATATGGAACGGTACATATTATATCTCTACCATACATTAAGTATGCATACACTCACATACATTCAAAGAATAGTAAGGTAGAATAGGAATTATGCAGGCCAGGGAACTACAAAAAAAAAAAAAGAGAGAGAGCAAGCCATTATAACTTCTTGTGTTGGCTATCTGAAAGAACCCATCCTTTTTCTCTCACAGCTGCATTGCTAATTAAATTGAATGGGCTCAATTTTAGCTGAACATTAATGGTATAATTGCATTGCTGTAAGTAATTAAAACCTTATCCTACTTATCCTAACAGATGGTTGGGTTGAAAGTTTCAACTGCAAAAAATAAAATTTATACAAGTGGATTCTAGAGAATAGAATCACTCACCATATTTTGATTGCCTGGGAAATAATTTCATATTCTTTTATCCTAATGAATGTGTTATGAGAGGTACTTAGTGGATTAAAACTCTTCAGCAAGTAAGACTCTACAGATAATCATTTCTTTACATAAATTTATTTTACCTATTGTAATGGCTTTATTTATTGTGATGGTTGAAGACTTAATCTATTATAACACTAAACTTAAATTTTAGAACTTAATATGAGAAAAATGTTCTTAAAAAATGAGAACTTTATTTCACATTACAAAGCTGTTCTCTAAAACTTGCTTATTTTAAACATGTTAAATAAATTTTAAAGAAAAATTAGTCCTGTATTATATTAATAAAACATTGCAGTTCCTATGGAAATTATTTAACCAATTGTGCATGGTAGCAAATTTACAACAGATTATTAAATATGTGTCCTATTCTATCATATGGTTATTTTATCCCAGGTTATTCTTGAACAGGAAACTTAGCTTCAATGAGAGCACACCATTGTTTGAAGAAGTATATGTAACCTCAGAAATACTTTATTCAGTATATTGTGAGGGGATAATATGTGAGAGAACCAATAACAACTTTTCTCTCTCTCTCTTCCTTCCTTCCTTCCTTCCCTGCCTCCCTCCCTCCCTCCCTCCTTCCTTCCCTCCTTCCTTCTATCCTTCCTCTCTTCCTTCCTCCCTCCCTCTTTTCCACCCCCATCCTTTTCTCCTCCCTTTCATCTTTCTTTTTCTGTTTACTTAAATGTACTACATCGGTGTAAATGAGAGAAACAAATTAGAGAGGTTATCAGCTGTGTCACAGAATCTGAAGTGCATGAGAAAGGGTCTGAAAAGCAGAGAAGCCCATAGGAGGAATATGGCCAAGTTAAATAAGCAGAAAAACTACAGGATTCTCTTCTGAGACCTTTCACACTAGAGGAGACTAGTACTATCTCCTCTAATCCTGGATCTAGTTTTAAAAAATATAGCAAAACTTTCTTCTTGTTAATGTCTAGAAATCTCTTAAGAATATCTATTAGAAATATTTTTAATGACTGCTGATTTTCAGTAATCACCAGACATATCAAATTCAAAATTCCCTATCAAAGATTTTTTTTTTTTTAAACAGAGTGTCACTCTTGTTGTCCAGGCTGGAGTACAACCGCGTGACCTCTGCTCACTGCAATCTCTGCCTCCTGAGTTGAAGCGATTCTCCTGCCTCAGCCTCTGAGTAGTTGGGATTACAAGCATGCGCCACCACTGCTCGCTAATTTTTTTGTATTATTAGTAGAGATGGGGTTTCACCATGTTGGCCAGGCTGGTCTCGGACTCCTGACCTCAGGTGATCCACCCGCCTTGGCCTCCTAAAGGGAATGGGTGATTTTGAAAAACATATAATGTTGTTATATCAACAATATTATTGTAACGGAGTTTTTTATAATTGACTACCTCATAAATTCTGTATAGACAAAAAAGAAATTGCACAATTTTACTCTATTTTGCTCTAATTATTGGGAGTGATAGAATTCCTAGAATATATTTTCACGTGAATGTCATCTGAAACATTTGGAGGAAAACAAAAAAACAACTAGTAGACACGACTCACAGCTTTGGAAACACTGGTAGATTCTTCCCAAAGTATTTAAAAAATTAACTTTGGAATACCTGGATTTTGGAGCCAAGATGGCCGAATAGGAACAGCTCCGGTCTACAGCTCCCAGCGTGAGCGACGCCAGAAGACGGTGATTTCTGCATTTCCATCTGAGGTACCGGGTTCATCTCACTAGGGAGCGCCAGACAGTGGGCGCAGGTCAGTGGGTGCACGCACCTTGCGCGAGCCGAAGCAGGGTGAGGCATTGCCTCACTTGGGAAGCACAAGGGGTCAGGGAGTTCCCTTTCCCAGTCAAAGAAAGGGGTGACGGACGGCACCTGGAAAATCAGATCACTCCCACCTGAATACTGCGCTTTTCCGACGGGCTGAAAAAACGGTGCACCACGAGATTATATCCCGCACCTGGCTCGGAGGGTCTTACGCCCACGGAGTCTCGCTGATTGCTAGCACAGCAGTCTGAGATCAAACTGCAAGGCGGCAGGGAGGCTGGGGGAGGGGCGCCCGCCATTGCCCAGGCTCCCGTAGGTAAACAAAGCAGCCAGGAAGCTCGAACTGGGTGGAGCCCACCACAGCTCAAGGAGGCCTGCCTGCCTCTGTAGGCTCCACCTCTGGGGGCAGGGCACAGACAAACAAAAAGACAGCAGTAACCTCTGCAGACTTAAATGTCCCTGTCTGACAGCTTTGAAGAGAGCAGTGGTTCTCCCAGCACGCAGCTGGAGATCTGAGAACGGGCAGACTGCCTCCTCAAGTGGGTCCCTGACCCCTGAGCAGCCTAACTGGGAGGCACCCCCCAGCAGGGGCACACTGACACCTCACACTGCAGGGTGTTCCAACAGACCTGCAGCTGAGGGTCCTGTCTGTTAGAAGGAAAACTAACAAACAGAAAGGACATCCACACCAAAAACCCATCTGTATATCACCATCATCAAAGACCAAAAGTAGATAAAACCACAAAGATGGGGAAAAAACAGAACAGAAAAACTGGAAACTCTAAAAAGCAGAGTGCCTCTCCTCCTCCAAAGGAACGCAGTTCCTCACCAGCAACGGAACAAAGCTGGATGGAGAATGACTTTGACGAGCTGAGAAGAAGGCTTCAGATGATCAAATTACTCTGAGCTACGGGAGGACATTCAAACCAAAGGCAAAGAAGTAGAAAACTTTGAAAAAAATTTAGAAGAATGTATAACTAGAATAACCAATACAGAGAAGTGCTTAAAGGAGCTAATGGAGCTGAAAACCAAGGCTCGAGAACTACGTGAAGAATGCAGAAGCCTCAGGAGCCGATGCGATCAACTGGAAGAAAGGGTATCAGCGATGGAAGATGAAATGAATGAAATGAAGTGAGAAGGGAAGTTTAGAGAAAAAAGAATAGAAAGAAATGAGCAAAGCCTCCAAGAAATATGGGACTATGTGAAAAGACCAAATCTACGTCTGATTGGTGTACCTGAAAGTGATGGGGAGAATGGAACCAAGTTGGGAAACACTCTGCAGGATATTATCCAGGAGAACTTCCCCAATCTAGCAAGGCAGGCCAACGTTCAGATTCAGGAAATACAGAGAACGCCACAAAGATACTCCTCGAGAAGAGCAACTCTAAGACACATAATTGTCAGATTCACCAAAGTTGAAATGAAGGAAAAAATGTTAAGGGCAGCCAGAGAGAAAGGTCGGGTTACCCTCAAAGGGAAGCCCATCAGACTAACAGTGGATCTCTTGGCAGAAACCCTACAAGCCAGAAGAGAGTGGGGGCCAATATTCAACATTCTTAAAGAAAAGAATTTTCAACCCAGAATTTCATATCCAGCCAAACTAAGCTTCATAAGCGAAGGATAAATAAAATACTTTACAGACAAGCAAATGCTGAGAGATTTTGTCACCACCAGGCCTGCCCTAAAAGAGCTCCTGAAGGAAGTACTAAACATGGAAAGGAACAACTGGTACCAGCCACTGCAAAATCATGCCACAATGTAAAGACCATCAAGACTAGGAAGAAACTGCATCAACTAACGAGCAAAATCACCAGCTAACATCATAATGACAGGATCACATTCACACATAACAATATTAACTTTAAATGTAAATGGACTAAATGCCCCAATTAAAAGACACAGACTGGCAAATTGGATAAAGAGTCAAGACCCATCAGTGTGCTGTATTCAGGAAACCCATCTCACGTGCAGAAACAGACATAGGCTCAAAATAAAAGGATGGAGGAAGATCTACCAAGCAAATGGAAAACAAAAAAAGGCAGGGGTTGCAATCCTAGTTTCTGATAAAACAGACTTTAAACCAACAAAGATCAAAAGAGACAAAGAAGGCCATTACATAATGGTAAAGGGATCAATTCAACAAGAAGAGCTAAATATCCTAAATATATATGCACCCAATACAGGAGCACCCAGATTCATAAAGCAAGTCCTGAGTGACCTGCAAAGAGACTTAGACTCCCACACATTAATAATGGGAGACTTTAACACCCCACTGTCAACATTAGACAGATCAACGAGACAGAAAGTCAACAAGGATACCCAGGAATTGAACTCAGCTCTGCACCAAGCAGACCTAATAGACATCTACAGAACTCGCCACCCCAAATCAACAGAATATACATTTTTTTCAGCACCACACCTATTCCAAAATTGACCACATACTTGGAAGTAAAGCTCTCCTCAGCAAATGTAAAAGAACAAAAATTATAACAAACTATCTCTCAGACCACAGTGCAATCAAACTAGAACTCAGGATTAAGAATCTCACTCAAAACCACTCAACTACATGGAAACTGAACAACCTGCTCCTGAATGACTACTGGGTACATAACGAAATGAAGGCAGAAATAAAGATGTTCTTTGAAACCAACGAGAACAAAGACACAACATACCAGAATCTCTGGGACTCATTCAAAGCAGTGTGTAGAGGGAAATTTATAGCACTAAACGCCCAAAAGAGAAAGCAGGAAAGATCCAAAATTGACACCCTAACATCACAATTAAAAGAACTAGAAAAGCAAGAGCAAACACATTCAAAAGCTAGCAGAAGGCAAGAAATAACTAAAATCGGAGCAGAACTGAAGGAAATAGAGACACAAAAAACCCTTCAAAAAATTAATGAATCCAGGAGCTGGTTTTTTGAAAGGATCAACAAAATTGATAGACTGCTAGCAAGACTAATAAAGAAAAAAAAGAGAGAAGAATCAAATAGAGGCAATAAAAAATGATAAAGGGGATATCACCACCAATCCCACAGAAATACAAACTACCATCAGAGAATACTACAAACACCTCTACGCAAATAAACTAGAAAATCTAGAAGAAATGGATAAATTCCTCAACACATACACTCTCCCAAGACTAAACCAGGAAGAAGTTGAATCTCTGAATAGACAAATAACAGGAGATGAAATTGTGGCAATAATCAATAGCTTATCAACCAAAAAGAGTCCAGGACCAGATGGATTCACAGCTGAATTCTACCAGAGGTACAAGGAGGAACTGGTACCATTCCTTCTGAAACTATTCCAATCAACAGAAAAAGAGAGAATCCTCCCTAACTCATTTTATGAGGCCAGCATCATTCTGATACCAAAGCCAGGCAGAGAAACAACAAAAAAAGAGAATTTTAGACCAATATCCTTGATGAACATTGATGCAAAAATCCTCAATAAAATACTGGGAAAACGAATCCAGCAGCACATCAAAAAGCTTATCCACCATGATCAAGTGGGCTTCATCCCTGGGATTCAAGGCTGGTTCAATATACACAAATTAATAAATGTAATCCAGCATATAAACAGAGCCAAAGACAAAAACCACATGATTATCTCAATAGATGCAGAAAAAGCCTTTGACAAAATTCAACAACCCTTCATGCTAAAAACTCTCAATAAATTAGGTATTGATGGGACATATTTCAAAATAATAAGAGCTATCTATGACAAACCCACAGTCAATATCATAGCGAATGGGCAAAAACTGGAAGCATTCCCTTTGAAAACTGGCACAAGAAAGGGATGCCCTCTCTCACCGCTCCTATTCAACATAGTGTTGGAAGTTCTGGCCAGGGCAATCAGTCAGGAGAAGGAAATAAAGGGTATTCAGTTAGGAAAAGAGGAAGTCAAATTGTCCCTGTTTGCAGACGACATGATTGTTTATCTAGAAAACCCCATCATCTCAGCCCAAAATCTCCTTAAGCTGATAAGCAACTTCAGCAAAGTCTCAGGATACAAAATCAATGTACAAAAATCACAGGCATTCTTATACACCAACAACAGACAAACAGAGAGCCAAATCATGAGTGAACTCCCATTCACAATTGCTTCAAAGAGAATAAAATACCTAGGAATCCAACTTACAAGGGATGTGAAGGACCTCTTCAAGGAGAACTACAAACCACTGCTCAAGGAAATAAAAGAGGATACAAACAAATGGAAGAACATTCCATGCTCATGGGTAGGAAGAATCAATATCGTGAAAATGGCCATACTGCCCAAGGTAATTTACAGATTCAATGCCATCCCCATCAAGCTACCAATGCCTTTCTTCACAGAATTGGAAAAAACTACTTTAAAGTTCATATGGAACTAAAAAAGAGCCCGCATCACCAAGTCACTCCTAAGCCAAAAGAACAAAGCTGGAGGCATCACACTATCTGACTTCAAACTATACTACAAGGCCACAGTAACCAAAACAGCATGGTACTGGTACCAAAACAGAGATATAGATCAATGGAACAGAACAGAGCCCTCAGAAATAACGCCGTATATCTACAACTATCTGATCTTTGACAAACCTGAGAAAAACAAGCAATGGGGAAAGGATTCCCTATTTAATAAATGGTGCTGGGAAAACTGGTTAGCCATATGTAGAGAGCTGAAACTGGATCCCTTCCTTACACCTTATACAAAAATCAATTCAAGATGGATTAAAGACTTAAACGTTAGACCTAAAACCATAAAAACCCTAGAAGAAAACCTAGGCATTACCATTCAGGACATAGGCATGGGCAAGGACTTCATGTCTAAAACACCAAAAGCAATGGCAACAGAAGTCAAAATTGACAAATGGGATCTCATTAAACTACAGAGCTTCTGCACAGCAAAAGAAACTACCATCAGAGTGAACAGGCAACCTACAAAATGGGAGAAAATTTTCACAACCTACTCATCTGACAAAGGGCTAATATCCAGAATCTACAATGAACTCAAACAAATTTACAAGAAAAAAACAAACAACCCCATCAAAAAGTGGGCGAAGGACATGAACAGACACTTCTCAAAAGAAGACATTTATGCAGCCAAAAAACACATGAAAAAATGCTCATCATCACTGGCTATCAGAGAAATGCAAATCAAAACCACAATGAGATACCATCTCACACCAGTTAGAATGGCAATCATTAAAAAGTCAGGAAACAACAGGTGCTGGAGAGGATGTGGAGAAATAGGGACACTTTTACACTGTTGGTGGGACTGTAAACTAGTTCAACCCTTGTGGAAGTCAGTGTGGCGATTCCTCAGGGATCTAGAACTAGAAATACCATTTGACCCAGCCATCCCATTACTGGGTATATACCCAAAGGACTATAAATCATGCTGCTATAAAGACACATGCACACGTATGTTTATTGTGGCACTATTCACAATAGCAAAGACTTGGAACCAACCCAAATGTCCAACAATGATAGACTGGATTAAGAAAATGTGGCACATATACACCATGGAATACTATGCAGCCATAAAAAATGATGAGTTCATGTCCTTTGTAGGGACATGGATGAAATTGGAAATCATCATTCTCAGTGATCTATCGCAAGAACAAAAAACCAAATGCCGCATATTCTCACTCATAGGTGGGAATTGAACAATGAGATCACATGGACACAGGAAGGGGAATATCACACTCTGGGGAGTGTTGTGGGGTGGGGGGAGGAGGGAGGGGGTCGGGGTAGCATTGGGAGATATACCTAATGCTAGATGACGAGTTAGTGGGTGCAGTGCACCAGCATGGCACACGTATACATATGTAACTAACCTGCACAATGTGCACATGTATCCTAAAACTTAAAGTATAATTAAAAAAAAAAAAGAAAAAAAAAAACTTTGGAATACCTACTGTACTGCTAATTACATCTAATTTAGCCTACTTGAAATTGTGCATAAAATAACTGAATTTAAGCTTTTTATGTTTTATTTGCTGATAAGTTGCCAATCTCATGCAATCAGATGATAAATCTTTCTGCATTAAAAATTATAGTATGGGAAATCATTTACATCTAACGGTTTGTTGAAGGCACAAACAATGTGTAAATTGTCACTGTTATAGTAAAGCATCTCAGTTAAGTCCAAAAATAATAATTCAATCATACTTTTTAAATAAAATTGTACCAGCGTCTGGGAAACCTCCAACCACTTGTCTATTGCTGCGATTATACATGAACTGTGAAAATATTCTATCAAACATGCACAAGTAATATGTATGCATGCATTCTTTTTCTGGAAAAATCAATTGCTCCACTGCCTATCGTGACCTGTAATATTCTTTCCATGAGCTGTTTGAACTGGGTCCATTTGCTTAAATGTTAGGCCTTTATAGATTTTTACTCTCATATAAATAAAAAGTTGAAAATTTTCTGCATATTAGTGTTTATTTTTTGTTCCAAATTATTGTGCTATGCTTATTATTAAGGTAAAAGAGAAAGTTTTTTGACTTTTTTTTAGTCAAGGTTGAATTGAATTTATATCAGACTACTCTAGTTTCCTTCATACATGATTTGTGTCAAATGTAAGAGTTCTTGACTCTTACATAATATTTCATAAATAATATATTACTTGTATTGTCATATTTACTTATCATCCATCATGAAAATACGTTTTTTAAGTGCCTACTATGTGAAAAGCACTTGTGTTTTAGTAACAGAAGGTCAAAGACTGGATTACTGCTTTCAGAAGAATGTATCCTGTAATAAAAATTATGTGATCAAATTCTACTCCTTCACGAATTTCACACACAAATAAATTACTTATAATTTGTTCTTTAAAAATTTATCATGTGAAATCTATGGTGCACCCTCAGGATATGATGAATTACAAAGCATAGTGTTAGTTCACTACTGCTCACACTCACTGATCTGTACAATAGATATTTACTAATCACGTACTATATACCAGTAAATTAACCAGATGCCAAGAATAAAATGAGAGCAAAACAGGCAAAGTTATTTGCTCTTCTAAAACTTATTGTAGATAAGACTGGTATTGACTGTAAACAAACAAAGCCTTAAGCTGGGAAATAATGAGGTAGGAGTTCCTTTAGATGTCTTGATGGTCATGAAAGGGTTCTCAGGAAATTTGGTAAGATGGATGACATATATGTTAATAATGTCTACGTGCAACTATCTATAAGAAGTTTGAAAAGGTTGCTTGCTCTTAGAAAATGAAATAAAGGCAGTTTTAATTTAATTAGAATACCTAAATAGGAAGATATATTTTGACTCAAATGCTCGATGTAATGATTTGGAAATAAAGTAGATAGAGGGAAAAGTAATTTGATAGAGTCAGGTAAGACTAAATAGGGAGTTTGAAAATTGTTTTCAGAGAGAATATTGATTTGTTTCAATAGTTAGAGAAAAATAAATTACAATCGTGATTGAAGTACTAGCAAATCACAAAAATGGTGGGGAATATAAAGATATCCATTATCAGTCTACAATCTTCTTTCAGTAATACAAAAACCCAATTTTTCTTTCTGTTTCAGAAATGACTGGATGGGTAATTCTATTTGTGATTCTCTTTCTCAAAGAGTACTCCTTCAAATAACAGATATAAATATTTGAAGAATTCAATGTCTATAACACCTTATATGAAAATTGAGATAACATTAACATAAATTAGCTTACATATAATAAACCTATTATAATAAAGTTTCCATAAATATCTTCTTATAAATACTTCTCAGTAGGCTGGCCAATGAATTAGTTTAAATTTCTTAAATGTGAACATGTTAGTAAAAACTGAGAAGGAAAAGTAATTTAAGTTGGGTAGGAAAACTGCAAGGGGTTCGAATGTGGAAATCACCATATTTAGGAGTTGCAAAAAGATTTTCTGTGACAGGCAGTTTGTTATCCAAATTGAAATGGCAGCAGCAGGATCAGTCAGCCATGTATTTAATAATATAAGTGCATAATGAGACTGTGGGAGATCTCAATAGGAGACAAGAATGGAACAATTATTATATGGATCACCTAAATTAAAAATTAGGCTAAATAGGCTCTCCTCATCAAGGAGCTGGCTATAGATACTGGGGCTGCAAATAACAGATCAAGTTTCAGAGACAGGATCCCCATTCCTTACCAAGAAACAGGCAAGAAAATCTCAGGGGCTTCTGTTTTCAACATTTGGATCTCCGGAACTGGAGTCCAGGTATAAAATCTGAACCATAGTAAAAGGAACTACTAGCAGAATTGAACTACGTGCTATGGTAAATGCTGAAAGTAGTAGATGTCTTAAAACACCAGAAAAAAAGTTACTAAAGTGAGCCAAAAATAGCAAATTATTGAGATTTGAATTCACGTTTGGAATTAGGTTAACATTTGACATTAATTCTTGGAATGTGTCACTAAAGCATCTTAAATACCCATACTTTCATTTCAGGATTGGTCCCAGGAAATTGTTAGAGTATTCACCTCACATATGCTCACCCAGCAACTTCTGTCAACTTTGCTATATACTTGGTACTGAAGGATGCAGAGATGAAATAACTTGGTCTCTACTCTTTGCAGACTAACAATCAATACATAATAAAACATTAATAAGTATATATGTTGTACAGCAATACTTTTTGCTTGTGTTTTCTGGTTATTAGTAGAAACCCCTGTGGTGAGCCAAGTGTTCTGTGAGGGGTCTTTAAAAAGTTCATGAAAAAAACTATGCATGGGCCTCTTTTTTTTTTTTTTTTTTGCACCAAAATAAACTCATTCTAAGTTATAACATGTCTGAACAGGATCTAATCTGAGGCACTAAGAATATAGCATCTATCGAAAAGATCTTCTACTAGAGCAACATAAATTCCGCTAAAATTAAAACATGAACAAGCTTCACATTTATGGAAAAATGTGTGTGGAAGAATGGCAAAATCATTAATCCTTTATGAAAGGTTTATGGGACAATGCCCCCATCCAAATCAACACTTTACAAATGGATAACTTGTTTTAAGAAGGAATGAGACAATGTTGAAAATGAAGCCTGCAGCAGCAAACCAACCACTTCGATTTGCAAAGAAAGATTAATCTTTTTCGTGTCCTAATTGAAGAAGACTGACAATAGCAAAAACAATACGCAACACCATGGACATCTCAATTGGTTCAGCTTACAGAATTCTGAATGAAAAATTAAAGTTGAGCAAACTCTCCTCTCCATGGGTACCAAAACCTTTATGCCCAGATCAACTGCAGACAAGAGCGGCACTTTCAACGGAAATTTTAAACAAGTGGGATCAAGATGTTTGAAACATTTCTTCAAAGAGTTGTAACAGAAGATGAAACACAGCTTTACCAGTAGGATCTTGAAGACAAAGCACAATCAAAACAATGGTTATCAAGAGGTGGAAGTGATTCAGTCTAAACAAATGCAGGCCAGTCAAGAGCAAAGGGCATGACAACATTTCTTATGAATTGCTCAAGGCATTTTGCTTGCTGACTTTCTGGAGGGCCAAAGAATAGTAACATCTGCTTATTATGAGACTGTTTTGAGCAAGTTATCCACAGCTTTAGCAGAAAATCACTCAGGAAAGCTTTACCAGAGAGTCATTCTCTGCTGTGACAGTACTTCTGCTCATTCCTCTCATCAAATAAGAGCAACTTTGTGAGTTTTAATGGGAAGTTATTAGGCATCCACCTTTTAGTCCTAACTTGGTGGTTCCTTCTAACTTCTTTTTGTTTCCTAATTTAAAAAAAATCTGTAAAGTGTGCTTATTTTCTTTCAGTTAATAATGCAAAAAATAAAAATAGAGAGAGAGAGAAAGAGAGAGAGACAGCATTGAAATGGTTAAATTCCCAGGACTCTTAGTTCTTTAGGGATGAACTTAATGGCTGGTATTGCTTACAAGGGTATCTTGAAATTGATGGAGCTTATGCTGAGAAATAAAGTTTTTTGTTTTTTTAAATTTTCATCTTATAATTCTATTTTTCCACTAACTTTGTGAAGCTGTCTTTCATATCACAAAACAATCAATATGAAACGATTTACTCAATATATAGATGGAAGAAAAAATCCTTTTATTACTCCTCACCATAAGGTGTTTAAAAAGCAGGAGTTCTCTGGCTTTAATTTGTCATCTTTGCATTTGTGGGGAGATGATTTCTACATCTTAGGTAACTTGACACAGTACCTAATATGTTGCTCCTTACTCAGAGCTCTGTAGAATGCCTGAATAAATGTAGCTTTTAAATTATTTGATTTCCTAGCAAATATGCATCTCTATGTATAATGGTTCCTGGGTAATTTTATAGCATTTATACAACTTCAAATATTAGGAAGAAAATCAAAGAAAATATTTTCTATGATAAGCTCATCTAAAGAAGAGTATTATTTGTCCTGGAAATATAAATGCATTCTCTATCTTAGGCAATACTGGCTCATGATTTTGTGTGGAGAAAAATAAAAATGAGATTAATGATTTCTTTGTTTTCACCAATGATATAGCGTATGAGGTAATGCTATTACATTTCTGACTTATCCAGTTCTTCAATTTACAAAGAATGCTTTCAATTAATTACAAAACACAGGCAACAAAAGCAAAAACAGACAAATGGGATTACATCAAAATAAGAAGCTTCTGCACAGCCAAAGATACAATCAACAGACTGCAGAGACAATTTACAAAATGGGAGAAAATATTTGTAAGCCACACATCTGATAAGGGGTTAATATCCACAATATATAAGGAACACAAACAACTCAATGGTAAGAAAACAAATGACCCAATTAAAGAACAACTAAAGGATCTGAAGAGACAGTTCTCACAAACAGACATACAAATGGGCAACAAGTAAATGAAAAAATGCTCAATATCCCTAGTCATCAGAAAAATGCAAATTAAAACCATGCAATATAATCTCACACTTGTTAGAATGGCTGTGATCAAAAAGGTAAGTGTGGGAGAGAATGTGGAGAAAAGGGAATCCTTGCACACTGTTGGTGGGAATGCAAAGTAGTATAGCCAATATGGAAAACAGTATGGAGGTATGTCACAAATAAACACAACTACAAAAACTGCTTGATTTTTTTTAAAAAAGTTAATTCACATTAGGCCACAGAATCTAAAGAATATTTGTAGTTCTACAAATATGTCCTAGGATACGCTGAAAGACAAGCTTATTTGATATACAGGGTAACAAATGGGTAATAAAATAAATGAGATTTTTCCCTGTGACTCAGAAAAAAGGAAAAAAAGTTGCTTTACACTTGTCTTTTAACTGTTTTTAGGGTGACCAACTGTCCCAGTGAAACTTTCAGTGATAGAACTGGGATACTACTGAACAAATCAGGATGATTGGTCACCCTAGATTATCAATGATTTATTTATTTTTCTTTCTTCATGCCTGTCATCCATTAGGGGGATTATATTATGCAAAATTAAAAGAAAGTAGTTTTATTTTTAGTTCTTTGAAACATCTCCATACTGTTTTCCACAGTGGTTTTCATGTAAAGTCATGGAATCAACCTAAGTGTCCACTAGCAGAAGATTGGATAAAGAAAATGTGATATCTGTATCTGTATCTACACCTTTATCAAATTATACATATATATCCATACTATATGTACTATATATCTATGTATATAGTTTTATAGTATTCCATTAAGTGCGTGCTTTTGTGTGTGTGTGTGTGTGTGTGTGTGTGTGTTTGTTCAGACACACAAAAAATGAAATAATGTCTTATGTAGCAACGTGGAAAGAACTGGAGGTCATTATCTTAAGTGAAACAACTCAGGAACAGAAAGTCAAATACCACATGTTTTCACTTATAAGTGGGAGCTAATAACATAGAGCGTGGAATAATAGATATTGGAGACTCGGAAGTGTGGGAAGGGAGTGAGGGATGAGAAATTACCTGATGGAAACAATGTACATTATTTGGGTAATCGTTACCCTAAAAGTCGAGACCTTATTACTGCACAATATATTTATGTAAGAAAATGCACTTGTATCCCTTAAATTTATACAAAAATAAAATCCTTCACACATGCACACACACACACAAAATCTACAGAAATATTACAGGAATATACTATGTGTAAAATTACAAAATTTGTAGAAATTTCAGGAGAAGAATGATTTTGTGAGAACTATTGCTGGATCAGCTGGCTATTGTTGCAGTGATTCTGCATAACAAATACTGACAAAATTTCAGTGGCATTCAACAATACTCACTTGTTCCTCAATCATTGGTATGCAGGTCTGCTGGATTGACTCTGCCTCAAGTAGTGGGTTGCTGGATTTTGTCCTTCCTATTTCAATCCAGAGTGCAGGGTGAAGAGGCAACAGGTACCTGGGGGATGTTCCTTTTATTTTAGAGGTTGGACTCTCTCAGAAAAATATGCAAAAACATGTTCAAATTTTTAAGGCCTAGGCTTGATATTGGCAAACACTGTCACTTGCACATACATGGCTTTGGCCAGAGAAAGTTATTTGTTCCAGTCCAACTTAAAAAAAAAAAAAAGGATATGTGAATATTTACTAAACAGTAACCTAATCTACAGCACTGGCAAAATGGATATCCTAATTTGGAGAGATGTATATTTGTCTCTTTCCTGGTGGATTAGTATTTCACAAAGTTATATGCTTCTTTGACCAGTAAACTCATTTTTTAACTTACAAGATTTTGCTACTTCTTTCATGTGTTATTTCTAACTTCTCATTGAATTTAAATGATTTCTTGATGTGGTTGTCTGAATTCAATTGCCTTGAAGGCATCTAACATATTTTTCCCTCTCATTTAGCATTGCCAGAAGAAATATAGGACACAGTACATTTTGAATTTTAGATAAATAATGAATAATTTTCTAGTAAAAGCATGTCCTGGAAATTGTGTTCTGATCTGAAATTCAAATTTAAGTAGGCATCTGTATTTTTATATGATAAATCCGGCAACTTTATTCTCATTTGACTGGTTTATTTGAACAACATCCTTTGAATTACTTAATAAATTCTTACTCTGTGCCAGATACATCCATGGATACACAGAGTATAATTTCCTGACTCTAATAATACTTGTAAAAAACTCTTTGAAGGCTTAAGTATTTTATGTTATTAGAGCACATCGGCGGCACCTAAGGGTGAGAAGTTTAGAAAGTAGGGTTTTTTTTGGTGTAGGTAATTAATAAAAGTAACAGGGCAAATTAAATATAAAGTAAAACAGGTGCATGGGCCTCAGAAACAACTCAACTATCCACAGAAATAAAAAAGAATGTGACTTCTGCTATAAAAGAAACTCTTGTATGTTTATACACAAGGATATTTGAGTACCTAATTGTTTTAGAGAAAGTTGCTTTCTTAAATTGCCAGGGTTGAAGTATTTGCTTGACTGAATTACAGAAAACTCAATTTCTCCTTCATTTCTTTTTCTTCTTTGTCATTGCTGTCTTTTTAAATTATAGTTTCTATTACTATTACTACTAAAATCTAATATTACTGAAAATATCTTGAAAATCATTTTCAT
The DNA here is from genome assembly GCF_000001405.40 of Homo sapiens. Classification (NCBI taxonomy): domain Eukaryota; kingdom Metazoa; phylum Chordata; class Mammalia; order Primates; family Hominidae; genus Homo; species Homo sapiens. The sequence goes on along the minus strand of NC_000014.9, from coordinate 28,304,872 downwards.
AAACATTATTTAATTGAACTATTCAACAACTCTGCGAAGAGCAGAGGAGTACTTTTATTAACATTTTCTGTTGAATAAATCAGAAGTCCAGAGAACCAAAAGAATGGACTTTTATTCATAAAACTAGTATGTCTTACGGCCTTGATTTTAACTCAGATCTTCTGACACCATTGACTTTGTCCTTTATGTTACAATATAATGCCTGAATTCCTCTTCATAATCTCACAGTATCATAGTTCCATAGATATGAATTATTTGAATTTTAGGATATTAGGCAGTATGGAGAATGGACCAATATTGCCTTTCCTGAATTTAGCTCCAGACACCAAATATAGTATGCAGCACTCATCAAAATAATTGGACTTTTATTATTTTCAGCTGTCAATTTCAAAGCAGCTTAGTTGGAACACATTTAGAAATGGAAAGAAAGGGTATGGGATCTCACCAAATTTAATTCTTTCCTGGGCCAGGATTATTACATTTTACCATCTCCACTGCATTTTTACTCTCCTCTTGGATTTTTGTCTAATGTATTTTATAACATACAGTAGAATTTGGATCTAAATAAATTATCAGAAGACTACCTGTAAAAACCAATTTTGAGTGGGTGTGATATATTATAAAATTTCATTTTAATTGTTATCTGCTTTTAAATGAAACTGAGTTTTCTAATTTACAGAAGTAAAATCTAGAAATGATATCTAATACATTTAATATTCAGAATGCATAACCTGATTTAATCAGTTTTGAGTGCTAGACACTTAAATGAATGAACTGCACATATACAATCAACAATGTATTATTTGTAATTTAGTTAAATGCCAAAATGAGTTTAGTTTATCCTCCAATGTTGAAGATGTTTATAACTCACTTTGAAATAAATTCTTCTTTACTAGGCATAGAATTGTGGAAAACTAGATTTTAGTGCACAATATGACACTTCTATTTTTCAGGATTATTTAGTTAAGTTAAAACAGCTTAAATTGTTTGGAGCACTGTGTAGTAGATATATAAATTTAATTGGTTACTTTACCAATAGCATGCATTTTAATTGAGATGGTTCAGTCTTATTACATTCATTTGGATTTCACTTAATTTGTCTTCTTTGTTCCTCTCTCTCTCCCCTTTCCCTTTTTATCTTCAAAGTGTTGGGTTTGAAAACATGAAGTGAATGACCACATTGGGAGTCCATTGTGAGTTGGTTGAAATTATTATTCAGTATTAGTTTTTGTAATGTTTTAGATGGCAATGTATCCACATGAAACTAGAAAAATTGGAAGATTGAATAGGTCTCTATCTTGAGTAAATATGAATGTCTGTTAATATCTACCCTTCTATTGTTTGCAATCACTGTCCTCACAATATTGAGATAGGGCAAATTCACTCCTCATTCTATTTACAATATTAGTCATTAGCATTAACTTTATGAAGGGATGATTCATTTTGCACAAAAATTCATTTGTACATGATTCACTCGTGTACAAGATGTTACAGACTTCTCTAATATTTAAAGCACAGTGGGAAACATTGCACAAAACTCATGTTCAATGTAACAGTAAGGATCTCTAGAGCTTGAAAAATAAATGAAAACATGAAAAAAGACCAGATGTGCCAATGAAAATAATTAGAAAGTTGAAGGAAGAGACTTAGTGGGAAGACAATATATATATATAAATAAATATAAAGATATATATATATATATAAAATATGGCCTAGATAAAAACATGTGCAGCATTTTATATTTCATTGAGAATATTTCATGAAGTATGGAAGTAATGCTAATCATTACAAAATTACTTCATGTATTTTGAGATATTACACTATTAATTTAAGAAACTGGCAATTTTTATTTTTGTCACAATTGCTGAGGTCTTAGCCACAAATTATTTGTACAAGGCTCATGTCCAGAATGATATTTCTCAGTTTTTCTTCTAGTATTTTTATACTTTGAAGTCTCACATTTAAATCTTTGGTACATCTTGAGCTACTTTTTTGTATGTGGTGAAAGGTAGGGCTCCAGTTTTATTCTTCTGCTTATGGCTAGCCAGTTACCCCAGCAGAATTTATTGAATAAGAAGTCCTTTCCCCATTGCTTATTTTTGTCAACTTTGTCAAAGATCAGATGGCTGTAAGTGTGTGGTTTTATTTCTGGGTTCTTTATTCTGTTCTATTGGTCTGTGTCTGTTTTTGTACCAGCACCATGTTATTTTGGTTACTGTAGCCTTTAGAGTAGTTTGAAGTCAAATGAATCTTCACTGCAAAATAAACTCTTCACTGCAAAGGAAACTATCAACAGAGTAGACAGGAACCCGACAGAATGAGAGAAAGTGTTTGCGAACTATACATCTGATAAAGGTCTAATATTCAGCATGTATAAAAAACTTAAATTTCCAAGAAAAAACCCATTAAAAAGTGGGCAAAGGACACGAATAGACACTTTCCAAAGAAAACATACATTTGCCTAACAAGCATATGGAAGAAAGCTCAACATCACTGATCATTAGAGAAATGCAAATCAAAGCCACAGTGAGATATCATCTCACACCAGTCATAATGGCTATTATTAAAAAGTCCAAAAATAACAGGTGCTGGCGAGGTTGCAGAGAAAAAGAAACTCCTATACACTGTTGGTGGGAGTGTAAATTAGTTCAACCATTTTGGAAAACAGTGTGGCAGTTCCTCAAAGACCAAAAACAGAACTACCATTTGACCCAGCAATCCCATTACTGGGTATGTACCCAAAGGAATAGATATCATTATATCAAAAAGACATATGCATATGTATGTTCCTTGCAGCATTATTCACAATAGCAAAGACATAGAATTATACTAAATGCCCATCAACAGTAGACTAGATAAAGAAAATATGGTACATATTCACCACAGAGTACTACACAGCCATAATAAAGAATAAAATTATGTCCTTTGCAGCAACATGGATGCAGATGGAGGCCATTATCCTAAGCAAATTAACACAGGAACAGAAAACCATATACTGCATGTTCTCACTTCTAAGTGGGAGCTACGTGTTGGGTACATATGGACCCAAAGATGGGAACAACAAACACTGGGAACTCCAAAAGCTTACTGTGGGGGGCAAGGACTGAATAACTACCTATTGAGTACTATGCTCACTACCTGGGTGATGGGTGCCATCATACCCTTAACCTCTGCATCATAAAATACACCCATGTTACAAACCTACACGTGTATTTGCTGAATCTAAAATGAAAGTTGAAATTATATAAAAAAGAAATATTGACATTTCTTTTTGATAATTTTGATGTTAAAGTTAACTTTATATTTGATCTATTTGGGATGTTACAGCATGTCACCACCCTGGCTTGGGGACCACTGAGGTCCGGGCATCCAGAAGGTTTGTAGCTCTTCTCTCCTTCCTGCCACCTGCAGCACAGCAAAAGGTGACACTGGGGACAGTATGTTTCAGCCCGCTTGTGTTACAGCTCATTCAGCCTCACTGCTCTGCTCCAGCCCACAAGTCCTGGACTGGCCTGACCCTACCACTGTTTTCTGTCACATGCGGTGGCTGCCCGGCACCAGCAGGAGGTGGAAGGCTACAGTGTTGCAGCCTTTTTTGTACCCACATTCAGCAGGTCCCAGGTTCTTGTCCTGTGTCCAAAATGAGTGAGGTTACACTGACAACTGGAGGGTAAGCAAGGTGGAGATTTTTATTGAGCAACACAACAGTTCTCAGCAGAGAGAGGACCCAAAATGGGCAGCCCCTTACCTGAAGTTGGACAGTCTCCCTAAACTGAAGGCAGGTAGTCCCCCCAAGTGTAGCTGAGCCTGGGGCTTTTATGAGCTCAGAATGCAGGAGGTGAGAGCCGTAGGTAGCCTTGGAAAAGGCAACATTTCATTGATTAAAAAGCATTATTCAGAAGGAACAAATTGGGAAAGACTGGGGAAACAGGAATAAAAGTTCCCACTCATCTGGTACCAGCAGCCCAGTTTTCAGGTTTCAGGATGTTTTTGACTTGAAAGTCGGGTTTCACCAGGGACCTGTCCCTATCTGCCTAGGATTTGTCTGCCTCCTGTCACTATGAAGAATATATTGGTGAAGCGGTCAAATTCCTATCAACAGTGTATGTATGAGCCTTTCACTGATAGTTTGACTTTGGGTTTATGAATTTCAGAGTTTGGTGAAAACAGATCTCTTCTTCAGAAACTTCAAGGAAATAAATTATCAAGTAGCAGAGCTCAAAATGAGTCATCTTCAGATCTTTAAAACTAGAGTTACTGTTTCTCTTGGAGACCTTGGATTTTACTTCAACCAATACTTTCATACAAACTCACTTTTCCCATTAGGCTATTTTGAAGTGCTTAGCAGCTCTATTTGGCAGTATAGCCTGAGGAATGTTTGAGATAAAGTGACATTGCTAAAGCATTCTGGGATGAAATAGTGATGTAGATCTGACCTGAAGATACATTAAACTTGAAATTTTGTTTTCCTTTCATCTGAATAGCATGGAGTTATTCATTCTTTGAAATAATAACACTTTATAACATTACTTCTATCATTTATGGAATTAAAACCATCCTTTAAAATGTCATTATGTTGCTTTTTATAGCTGTAACACTTTTCATGGGATCCTTTCTTATTTTCAAATAGGAGTTTACCTTGGCAATCTGTACTTACGTGCTGACTGTGACACTGAGAAGCTACTATTTTTGTGGATTTTACTGAAACTTTGTTACATGATTACAATAAAATAGAACACAAAATAACATGGCGCCATACTTGTACTTCATCAAATGGAAGTTTTCTGAATAGAATAACTGATATAATAAAATACTGTCACCTACAATATTAAAAACTCAGTGAGGGGAGTGGCCAAGATGGCCGGCTAGAAGCAGCTAGTATATACTGCTCTCACAGAGAGGAACAGAAATGATTGGTAAATACAGTAACTTCAACTGAAACATTCAAGTATATGCATTGAGATTAATCAAGGAAACAACTCAACCCATGGAAAATGGAGAAAAGCAAGGCAGGACAACAGCCCATCTGGGAGTGACACAGAGCTGGGGAACCTCCCCCACCCAGGGAAGCTGTTAATGAATTAGCGACCCTGGGAATGCACATTTCTCTCACAGATTTTTGCAACCCTGAGGTGAAGAGTCCTCCTCATAAACCTACTCCATAGGGCCTTCGGTCTGACTCACAGAGCAATGGAAAGTTTTGGCAGAGTAGCCACTCAAGCATAAATGGAGAGCCTGGAAGCCCTAGATATCAAGACTTTCCCGGCTACCTGGCAAGAGCAGCTGAAACTCTGGCAAAGAAGGAGGTTAGACCCCTTGTACATACTCCTAGAAAAGGGGTTGAACCCAGGGGGCTGAGCGGCGACAGTCTTCGGGTCCTGCTTCTCCAGCACCTCACAGGATAAGAACCACTGGCTTGGAACTCCAGCCAGTCACCAGTAGTAGCATTACGCCTCCCTGAGATGTAACTACCAGGTGGAGGGGCGGGCTGCCATCTTTGCTGTTTGGGCAGGTTAGCCATTCTGACCTTCAGGCTTTTGAGAGCCCAGGTGACCAGGGGCTGGAGTGGCCCCACAGCAAAGCACAGCTGCTTGATAAAATGTGGCCAGAGTGCTGTTTTAAGTGGGTGCCAAATCCTGTTCCTCCTCACTGGGTGGGACATTCTGACCAGGGTTTCCAGAGACCCCCTCTGTATTAGTTCATCCTCATGTTGCTAATAAAGACATACCTGAGACTGGGTAACTTATAAAGGAAAGAGGTTTAATTAACTCACAGTTCTGCAGGGCTGGGGAGGGTGTGCTCAGGAAACTTAAAATCATGGCAGAAGGGGAAGCAAACACATCCTTCTTCACATGGTGGCAGGAAAGAGAAGAATGAGAGAAGTGCAGAGTGAATGGGGGGAGAAGCCTCTCATGAAACCATCAGATCTCATGAGACCTCACTCACTATCATGAATGAGAACAGCATGGAGGAACCACAACCATGCCACGATCCAGTCACCTCCCATGAGGTCCCTCCCCAACACGTGGGGATTACAACTTGGATTACAATTCAAGACGACATTTGGGCGGGGACACAGAACCAGACAATATTATTCCATCCCTGTCCTGTCCAAAATATCATGTCCTCTCATTTCAAAACACAATCAAGCCTTTGCAGCAGTCCTCCAAAATCTTCAGTCATTCCAGCATTAACCCAACGTTCAAGTCCAAAGTCTGGTCTGAGACAAGGCAAGTCCCTTCAGCCTATGAGTCTGTAAAATCAAAAGCAACTTATTTACTTCCCAGATACAATGGTGGTACAGGAATTGGGTATATACAACTACTCCACATGGGAGAAATTGGCCAAAACAAAGGGGCTACAGGCTCCACGCAAGTCTAAAATCCAACAGGACAGTCATTAAACCTTAAAGTTCCAAAATGATCTTCTTTGACTCCATGTTTCACATCCAGGTCATGCTGATGCAACAGATGATCTCCCACGGCCTTGGCCAGCTCTGCCTCTGTGGCTTTGCAGGGAACATTGCCAACCTCAGCTTCTTTCATGGCTAACATTGAGTGTCTGCAGCTTTTCCAGGCATGTGGTGCAAGCTGTTGGTGGATCTACTCTTCTGGTATCTAAAGGACGGTGGCCCTCTTATCACAACTCCACTAGGCAGTGCCCCAGTGAAGACTCTGGGTGGGGGCTCCCACCTCACATTTCCCTTCTGCACTACCCTGGCAGATGGTCTCCATGAAGGCCCTGCCCCCATAGCAGACTTCTGCCTGGATATCCAGGTATTTCCGTACATCTTCTGAAATCTAGGTGGAGGTTCTCAAACCTCAATTCTTATCTTATGCACACCTGCAGAACCAACACAATGTGGAAGCTGCCAAGGCTGGGAGCTTGCACCCTCTGGAGCCACAACCTGAGCTGTAATTTGGCCCTTTTAGCCATGGCTGGTATGGCTGGGAAAAAGTCCCAAGGCTGCACATAGCAGATGGGCTCTGGACCCAGACCAGGAAACTATTTTCCTCTCCTAGCCCTCTGGGCCTGTAACGCTGTGATTGGAGGGACTGCTGTGAAGGTCTCTGACATGGCCTGGAAACATTTTCCCAATTGTCTAAGTGATTAACATTTGACTCTCCATTACTTATGCAAATTTATGCAGCTGGCTTGAATTTCTCCTCAGAAAATGGGTTTTTCTTTTCTATTGCATCATCAGGCTGAAAATTTTCCAATCTTTTATGCTCTGCTTCCTCTTCAACACTTTGCTGCTTAGAAATTTTTTCTGCCAGATATACCACATCATCTCTCTCAAGTTCAAAGTTTCACAGATCTCTAATGCTGAGGCAAAAAGCTACTAATCTCTTTGCTAAAGCACAGTAAGAGTCACCTTTGCTCCAGTTCCCAACAAGTTCCTCTTCTTCATCTGAGACTACCTCAGCCTGGACTTCATTGTTCTTATCACTATCAGCATTTTGGTCAAAGCCATTCAACAAGTCTCTAGGAAGTTCCAAACTGTTCCACATTTTCCTGTCTTCTTCTGAGTCCTCTAAACTATTCCAACCTCTGCCTGTTACCCAGTTCTGAAGTCGCTTCCACATTTTTGGGTATCCTTGTAGAAGCTCCCCACTCTACTGGTACCAATTTACTGTATTAGTCTGTTCTTATGCTGCTAATACCTGAGACTGGATAATTTATAAAGGAAAGAGGTTTAATTGACTCACAGTTCAGCATGGCTGGGAAGGCCTCGGGAAACTTACAATCATGGCAGAAAGGGAAGTAAACACATCCTTCTTCACATGGTGGTGGGAAGGAGAAGAATTAGAGAAGTGCAGGGCAAAAGGGGAAAAAGCTGCTCACAAATCCATTAGATCTCCTGAGATCTCACTTACTATTATGAGAGCAGCATGGGGGAATCACCCCCATGATTCAATCACCTCCCAGGAAATCCTTCCTGCAACACATAGGGATTACAATTCAGATTATAATTGAAGATGAGATTTGGGTGGGGATACAAAGCCAGACCATATAACCCCACTGATGTTTTCTGGCCGACAGAGGTTTCAAACTCCTAGAATGGAACACTCAGATGAAGGAATGGGCTGCTATCTTTGCTGTTTGGGCTACTTACCCATTCCAGTCTTCAGGCATTGGAGAGTCAGAGGCAACCAGGCACTGGAGTGCACCCCAGCACAATAGAGCTGCTCTATAAAATGTGGCCAGACTACTTTTTAAAGCAGGACACCATTCCCGTTCCTCTCCACTGAGCAGAACCTCCCAGTCAGGGTCTCCAGGAACATCCTACATGTGCATTCCTGCAGACAACGGATTTATACTTACCTGGGATGAAATTCCCAGAGGGAGGGGAAGGCCACATCTTTGATGTTTTGTAGCCTTCATGTTGATAGATTCAGGTACTGAAAAATTCGAGGTGACTTGGGATGGGAGCGGAACCCCAGCATATCTCAACAGCCCTAATGAAAGGTTGCCAAACTGTTACATGAATTCTCATTCCCATATCTCCACAAAGGGCAGGTCCAACCAGTCTGGGCTTCCAGCTACTTTCTATTGGGGCTCTTGAGCCAGTAACAGCTCTGAAACTCCCAGGACAGATCTCCCAGTGAGCAACGTGGGTTGCCATCTGCTTTGCAGCCCTTGCCCTTGCTGTCTCCAGGCTCTGGAGAGTCTGTGGGGACCAGGAACTGGTCCAGACTCCCAGCACAAAGCACCCAACTCACAGAAAAGCGGCCAAACTGTTGTCCATGCAGATTGGAGTCCTCACTTCTCCTCACTGGACAGGGCCACATTACCTGGGACTCTAGCACAATCTCCTTGCCTCTCCTGATCACCACAACCAGAAGAAGCCCAGCATTTCTCCAAGGAGGAAGTCCCAGAGTCAATCCACAGCTCCTCCACCACTACAATTGCAGCGTACAGTCCTAACAGCCCTTAGGCTGGGGAAGGAATAAAGGGCCTTGTCATTAGGCTGGCACCTCCAGCACACTGCAGACACAATACGGAGAGAGTCCAGCTCCTCACCCCTGGGAAACAACAACCCCTACTCTACCAAGCAGGGGCCCCGGCTGGGGAAGAAATAAGGAGACTGAGGGTTGTACCCAAGCTTACAATACACCACAGCTGTCACATAGAGAGGAGACCATTCTCTTCTCCCTGTGAGCCTTTGAACCCCCTGTTCCCTAAAAAGCAGAACTCCAATCTGGCACAAGCAATGCAGCCACCCCACCCCACTGACTGAGCTCCCCCAATAACAGTGGTTCCATGTTTCTTGAAGGTGAAACCCCAGGGGGCAACTGATAGCCTTTCTGCCAATGCCTCTGGAGTGGACTTGTCCTTGCTACCCTCTGACTAATGAAGGAGCAAAGACCCTAAGTGCCTTATCCACACCTTCAACAAATGGCAGTTGACTCAGGAGAGAAAGACAGTCCTTCTCCCACAACTTCCACCCACATCCCCTTGCTCATCATCAAACAGGGAACCCCTAGCTTAGGCCCACAGCACAGACCTTCCATTCTGGGCTAATTGCACTGAGCAATTGCTGACCTGCATCTTGCTGGGGTGGAACCCCCAGGAGAGAAACAAAAAACCCTTGGCCACAAACACTACTAAGTTCTTTTGCTCTGCTGCCTCCAAATTGGGAAGGAACATAAATCCTGAGATCGCCCAAGAACTGGAGTAGGAAGCCTGGGAGTGCCCAGCCATGATCTAAAGCCAGCCCATAAGGGTGACAGGAGCCCACACTTTCAGAGCATTGAAAGGAAGCAAGTGTGCAACTGTGAGGCAATATAGGAGAACCACAAAACCAAGCAAGAGCCTACCAACTGACTAACATGACTCAGCGCCACCTACTGGATCACACTCAAAATATTAAACACCAAAAATACTTCGTTAACGTACCTTCTTGAAACCGACGTCATGGAGTTAGCTATAAATAAAGACCCTGCACCATGCCTCAGCCCTGTGAAAACATCTAGAAAAGAAGTCTATTGAATGTGCTCAATCTACCCTTCAGTTAAAGGAACACCCACATGCAGTGATGAGAAAGAATCTACACAAGAACTTCAGTAACTCTAATGGCCAGAGTGTCCTGTGTCCTCCAAATAACTAACTGCACCAGTTTTCCAACAAGACTTCTTAACCAGGGTGAGCTGGCTGAAATGACAGAAATATAATTCAGAAAACAGATAGAAACAAAGATTGTCTAGATTCAGGAAAAGGGCAAAACTCAATCCAGAGAAACTAAGAATCACCATAAAACAATAAAAAAGCTGAAAGATGAAATGGCCAGTATAAAAAAGAATTTTACAGAGCTGACAGAGCTGAAAAACACAATACAAGACTTCCACAATGCAATCACAAGTATTAATAGGAGAATAGATCAAGCTGAGGGAAGAATCTCAGAACTTGAAGACTGGTTCTCAGAAAGAAGACAGTCAGAAAAAAGTAAGATAAAAGAATGAAAAGGAATAAACAAAACCTCATAGAAATATGGGATTATATAAAGTGGCCAAACTTATGAATCATTGGCATCCCTGAAATAGATGGGAAGAAAGCAAACAACTTGAAAATCACATTTCAGGATATCATCCATGAAAACTCCCCCAACCTACATAGAAAGGCCAACAGTCAAATTCAGGAAATATAGAGAACCCCTGCAAGATTCTACACAAGACCATGCCCAAAGACACATAATCATCAGATTTCCCAAGATCAAAATCAAAGACAGAAGGTTAAAGGCATCTAGAGAGAAAGAGCAGGTCACCTACAAAGAGAACCCCATCAGGCTTACAGAAGACCACTCAACTGAAACCCTACAAGCCAAAAGAGATTGGGGGGCCTATATTCAACATGCTTAAAGAAAAAAAAAATCTTCAACCGAAAATTTCAAATCCAGCTAAAGTAAGCTTCCTAAGTAAAGGAGAAAGAAGATCCTTTTCAGATAAGGAAATGTTGAGGGAGTTTGTTAACACCAGCCTCCCTTAAAAGAGATCTTGAAAGGATCACTAAATATGAAAAGGAAAGGCCACTACCAACTAATGCAAAAACACACCTAAGTACACATGCCAGTGACACTATATGGTAACCACAAGAATGAGCCAACATACTACCCAGCTAATAACTCAAGAACAGGATCAAAACCACAGATATCAATACTAACCTTGAATGTAAATGGGCTAAATGCCCCACTTAAAAGGCACAGAGTAGCAAGCTGGATTTTTTTAAAAAAGCAAGACTCAATGGTATTCTGTCTTCAAGAGACTCATCTCACATGTAATTACACCTATAGGCTAAAAATAAAGAGATGGAGGAAAATCTACAAAAGAAATGAAAATCAGAAAAAAAGCAGGAATTGCAATCCTAATTTCAGATAAAACAGACTTTAAACCAAAAAAGATTTTTAAAAGATACAGAAGGGGCCAGGTACAGTGGCTCATGCCTGTAATCCCAGCACTTAGGGTGGCCAAGGTGGGTGGATCAAAAGATCAGGAGTTTGAGATGAGCCTGACCAACGTGGTGAAACCCCGTCTCTACTAAAAATGCAAAAATTAGCCAGGTGTGCTGGCGTGCGCCTGTAATCCCAGTTACTCGGGGAGGCTGAGGCAGGAGAATTGCTTGATCCCCGGGGGCAGAGGTTGTGGTGAGCCAAGACCATGCTACTGCACTCCAGACTGGGTGACAGAGCAAGACTCCATCTCGGGGGGAAAAAAAAAGTAAAAGAAAAAGTGGTTGTTTCCAATGTCCACACAGGCTATGCTTCTCACTAACTCAGAACAAGCTACTGCACTCCAGCCTGGGTGACAGAGTGCGACTCTGTCTAAAAAAAAAAAAAAAAAAAAAAAAAACAAAGAAGGGAATTACGTATTTGTATAATGTTCAATTCAACAAGAAGACCTAACCATCCTAAATATATACGCACCCAACAGAGGAGCACCCAGATTCATAAGGCAAGTTCTAAGAGACTTACAAGGAAACACAAACTTCACACAATAATAATGGGAGACTTCAGCACTCCACTGACGGTATTAGACATATATCATCGAGGCAGAAAATTATTGAAGATATTCAGGACCTGAATTCCACATTGGACCAAAAGGATCTGATTGACCTCTACAGAACCCTCCACCCCAAAACAACAGAGTATACATTCTTCTCATTGCCACAGGCACATGCTGTAAATTTGACCACATAATTAGACATTAAACAATCCTCAGCAAATGTAAAAGAAATGAAATCATACTCAACAGACTTTAAGACCACGGTGCAATATAAATAGTATTCAAGACTAAGAAAATAACTCAAAATTATGCAATTACATGGTAATTAATCAAAATGTTCCTGAATAACTTTTGGGTAAATAATGAAATTAAGGTAGAAATCAAGAAGTTCTTTGAAATGAATGAGAACAAAGATACAACATATTAGAATCTCTGAGACACAGCTAAGAGACTGTTAAGAGGAAAATTCAAAGTACTAAATGCCCACATCAAAAAGTTAGGAAGATCTCAAACTAACAACCTAACATCACAGCTGAAAGAATTAGAGAAGGAAGAGCAAATCAACCTCAAAACTAGCAGAAAATAAGAAATAACCTAAATTAGAGCTGAACCGAAGGAAATCAAGATGCAACAAACCATTTAAAAGATCAACGAATCCAGCAGTTGGTTTTTTGAAATTATTAATGAGACAGGCTGCTAGCTAAACTTATGAAGAATAAAAGAGAGAAGATCCAAATAAACAGATTAGTAATAATGAAGAGGATGTTACCACTGACCCCAAGGAAATAAAAGTAACCATCAGACACTACTATAAGCACATCTATGCACACAAACTAGGAAACATAGAAGAGATGGATAAATTCCTGGACACATACACCCTCCCAAGGCTGAGCCAAGAAGAAATTGATTCCTGAAAAGACCAAAAATGAGCTCCTAAATTGAAACAGTAATAAATAGCCTACCAATGAAAAAACGCCTAGCACCAGATGGATTCACAGCTGAATTCTATTAGATGTACAAAGAAGAGTGGGTACCATTCCTACTTAAACTATTCCAAAAAATTGAGGAGTAGGGACTTCTTTCCAACTTATTCTATGAGGCCAAAATCATCCTGATACTAAAACCTGGCAGAGACACAATGACAACAACTACAAAAAATTTAGGCCAATACTCTTTATGAACATTGATGGAAAAATCCTCAACAAAATACTTGCAAGCTGAATCCAGCAGCACATCAAAAAGCTAATTCACCACAATAAAGTAGGCTTCATCCCTTAGATGCAAGGTTGGTTCAACATATGCAAATCAATTAATGTGATTCATCACATAAACAGAACTAATGCCAAAAAACATGATTATCTCAATAGATGCACCAAATGCTTTCAATAAAATTCAACAACTCTTCATGTCAAAAACTGTCAATAAACTGGATATTGAAGGACCATACCTCAAAATAATAAGAGCCATCTATGACAAATCCAGAGCCAACATCATAGTCAATAGGGAAAAGCTGGAAGCATTCCCCTTGAAAACTGGCACAAGAAAAGTATGCCCTCTATCACCACTCCTATTCAACATAGGAAGTCCTGGCCAGAGCAATTAGGCAAGAGGAAGAAAGAAAAGACATCCAAATAGTAACAAAGGGAGTCAAGCTATCACTGTTTGCAGATGACATGATTCTGTAAATCCCATAGCCTCAGCACAAAAGCTCCTGGAGCTGATAAACTTCAGCAAAGTTTTGGGACATAAAATCAATGTACAAAAATCACTAGCATTCCTCTGCATGAATGACAACCAAGCTGAGAGTCAAATTTGAAATGCAGTCCCATTCACAATTGCCACAAAAAGAGTAAAATACTTGAGAATACAGCTAACCAGGGAGGTAAAATATCTCTACAATAAGGATTACAAAACACTGTTCAAAGAAACCAGTGAAGATGCAAACGAATGGAAAAACATTTCATGATCATGAATAGGAATAATGAACATAGTTAAAATAGTCATACTGCCCAAATTAATTTACAGATTCAAAGCTATTCCTATCAAGCAACAAATGACATTTATCACAGAACTAGAAAAAAATTATTTTGAAGTGAATATGGAATGAAACAGCGGCCCAAATAGCCAAAGCAATCCTAAGCAAAACGAACAAAGCTGAAGGCATCATGTTACTTGACTTTAAACTATACTGCAGGGATACAATAAACAAAAACAGCATGGTACTGGTACAAAAACAGACACAGAGACGAATGAGATAAAACAGCCCAGAAATAAGGCCACACACTTACGACCATATGATCTTTAATAAAGCTGCCAAAAACAAGCAATGGGGAAAGGACTCCCTATTCAATGAATGGTGCTGGGATAACTGACTAGCCATGTGCAGAAGACTAAAACTAGACCCCTTCCTTTCACCATATACAAAAATCAACTCAAGGTGGATTAAAGACTTAAATGTAAAATGCAATGGTATAAAAATGCTGAAAGACAACCTAGGCAATATCATCCTGGACATAGGAATGAGCAAAGATTTCATGATGAAGATGCCAAAAGCAAAACGTGACAAATGGGATCTAATTAAACTAAAGAGTTTCTGCGCAGCAAAAAAACTATCAACAGAATAAACAGACTACCTACAAACTGGGAGAAAATACTTACAAGCTATGCATCTGACAAAAGTCTACTCTCCAGCATCTATAAGGCGCTTAAACAAATTTACAAGACAAAAAACAACAACTGCTTAACAAGTGGACAAAGAACATGGATATACACTTTTCAAAGTAAGACATACATTTGGCCAAAAAGCATATGAAAAACAAAGTTCAAGATCACTGATCATTAGAGAAATGCAAATCAAAACCACAATGAGATGCCATTGCACACCAGTCAGAATGGCTATTATTAAAAAGTCAAAACATAACAGATGCTGGAAAGGTTGTAGGGAAAATGAAACACTTATACACTATTGGTAGGACTGTAAATTAGTTCAACTGTTGTGGAAAGCAGTATGACGATTCCTCAAAGACCTAAAAACAGAACTACCATTTGACCCAGTAATCCCATTACTGGGTATATACTCAGAGGACTACAAATCATTCTACCATAAAGACACATACACACAACACTACTCACAATACCAAAGATATGGAATCAAAATACATGACCATCAATGACAGATTGGATAACAAAAATATGATACATATACACTGTGGAATATTATGCAGTCATACAAAAGAGTTAGACCATGTCTTTTGTGGGAACATGGATAAAGCTGGAGGTCATTATCCTTAGTAAACTAACACCGGAACAGAAAACCAAATACTGAATATTCTTGCTTACAAGTGGGAGCTAAAGGATGAGAACTCAAAAGCACAAAAAGGAGAACAAGGGGTTTCCTAGAGTTTGCAGGTTGGGAGCAGGGAGAGGAGCAGAAACATAACTACTGAGTACTGGGCTTAGTATCTGGGTGATGAAAAATCTTTACAACAAACCCTCATGACATGAGTTTACCTATATAACAAACCTGTATATGTTCCACTGAACCTAAATAAAGGTAAAAAAAAAAAAAGTCAGTGAGATTCAAAGGTAAGTTTAGTTGACCAGAGTCAGTACTGAGCTTTATCCCTTACTATATTTATATAGCAATTTTGTTAGGCTGCTACTTTCATCAAGAGTAATATCTATATAGTTCAAGGAATTTTGACTACAGTATGGCATAGTGTGTGTTGACTTCAAAACTATTTAAGTATATCAAGTATACATTGCTGCCATCTATATTTTTACATAAAATGTCTATTGCATAGATCTTGAGGAAAACTTTTAATCAATCTTGAATCTTCTTGTCAAGAGAAGCTATTAAAATATGAAATGTGTGAATACTTTATATCACAGATTCATTATCTACATTCTGAATACTATGAGCCATTTTACTTTCCTCCATAATATTAGCTTTCTATCCACTGGTAAAGGAAGACCATGATTTACCTCTATAAAACAGATGGGGTTAGAGGAACCTTTATTAGACTGTACTTCTATTAACTGTTTTTTTAACTCTATACTGTGTATTATATAGAAACAAACAACAGTGCCTCCCTCATCATTGCACAGCAATAACTAGCAATGTTAAATAGACTTTGATACTGATTACATTTATCTTTCTCTCTTGTGATACAGTGTGAAGATTCTCATGCTGGAGTCAAATTCAGGTTTGAACATGAGCCTCATTATCTTCAAATATAAAATAGAGCACATGGGAGATTAATGGCTATATATACACACCTACATACACACACATCAAAAATGTTAACAAATAATGATTTAAAATTTTAGGAAATGCAAATATGTAAACATAGCACCATATAAAACTGCACTCTGAGCATTAAACAATAACAAAATTTTTACTGGATCAAAATTTTAGAGACATCTATAAGCAACATTGGGATTGTATAAATTCACATACAACATCGAATTTAACCTTCAGAGTCTAACAATGGTAGTTGAGATCTTGGCTTTGATGTCTAGATTTTTTTTGCCTTTTTTTCTCATGTGCACATCTATCCTTTAATCATTCCTTGAATGAGTATGTTTTTCAGACTCAGACCTTCTTTTTCTGTTCCAGTCACTCTACACAGTTTTTCATATGAGGTTATCCAAACGTATAGCCTCAGCAAATACTTAAAAGTTAATTACAATGATCTTCACCAACGACATCCTTGCTGACCTTCAGAAAAACATAACCCAAGTTCTTAAAATATCTTTTAGAATGTTTCATAAGCACATTAGTATGTCTAAAATGAATGAGCTATCATACTTCTTCCCCAGAATATTCTTTCCTTTTGTATTTACTTCATCATAGGTTAATCCAGTACAGTGGTGGTTAGCCTGGGGTCTTTGGAGAGATTCGTGAAACCCATAAAATACTATAAATCACTTTTAGTCATAGGACAGGGGTTAATCAGATACTTAAAGAAGTCTGTGATCCCAAAAATGCTAAGAAAAACTGCATTATGGAAAAAACTAGAAAAGTGAAGCTATTCTATTTCATATTACTTAAATCCCTATATTCCATGAGTTATCAACATGTGCAGACTAATATATTAATCATCTGCTATTGTTCCATTGCTGCAGCCTTACTTGAGATTATCAGTACCTGTCATCTGAATAATTGCAATGTCTACTGACCAATCTTTCATTCTTACTCTCTTATCTGTCCTTTATGCTGCTGTTAAAATATCCTTTCTAGATTTCATACCTGTGTTATTTTCCTGAAAAAAATTCACCAATAGGCCTCATGTAACTTTCTGAGAGAATTTTAAGAATCAAAAGCTGCGTAGAGTTTGAGACTTCTTCTTTTAGTATCAATTTAGAATCAGTGCTATCACAAGATGTAGATTCTAATTGGAGTATATATTTTTCAAGTGAGGTATAATGAGCCAAACATAAAAGATGATATTACTCATAATACTGATCTCTGCATACCTCTTTAGCTTTATTTGTCACAATTCAGATTTATGCATTTTTTTTCCAGTCACATTGAACTTACCGAAGTTATCCAAATGGCCCATATTTTTCCCCTGCCTTACAATGTATTGTTACCTCTGGACACGTCCTTCCCAATATTATTTATCAACCTAACTCCTAATAGTTCTTTAAATCTCAGCTTATATTTTACTTTCTTCCCTTGTTCTCAATATGATTTGTGTCCACTTATATGCTCCAAAATATTCTGTTCATGCTTGTACCACAGCATTTATTACTGGGTTGTGATTGTTAATTAATATTATTTGCCCTTCAATAGACTGTAAGCTAAACAGAACAAAGACCTTTCTATCTGTAGCAATATGTTTAGCACTCAATACATTTTTGTTGAATGAATAATTTTTTGTTCTACCATTCATTGGCTACGTGACCTTGGGTTAAAAAAATGACCCAAATCACTCAGTGTTATGTTATCTTTCTTACTGTTTTATTTCTTATCAGTCATGTGAAAATAATACTGTTTGCTTTAAAGAGCTACTTTGAAACAAATTATATGATGACAATCTACTGTGAATTGTATTATGCCATTATTTTCTAATAATGTTCTATAATTTGCAGGTAATATTTACTGGAAATTGGAGTTGATTCCAGATAATCATTTGATATTATCAGCCTTGCTTATTCACATATAATTATTTGGAAGGTAATGTGGTTAAATGCTAGATATCCTGAAATGCACACTGGAAGGAGCCAAATAAAAACTTAATACATCACATTCATAATGACAGGGGAAAAATAACTGCTTATCTGCCTTATGATTGTATTTCATAAAAAATTGTCATTTTCCTCTCCTTTATAGTATTATTTCACTTTTCTCAAAAGTGTGATTAGGAACAAAATATTTTAAAATACTATTAAGGTTTCAGAAGTGTTTGTGAGGGTGAAGAAGGTTATATTTGGCATGTAACTAGAAACTAATGTTTAGACGAATGCCTTTTTTGACTCTTAAGTTTAGTATTTTATGTTCAAATATTTTGACTAGAGAAGGAGATCCCATAAACTCTTTCAATTATTAATGCTTCTGACTATTTGAATCTCTTTATAGTTTTGAAGGTCAGCTTCAGAGACAACCACGAAATTTCTTGAAGCTTTAGTATAAACACATATGAAGAAGACAGATAAAATGGAACAGGGTGAAAGAATATGAGATGGGAAGAATTTTGCAAGTCATTTGGTACTTTGAAATCAGCCTTGATGAAAGCATTGATGGCATGAAAATGTGCAAATGCCACAAAGCAGGAATTCTCTTTTCCCCAAGCACTAGTTTAATAGCACAACCACTGGCAATTGGGAGAAATGAAAGGAAGATTCTAAAGATAGTCATGTCTAATTCAGATCTGAATTCTAGCAAACTAATGCCACATGGATACTCTTGGCCCTTTCCATCTAGAGACTTGTTTATAGAGGGCTATTTGGGGTTCAAGGTCAGGAGTTAACTCAGTTAAAACTTAATTATGCTTTTATGCAAATGCATGGAAAGTAAAGCTGACCTTTTCCGAAGAGATCCCTAGGAGGGAAAAGAAGAAAACAAACTTGAACGACTTATTCTGAACTATAGTACTACCAATAATTATTTTATAAATACACTTTATTCTTAAGAGCAGTTTTAGTTTTACAACAAAATTGAGCAGAACGTGCAAAGAGTTCTCACACACTACACAGGCAAGGGCTCCCGCACTATCAGTATTCTACACAAGAGAGGTACATTTGTTACAATTTGAACCTACAGGTCATTATCACCTAGAGCTTATAGTTTACATTAGGGTTCACTCTTGTTGCACAGTTTATGGGTTTTGTATAATTATATGCATTCAAGATTATAATGTCAGAGAAAATTGTTTTATTGTACTAAAAGTCATCTGTATATCTTCTATTCATCTCTCCCTCCCCTCCAACCCCTGATAATCAGTGATCTTTTTTACTGTCTCCATAGTTATGCCTTTTTCAGAATGGCATATAGCCATAATCATACAGTATATAGCCTTTTCAGATTGGTTTCTTTCACTTAGTAATATGCAGTTAAGTTTCTTTTATGTATTTTCATGGTTTAATAGTTCATTTCTTTTTAGCACTGAATAATACTTCGTTGTCTGAATGTATCTCTATTTATCCACTTACTGAAGGACATCTTGGTAGCTTTAAAGTTTTGACAATTGTGAATAAATCTGTTATAAATATCTGTGTGCAGGTTTTGCCTGGACATATGTATTAAACTCATTAGGGTAAATGCCAAGAAGAGCAACTGCTTAGTCAAGACTTGATTTGCATGGTGCTACGTTTTGGATGTGGTTTGCTCCAACCAAGATTCATACTGAAATTTGATCCCCAATGTGGCAGTGTTGGGAAGTAGGGCCTAATGAGAGGTGTTTGGGTCATGGGGTTGGTCTCTCATGAATAGATTAACGTCATCTTGAGGGAGTGAGTTCTCACGCTCACAGGACTGGATTAGTTACCTTGAAAGTGTGTTGTTCCTTCTAGTGTTTGGTGTCTTTGCAAATTTGCACTTTTCCTTCCACTTTCTGCCATATGTTGAAGCAGCACAAGACCCTTACCAGATGAACTGCCTAAGTTTGGGCTTCCCAGGATCCAGAATTGTGAGCCAAATAAACTTTGTATAAATTACTTAGTCTTAGGTAGTCTGTTACAGCAGTACACAACAGACTAAGACACATGGTAAAAAATATGTTTAGTTTTTCAGAAACTTGCAAACTCTCTTCCACGTGGTTGTACCAGTTTGCATTCCCACCAGCGAAAGAAGAGAGCTCCTGCTGTTGTACATTCTTTCCTATATTTGACTCCTATTGTGCCACATCTTTGCCAGTATTTTGGCCATCCTAGTAGTGTAGTAGTAGTGTCTCATTGCTGTTTTAATTTGCATTTCCTTGATGGCATATGATGTTGAACATCTTTTTATATGCTTATTTTCCATAGGTATGTCTTTTCTAATGAAGCATCTGTTCAGGTATTTTGCCATTTATTAAATTTTTTTTCATTTTCTTATTGTTAAGTTTTAAGAGTTCTTTGTATATTTTCGATAGCAGTCCTTTATCTTTGCAAATATTTTCTCCAAGTCTGTAATTGACTTCTCATTGTCTTGACAGTGTCTTTCACAGAGCAGGTATTTTTAATTTTAATGAAGTCTAATGTATTGATTCTTGTTTTTATTTATCATGTTTCCATTATTTTATCTAAAAAGGAATTACCAAAAGCAAGGTTATCTAGATTTTCTCTTATCTTATCTTCTAGGAGTTTTATAGTTCTGCATTTTACATTTAGGTCTGTGATACATTTTGAGTTAATTTTTTATGAAGGGTGTAATATCAGGATCTAGATTTTATTATTATTATTATTATTTAGCATGTAGATATCAAGTTCTACCACCAGATAGTCTTTGTTGAAAAGACTATCCTTTCTCTATTCCATTTCCTGTACATTCTTGTCAAAGATCAGCTTACTGTATCCACGTGGTTCTTTTTCTGTGCTTTCTATTCACTTCTATTGATCTGTTTGTCTATTCTTTGGCCAATACCAAAGTGTCTTGTTTATTGTAACTTTAAAGACAGCCTTGAAGTCAGTTAGTATTAGTCTTCTGACTTTGTTCTTTTCCTTCAGTGTTGTGCTGGTTATTGTGGGCCTTTTGCCTCTTCATGAAAACTTTAGATTGAGTTCATTAATATCTACACAATATCTTCCCAGGATTTTGATGAGGATTGCATTGAATATATGGATAAAGCTGGGAAGAGCTGACATCTTGAAAATATTAGGCCTTCCTGTCTCTGAGTATTTAACCTCTCTCCACTTACTTAGATTTTCTTTTGTGTCTTTTATCAAAGTTTTATATTTTTCCTCATAGGTATATTATACATATTTTATTAGATTTATACTTATGCATTTTATTTTGGGGGTGCTAATATAAATGGTATTGTTGTTAATTTTAAATTCTGCTTATTTATTGCTGATATAAAGGGAAGCAACTGACTTTTATATATTAGCTTTGTATTTTGTAACATTCTTGTATAATCAGTTATTAGTTTCAGAAGTTTTTGTTGCTGTTGTTGATTCTTTTAAACTTTAATCATTCATGTTGTCTGTGCTTATTCACAGTTTCATTTCCTCCTTCCCAATCTGTATACATTTTATTTACTTTTCTTGCTGCATAGTATTAGCTAGGACTTCCTATATGATGTTGAAAAGAAGTGGTGAAAGAGAAAAATTATTTTTAAAATACTAGACTTCCAATTGATAAATTACATTATATATCAACCAAGTAACTAATTTTTTTCTATAAAAGATTTCTTACCTGCTCCTACCAAATACTGAATCTTAATTTCACTAACTTCCCTAGGCATGCAAGTTGGCCAGAATATATATACAGTGAGAAAAACATAAAAGGTTAGAATCACACTTTGAGGATACAGCCTGTAGTGCCTACACTTTATTTTCTTGGTGAATGAATGTCTTTCAGCTGGGAAGTTCAACCTCAATGTTGCATTCCCTCTGAATCTACCTGTGATTCTCTCTTGTATACATAAGGGATCTTTTCCATGTATTCATATCTTAATAATACCACTTGACCTATTCTATTATATTAAAAATATTATATATTATATTCTATTATGTTACATTAAAAGTAATGATGGAAACTGCAATTACTTTTGGATCAACCTAATAATTGCATTTTAAATATGTTTTCTATTTTTTTTCCATGGCCGGACTATGTCATACTTCTATCTCTAGAATGTGACACTGCCCTGATGCATATTTATTCTCACTACATTCTATTGAATGAATGTGTGATGGAGTAAATGGATCCAATTGATAATAATGTCAATAATTAAAATGTTATGCTGTTAAATATGCCATGTGTATTCTAAACAATTGTATAACAACATTTATAATAAATAAAAATGTTTGCATACATTTTAATACATTTATTAAGTACTTATGTAGTACTATGTATCTGGTATTTTATGCTTTTAATATATTAATACATTTCAAAACAAAAAAGTTTATGGCTTTTGTATAATAAACACACAAGTTAAAATTACTTAAAATAGATTCCTTCAATGTTGTTGTTGAAGAAAATCATTTGAAATAATTACTTTCAAGTTTAGAACTAAATTTAGTTTGTGATTTTGAAGCTCTATCTGCATATTTGGATTTAAGTAAGATGTTGGTAAATATGGAGGGATGTGAATAAACAAGTGAAAAGTCTGAAAAATAGTTTAATGGTTTAATATTTCACATGGCTATTAGTGCATGTAGCATTTGTAGAGAAACTTCGTATTTCGTGGGAAATTTATTCAAGCACAATCATATAATAAATTAATCATAGAAATGGCAGGCTAAAGAGAATTGCACACTATACACATTATGAATGGTGGAACATTAGCGGTCTAAAAAAACATAAAGCTTAGGATAGGTCTTTGTTACCCATGATAGCAAAACAAGATCAAGTTAAAATATTTTAACGTATTTGGTTTAAATTCAATTCCGTTTCTGGGTTAAGGTCTATAAGTCACTGTTACTTCACCTAAGAATTACATGATCTATAGTGTAGACTAAGATATTCAGTGGTCTGCTATGCCATTGGATATAGCTTAGTTAAGATAGTGACTGGCATTTTTCATTCATTCATTAGAGCAGAGGTTAATCACAGAGAAAGAAATCAAAATGGAGAGCAAGAGCCATTTAAACTCCATTGAGAAAATTTTAAATACTAACTGTAAGTTAACATGATTGAACTTTAGTGTTTATAATATATATTTAATTTTATTTTAATTTGACTCTCACATAAACCTGTAAGATAAAATATTTAGCAGATGAAATAATCAAAGCTAATATTTAACAGATGAAGTAATCAAAGTTACTCTTAAGGAAGTAACTTATTAATGAACAGTGTGTAGTAATCGGCAGCGCCAGACTTCTATCTTTGGTTTCTTTTTGTCAAATCTGGAATATTTTCCCAATTCTGAATTGAAGTCCCAAGAGATTACCAAGCAGAGCCTGGAAACTAAAGTTTGGATGGTAAGAAACAAAAGGCTATAGAAGCAAACAAAAAAATTATTTTAAATGTCAAAAGATATAGGAAATATGGAGTCATAAACTCAAATTAAAGACCTTATGCCCCAAGTGGTGTGAATCTAATAACAAATCCCAGGTAATAGAGGCAACTCAGGTAAAACTGAATACTATTTCTAAATTTAAAGCTATAAAACTAAGGTTTTCTATTTCTTTCCTGGGTGGGGTTAGTGGATGGTGGGCAGCAGATGAAACTGGCTGGGGAAAAGGAGAAAATTAATGTACAAAATGTTATTCTTAGCTTTGAAAATTTATATCATTTTACACAAAAAAGCATTAACTTTTTGTGAATTTTAGTATTCACTTAGGATGCCTTGGTTTTCATGAATTTAATGCTCAAATGTTTGAGTCTGAGCTTTTTAAAGTAAATAAACTAAATTTTAGGTTTAGATTAAAATGTTAAAGAAGATAATATTCTAAAGCAAGATATCTTCATCTCGGCACTATTGACATTTTTGACTGGATAATTCCTCTGTGTGGGGAGTTTGCCTAGGTGTTCTAGGATATTTAGCTACGTTCCCTGCTCCCAGTCACTAAAAACTCCCCACCTCCAGTTGCGACAATGGAAAATGTCTCCAGACCTTTTCAGATGCCCTCTAAAGGGAAGAATCATCCCAGTTGAAAACCACTATTCTAAAGATGCCGTTTCCATAATGTTTCATTCTTAGAAACATAGTTTTATATAGCATATACTCACAAGAGCATAACGAAACAATTTCTGTGAGCTCTTTCAGATCTTAAACAGGAGCTTTTGATTTCTAGGAATAAATTAGTTAAAAAACAACTTCTCATCATTGTTTTAAAATCAGTGTTTTTAAATCAGGAGACTAAAGGCATTGCTAAATTTTGACAGTTTTTGCAGTGAATGCTTGTTTCTCAAAATGAAAAATACCCTTTACTATTAGGCTTGTTTTCTAACTAATAATTCTATAGACATTTGTCCTTGAATGTAAAGGAGGGCATCAATACAACTAAAACAAAACTCAAACCTATAAGCCTTCTAAAACTCAAACCTATAAGAATTTTTCTTGATTTAATTAGTGATCTGAATTATTCTCTTTCTGTTACACTGTGTGATATATAAATAAAATGGCCAATTTTCTCATTGTTTGGAGCCCAGTATGTTATCATGGTCATTTCAAACTATATGTAGGTATTCACTGTTCTGTGAAACTTGGGAGTTTTAACTATTTCTTTAAACTGTGTAACATGCAAAACCTTTCAGATATAAGGATGCTGCATTGTGGTCATTACTTTTAGTACAACTAAGCATTAGCTTCCTTAAATTCCCTTTACCAAACACAAAAGGCAATGAGACATAGGAGAACAATTTGAATGCTCCTGTGGTACATGTCGAATGACAATGCTGTGCATCCTTATTTCACTGCAGACAAATTGTACATACCAAGAGAATAATTTTTTTCAGGAGACTCCAGCAGATAAATTTTTATTGGTCTAAATAATTCAGCAGCTTGTTATAATAAAACCACTTCACATTAAGCATTTTTTTTTGCCCTGTCTTAAATGCACACAGTAGTATTGACTGGATACTACTAATATATAATGCAAACTAGAGGTTTTCCAGTTTATGATGAGTTGTAGCTCTTCAAGGAACTGAGTCCATTGCTAAGGGAGTTGGTTCAACATTTACTAGAAAAAGAGAAGCTAATCGCAGTGTAGAGTAAAGGAACAAAGAAAATAACAGAGCTTTGCTGGTCATTATGTTGATCCGAGAGGAGATTTCATAGTCACAGCACATCTGGAGGTTAGTTTTCAAGTTAGTTGGTCAGGGACTATGAGGGAGATTAAAATTTATATAGGGCAAATATAATTCTCAATAAAATTTAAAGGGCAGTAACAAGTTTCCACATTTGGTAGCTCTCTTCTTAATGTATCACATATAGAATGGAAAATAAGATTATGCAAAGTCTAACCTTTTTTGAAATATGAAAGGACAACTAATTTAAAATCTGAAAAATATATCTTACGGGACTTTATTAAATTCTCCCTGACTTAGCAGCTTAATTCTGTAAATCTTTTTCAATAACTTTCTTTTTGAAGTAGCAACCTACTT
The DNA here is from genome assembly GCF_000001405.40 of Homo sapiens. Lineage (NCBI taxonomy): Eukaryota > Metazoa > Chordata > Mammalia > Primates > Hominidae > Homo > Homo sapiens. The sequence goes on along the minus strand of NC_000014.9, from coordinate 28,279,180 downwards.
ACCTACTGACATGTCCTGGGTTTCAGGCACTCTCAGTCTTGAATTGCAATAGTCTGTAGCATCTGTTGCCACACTTGCCCACACAACCCTCACTCCCTTCTCACTCTTACTGCCTCTTTTTACTTATAACAGGCTTTGTATTGATTCCTGGTGTATGGTGATTTGAATCTTGTTTAATATATTTGTGCTTGTCTAGTATCAAAGGATGATCTCAGGATGAATTCCCAAGGGGGATATTTCAGCATATTCAAGTGCAGAATATAAATATTTATCCAACTTTTAATTTAATGTAATATCTGGCTTATAGCCCCTAATGCTAGCTTCCCCAGCTTCCCATCAGAATAGATAAGAAAAGAGCAATATTCCCAATCCTACAACCGACAGTTTATGTAAGACTAAAATCCAGAAAAAAAATCTGAAAATGCATTGAATATAAATGAAGCCAGAATGAGAAAACTATATTCAGACCATCTGAGAAAGGAGAGAATGACATCAGAATCCTTCTTTACTCTCTTTACCTCAACCCAGTGTCTTTACCATGCAGAATATTAGGCAACTGCACCTCTGCACCAATTTCCGAAGTAGTCTGGTTAGTATTGCTCACTTTGCCTGACAAATATTTTTAATTACACTCTCGTAGATAAAATATATTTTCATTTATGAATTAACAGTGTGTTGGTAAAGGAAAAAGTTTCCTTAAACTCTACTCAATCCCACTCTCCTGCACTAGGTAACCCCTTTTACTAATATGGTAGGCCATTACAGATTACTTTACTATACATTTACATGTATATGAATGTATGAGCATATGCAAACATGTAATAGTTATATTTATTTGTATAAGCATACACATAACCATTTTTGGCTGTATAAAACCACATGACTTGAGACCTTTCTCTTCTTCTTGTTTTTCCATTAATAACACACACATATTTTGGGAGCGAATCTTTTGTCAATAGAAAAGAACAGTGTAGTAGTCTGCAATATTGATGTCTCACAGTTTCTTTAACCACTTGTGTATTTACACAAAGACTTTAAGGTATTTCTAATTTTTTTTTTTTTTTTTTTTTTTTTGAGACGGAGTCTCGCTCTGTCACCCAGGCTGGAGTGCAGTGGCGGGATCTCGGCTCACTGCAAGCTCCGCCTCCCGGGTTCACGCCATTCTCCTGCCTCAGCCTCCCAAGTAGCTGGGACTACAGGCGCCCGCCACTACGCCCGGCTAATTTTTTTGTATTTTTAGTAGAGACGGGGTTTCACCGTTTTAGCCGGGATGGTCTCGATCTCCTGACCTCGTGATCCGCCCGCCTCGGCCTCCCAAAGTGCTGGGATTACAGGCGTGAGCCACCGCTCCCGGCCTTCTAATTTTTTTTAAGTTACAAAATCTTAGTGCCTAAATCAAGCCTTTTTGTTCACATGCACAAATATTTCTCCATAAGGTAGATAGTATAGAATAAATACCTAGAAACGGCCTTATCAGTCTATCATCTCATCAGAAATGGATGAGGCTAACCATTTATTTATATTCTTATCAAAAATGAATTTTATGAATATTTTTTCAACTTTGGCCAATCTTAAAGGCAGACAGTATTGCTATGCCTTAATTTCATTTTTGTTGATTTCTAATGTAATTAAGCATCTTGTCATTTGCATTTCCCTTTTTATTATTACTTGTTGATACCCTCTGTCCATACTTTTATTGGTTTATTTGTATTTTCTCCTACTTTATGAGGATTCATTTTATATTCTGTTAGTTATCTTTTATGTCCAATAGGAAACAGTAGTTCCCAGAAAACAACTTAACAAGATATAGGAATGAGGGTGGAGAATGGCAGAGGCACATTATTTTCTGGGAATTTTAGCTCCACAAATAAATTGTCACAGGTGGGCTTTCAGAAAAACCACAGTATGAATTGGAGCTGTGAATTGAAATGTTTTATGAGCTTGTTTTATTCAATGTATGAGAAAATCAAACAGGAGTGAAGGAGAAGATACACCGGGTAAAAGCTATTAGCACAGGAGAATTGGATGTACATGAGAATTGGATGGGAAGCTATATATATTTTTCCTCCAGCCATGCATTTGAGTGAGAATGTCAGCTTTCACAAGCTGATGAGGTAAGGCAAAAGCAATCCTTCTTCTTTATAGGTTGATAAATAGAGAAAATGTATATGGGTAGAGAATAAAAAACCATGTCAACAGAAATACTAAAAAGTACTTGAAGCTTTTATAATTGAAATTGAGTTAATGCAACTAATGTGTTAGGAACCACCACTGGCTATTTCATGATAGAATTAATACCATACATGGGGAGCGGGGGAAGACATAGCATTGTCTGGGTCTTTTCCCTCCCCTCTTCCCACCTAGAGATGGAGTCTTGCTGTGTTGCTCAGGCTGGTTTCCAACTCCTGGCCTCAAGTGATCCTCCTGTGTCAGCCTCCCAAGTAGCTGGAATTATGGGTGCAGGGCACTGTGCCTTGTCTTTTTGTTTGCTTTCAGAAGACAGTGTAGAAAAATGTAATAAGATAATAAAAATCCATGAGGAAAACTATACAAAGGATTGTGGTGGTGAGAGGAAGGAAAAACTATATATAAAATAAACAGTTTCAAAAGGATCCATTTTGACTCTGACAGCTAGAGCAGAATTTCCAAATATTAGTGTGTGTTGGATTTACCTTAAAGCTAATAAGGAATACAGACAATCAGGCTCATTTAAATAGGATAGGGCCTGGACCACTGTATTTTCACCAAGTTTCCCAGGTGGTCCCAATACTCACTGAAATTTAAGAATCACTGAACTGAAGGAACATAGTTTTTAAGAAACATCATTTGAAAGGCTTAAAGGAATGTAGCCTCAACTCCTGCTCATTAAAATTTCTGCCCATATTATTTAACCCACAATGCTCACACTGAAGGGAATATTCTGAAGTCTAAAAAAATCTCACTACACAAATTTGGGTAGCTTTAGGTCTTTTAAAAAATAGCTCATGTTTGTGTAGACCATTTCTTTGACTACATTTAATCATCTGCTCAGGAAAAGATATTTTTGCTAGGTGTTAATCCTGGACATTTCACAAAAGATGCTACTCCCATCTATTAGGTGAGTGCTATAGTAAAATAAACATCACAGATGCTAAAATAGATACACCATTTAAAATAGTGAATGTTGTATCTTAGAGATTTTAAAATGTGCCTTGTATAAGATTAACTGGGAAGACTCTTCAAAAATGCAAATTTCAAGAATTCATCTTCAAAATTCTCATTTATTAGGTCTAGTTGGGGCTTTTTAGAATCTGTAATAAAAATTCTACAGATTATACTGATTTAAGAACTTCATAAACCAGTTTCAGAAACACTGAAATGAAAATTTATTAACAAAGATGAACACCAATGATGACAACACAACAGAAAAGTAATGTTAGTGACTTACAGTAAAAGCACTTTCGAAAACTGAATTAGGATTTCTGAGAACCAATTGCATGCAATGCCTGGCAGATTTTTTTATTTTTTATTTTTTAACATATGCATTACTTTTTCTTGGCAAAATACTGAGACAGAAAAGAAGATATTAAAACCCAGATTTAGAATATTAAATGCATTTTTAAAAACAGAAGTGTTAGATCTATGCTTCCCAGTATAGCAGCACTAACCACGTGATTATTTCAAATTAAATTTGTTAACATTAAATAAAATTAAAAATTCCATTCCTCAGTAGCACCAGTTGCATTTCAATTATTCAATACCACATGTCTAGAAGCAATTTTATTAGAGTATTTCCATTATTTTCCAAACTTCTATTGGACAGAATTGCACAGAGAGAAGGAATAAATAAATTAGAAAAATAATAAAATAAAATCTTTGTTAGTGGAAGACAGTTTGAGTTTTGCATTAAAGAACTTCTACTACTGGTATTGATTACTATGGCAAGTTTACTCTAAATATACGCAGGGTATTTTGAAAATTAGTATTGTTTCTTTTGAAAAAAGTAAGTATTGAAAACATGGAAATACTTGTATTTATTATTAATAAATGTAAGAAATTAATTTTGTGCCTATAGCATTATTTATCTTGTAACTATGCAGTATTGAAACTGAAGACAATACGCCACAATGGAATTTATCCTACTGCACTATTTTAGAACTTCCTTGTCTATCATAAATTTTATTCTGTCATCACAAAAGAAAATTAGGTGCAACCAATTTTTAAAGAAGCTGCAGGGGTGAAGGGAAAACTTCCTCTTAGTCCTTTAAAGGTTCATTGAAAATCAAGTGACAGAAGACAGATTAATAGGAGAAAGGGGATGCCAATTTTTATTACCATAGATAGGAGGAAAACCACAGAGTGATTACTTCCACCCATCCAATGGGTACAAATGCTGATATGCTCTTCTTCTTGGGGAAGGGGAGATGGGGAAGTGTGGATGATTTTAGGGAGGTAGTAAGTGCCCGTTACAGGAATTCAATGGGCAGGAAGTACATTTACAATGGCCTGGAAAAAGTCTGCTGGGCCCACACAGCAGACAATAGTTTGTGACAAAAGTTTGTACAGGTGTGTGGACAGACTTCAGCCTTTCTTCCTATGATACGGGTTTAGTTAACGAAAACTCAGGGAAGGGACCAGAAGCAAACGTTTTCTTTGGCAGGTCTGAACTTTAGGTAGGTAATGTAACTTCAGAGAACAACTCCATCCTGAGCTTAGGGAGAGACAGAGGACTGAGACATAGGAGGAGAAAGGTCAAAGAGACCTTAAGGTTTCTTCTTCAGTTCAGCATATTCAAAACACCACATTTTTAGAGATCAGTTTCTGAGCCCCAGCAAAACCTTTTATTAAATATATGTCAGACTGAATTGGGCAGATATCAAACTATTAAAAAATTACAAATTTTCACAGAAAGAACTCACCCATGCAATAAGCACCTGGATTGAGAAAGAGTGTCAGCACTGGGGAAATCTGTCACTTCTTTTTCAGTCACTACCACCCTAACAGGGTCACTACTAACATTGCTTCTAACACCAGAAATTCTTTTTGCTTCTTTTATAATTTTATGTAAATGCAATAAAATTTTAGTTTATTTTGTTAAATATATAGGCTTTTGAGATTCTGCTATGATATTTCTTGAAGTAGGAGCTTATATCTTCTCATTGCTTTTTAATATTTCATTGTATAAATATTATATGTCACAATTTATCCATTCTACTATTGATAGACATAAACATTTGGGTAGTTTTTCATTTTTGGCTTTTATTCTGGTTAATGTCTCATAGGCTGGAGTGAAATTTTTAGGTTATACGGTGATATGGTTTGGCTGTGTCCCCACTCAAATCTAATCTTGAATTCTCACTTGTTGTGGGAAGGGCCTGGTGGGAGGCCATGGGGACATGTCTTTTCCTTGCTGTTTTCATGATAGCAGTAAGTGAATAAGTCTCACGAGATCTGATGATTTTATAAAGAGATGTTCTCCTGCATAAGCTCTCTTTTCCTGCTGTCATCGATGCCAGATGTGACTTGCTCCACCTTACCTTCTGTCATGGTTTTGAGGCTTCTCCAGCCACATGGAACTGTAAGTCCATCAAACCTCTTTCTTTTGTAAATTGCCCAGTTTTGGGTATGTCTTCATCAGCAGTGTGAAAATGGCCTAATACAGTAAATTGGTACCAGTAGAGTGAGGCTCTGCTAAAAAGACACCCAAAAATGTGGAAGCAACTTTGGAACTGGATAACAGGCAGAGGTTGGAACAGTTTGGAGGGTTCAGAAGAAGACAGAAAAAATGTGGGACAGTTTGAAACCCCTAGAGACTTGCTGAATGGCTTTGACCAAAATGCTGATAAAGTTACGGACAATGAAATCCAGGCTGAGGTGGTCTCAGATGGAGATGAGAAACTTCTTGGGAACTGGAACAAAGGTGACTCTTGCTATGTTTTATTGAAGATACTGGGCCGGGCGCAGGGGCTCACGCCTGTAATCCCAGCACTTTGGGAGGCCGAGGCGGGTGGATCGCAAGGTCAGGAGATCGAGACCATCTTGGCTAACACGGTGAAACCCCGTCTCTACCAAAAATACAAAAAATTAGCTGGGCGTGGCAGCGTGCACCTGTAGTTCCAGCTGCTGGGGAGGCTGAGTCAGGAGAATGGTGTGAACCTGGGAGGCGGAGCTTGCAGTGAGCCGAGATCTCACCACTGCACTCCAGCCTGGGCGACAGAGCGAGACTCCATCTCAAAAAAAAAAAAAAAAAAAAAAAAAAAAAAGATACTGGCAGCATTTTGCCCCTGCCCTAGAGATTTGTGGAACTTTGAATTTGAGAGAGATGATTTAGGGTATCTGGCAGAAGAAATTTCAAAGCAGCAAAGCATTCAAGAGATGACTTGGATGCTGTTAAGGCATTCAGTTTTAAAAGGGAAACAGATCATAAAAGTTCAGAAAATTTGCAGCCCGACTATGCAATAGAAAAGAAAATCTCATTTTCTGAGGAGATATTCAAGCCGGCTGCAGAAATTTGCATAAGTAATGGGGAGCTGGATATTAATCCCCAAGACAATGGGGAAAATGTCACTAGGGCATGTCAGAGGTCTTCCCAACAGCGCCTCTCATCACAGGCCCAGAGGCCTAGAAGGAAAAGACAGTTTTGTTGGCAGAGCCCAGGGTCCCCCTGTTCTGTACAGCCTAGGGACTTGGTATTCTGTGTTCCAGCTGCTCTTGCCATGACTAAAAGGGGCCAAGGTACAGCTCAGGCTATTGCTTCAGAGGGTGAGAGGCCCAAGCCTTGGCAGCTTCCACATGTTGAGTCTGCAGGTATATGGAAGTTCAGAATTGAGGTTTGGGAACCTCCACCTAGATTTCAGAGGATGTATGAAAACTCCTAGAAGTTCAGGCAGAAGTTTTCTGCAGGGCTGGGGCACTCATGGAGAACCTCTGCTAGGGAAGTGTGAAAGAGAAATGTGGGGTTGGTGGGCACCCCCACATAGAGTCCCCAATGAGCCACTGCCTAGTGGAGCTGCAAGAAGAGGGGCAACATCCTCCAGACCCCACAATGGTAGATCCACCAACAGCTTGCACCGTGCACATGGAAAAGCCACAGACATTCAATGCCAGCTCATGAAAGCAGCCAGGAGGGAGGCTGTACCCTGCAAAGCCATAGGGACAAAGCTGTCCAAGACCATGGGAACCCACCTCTTGCATCAGTCTGACTCGAATGTGAGACATGGAGTCAAAGGAGATCTTTTTGGAACTTTAAGATTGACTGTTCTGCTGAATTTCGAGCTTGCATGGGGTTTGTAGGCCCTTTGTTTTGTCCATCTCATTTAGAATGGCTGTATTTACATAATGCCTGTACCCCCATTGTATCTAGGAAGTGACTAACTTGCTTTTGATTTTACAGACTCATAGGTAGAAGGGAGTTGCCTTGTTTCATCTGAGGCTTTGGGCTGTGGACTTTGCGTTAGTGCTGAAATGCGTTAAGACTTTGGGGGGACTGCTGGAAATGCGTGATTGTGTTTTGAATCGTGAGGACATGAGATTTGGGAGGGACCGGGGGTGGAATGATAGGGTTTGGCTTTGTCCCCACCCAAATCTAATCTTGAAATGTGTAATAGTTCCCACAATCCCCACATGTCATGGGAGGAACCAAGTGCAGATCATTGAATTATGAAGGTGGTTTCCCTCATCTTGTTCTCGTAATAGTGAGTTTGTTCTCAGGAGATCTGATAGCTTTTTTTTTTTTTTTTTTGAGACAGAATCTCACTTTGTCACCCAGGTTGGAGTGCAGTGGCGTGATCTTGGCTCACTGAAACCTCTGCCTCCTAGGTTCAAGCAATTCGTGTGCCTCAGCCTCCTGAGTAGCTAGGATTACAGATGTGTGCCACCATGCCCAGATAATTTTTGTATTTTTAGTAAAGACAGGGTTTTTCCATATTGGCCAAGCTTGTCTTAAACTCCTGGCCCCCCAAGTGCTGGGATTATAGGCATGAGCCACTGTGCCTGGCCTGAGATCTGATAGTCTCATAACAGGATTCTCCCTTTGCTGGGCTTTTATTCTCTCTCCTGCTGCCATGCAAGAAAGACGCTTGTTTCCCCTTCTGCCATGACTGTAAGTTTCCTGAGGACTCCCAGTCATGTGGAATTGTGAGTCAATTCAACCTTTTTCCTTTATAAATTACCCAGTCTTGGGAAGTTCTTTTTAGCAGGGTGAGAAAAGCTTAATATAAGCTTCCTCCATATTCCTGCAAAAGACATAATCTTATTCTTTTTATGGCTGTTTAGCATTCCATGGTGTATATGTACCGAGTTTTCTTTATCCAGTCCTCCAATGATGGGCATTTAGGTTGATTTTTATTCTTTGCTATTGTGAATAGTGCTGCAAAAAGCATTCACATACGTGGTGTCTTTAAGGTAGAATGAATTCTATTCTTTTGGGTAGATACTCAGTAATGGGATTGCTGGGTCGAATGGTAGTTCAGTTTTTAGCTCTTTGAGACATCACCACACTGTTTTTCACATTTGATGAAGTAATTTACACTCTCACAAACAGTGTATAAGTGTCTCTTTTTCTCCACAACCTTGGCAGCATCTGTTATTTATTGACTTTTTAAAATAGCCATTCTGACTGGTGTGAGATGGTATCTCATTATGATTTTGATTTGCATTTCTCTAATAATCAGCGATATTGAGCTTTTTAAAATATGCTTGTTGGCTGCATGGACGTCTTCTTTTGAAAAATATCTATTCATGTCCTTTGCCCACTTTTTAATGTGCTTCTTTAGTTTTTGTTTATTTTAGATTGGTGCAAAAGTAATAACGGTTTGGGCCATTAAGAGTAAATTAAAAGTAATGGCCATAACCACAATTATTTTTGCGCCAACTTAGTAAATTTGTTTATTAACTTTGTTTATAAGTTCCTTATGGATGCTGGATATTAGACCTTGTCAGATGCATAGTTTGCAAATTTTTTCTCCCATTTTATAGGTTGTCTGATTACTCTGCTGATAGTTACTTTTCCTGTGCAGAGCTCTTTAGTTTAATTAAATCCCGTTCGTCAATTTTTACTTTTTTTGAAATTGCTTGCGGCATCTTCATCATGAAAACTGCTTGTTCCTATGTCTGGAATGGTATTATCTATTTTGTCTTCCAGAGGTTTTATACCATTGCATTTTACATTTAAGTCTTCAATCCACCATGAGTTGATTTTTGTATATGATGTAATGAAGTGGTCCACTTTCAATCTTTTGCATATGGCTAGCCAGTTATCTCAGCACTGTTTATTGAAAAGGGAGTCCTTTCTACCCTGTTTGTTTTTGTCAGCTTTGTCTAATATGGTCATAAGTGTGTGGCCTTTTTTCAGCACTCTCTATTATGTTCCACTGGTCTATGTGTCTGTTGTTGTACCAGTACCATGCTGTTTTGTTTATCGTAGCCCTGTAGGATAGCATCAAGTTGAATGTGATGTCTCCTGCTTTCTTCTCTTCACTTAGGATTGCCTTGGGTATTTGGGCTCTTTTTGGTTCCACATGAATTTTAAAATGGTTTTTTCTTTCTAGTTCTGTGATGAATGTCATTGCTGGTTTGATAGGAATAGCTTTGAATCTGTAAATTAATTTGGGCAGTATGGCCATTTTAATGGTATTGATTCTTCTTAGCCATGATTATGAAATGTTTTTCAATTTGTGTTATCACTGATTTCTTTTAGCAATGCTTTTTAATTCTCATTGTAGAGATCATTCATATTCCTCATACGCCGTATTCCAAAGTATTTTATTCTTTTTGTGGAAATTTTGAAAGGGATTGTGTTCCTGATTTGACTCTCAGCTTGGCTGTTGTTGCTGTATAGAAATGCTAGTGATGTTTGTACACTGATTTTGCATCCTGAAACTTTGCTGAAGTTATTTATTGGCTCAAGGACCCCTTGGGCCAAGACTAGGGAGTTTCCTAGATATAGAATCATGTGGTCTACAAACAGGGATAGTTTGACTTCTCTTCCTGTCTGGATGCCTGCCCTTCCTTCCTTCCTTCCTTCCTTTCTTCTTCTTTCTTTTCTTTTCTTTCATTTCTTTCTTTCTTTCTCTTCCCTGATTGCTCTGGCTAGTACTCCCAAAACTATGTTGAATAGGGGTGGTGAGAGAGGGAATCCTTGTCTTGAGCCAGCTTTCAAAAGGAATGCTTCCAGCTTTTCTGCATTGAGTATGATATTGGCTGTGGGTTTGTCATAGATGGCTCTTATTATTTTGAGGTATGGTTTTTCAATACCTATTTTATTGAGGATTTTTAACATGACAGGATATTGAATTTTATCAAAAGCTTTTTTCTGTGTCTATTGAGATAATAAGCAGTTTTTTTGTCTTTAATTATGTTTATGTGATGAATCATGTTTATTGGCTTGCATATGTTGAACCAACTCTGCATCCAAGGGATGAAGCCTACTTTATTGCCGTGGATTAGCTTTTTCATGTGCTGCTAGATTTGGCTTGCAAGCATTTTGTTGAGGCTTTATGCATCAATGTTCATCAAGGTTACTGGCTTGAAGTTTTCTTTTTTGTTGTGTCTTTGCCAGCTTTTGGCATCAGGATGCTGTTGGCCTCATAGAGTGAGTTGGAGAGGAGTCCTTCCTCCTCAATTTTGTGGAGTAGTTTCCTTAGAAATGGCACCATCTCTTCTTTGTACATCTGGTAGAATTCAGCTGTGAATCCATCTGGTCCTGGCTTTTCTTGGGGGGCTGGTAGGCTATTTATTAGTGATCCAATTTTAGAGCTCATTATTGGTCTCTTTAGGGAATCAATTTGCTCCTGGTTTAATCTTCAGAGGGTGTGTGTGTTCAGGAATTTATCTCTTCCAGGTTTTCTAGTTTGTGTGCATAGAGGTATTCATAGTTTCTGATGGTTACTTTTATTTCTGTGGGGCCACTGGTAACATCCCATTTGTCAGTTTTAATTGTGTTAATTTAGATCTTCTCTCTTTTCTTCCTTATTATTCTAGCTAGCAGCCTCTCTACCTCTTAGTATTTTCAAAAAACTAAGTCCTGACTTCATTGATCTTTTGAGTGGTTTTTTGTGTCTTGATTTCTTTCACTTCAACTCTGGTTTTGGTTATTTGTAGTCTTCTGCTAGCTTTGAGGTTTATTTGCTCTTGCTGCTCTGATTCTTCCAGTTATGATGTTAGGTTGTTAATTTGAGATCTTTCTAACTTTCTGATGTGAGTTTTCATTACTGTGAATTTTTCTGTTAATATTGTCTTCGCTAAGTCCCAGAGTTTGTTATATATATATATGTTGTATATTGCTCTCATTAATTTCAAAGAACTTCTTGATGTCTGCCTTAATTTCGTTATTTACCCAAAAGTCTTTCAGGAGCAGGTTGCTTAACTTCTACGTAAGTGCATGGTTTTGAGCAATTTTTAAAATCTTAATTTTTATTTTTATTACACTGTGGCCCAAGAGTGTGCTTGGTATGATTTCATTTCATTTGCATTTGCTGAAGATTCTTTGATGTCCAATTATGTGGTCAAATTTAGAGTAGGTGTCATGTGGCAACGAAAATTTATATTCTATTGTTTTGGGTTGGAGAGTTCTATAGAGGTCTATCAGATCCATTTGGTCCAAGTTGAGTTCAGGTCCTGAATATCTTCATTAACTTTCTGACTTGATAACCTAATATTGACAATGAAGTGTTGAAGTCTCCCCCTATTATTGTTGCAGGAGTCTATGTCTATTTGTAGGTCTCTAAGAACTTGCTTTATGAATCTGTGTGCTCCTGTGTTGGGTGCATATATATTTAGGATAGTTAGGTCTTTTTGTTGAATTGAACCCTTGACCATTATGTATTGCCCTTCTTTGTCTTTTTTTCTTTTTGTCGGTTTAAAATCTGTTTTATCTGAAATTAGATTCACCACCCCTGCCTTTTTTGTTATTATTTTCATTGGTAAATTTTCCTCCATCCCTTTATTTTGAGCCTGTGGGTGTAATTACCTGTGAGTTGGGTCTCTTGAACGCAGCATACAGTTGGGTTTTGCTTTTTTAATCCAGTTTGCCACTCTGTGCCTTTTAAGTGGGGACATTTAGCCCATTTGCAAGACTAGTATTGAAATGTGGGGCTTTGATCCTATCATTGTGTTGTTAACTGGCTATGATGCTGGCTTGTTTGTGTAGTTGCTTTATAGTATCACTAGTCTGCGTGTTTAAGTGTGTTTTTGTATTGGCAAGCAAGTGTCTTCCTTTTCTATATTTAATACTCCTTTCAAGGTCTCTTTTAAGGGAGACCTGGTGGTAACAAACTCCCTTAACGTGTCCTTATCTAAAAAGAGTCTTATTTCTCCTTCACTGAGAAAGCTTAGTTTGGCAGGATATGAAATTCTTGTCTCAAGATTTTTTTTCTTTAAGAATGTTGAGTATAGGCTCCCAATCTCTCCTGGCTTGTAAGATTTCAACAGAGAAGTCCACTGTTGTTAGCCTGATGGGGCTCCCTTTGTAGGTGAGCCTGCCCTTTCACTTTAGTTGCCTTTAACATTCTGTCTTTTACCTCAACTTTAGAAAATCTGATAATTATGTATCTTTGGGATGATCTTGATTAGAATGTTGCATAGGTCTCTGTATTTTCTGAATTTGTCTGTTCGCCTCTCTAGCAAGGTTGAGGACATTTTCGTGGACAAAATTTTGAAATGTGTTTTTCAAGTTGTTTGCCTTCTTCCCATCTTTTTCAGGGATGCTAATGGTTCATACATTTTGCCTCTTTACATGATCTCATATTTCTCAATGGAGTTTTCATTCTTTTATAGTCTTTGTTCTTTATTTTTGTCTGTCTTATTTCAGAGAGCTAGTCTTCAATTTCTGAGATTCTTTCCTTAGCTTTGTCTATTCTGCTGTTAATACTTACAATTGCATTGTGAAATCCTTACAGTGTGTTTTTAGCTATGTCAGATCTGTTAGGTTCTTTTTATTGACTATTTCATGTTTCAGCTCCTGTATCATTTTATTGTGATTTTTAGTTTTCTTGGACTGGGTTCTGCCATTCTCCTGAATCTCGATAATCTTTGTTTCTGTTCATATTCTGAAATATATTTCTGTAATTTCAGCCAACTTAGCCTGGTTAAAACAACCTTGTGGGAGAACTAGTTCAGTCATTTGGTGGACATAAGACACTGGCCATTTGAATTACTGGAGTCCTCATGTTGGTTCTTTCTCATATCTGCATGTTCGTGTTCCTTTATTTTTTTTTATTTATTTATTTTTGAAGGATTTGGCAAAGATTTATTTTTTTTTCCATTTCCAGTTTTTTAAAGTAGACACAGATTTGCTTAGAATAAAGCTGATTTTAAAAGCACACAAAAGTTGAGCACAAAGGAGAGGATTGAATTCACCAATGCAGAGTGATAAAGACGAAAAGATACTGAGCAGGTGCCTTCAGCACAAAACTGATCATCCAGGGTGATCACCTAATAATCGGAGACTTAATTCCTTATAATGCAAAAGCAACAAGAGTTTAGTGTACGAACTGTACGGCTGAGTTTGTAGCTCTATCTTGGTTTCTGTTGATTATGAACAATTAGCATAGTTATGTATAATCTTTCTTTAGTAGACAACCTGCATCCATTTAAATTAAATAATGCTTTCTACAATAGTGTGATATATAAGGCCACAATATTTATTTTGGACAAACCCCTTAAAGTAGCGATTTTATTATCAATGTTATTCATTCTTTTGAAATATAAAGTACTTCAACTGAATTAAGGTTGCAGATAATTTTTAAAATACAATACACCATGACTAGTATATTAAAATTATTTATATTCAGATATTTATATCTAATATCAAATGAAAATTTACTACCAAATTTTTTACAGTAGACATTAATCAGTCTGACATGCTTATTGATCCCATAGGTAGAATTATAGATCAACATGATTTTAGTGTCTATTCTTTTATTTTACTTAATTAGGAACGCAGCATTTACAGAACAAATAAACACAAGTGACGTGGCCACCCCAGGATCTAACAGCTCTTCAGTGAGCTATGTTGCAAGCTCAGAAGTAATCCACTAACGAACCAAGTCAGACTCCAGTTCTTCATCAAAAGGTGCTGGTGGAGGTTGTCAGACGCCTTCCAATATAGATCCCCAATCCGATGGCCAGCAAATGAGAGAGCAGCAGAGATGGAAAGAAAACTTTCAGAAATTCTGCAGAGAATATGCCCCCTTTCTTCATGACGCTCGTGTTCCTCATGCTGAGGGTGGCCGTGCGCTTCGGGTGTTTAAAGAGGAACTCCTTGGGGGGAATATTTTCCGGCCGACTTGACCAACCCATATCCAATCTGAGTTTTTCTTCAAGATGCTTTCAACTTCCTTCCTTCTCTCAATATCATCTTCCTCAGACTGTGAGCTGTTTTTCTCTCCAATGCTATGGGTATCTGTTTCAGAAGCTCTGTTGGTATCTTGTGGTGTCTGTGAGCGAGGTGGGCTGTCACAGTGAGAACTCTTGGAGCTACTCCGTCCAGACTCATGCTGTGCGTCCAGCAGTATTTTTTCCATGTCACCATTATAAATAGAAACCGAGGCTGGAACACTGCCCCCTTTCCCATTATTGCTAAAGTGCAATTCTACCCAGGAGCCCTGCAGGCTCTCCTCCTGCATCCCGGGCGCTCCGTTCTGCGACATGGCGCCCGAGGGCAACTGCGGCGATCGGAGTCCGCGCCGGGCTGCGGGATGTGCTTCAGCTGCGGGCGGTGGGAAAGCAGAGGTAGGAGCGCCGCGGCCCGGGGGCGCTCCCGGACTGAGCGGAGCCCCGCAGCCCGGCCGGAGCCGTGTTCCTTTATTTACAACGTAAATTGAGTACAGGAAGTAGACTTCTTCTTGGATGTTTTCACAGGGCCAAGGCTTTGTGCAGAGTCCTTATTTGTAGCTGACTTATTTTCTTTGGTTTCACAGGGGAGTCTGTTATTGAGGTATTTTTGGTGTTAAAGCTTTGGGATGTGATCCAGTAGGTGACGCTTAGGCATGATCAGTTGCTAGGCTCTTGCTCAGTCCTGTGACTCCCCTATATTTCCTCAAGGTTGCAGCCAGGCTTTCTTTCAGTGCTCTGAAAGTGTGGGCTCCTCTCCCCTTTGAGTGTTGGTTGTAGATTATGGCTTGACACTCCTGGGCTGTCCACCACAACTCTGGGGTATGTACTTATGTTTTCCCCCCAACTTGGAGGCAGCAAAGAAAGGTACCTTAGTAGTGGTTATGGCTGAGGGTCTTTTGCTTGCTTCCTGGGGGCTCCACACCAGAGAGATGCAGGTCAGCAATTGCTCAGTGCAGGGGTCCTCAACTCCCAAGCCATGAACTGGTACTAGACTATGGTCTGTTAGAAATCAGGCTGCACAACAGTAGGAGAGAAGTGGGTGAGCTCTGCTTCCTCTCCAATCAACAGTGGCATTAGATTATCATAAGAGTGTGAACCCTATTGTGAATGGTGCATGTGAGGGATCTAGGTTGCATGCTCCTGTGAGAATCTAACCAATGCCTGATGATCTGAGGTGGAACAGTTTCATCCCGAAACCATCTCCCTCCAAACTGGTCCATGGCAAAATTGTCATGGAGGGAAGTGGTTCCTGGTGCCATAAATGCTGGGGACTGCTGGCTCAGTGCAATTAGCCCACAATGGAGGGCCTATTCTGAGAGTCCATGATGAGGTTTCTCTCATTGGTGACAAGTATGAGTGGTGGGTGGGACCCATAGGAGAAAGACTGGCCTCCCCTCCTTGTGTCAACTGCAGCTTTTTTGGAGGTGTGGATAAGACGCTGGGGTCTTTGGTCCTTCATTAGTCCGAGGGAGGAAAGGGCAGTTCCACAGCAGAGGCAGTGGCAGAGAGGCTTTCAGTTGCCCCTCAGTTCTCCACCTCCAAGGACTGCAGAGCCATTGTTACTGGGAGTGTTCAGCTAGTGTGGTAGGGCAGCTGTTCTGCTGGTGTCATCTTGGGGTTCCACTTTTGTGGAGCAGAGATTCAAAGGCTCACAGGGAGGAGAGATTCATCTCTCCACATGGTGGCTGTGGTGTGCAGCCTTTAAGCTCTTCGTTTCTTCCCCAGACCAAGGGCAGCAGGAATAGAACTGTTGCTGTGGCTGTGGCAGAAGGGCTGTCAAATGCTTCCGGGAGCCTCTCCCCAGGGAAACACTGGACCACTATCAGTGGGTATGCTCAGCCATGGGTGGGGTGATTGTTCTGTGTTCATGAGCCAGGGGCCCTGCCTGGTGAAGGGATTGAGGGTTCGCAGGGAAGATGGGCTGGACTCCTTTCCATATAATGGATGCAGTATGCTGGAGGTACCAGCATAGTGACTAGGCCTTTTGTTCCTTTCCCAGCCTGAGAGATGTTAGAGCTGTACCGTAGTGGAGGAGGAGTTGTGGGTTGATCTTGGGATTTCTTCCTTGGAGAAATGTTGGGCTGCTTCTGATTGTGGTGATCAGGAGGAGGCAGAGTGGTTGTGCTGGAGTCCCAGGTAAGGTGGCTCTGTCCAGTGAGGAGAAGTGAGGACCACCATCTGCATGGAGAACAACAGTCTGGTTAGTTTTCTGAGGTGGTTGCTCTGTGCTGAGGGTCTGAACTAGCCCCTGGTCCTACAGAGTCTCTCATTCCTGGAGATAGCAAGAGCAAGTGCTGTGAGACAGGAAAGATGGCAATGCTCCTCTCACACTGGGAGCTCTGTCCAGGGAGCTACAGAGCTGCTACTGGCTCAATAGCCCCTGCAGGCCATGGCTGGAGATCTAGCCCTGGGGGACTTGCCCAGTGAGGAGATATGGGAAGGGTACTTATGTAATAGTCTGGTCACTTTTCCATAGATCTGCTGCAGTATGCTGGGCGTCTGCTTCAGTTCCAAATCACCTCAGATTTTCCAGTATCAAAGCTATCAACAGTAAAAGCTGTAAAACAGCAAAGATAGTGGTCTGCCCTTCCCTTTGAGAGCTTTGTCCCAGGGAGGTACAAACCTGCTGCCCACTCAAATGCACCTGCAGGCGGTGGCTGGAGACCCTGGTCAGAAGATCCTCCCCTGTGAAGAGGAATGAGATTTTGGACTCACAGAAGAAAGAAGTCTTGCCACTTTTTTCTTTGAGAAACTGTGCTGGGGGTCTGCTCCAGCCCCTAGTCACCCCGGACTCTCCAAAACCGGAAAACAAGAATGACTAAGGCAGCCAAACACCACAGATGGCAACCTGCCCCTTTCTCTGGAAGCTCCATCCTCAGGGAGGTTTGGAGCCACTGCTGACTGAAAAACATCATTTGGGGTACCTGGAGACCCACCCAGTGAGAAGGAATGGGATTAGGGGCCCGCTTAAAAAAGCATTCTGACCACGTTTTTTTAGAGAAGCTGTGTTGTGCTGGAGGTCTGCTCCAGCCCCCATTTACCTCTCACTTGCCAAAGCCCTAAGGCAAGAATGACTAAGGAGGCCAAAGGGCAAGGTTGCCTGGGCCACCCCTTCCACAGAGAGCTCCATCCAAGGGACGTCTGAAACTGGAAACCACCATCAGGGGTAACTGGAGACCCTGGTTGGGAGATTGCACAGTGAAGAAAAAGGGGATTCCTGATTCACATGAATAAGCAATCTGACCACTTATCTGTAGAGCTGCTGGGCTGCACTGAGGGACTGCTCCAGTCCCTAGTTGCCTCGAACTCCCTACAACCCTAAGGAAACAGGGGCTAGGCCTGTGAGAGAGCAAAGATAGTGACTCGCTCCTCCCCCTGGGAGCTTCCTCTCAGTGAGAACCAATGCTGTTACAGGAGTTCCCAGCGAGTCTTATCCTGTGAGGTGCCATGGAAGCAGGTCCTGCAGACCGTTGTTGCTCAGCCCCTTTCCCAGGAGTATGTATGGAGGTCTAACCTTCCACTTTGCTGGAGTTGCAGCCACTTTTGCTGGGAAGCCCGGGTTTCTAAGTTTCCTGGGGCTCCATGTGTGCCCGAGCAGCTGCTCTGACGAGACTCCACAGAGCTCTGAACGTCAGTCGGAAGGCCCTGGTGGAGTGGGTTCACTGGGGGATCTTCTGACCCCAGGCTTGCAAAGATGCATGGGAGAAGCATAGGTTCCCGAGGTCACTCACTCATTCACTGCTTCCCTGAGCTGGGGAGGGTCCCCTGCCTCTGTGTCACTCCCTTATCACATCTAGTGATTTCCTACACTAGATGTACATACACTGTATGTACATACACAATTTACATACAGTGAAATACACAAATCTTAATATGCAGTTCAATTAATTTTGACAAATCCACACCTCTGTGTAAACGATGCCCAATTAAGACATTAAATTTTGCCATCTCCTCTGTAATTTTGTTCATGCCTTTTCCCATGGATTACGCTCATGTAAGTTAAGGTCTGTAAATTTTCTTTAATCTTTTTAGATGCAGTTCCCTTGTGAAATTATTCAACTTTTTCTCTATACTGTCCTTATTTTTTTATATTTTCTTTAATAGATTATTATTAAAGCACTTGTCTGCTAGTCCCTATAACTGAATCATTGTATCTATTTAACATATTTGTTTATTTTTATTTGCACCTGTTTTCTGTCACATCTACTAATTATTAAGTGACTGCCAGATGTTGTATACAAGAAAATATTGCAGAGGCTTCAGATGATTTTTTATTTTACCAGAGAATGTCTATCTTTTACTCTGCTAAGCAGACAGACACTGATTCCCTTAATTCAATTAAAGGTAGAGCTGATTTGAGACTGACTTCCAGTTTTGGTAAGGCTCAACTTACTGCTGCTTGAATTCATTCCAAGAATATATCTCCCAAGCCTTCTAACTGAAATCCTGATGGGTTCACTGAGGCCCATTATTCTGGCGGGTCTTAAACCTAAATCCTTGTTTTTACAGCATTGCAAGATTGCCAAAAGCTCAGCTCTTTATTTTTATTTTTTCCATTGTGTCCGTTTACTTTTCACCCTTTCTACTTCGTGTGGATTTAGAATTCTGCAAAGGTCTTCTAGAAAAGAAATGTCCATGAGTTTGAGACCTTCAGAGTACCAATTTATATTCATCCTCATTAGGTTTCTAATATTTGATTTAGTCTCTATCCTCCAGAAGCTATTCATTGCTTGTCAAAGCTAGGATTCTCAGCCTGTTTCATTTTGTTCAGAATTTGCAAATTCCTCTAGCAAATAATTACAGATACCAGCTTATTGCTCACATTTCTCCGTCATCCCAAATCTTGTTCTCTCTGGTCCTCATGACGTTGCTGCTCTTAAAAAACGTGTTTTGTATTATATCTTGAGGAATGCTGGTCTGCTACAAAGAAATATGTCCCATGCTCTTCAGTCAAAAATTTAAAGTCCAGATGTAAAAATAAACCATTGTTATTACACACACATAAAAATCACAGAGAAGTATGGCAGACTGAGGACAGAGTTCTGATTGGCAGAATAAATACTTGAAAATAGCTTTCTGAGAGAAATAAATTGTGAGTATAAAATTGTATATGGACTTAATTTTTGTTTGAAGATATATGAAAATAAATTTTAATGTGTGAAAATGCAGAAAAATATGTGTGAATGTGTGCTGCTTAGAATGATAAAATTGAGATTCCACCTGAATGAATAAAAGAAAAGAATGAAATACTGAAATAGATAAGAGTATGCTGAAAAGAGTAATGAGCAATAAAACTATCAAAACATTGAATCATATCGTATTTTAGAAATATAAATGTAAAGGTAAAAGTAATAGTTAAAATGTACTTTTTAAAATCAAAGGCATATTGAAGCATTTTTTTAGAATATCAAAAAACACTTGTAATATAAAGGATAAAGAATTTGAGGGGATGGTGTGAGTGAGGTAAAATTGTGCTCGAACTATTGTTTGCTGACAGGAGAAAGAAAGGCTTAAAAATGTATTGAATATTCACAGTGATGGAAAATAAAGCAGTTGTTTCCATTAAAATCAGAAACAACTTTGGGAGGCCAAAATGCGAAGATTGCTTGAGGCCAGGAGTTTGAGACCAGATTGGGAAAGACTCTGTTTCTACTAAAAGTTTAAAAACATATCCAGGCATAGTAGTGCACACCTACAGTCCTAGCTACTTGGTAGGCTGAGGTGAGAGGATCACTTGAGCCCAGGAGTTTGAGGTTACAGCCTGGGCAACAGAGTGAGATCCTGTCTCTAAAAATATAAATTAAATTAAATTAATTAAAAAATGGAATGAAGAAAAAATTGCTTATTATCATTGTTATTATTACTATTATTCAGGTTTCTTCTGGAAAGCCTTGTTTATGGTAATAGAGAAAAAATCTAAAATTATCTCTAATTACAGGAAAAAAACCACAATTATTTTGTTGATGATATTTTTTAGAAAAAACTTTTGGAAAGATTGGCATTTTGAAACCTTGGGGAAATGTTGGTATTCTTCAAAATGTGACTTGTATAAAAGCAAAAGTAAACAAGGCTAACTTATGTGGTTCAGAGGAGAACATTTTAAATATTCTAAACAATTTGTTATTTCAACCTATATAAGGAAACAATATAATAAGTTTCTTAATTCACCTATCGTCCAAACATCATGGACAGTATAACTTGGACAAGGTTATATTAAAAGAGGGATTAAAGGTGACTTAAATAATAACTTATATCAAATGAGTTCCAAAAGCAATACATTTCAAAGTATATTGAAATGTACTGCAAACTAAATAAAAAATGTACAAGACTCATAATCTTGGAAAAAATTGGCATTTGCAGGTGGACATGAAACTTACCAGCCATATAGAAAAATATATTCAGATTTTACCCAAAAATATTAAAATATTTTGAATGATGAACATAGTGAAAACTGAGACTAGAATCAAATATTAGCCATGTATTAACAGAAAATTGACTAATTGTCATACTATATGAAGAACTCTTACAAATGAATAGGCTATTAACTGAAAGGAAAGATGGTCAAAGGCTATAAAGAGGTGATTCACACAGAAAATACAGATAACAATAAGTACACAATGGATATTCTGCCACACAAATGATAGAGATAGCAAACCATAGTATAACATTTTCTTAATAATATTATAAAACATTAAAATTTTAACAAAACAATATTAGGAATGGTGTGCAAAACAGATATTCTAATGCAGTGTTGATAAAGAGGATAGCTTATTATATTCAAAGCAAAAGATCTTAAATTCATGTTTTGCTTTTGGAAGTTGAGCTGGGTGTGCAAACCCAGGAATTCCCTTTTTTCTTCATACATTCTGTATTGGAGTATTTTTGAAAATAAGAATATTCTAGTTTAAAATGTAAAACATAACAAATAACTTAAAAAACAGTGAACACCTAAACAGGCTACTCATAAAAGTTAAGATAGGTAATAAGTATATAAAAAGGGTCTAAACCTCACTAAAATGAATCACATACAAATTAAAATATTTAATAGCATTTTGAAGTGCCAATTTGTGAAAGAACTATAAAAACAAGAATACACGCTTTGCTTTCTTGGTGGAAAGTACTTTCGTTTTGATGAAAGCATAAACTAGATCTCAATTTCAAAAAGGCAATTTGGCAACAGGTATGATAATGAGTTTTATTATTTTCATTTTTAGACAAATTTTATTTATTCAACAGACCACTAGGAAAATACAGAGATATCTCTTGAGGCATTGTTTGTTTTTAGATATGTTTTATTGAGATAAAATGTATATAACATAAAATTCATTATTTCAAGCATATGAAAGAGTACAATCAGTTGACTTTTAGAATCTTTAAAATGTTGCAAAATAATCATCACTCTCTAATTCCAGAACATTTTCATTACTCCAAAGAGAAAACTCATATCTGTTAGCAGTCAATCCCATTTTGCCCTCTCTCCATATCCTGGCAGTCACTAATCTACTTTCTGTCTCTATGATTTTGCCTGTTATAGATGTTTATTTTTAAAATGGACTCACATAAATGTATTTTGTGTTTGAACTGTTTCATTTAGCTTAGTGCTTGTACGTGCATCTGTACCAAAGTCATGTATTAGAGCTTCCTTCCTTTTTATGGTTTAACAATATTCTAGTGTATGGGTATAGCACATTTTGTTTATCGTTGTTCAGTCGGAGAGCCGCTGGGTTATTTCCACCCCTTGGCTATTATGAATAATACTGCCATGGACATTTGTGTACAAGTTTTTGTTCTACATATGTTTTGAATCTTCTTGTTTATATTCATAGGAGTGTAATTGGTAGGCTGTATGGTGACTCTGTATTTTACTCTTTGAGAAACTGCCAAACTATACCATTCCACAGCAGTGTCACTGATATTCCCACGAGCAATGGATGAAGGTTTTGATTTTTCTACATCCTTGTCAACATTTGCTATTTTCTTTTTCTTTGTAACATTATTATACCAATTTAGTATGTGTGGAGTGGTATCTCACACTGGGTTTGATTTGCATTTCACTAATAACTTTTATCACATTTTTTTTCATGTCTTTATTGGCAATTTGTTTATGTTCTTTGGAGAAATGTCTTTTCATGTCCTTTGTCAATGTAAAAAAATTGGGTTGTCTTTTTATTGTTGAGTGGTGTTTTAAAAATATATTCAGGATACTAAACCCTTAAAAGATACATAAATTGCAAATATTTTCTCCCATTCTGGGGTTGTATTCTTACTTTTTTGACAGTGACTTTTGACACACATTTTTCACTTTGATAACTTCCAAGTTAATAATTTTTTATTGTTTATTGTGCTTTAGGTCTCATATTTAAGAAACTTTTATAATGCAAGCTTATAAAGGTTTATACCTATTTTTCCTTCTAAGAGTTTTACAGTTGTAGCTCTTACAGTTACATATTAGATTCATTAGGGCTACAATTTTATTATTTTGCATGTGGATATCTAGGCATATCAGTTCCAATTTTTGAAAAGACTGTTCTTTTCCCATGAATAATCTTGGCCTTCTTGAAAAGCAATAGACCTTCTTCAATAACAGTCTCTAATTACTCAATTCTATTCCATCTATCTATATGTCTATCCTTATGACAGTACAACACTGCTTTGCTTATTGTAGCTTTCTTTTACATTGTAAAATTATGAAGTATGATTTATATAACTTTGTTCTTTAATTCCAATATTGTTTTAACAATCTGGTGTTTCTTGCATTTGCACTTATATTGTAGGATTATATTGTCTATTTCTACAAAAAGGCAGTTTGAATTTTGATAAGGGTTGTCTAATTCTTCAAAAAGGTAGCTGGAATTTTGAAAAGGTAGCATTGACTCTGTGGAACAATTAGTTTTGTATAACCATATTAACAATATTGAGTCTTACAATTCATGAACATGGGATGGATATCTTGCATTTTAAATATTCTTTTTAATTTATTTTACAATATTTTTTAGTTGTCCATGTACAGGCCTCATACTTCTTTGGTTAAATGTATTCCTTAGTATTTTATTAATTCAGATTCCATTTAAAATGGAATTGATTTTTAAATTTCAATATAGAGTTGTACAGTGCTAATGCATAGAAATACAACTAATGTTTGTATCCTAATATTATATCTTGAAGCTTTTATGAACACATATATTCATTGCAATAGTTTGTGTATCTATGTGTTCTTCAGGATTTCTGTATATATAAGATCCTGTCACCTGTGAATAGAGATACTTTTTTTCTTTCATCTGGATGATTTTATCTCATTTTATTGCCAATTTCCCTGGTTAGAACTTCTAAGATAATGTTGAATAGAAGTGAAAATAACAGATATCATGATTTGTTCCTTATCTCAGAAGTAAAACTTTTAGTATTTCATCATTAAATATGGTATTAACTGTGGAGTTTTTATAGATGCTTATTATCAGGTTGAGGAAATTCCATTTTATTCTTTGTTCAGTATTTTTATTAATACCGAACAAATGAAAACATTTTGTAAAATGTTTTTCTGCATATTTTGAGATGTTTTTTCTTCTTTTCTTTATTATTGTGGTGTCTTATATTGAATAATTTCATATGTTAAACTTGAAAACTAGCCAAATTCTACAAGGTCATGTTTAATCTTTTTAATGTACTGCTGGATTCTGTTTTCTATTATTTCATTAAGGATTTTTATGTCTATATTCATAAGAGATATTCATTGGCACTTGTTTTTTTTTCCCTAAGTTATTTTGCAATTTCTTTATGACTCTTTTATTACTCAGCAGTGTGTTATAAGTTTAATAATACCACTCTTCTCAAAAGATATACTGAAGTTCTAGCATCCACTGTTGCAGAATGTGGTCTTATTTGGAAATAGGGTTGTTGCAGAGGAGATTAGTTAAGTCAACAAGGTTATACTGGAGTAGGATAGGCCTGTAATCCATGATGACCAGCGTCCTTATAAGAAGATGGCTTTATGAAGACAGACATACAAGGAAAATGCCATGTGGTGATGATGCACAAATTAGAGTTATGTAGTTGCAATTCAAGGAAAACCAAGGTTGCCAGCAAACTACCAGTGGCTAGAAAAAGGCAAGGAAAGGCATCTTTACTGGTTTTAGAGGAAGTACGATCATGCTAACAGCTTAATTTCAGATATGTAGCTTCTGGAACTGTGAGACAGTAAATTTTCATTGTTTTAAGTTTGTGACACTTTGTAACAGCAGCAGAAAAAGATAAATACAGAGTGTGTTTTTGAATTTCCACGTATTTTTGAATTTTAAAAATTGCATTTGTATTAATTTCTAACTTAATTCCATTTGTTTGAAGAACTTGCTTTTAATTATTTCAATCTTTTAAAATTTATTCAGATTAGTTTTGCTACATAACATGTGGCCTATCCTGGAGAGCATTCCATGTACATGTTAGAAAAATGTGTATTTTGGAGAGAGACAGAGCAAGACAGTGGGATAGAAAGCTCCACTTATCATCTTCCCTGCAGGGACACCAAGTTAACAACGATCTACTTAGAAAAAACACCGAGCGCGGTGGCTCACTCCTGTAATCCCAGCACTTTGGGAGGCCGAGGAGGGTGGATCATGAGGTCAGGAGATCGAGACCATCCTGGCTAACACGGTGAAACCCCATCTCTACTAAAAATACAAAAAATTAGCCCAGCATGGTGGCGGGTGCCTGTAGTCCCAGCTACTTGGGAGGCTGAGGCAGGAGAATGGAGCAAACCCAGGAGGCGGAGCTTGCAGTGAGCCGAGATTGCGCCACTGCACTCCAGCCTGGGCGACAGAGCGAGACTCCGTCTAAAAAAAAAAAAAAGAAAAAGAAAAAAAAAAGAAAAAGAAAAAAAAGAAAAATCACCTTCATAGGAACCAAAAATCAGGTGAGTACTAATAGTACCTGATTTTAACTTCATATAGCTGAAAGAGGCACAGAAGAGATAGATAAAATAGTCCTGAATCACTGACTCCACCTCTTCCCCATTCCTGGCAGGAGTGTGATGCAGAGAGCATCTCTGGGCACTGGGGAAAGGAGAAAACAGTAATTGTGAGGAATTAAACTCTGTGTTGTTCTGTTAGTGCAAAAAGAAAACTAGACCAAATTCAGATGGCGCCCGCTCATGGAGGGAGCATTTAAACCAGCCCTTAGAGAGGAATTGCCAATGTCAGCGGTTAGAACTTGAGTGCCTGCAAACCTTGCTACAGAGGGCCAAAGTGCTCTATGTCCCTAAGTAAACTTGGAAATCAGTCTGGGCCATAAGGACTGAAACTCTTAGGTGAGTCCAAGGGCTGAACTAGGCCCAGAGACGGTGGACTGTGGGGGCAGGCAACATACAGAGACACGAGCTGGGGCAGCCAAGGTAGTGCTGGCATCACTCCTCCCATAACCCCAGGCTGCACAGCTCCTGACTCCAAATGAGATCCCTTCCTTGAAGAGAAGAGAGGGAATAGCAGGGAGGATTTTGTCTTACATCTTGGATACCAGCTCAGGTGCAGCAGGATAGGGTACCAGTCAGAGCCATGAGGCCCTTGTTCAGGCCCTAGCTCCCAGATGACATCTATAGACACACCCCAAACCAGAGGGGAACCTGCCTCCTTGAAAGAAATGACCCAGTCCTTCCAGCATTTATTACCTGCTAACTGAAGGGCGCTTGGACCCTGACTAACCAGCAGTGATATCTGGTACTAGAGGGCCTTGGTGAGTCTCTGAGACTTGCTGGCTTCAGGCAGCAACACTGCCACAATGGGGTAGAGCACCTAGCAGGTTCTTGTGGTTTTCCATTCAAGGACATGACTCTTGTATGGCATTTCTGGACATTCCCTGGGCCAGAGGGGAGCCCACTGCACTAAAGAGTGAGTCCCAGGCCAGGCAGCATTCACCACAAGCTGACTTCAGAGACCTTGAGTCTTAAGAAAACATCAGTGGTAATCTGGCAGTACTCCTGTGGCAAGGGGTGATGGTGGCTATGGGATAAGGTTCCTTTGCCTTTGGAAAGGGGAGAAAAGAGTAGGATGGACTGTGTTTTGTGGTGTGAGAGCCAGCTCAGTTGCAATACAACAGAATACCAGGTAGACTTCTAAGGTTTTTGATTCTAGTCCGTGACACTTGGAGAGCACTTCTGGACCCACTTGGGGCCTGGGGTATCTCGTCGCCCTGAAGGGAAGGTCACAAGCCTGGCTGGCATTGCCACCTGTTTATTGCAGAGCCCCAGGGCTTTGGGCAAACATAAGCAGCAGCCAGGGAATGGTTGGGTATCTTTTCAGCAGCACCCCACTCTACTAGTACCAATTTACTGTATTAGTCAGTTTTCATTCTGCTGATAAAGACATACTTGAGACTGGAAAGAAAAAGAGGTTTAATTGGACTTATAGTTCCACATAGCTGGGGAGGCCTGAGAATCATAGTGGAGGGTGAAAGGCACTTCTTACATGGCAATGGCAAGAGAAAAATGAGGAAGATGCAAAAGCGGAAGGCCTTGGGTGAAACCCAGTGCTGTGTTGGTTTCAGGCCTGACCCAGTGCAGTCATAGTGGTGGTGGCCACAGAGGCGCTTATGTCACTACACCCCCAGCTTCAGGTGGCTCAGAATAGAGAGAGAGACTGTATGTTTGGGAGAAAGTAAGGGAAAAGAACAAGTCTCTGCCAGGTAATCCATATAATTGTCCCATATATTTCTAAGTCCGTTGATATGGTTTGGCTCTGTGTCCCCACCCAAATCTTATGTTGAATTGTACTCCCATAATTCCTAGATGTTGTGGGAGGGATCTGGTGGGAGATAATCTGAATCATGGGGGAGGTTTCCCCCATACTGTTCTCGTGGTAGTAAATAAGTTTCATGAGATCTGATGGTTTTACCAGGGATTTCCGCTTTTGCATCTTCCTCATTTTTCTCTTGCCATTGCCATGTAAGAAGTACCTTTCACCCTCCACTATGATTCTCAGGCCTCCCCAGCTATGTGGAACTATAAGTCCAATTAAACCTCTTTTTCTTCCCAGTCTCAAGTATGTCTTTATCAGCAGAATGAAAACTGACTAATACAGTAAATTGGTACTAGTAGAGTGGGGTGCTGCTGAAAAGATACCCAAAAATGTGAAAGTGACTTTGGAACTGGGAAACAGGCAGAGGTTGGAACAGTTTGGAGGGCTCAGAAGAAGACAGGAAAATTTGAGAAAGTTTGGAACCTCCTGGAGATTTGTCGAATGGCTTGGACAAAATACTGATAATGATATGGACAATGAAATCCAGGCTGAGATGATCTCACATGAAGATAAGGAACTTGTTGGGAAATGGAGCAAAGGTGACTCTTGATATGTTTTAGAAAAGAGACTGGCAGCATTTTGCTCCTGCCCTAGAGATCTGTGGAACTTTGAACTTGAGAGAGATGATTTAGGGTATCTGGCAGAAGAACTTTCTAAGCAGCAAAACATTTAAGAGGTGACTTGAAAATTTGAGTTTGGAAAATTTGCAGCTTGATGATGCAGTAGAAAAGAAAAATTAATTTTTTGATGAGAAATTCAAGCTGGCTGCAGAAATTTGCATAAGTAAAAAGGATTCACATGATAATCCCCAAGACAATGGGGAAAATGTCTCCAGGGCATGTCAGAAGTCTTCATCATAGTCCCTCCCATCACAGAACCAGAAGCCTAGGAGGAAAAAATGGTTTTGGGGGCCAGGCCCAGGGTTCCCATGCTGTGTACAGCCTAGGGACTTGGTGCTCTGAGTGCCAGCCACTCCAGCCACTGCTAAAAGGGGCCAAGATTACAGCTCAACCCATGGTTTTGGAGGGTGCAAGCCAAAAGTCTCGACAGCTTCCATGTGGTGTTGAGCCTGTGGGTGCACAGAAGTCAAGAATTGATATTTGGGAACCTTCACCTGGATTTCAGAAGATGTATGGAAACTCCTGGATGCCTAGGCAAAAGTTTGCTGCAGGAGCAGGGAGAACCTCTCCTAGGGTACTGTGGAAGGAAAACGTGGGATCAGAGGCTCCACACAGAGTCCCTACTGGGGCAACTCCTGTTGGAGCTGTGAGAAGAGGACCACCATTCTCCAGACCTCAGAATGGTAGATCGACCAACAGCTTGCACCATGCATCTGGAAAAGCCACAGACATCAACACCAGCCCATGAAAGCAGTCAGGAGGGGTCCTATACTCCTCTATACAGGAGGGGCAGCCATAGAGATGGAGCTGCCCAAGTCTATGGAAACCTACCTCTTGCATCAGCATGACCTGGATGTAAGATATGGAGTCAAAGAACATCATTTTTTAACTTTAAAATTTGACTGCCTTGCTGGATTTCAGACTTTCATGGGCCCTGTAAGCACTTTGTTTTGGCCAATTTCTCCCATTTTGAATGGCTGTATTAACCTAATATCTTTATCCCCATTGTATCTAGGAAGGAACTAGCTTTCTTTTGATTTTTACAGGCCCATAGGTGGAAAGAACTTGCCTTGTTTCAGATGAGACTTTAGACTGTGGACTTTTGGGCTAATGCTGAAATGAGTTAAGACTTTGGGGGACTATTGGGAAGGCATGACTGGTTTTGAAATATGAGGACATGAGATTTGGAGGGGCCAGCAACGGAATGATCTGGTTTGGCTGTGTCCCCACCCAAATATCATCTTGAATTGTACTCCCATAATTCCTATGTGTTGTGGGAGGAACCTGGTGGTAAATACTTTGAATCATGGAGGTGGTTTCTCCCATACAGTTCTCATGGTAGTGAATAAGTCTCACGAGATCTGATGGTTTTACCAGGGGTTTCTGCTTTTGTACCTTCCTCATTTTTCTTTTGCTGCCACCATTTAAGAAGAGCTGTTCACCTCCTGCCATGATTCTGAGGCATCCCCAGCCATGTGAATCTGTAAATCCAATTAAAACTGTTTTTCTTTCCAGTCTCAGGTCTGTCTTTATCAGCAGCATGAAAAAGGGCTAATGCAACCATCAAGGTGGTACCTCTACAAGTCTGCCAGAACCACAGCATTACTAGGCTTGGGGTGCCCCCTAAAGCAGAAACAGCTTAGATTACAGCATCAAAGTCCTTTCAAATATCTGGAAAGCCTTCCTAAGAAGAACGGCTATAAATAATCCCCGAGGGTGAAGGCTACAATAAATAGACAAAGCTCTCCTAAGCAAAAAGAACAAAAACTGGAGGAATCACATTACCTAACTTGAAATCATACTACAGAGCTATAGTAATGAAAACAGCAAGATACTGGCATAAGAACAGACACATAAACAAATAAAACAGAATAGAGAACTGAGAAACAAATCCACGCACCCACAGTGAACTCATTTTTGACAAAGGTTGCAAGAACATTCAGTGGGGAATGGACAATCTCTTCAATACATGGTGCTGGGAAAACTGGATATCCATATGCAGAAGAATGAAAAGAGATGCCTATCTCTTACCATTTACAAAAATCAAATCAAAATGGCTTACATATTTAAATCTAAAACCCTCAAACCATGAATGTCTACAAGAGAACATTGGGGAAAATCTCCAGGACATTATCCTGGGCAAACATTTCTTGAGCAATATCCCACAAACCCAGGTAACTAAAGCAAAAGTGGGCAAGTGGGATCACATGAAGTTTAAAATGCTTCTGGACAGTAAAGATACAATCAACAAAGTGAAGAGACAATCCTCACAATGGAAGAAAGTATTTTCAAACTATCTATGTGATAAATGATTAACAAACAAAATATATTAATAAAAGTACCTGAAATAACACTATAGGAAAAAAATCTAATAATCCAATCAAAAGATGGGCAAAATATTTGAATAGACACTTTTCAAAAGGAGATATACAAATGGCAAACAGGCATATGTAAAGGTGCTCAACATCACTGATCATTAGAGAAATGCAAATCAAAACTACAATGAGATGTTATCTCACTCAAGTTAAAATGGCTTATATCTAAAAGACAGGCAAAAACATATGCTGGGGAAGATGTGGAGAAAAGGGAACTCTTGTCCATTGTTGGTGGGAATGACAGTTAGTGAAACCACTATGGGGAACAGTTTGGATCTTCCTCAAAAAACTAAAAATTGAGCTATCATATGATCCAGCAATCCCACTGTTGAGTATATATCCAAAAGAAAGAAAATCAGAATATCAAAAAGAAATCTACACTCCTATGTTTGTTGAAGCACTGTTTGTAATAGCTAAGGTTTGGAAGCAACCTAAGTGTCCATCAACAGATGAATGGATAAATAAAATGTGGTACATCTACACAATGGAGTACTATTCAACCATAAAAAATGAGATCCAGTCATTTTCAACAACATGGATGGAACTGGAGATCATTAATTTAAGTGAAATAAGCCACGCACAGAAAGGCATGCATTGCATGTTCTTACTTATTTGTGGGATCTAAAAAGCAAAACAACTGAATTCATGGACATAGAGAGTAGAGGGATGGTAAAGGTTGAGGGAGTCAATGGGTGGCTGGGAAGGAAGTGGGGATAGTTAATGGGTTCAAAAATTGTAAGAATTAATAAGACCTACAATTTGATAGCACAACAGGGTGACTCTTGTTGAACTTGCTATTTCTCTCCTTAAATCTAAATCTGTCAGTGTTTGTTTAGTGTATTTTAAGGTTTTCTTGTTAAGTGCTTATAGTGTTTATAGTTCTTATATATTCTTCATCGATTCCTCCTGTTATCTTTATAAAATATCTTTCTTTGCATTATGATTTGTTTTAAACTCTATTTTGCCTGATTTTAGTACAGCCACAGCAGATCTCTTTTAGTTACTGTTTGCAAAGACTATATTTTTCCATACTTTTACTTTCAATCTATTTGTGCCATTGAAAATAAAGTGAATCTTTCACATTTAGCATATAGTATATTAATCCAATGGTTGCAGCCAATGCATGTTACTCAGGGGCATTTTATATTCAATTGTATAAATGCATTACTTGAATGTTTTAATCAGCATTAATTACATTTACAGTCGACAATTTAGAGATTTTTCTATTGAAATAAGTATCTTTCAAAACAAAGGAGAAGATAAAGGCAAAGTAACATAATACAGACAGCAAATGCCTGGAAACAAAGAGAAAAAGCAAGGATGCTGGGCATGAGCTGCAAAGAAAATGACAGATGTTGAGACCAAGTGTTCACATTAAAGCAGACATAGCTCTGCTGTTGACTAATGCCAAGGGGAGCCCTTTGTAGGGATCTTCAAAAGTAAATTTTTGGAATGTGAACAGATCTGCCACCTGGCCAATGACAATGAAAACTTACTAGCTACAGTGATGAAAATGGTGGGCATATGTGTTTTATACCTATAATGTATAATTACTGGAGTTAAGCAAAATGTGTCATGCCTTTGTGTGATTTTTTTCTGTCCCATTTCTTACCAGCTAAGGATATTGATAACTTTTAAAACTTGTGAAAAATTTGGTATTTTACATGAAGAAAATTAAGCAGTTGTAAATGTCTGTAATAGCATTCTTTCTATAGATTATGAAATAATAGCCAAATTATTCTGGATTATTATAGGATTCTTAGTAAAGAAAAGAGATCCAAAAGCACATTGATATTGAATATCTGTCCAGGAAGCATGGTTTTTTTTTTCTTTCTGCTTATTAGGTGGCATATTTGGTTTCATTACTGTCACTTACTATATTGCTATAAAGAATGTCTCAGGTTAGTCTTTAAGAAAATGTTATTTATAATTTTATCTGCTGCATGTATAAATTGGTGACATTTTCCATGTTGGAAATTGAAAGCTAGTGGACAAAATATAGAAATCTAATATGTCATCTTATCTGATACTAATTCCCAGAAGTCTGTCTCATGATAAATATATAATCATCAGGGACCTAAATATATTATTGACCATTAAGAAAACTTTACCGTGATAAATTTTACCTTTTAAATTATGAGATACTTAAAATATATACAAAGTTAAAAATAATATTATGATAGACATACATACCCCTCTGTATTAAATTTAAAAATTATAATAATTTACCTTTTTAGTTTAGAATATTTTTTAAACAAAGTAGAACATTACAGTGAACATTAGTGTTCCTGTTGTTTCCATTTTACGCACATCCTACACCATCTTCATAAGAAAATACTGAGATACATGTGTATACTTGTCCACTCCTTTAAAAATATCTATGTATTTACATAATTGGTGATGTCATCTGTGCATTTTTTGGAACTTGATTTTTTTTTACTCAATAATTTCACTTTCAAATTCTATCCATGTTATATATTTCTTTAAATATAAAATATTAAGTACACATATTAATGTCTGCTTCTGTCTTAATCTCCAGTAAATTTTAGTAAAATAATAAACTCAAAGGGCAAAGAGCATATGCTTTATGGTGATAATGAAAAAGAAAGAGCTAATAAAGTGTAGGTTTAAAATAGATGAATAAGTGGTGACTTATCAAAGTTGGAAAACCTCAAACTTAACTCTGTAGGGTGGTGGAAGGGCGGGATTTTAAGAGACGTTCATTTTATAGGCAAAATCCTAGCAAGAATGAGGAATTAGAATACTGTGTACATCTGAAAGCAGGGATTTAGGCTGAAAATGAGATGACTGGATAAAGGCTCTAAAAGGAGTTAATTTCTTCATCCCATGCCTTATCCCAGGCCCCCAAATGCCTAACATTCCTCCACTGCTGCAGATGTTAGATAATATGTCAGGGATTGATTACAAAAAGCCTCAAAAGGAAATTTTTGGAGTAGTAAAAGTTTTCTAGCAGTATTAGGATGTTTTATTTTTTAATCAATTTGTTAAAACTCATACAACTGTATACCACAAGGGATGACGTTTACTGAATGGGAAACACAACAATGACAGAACAACACCAACGATAACAACAACAACAACAACAGGATTTTAGCATATACAAGATGGAATGCAGACTGTGACAAATAAACATTACAAATATATAAAATAACCTTATTGAAGTGGATAAAGAAATAAAGTACTGACATATGTAACTTTGAAAAATGGTGTTTTGACTGGATATTGTAAGGCTAAATGCAAAAGAATTGTACATAAACATTATACTCTAGTTGGTACGTATTTTACTCAAAACAGTTCTAAAGTCACTTTACATCTAGGATCAAACAAATAAGTAAATAAATTGAAGTTAATGGAGCCAGGCTTCTTACCTTCAGACAAAGGGTTAAAGGCTGAAATGAAATCTGTGTGCTGTCTGGAGTAAAGTCAGAGATATCAATATGATCTCGTGTTTACTTCAGTATAAATACAGAGACATAAACAGAGGAATAAAGATGTGTGTGGGTGAATATACATGGGTTAGTAGACATTGTATATTTCCTAGAATTGTCCACTAAAAATCCTAGAATTAGTACATTCTTGGAAAAATAGTTGAGTCTTATATTGTGGAAGGGAAAATCAAAACTGGCCTGAGGTACCTTGCACTGTCACAAAGTAAAAAGTGCTGAAGAAAGGGCCAAGGGTCATTTTAAAAGAACACAAATGACAACAGAGAAGACCTTCCAATGGCCAAATCCGGAATAATCTGATTAACAAAATAAATAATGGAAGTATTATATTAAAACCCAAATAATAAAACAATATCCATGAATGTATACTGAAATAAATGATTGAGTCCATAAATGAGGAAGAAGAGATAAATCTTTACAGAATAAATCTAAATATTTCATGTAGATATGTTTTGCCTCTTCTTACACAGAAAAAAATTGATGACTCCAGGGATACTTTGCAAAATATTTGTTCAGTATTCTTTGAGGTCATGAAAAACTCAGTGATTGTCACACAGAAGAGGACAATAAGGAGATAAGACTAAACACAATGACTGGATCGAAGTCAGAAAAAGACATTCATAGGAAAACTGAAAAAACAATAAAGGCTTAGATTGTTAAATAGTATTGTGTCAATGTAGTATAGTAGAAGCACTAATTCTTCAGTGTTGGAAAATATGCTATGGTTACACATGAAGGTTAGAGAAAGCTGGGTAAAGGGTGTTCATGAAGATTCTGTAATATCTTTAAATCATTTCTCTAAATCTATTGTTACAACATTTCTCTAAATCTCTTTTGTAAAATCTTGTTACAAACTAACAAGTAGGAGCATCTTAAAAGCAGGGTAGAAAAGTGATGCTGGGGTCTGTAATAGTAAGTAGGGAGGTTAGGGAAGTACTGAACTGTGAGGGTGACATTTGCACAAAGACCTGTTTGAGATAAGGGAGTAAATCGTGTGTATATCTAGGGGAAGATAAATATCAGAAAAAACATCAAGGAAATTTGTGTATCTGGAATGTTGTGAGAAGGAGGAGGGGAATATTACATTGTATTCATGAATAATAGTGGGGCGCAGTATTGGGGAGCAGATATTAAGCATTGAAGGCCATGGTCCTTTCTTTGGCTTTTATCTGGGGAGAATGGAAAGGCATTGGAGGGCTTTAAGCAGAGGAATAATATGATCAAAGCAAGGAAAGCTAGATCATAGATTTATAAATGACTAAGTTACACTACTACCTATGTCTAGTAAATACACAATTGTTTGTGTCTATTTTAGTTTATTTTATTTATTTTTTGAGATGGAGTCTTGCTCTGCTGCCCAGGCTGGAGTGCAGTGGTAGCATCTCTGCTCACTGCAACCTCCGCCTCCCGGGTTCAAGCGATTCTCTTGCCTCAGCCTCCCGAGTAACTGGGATTACAGGCGCCTGCCACCACGCTCGGCTAATTTTTGTATTTTTAATAGAGACGGGGCTTCACCATGTTGGCAAGGTTGGTCTCGAACTCCTGACCTCAGGTGATCCGCCCGCCTCTGCCTCCCAAAGTGCTGGGATTACAGGTGTGAGCCACCGTGCCCAGCTGTTTGTGTCTATTTTAACTCTTCTGTTTTTATTCTAATTATACACTTACTTAACCAGAGTTGATCTACAAAACGAGACAGTGAAATTTTTTCCTGCCTTGACTGTTGTAAGAGGACTAGTTTCAGACCCCACAAAATCACTTATGAGCTACTCCTTATACCAAATATACCAATAGACTATTCTCAAGAAGGCTGAATGCTGGACAGCTCCAGTAAGCTGTGTGTGACTCAGGATGGTGATTGTTGTTAAGCTGAGAAAGAAGAAGCAAGAGAAGAACTGCTTTAATGGCATATTGATACGCAAATGAAAATACTACAGTGCTTTAATAACTGCATAGTGATTCTTAATCTTGTATATGCCTCGTTACAGATGCATTTATAATTCCAGATGCTGCCTAAAACAATTACCATGGACTTGTTAACACATAGCTGTGTTTTAAAATTATTTTGAAAAGGCAAATTTTAAATTTATGGGTTATTTAAAATCACCATTATCACCAGAAAAATGTGCAGCTTTCTGACAAAAATTACACACACACACATGCACACACTCACACGAACACACACACACACATATTTTCCCCCAGAACATTGGAGAAATAATGAAATAACAAAAGCCTATTTCATGAAACACACATTATGTTGGCATCAATGCTTCAGTAATTCCTGATGTTTCTCCTGACAATAACTCAGATTGTTGCAATGAAGACTGTATGTTTGATTATCTGGATACCTGTCATGCATAACTAGAGGGCGGCTGTAAAAAACAGGATTAATCAAAGTAGGATTATAATTTTCTGCAGCACCTGTTTCGACCAGCTGCCTCTGATTGTAGATTCTATTCCTCTAGTCCTCCCAAATTACACAATAAAGCAATTTAGAAATCAGTGGAGAGTCCAGTGTCATTGTGCCAGAATGGAAGTCAAACATTAGAGCAGAGGAACCTTTGAGCTACCTGATTTAATTTGTTCAGATTATTCCAGAAAGAGTGGAGCAAGCAAATAACATAATACATTGGGACATCCTCAAAAAGGTTTTATTTTTAAGATTTTATACCATTTGCTTTGTTCTTATGTGTTTGCTTAAACTTCATACTGAGCACATACTAACAGGAGGAAGCGGAGTTAACTTTTGAAGCTATATATTATTGATCAGAAACTAAAATTATACCTTAGAGTTATAATAATGTATCTAAAATACCATGAAGATTTCTTTCTAAAATATTTTATTAATCAATTTGTTTTATTTACAACATATTAAGCAAAATGTAAACAAGTTAAACTTTACCTAAAACAAGTGATGGCAAGCATGTTATAAGAGGAGTCAATATTGTGTTTATAAATAGGCATAAGCAACCTTGGAAAAGAATTTACAGAGTTTTAAATTCTGTCATGATCCTGAAATGTATTCTCATTATAACAGAGGGGAATGTGTTTTTCAAGTTACTGTTGGGTCTAAATGTACCATTACGTGACTGCAGTCTCCTTGAAATATAAAGGATTTTCAGAATATTTAACTGTTATTAAATTATTTTGGAAGTATAGTATTTATGGTTGTTTCATGAGTTAAATGTAGGTTAAAAGCAGTCTTAGTACAAATAACTTTACAATAAATAAAATTATAATTCACATTATGTTTATAATAAATATTGCTACATAGCATATTTAAGCTCCCTTATGCCCTAAAGGTAGGAACTACAAACATTAAAATATGTAACTATTATTGCATTTTCTCATGATGATATATATATTACTAATAGGATAGACTTATTCCTAAGTTTTCTCTATGATATTCATGTCTTAAGAATGTGTCAGGCATACAAATGAGGAGTTGGTTAAATGAAATTGATTTTTTACAAATATAGTGAAAATAGTATCAATTAAATGCAATCTTATCTTAGCTAACTGTAGTCACTTGTCAAGTAATATAAATGATGTCATATAAATAAAGCGTGCAAAACAATTTTAATGTTGCTGGGGAAACAATAGAAGGTATATTAAGTATTCAAAAACATATATACCTAGAAATTTCAGAAGATAACAATAAATGAAGTAAAGTAGTTAATAAGATTTCTTACAAAGGGAGCAAATCAGTTGCTTTTGGTGAAACACACTAAAATGGGTGCATTTTATCCACAAGGAGTATTAGTTTGGCCCATGACATGTGGCACAAGTGAGGGTTCACTGTCACAAATAAAGTATATGAAAACATATTGAAGTTTTCTGTTGCATGTATGAGATCTATGATATATTAAATATTATATGTGTTCTGTATACATGTCTATATTAAAAGAGAGATATGAATGTACATGAATATGGCAGAAGTGATATTCATATGTTTTCATTTTAAAAATTATACACAAATACATTTTATATTCTTTTAAATGTCATAGTGCTAAAATGTCCATCTTTAATTTACCTTGTTTACTGGTTTCTTTGAGCTTCATACTTAATTAAACTCAGAAATAAACACATATTCTCAAGTGCACAAACCTATTGTTCTGTTTATATTCTTTCCTATAGCTTGAAATATTAACTAACGTAATTCAGGCTCTTTTAATACAATAAAATGCTAGTTGTTTAGTTAACAAAAACCATGATTAACAAAGACATACATATATTTTACCCTTGAGCTAAGAAAATTTTACTTCAGCTAATTAGATGCTTTCTATGATAAAACTATCCCTTCTTTTTGTTTATTAGCCTGAAAGAATGTAAATGAAGAGTTGTTAGCATAAATGCATTTAGAATTCTTAGTTGCTTCTTGTAGTCATGATTTCTGTGAACTATGAATTCAGTTAGCTGTGTATTAAAAACACAG
Organism: Homo sapiens; assembly: GCF_000001405.40. Classification (NCBI taxonomy): domain Eukaryota; kingdom Metazoa; phylum Chordata; class Mammalia; order Primates; family Hominidae; genus Homo; species Homo sapiens. The sequence continues at coordinate 28,241,188 of NC_000014.9, read as the reverse complement.
GGTTGCTGTTGAAACTGTAATTTAGAACAAAGTTCGGAAAACTCAATTTTCAGCTCTATTGTATTTTTTTAAATTAAATTAATGACGTAATTTTCATTGTATTAATTTTCTATTTCACTTGTAAGATGAACAATTTAAGTTCTATTGTATGCTTCTAATTTATTAAAACCTTGTGAAGTAATTTTAAATAGCAGTATAAGAGACTATAACTGAAACTAACTGTCTTCAACTGGGAAACAGTAATATAATATGTGTGGACCTGTTTAGACAGCATATATTTAGCTTACTTTGTAATTATACAATTGTCCTAGGAAACATCCTCGAGTACACTGGAAATCCAATCATGCTTACCAATATGACTTTAAACTTCTAAATGTGTTTCTAGTGGACCAGTAAAGCTACCTATCAAACCAATTTTTCCTTTGTCTATTGATTCTTTAATTTTTCTAAATGACAGCCCCTCTTTCCTCAAACCTGCAATATTTTCCAATTCCCATTCACACTTGATGACTCTAATTCTTATTTTATAAAAATATATCAAATAAAACAGTTCCCACTGCTATAGTCACCTTTTATATGAATCTCTATTCATACATCCTATCTGGTCTTTTGAATCAACTGCCTTTGCTCCTAGCCTAGGCCAGTATCTTTACTTATGCAATAAAACTCCTCCCCTCTTACATATTCCTGTTAATTGTTCTGTTTTTCAATATTCAATTGTTATTTCCCCCCACACTAATGAATGATCACATTTTGAAAAACAAAAATGTTTCTCTCATATTTAAAAACAAAAGAAATTTCTCCAGTAATTTAATAATCCTCCAGCAATAATCCTATTGCACTCAATTGTTTTTATTCCCTTATAGCACAACAAATTTGAAAAAAATTGCTCATAAACCATACTTCCCATTCACCTCCCTTGTACTCTTAACTCTAATCAGGCTTATGTTCCACAGCTGTTCTTATCAAGATAACCAGTGACTTTTACACTGCTAAATGTATGGCCACATTTCAGTCTTTATCTTTCCTAACTTAGTGTTAACATTTGACAAAGTTAATCCTAATCTCATTCTGGAAACAAATATTCACCTAGATCCCAGTAGAATTGCCAGGATTAAGAACTCCCTTTATGAATGCTCCTTTTCAGTTTCCCTTAGTGGTTGTTATTAGTCTGTTCTCACACTGCTGATAAAGACATACCCAAGACTTGGCAAGTTACAAAAGAAAGAGGTTCAATGGACTCACAGTTCCACATGGCTGGGAAGGCCTCACAATCATGGCAGAAGGTGAAAGGCACATCTCACATGGTGGCAGACAAAAGAAGAGAACTTGTGCAGGGAAACTCCCCTTTGAAAACCATCAGATCTCATGAGACTTATTCACTATCATGAGATCAGGATGGGAAAGAACTGCTCCCGTAATTCAATTACCTCCCACCAGGTCCCTTCCCCAACACCTGGGAATTGTGGGAGCTACAATTTAAGATGAGATTTGGGTGGGAACACAGAGCAAAGCCAGATCATTTTGACCCTGGCCCCTCTCAAATCTCATGTTCTTACATTTCAAAATCAATCATGCCTTCCAAACAATCCCTCAAAGTCTTATTTCAGAATTACCTCAAAATTTCATAGTCCAAAGTCTTACCCAAGACCAGGCAAGTCCCTTCAGCTTATAAAATCAAAAGCAAGTTAGTTACTTCCTAGATACAATGTGGGTACAGGCATTGGATAAATGTACCCATTCCAAACGGGAGAAACTGGCCAAAAAGAAGGGGCTAAAGGCCCCCATGAGAGTCTGAAATCCAGCAGGGCAGTCCAATCTTAAAGTTCCAAAATAATCTCCTTTGACTACATGTTTCACACCTGAGTCACACTGATGAAAGAGGTGGGATCCCATGAGCTTGTGTGGCTCCACCTCTTTGGCTTTGCAGGGTATGACCCACCTCCTGGCTATTTTCATGGGCTGGCATTGAGTGTCTGCAGCTTTTCCAGGCCCATGGTGCAAACTGTAATTGGATCTATCATTCTGGGGTCTGGAGGATGGTGGCCCTCTTCTCACAGCTCCACTAGGTAGTTCCCCAGTAGGGACTCTGTTTATGGGCTCCGACCCTACACATCCCTTCCACACCGCCCTAGTAGAGGTTCTCCATGAGAGCCCTGCCCCTGCAGCAAACTTTTGCCTGGGCATCCAGTGATTTCCATACATCATCTGAAATTTAGGCTGAGGTTCCCAAACCTAAATTCTTGACTTGTGTGCACCTGCAGGCTCAACACTACATGGAAACTGCCAAGGCTTGGCACCTCTGAAGCAACAACCCAAGCTGTACCTTAGCCCCTTTTAGCCATGGCTGCAGTGGCTGGGATGCAGGGCAGCAAGTCCCTAGTCTGCACAGAGCAGGGGGGCCCTGGGCCCAGCCCACCTAACCATTATTTCCTCCTAGATCTCTGGCCTGTGATGCCAGGGGCTGCTGTGAAGACCTCTGACATGCCCTGGAGACATTCTCCCTATTTTCTTGGGGATTGACATTTGGCTTCTCATTTCTTATGCAAATTTCTGCAGTGGGCTTGAATTTCTCCTCAGAATTTTCTTTTTTCTATCGCATCCTCAGGCTGAAAATTTTCTCAACTTTTATGCTCTGTTTTCCTTTTAAAACTGAATGTTTTTAACAGCACCCAAGTCACCTCTTGAATGATTTGCTGCTTAGAAATTTATTTCACCGGATAGCCTAAATTATCTCCCTCAAGTTCAAAGTTCCACAAATCTCTAGGGCAGGGGGAAAATGCTGCCAGTTTCTTTGCTAAAACATAGCAAGAGTCACCTTTACTCTAGTTGCTAACAAGTTCCTCATCTTCCTCTGAGACCACCTCAGACTGGATTTCATTGTCCATATTATTATCAGCATTTTGGTGAAAGCCATTCAAGAAGTCTCCAGGATGTCCCAAACTTTCCCACATTTTCTTGTCTTCTTCCGAGCCCTCCAAACTGTTCTAACATCTGCCTGTTACCCAGTTCCAAAGTTGAACTTCCACATTTTTGGGTATCTGTTTAGCAGTGCCCCACTCGACTGGTCCCAACTTACTGTATTAGTCCATTCTCATGCTGCTTAAAAAGCCCTAACCAAGCATGGGCAATTTACAAAAGAAAGAGATTTAATGGACTCACAGTTCCATATTACTGGGGAGGGCTCACAATCATGGCAGATGGTGAAAGGCACGTCTCACATGGCAGCAGACAAGAGAAGAGAATTTGTGCAGGGAAATTCCCCTTTATAAAACCATCAGATCTCATAAGACTTATTCACTATCATGAGAACAGCACAAGAAAGACCTGTCCCCATGATTCATTTACCTCCTTCCAGGTCCCTTCCACAACATGTGGGAATTGTGGGAGCTACATTTCAAGATAAGATTTAAGTGAGGACACAGCAAAACCTTATCAGTGGTTCTTACTGAACTTAACAATATCTAAATATTGGTGTGACCCATGCATCATGATTTGAATCTCTTCTTTTTAAACTACTCTGATTTTGTTTGTAATCTCATCTATATTATGATTTTAAATACCACCTACATTCTAATGGATGTTACATCTTTATTTTTAACCTTGACTTTGCCCCTATGCTCTAAACCTTCATGGTCAACCACTAACTTGACATCTCTGAAATAAAATAAATATTAAAACTTTATATGCTAAACTAAACTACTAAAATGATATACAGAAGCACCCCCAAAGTTTTTCCTCTTAAAATTGTCCCATTACAATACTGTCACCCTTGTTATCCCTGGAAGATTGGTTCTGGGACTCCCTGTGGACATAAAAATCCACAGATGCTCAAGTCCCTTAAGTAAAATAGCACAGTATTTGCATATAAGCTATGCACATCCTCTTGTATACTTTAAATAATCTCTAACTCATTTATATTACATGATACAAGTCCTATATATCATTTTATTTGAGTGGATTCAATATAGTGCTGAGTGTACAGCACATTCAAAATTTGCTTTTTGGAACTTCGTGGAATTATTTTTTTCTCAAATACTTTTGAAACACGGTTGAATCCATGGCTGTAGAAGAGACTCATGGGTACAGAAAGCTGACTTTGTATGAAAACTCTATTCTTTCTGAGTTTTATACATAAATCTGGGATTATCCTTTGCCTTTCTCTCATACTGCACATTAATCCACCATCAAAACCTTTAAAGATATCAGAATATAATCATTTCTCTAGAAGCTCACTGCCATCACCTTTATGTCAATAGGCAATACATATTTGCTTAAGTTATTGCAATAGTCTATTAACTGGTATCCTTTATTCCCCCTTTTACCCTTAAGATGAAAGTATTCATAGTGATTATTTTTAAACACAAGTTATATCAGTCACTTTTCTACTCAGAACCCTTCGGTGACAGGCAGGGATTTGGTCTGATGTAGTGAAGTGCTTGGCAAATATTTTTCCTATGTAACTATAAAACTGAACCAAATAATAATGGTCAAAAGTAACAATTTTAGGCCTCCGGAAATAGATGAAAGTCAAAGAAATATTGAGAAGTATTTATCCATTAAATACTTCTGATCTCCAGGTAAGAATAATAAGTGTCTGTGGCTTTATTACCTGGTGCTGCACCCATCATCCCTAGTTTGGTAGGATTGTAGTTCTACTAGAGATATGCTGAAAGAACCAGCAGCTTTAATACAAGAAAGATCACAGTCAATTTGTAGGAAAGAGAAAAATCTACAAAAAGTGCATTTCTGGTGGCATTTTCCGTAAAAGTAGCAATTTCATTTGTAAAAAGAAAGAAGACCAGAGACTATGCTAGCTAAAGTTACATTACCATTTGCATTAAACAATGGCCCGTCAGACTAGAAACATTTAATAGAAAAATCTTGGAAATACAGCAGCTTCAGAGACAATAATAGGCCTCAACATATACCTGGTTGCCTTTTGTATTCATGTGTAGGGAAGACTGGACATGTGTAGAGATATATCCGTACATCTCTAGCTGATCAAGAGGTTACACACAGAGAATGGTGACACATACAATCTACACAAAGACACATCAACAAATGATGGAAACTTTACTGGCTTGAGATCTTTAAAGATAGTAGTTCACTGATCATTGCCTGACTATAAAACTTTGTAAAGAGAAGGGCAACTCCTGGGATCCCGACTTTAGCAAACAAATAAACACACTAAGCAGAGTCATCAGTAGCCAATCACTGCAGATGGACTTCACAAATTTAATTCCATTATATTTCTAAAGAAGCAAGCAAACAAAAAGCAATGAAAACAGTTCTTGAGAAGTTGAGCATGATTCAAATCCATATTACCTAAAATGTTCCCTTTTAAACAAAAATTTACAAGATGCGCAAAAAATAGAAAAGTGTAATCCATGCTCAGAAAAAGGAGCCATCACTGCAAATAGTCTCTGAGTATGCTCAGATAGTAAGCTTAGCAGAAAAAAACTTCAGAGAAGCTATCATAATATGTTTAGTTAGGAAACCATATGTAAAGGAAAGCATAATGTCATTAACTCAATGCAAAGAGATATTTAATGATGAAATCAAAAGTATAAACATTGAACAAAATGGCAATTATGTATTTTAAAAATAAATTAAAAAATCGACTGGGCATGGTGGCTCACGCCTCTAATCCCAGCACTTTTGGAAGCTGAGGCAGGCAGATCATTTGAGGTCAGGAGTTCAGGACCAGCCTGGCCAAAATGGTGAAACCCCATCTCTACCAAAAATACAAAAAAATTAGCTGGGTGTGGTGGCAGATGCTTATAATCCCAGCTACTGAGGCAGAAGAATTGCTTGAACCCTGGAGACAGAGGTTGCAGTGAACAAAGATCATGCCACTGCAATCCAGCTTGGGTGACAGTGAGACTCTGACTCAAATAAATAAATAAATTCAAGTCATACTAAGTTGTAGATTTGAAGTGTGAAAGATGGAATCAATTAACTTGAAGAGAAATCGATAGAAATTGTCTAAATAGTCGAGAGAAAAAAATGAAGAAAAAAGAAAGCCTCAGAGATCAGTAAGACAGTCCATATACACATAGTAGAAGTCAATTAAGAAGACAGAGAAGTGAAAAGAAAACTATTTAAAAATTAATAGCTTAAAACTTCTCAAATTTCATTAAAACTATTTATCTACAGATGCATAAAGTACAAACTCAACATAAGATAAACACAAAGAGACCCAAATATAGACACATCATACTCAAACTGCTAAAAAATTTTTAAAAAGAGAGAAAATTCTGAAACTTGCAGAAGGAAAATAATCACATCAAGGGATACAACAATATGCTTAATAGCTGACTAACTTTCAGAACAAATGAAGGCCTGAAAGCAGTGGAACAACATATTCAATGTGTTGAAAAAGAAAATTGGTAATCCTGGAACTTTATATCCAGCAAAATGATCTTTCAAAAATCAAGATAAAATAGACATTCTCAGTTAAACAAAGGCTGAGATAAATCGTTACACACAAGCCAACTTCACAAAAATACTAAAGTAAGTCTCTTCTATGAAATAATTTTGTTCCAGATATTTCCACAACTTCCTTAAAATATTTTCTCAAATATCACATTCTCAGTTAGGTCATAAGTGGAAAACCCATCATAAATTGCAATCCCTGACCTCTGACATTTCCTATGTCCTTATCACTATATGTACTGCTTGTGCACTATTGCCATCTTGCATAATATGTGTTTGATGATTCTCCAACCAAAATGTGAACTCTAACAAAACAGATATATTTTCTCTTTCTTCATTTCTATATATCACAGAAGATATTCTGCAAAGGAAGGTTTCTGGGTTTTTTTTTGGTATATTTTGTGTGCAAATGTATGAGTCATGTACAAAGACAGATGGAATGCTCAGAATGGTTAAACTTAAGGTAATGTACTGAAGGTATGATCTACAGTAAGATAATCATAGTAAGAGAGCCAGAAAGAAATTTCGAGGCATCCAGAGTTTAGCAATAGTGGCAAATAGTTTCCATCCATAGAGTTGAAGGGACAAAGGGAGGGAGTGATGTAACTGAAGCAATGTACCTCTAGCTCTTACATTACTTGCATTGTTTGAGGATCAACAAACCAGAGCTTTAGATACTTCCAGACACTGATGAGGCAGAATAGGGTAGTGCAGATAGATATGCCAACCTCTCTGTCTTCCCTAGTGTGCTCTCCAGCTGATGGCTTCCATCGGCAGAACTAATCAGAAACCTAATATGGATGACAAGGTCCTCCTGGTTATGGAGAAGGCAGAGAAAATAAATAAATAAATAAATAATTCTTGGAGGAAAAACCAAGAATAACCAGACTATCATTATATATTTCCAGAAGGTTAGTATTGGGCTTATTAGTCAACTATGACATCAAAACAATTATTATTTCAATATTGAACTTGTAATCTGTAACTATTTTAAAGTGAATGTACAGATTTTTAAAATGACTTTTCCAGAAATTTCACATCTGAATGATATCAATATTTAAAAAGTAGTTGCCTTCCAAAACTATGCACAGATTCTAACAACTGTCTTTTTTCATATTTTTTTGAACTTTATTTCTTTGCATTAAAGAAAACTGTTCTCTAGATTTGAATGTTTTAAAGCATTGTCCTTTGAGGATGAGTCACATATTTTGTAAGTACTCAAAGTCATTATAAACAAAGCTAACTAATAAAGTGGGTGATCATTTTAGGAGATTTCTTGCAAAAATTAGAAAAATTGTCATAATGAGGCTGATTTTCCAAGGCCTATGTAAATAAAAGATCATTCTATTTATAATTAAACCATACATATAGTCAAAATACATAAGAAAATATGGCATCTCCCAAAAATAATTCAAGTTTTAATTTATTGTACATTGTCGTGGCAGAGAACCCTAAATAATTAAAGTATATTTATATTAATGTAAATTTCCAGCTTCCATGTTCAGTAAATTTTGACCAGTATTCTGATTTAAAGTGTCTCTTGGTGGTAACAAGTAAGAGCATCTTATTAACCTTTTGGAACTCATTAATGAGGTAACATAATTAAGTTGTGTTTTAATAATTAAGAATGTGTTTTCCTGGTGGTTGAACAAACAACCCTTTTAAAAGGTGAAATGTCGTATCCCTATTATACAAATATGTTATTTTCTTTGCCCTACTCTTCCTGAGGTAAGAAATGATGTTGATCATAAAATATATATATTTAAAGGAGATGGTTGTGAGGTTGATTTTTGTTCCTTCCCCTTTTCAGCTGTATGATTCTGGTATGTGACTTAACTTCCTCTAAATCTCAGTTTCTTTGTAAAACAAGGATAATAAGATTCTACTACTTGCTTGGAAGATTAAAGTATAGAATAAACTTAAAGTTCTTAAAATACTGCCTGTTTTTAATTTTGTCTTTATTATGTAGGAAAAGCAGGACAGTAAATATTTATAGACTCCACAAATTTTGGACTACATAATCTAATCACAAATATGCTGATATTTATCTTTAAAATTTTCTTCCATAATTTCAATAGAATTAAATTTAAATGACTGCCAATATTTTTTTCTGGTGACATAAATTTAATTTGGAAATATGAGTGAATATTTAATGTGAAAGTAATACATGCAATTTTTTTAATTGAAGTAAGGGCAAAATATGTAGAATTTATTTGGCTGATACATAATATTTCTAAAGACTCTTTGAAATTTACTTTTTTGGATTAAAATATCAAAAACAAAATTGGGCTTTCAAAGAAATTATATAAATAAAAGAGTATTATTAAAATAGCCATAGACTAACAAACTACTTGACTTAGACTCTTATTTTAGTTATTCTCTTATTTGTGCAACTTTGGACAAGTTATAAAATATCGTGGGATTCAGCTTTCTTATCTGCAAAATAGCGTAATTTCTAAGGACTGTCACATCTAACAGGAATAGTCATTAGAAGCATGGGTTTTGGATTAAGAGACTTCCTGTTCCAGACACATTACTAATTTAAGTAACTTTGGGCAATTGACTTAACATATTTCTCTAAGCCTTTATTTGTGAAATATAATTAATAAGGCAACTCTATTTCATAGAGTTACAGGATTAAAAGGGATAATATATGTGAAGCATTTAAACGAGTTTGTGGAACTGAAAACAATATTTAAAAGTATTCATTAAGATGATGACTATACACTGATTTTATCATCAGTGACTTTTACCTAAATTCCTTCTGTCAAGCATATTAGATAAATAAAACCAAAAACATTAATTGATATGGTTTGGCTGTGTCCCCAACAAAATCTCATCTTGAATTATACTCCCATAATTTCCACATGTTGAGGGAGGGATGTGCTGGGAGATAATTTTAATCATGGGGGCAGTTGTGGTAGTGAATACATCTCTCTGCACTTGACGGTTTTATCATGGGTGTCTGCTTTTGCACCTTCCTCATTTTCTCTTGCTGCTGCCATGTAACAAGTGTCTTTCACCTCTTGCCATGATTCCAAGGCCTCCCCAGCCATGTGGAACTGAAAGTTCAATTAAACCTCTTTTTCTTGCCAGTCTTGAATATGTCTTTATCAGCAGCATGAAAACTGACTAATACAGTAAATTGGTACCTGTAGAGTGGGGTTTTGCTGAAAAGATAAACAAATATGTGGAAGCAACTTTGGAACTGGGTAACAGACAGAGGTTGGAACAGTTTGGAAGGCTCAGAAGAAGACAGGAATATGTGGGACAGTTTGGAACTTCCTAGAGACTTGTTGAATGGCTTTGACAAAAATACTGATAATGATATGGACAATGAAATCCAGGCTGAGGTGATCTCAGACGAAGATGAGGAACTTGTTGTGAAATGAAGCAAAGGTGACTCTTGATATGTTTTAGAAAACAGTCTGGCAGCATTTTGCCCCTGCCCTAGAGATTTGTGGAACTTTGAACTTGAGAGAGATGATTTAGTGTACCTGGCAGAGGAAATTTCTAAGCAACAAAGCATTCAAAAAGGTGACTTGGGTGCTGTTAAAGGTATTCAGTTTTAAAAGGAAAACAGAGCGTAAAAGTTCAGAAAATTTGTGGCCTGACAGTGTGATAGAAAAGAAAATCCCATTTTCTGGGGAGAAATTCAAGCCAGCTGCAGAAATTTGAATAAGTAAGAGGAACTGAATGTTAATCTCCAAGACAATGAGGAAAATGTCTCCAGGGTATGTCAGAGGTCTTCACAGAAGTCCCTCCCGTTAGTCAAGGGCCTGGAGGCCTAGGAGAAAATGGCTTCATAGGCTGCGCCCAGGGTACTGTGCTGCATGCAGCCTGGGAACTTAGTGCCCTGTGTCCCAGCTGCTTCAGCCATGGCTGAAAGGGGCCAACATAGAGCTGGGGCCATGGCTTCAGAAGGATGTAAGCCCTAAGAATTGGCAGCTTCCATGTGGTATTGAGCTTGCAGGTGTACAGAACTCAAAAATTGGGATTCGGAAACCTCCGTCTAAATTTCAGATGTATGGAAACGCCTGGGTGCCCAAGCAGAAGTTTCCTGCAGAAGCACCCCTCTCATGGTGAAACTGCTAGGCCAGTGCAGATGGGAAATGTGGGGTCAGAGCCCTCACACAGAATTCCTACTGGGCCACCACCTAGTGGAGCTGTGAGAAGAGGGCCACCATCCTCCAGATCCCAGAATTGTAGATCCACCTACAGCTTGCACTGTGCACCTGGAAAACCCACAGACACTCAATGGCAGCCCATGAAAGCAGCCAGGAGGGAGGCTGTACCCTGCAAAGCCACAGGGCAGACCTGCTCAAGATCATGGGACCCCACCTCTTGCATCAGCATGACCTGGATGTGAGAGCTGGAGTCAAAGGAGATCATTTTGGAGCTTTAAAATTTGACTGCCCCACTGGATTTTGGATTTGCACGGATCCTGTAACCCCTTTGTTTTGGCCAGTTTCTCCCATTTGGAACAGCTGTATTTACCCAATGCCTATACCCTCATTGTATCTAGGAAGTAACTAGCTTGCTTTTGATTTTACAGGCTCATAGATGGAAGGAACTTGTCTTGTCTCAGATGATACTTTGGACTGTGGACTTTTAGATTAATACTGAAATGAGTTAAGACTTTGGGGACTGTTGGTAAGGTATGACTGGTTTTGAAATGTGAGGACATGAGATTTGGAGGGGCCAGGGGCAGAATGACATGGTTTGGCTGTGTCCCCACCCAAATCTCACCCTGAATTGTATTCCAATAATTCCCTCATGTTGTGGGAGGGACCCAGTGGGAGATAATTTGAATCATGGGGGCAGTTTCCCCCACACTGCTCTTGTGGTAGTGAATAAGTCTCATGAGATCTGATGGTTTTATCAGAGGTTTCTGCTTTTGCATCTTCCTCATTTTATCTTGCCGCCGCCATGTAAGAAGTTCCTTGCCATGATTCTGAGGCCTCCTCAGCCATCTGAAACTGTAAGCCCAATTAAACCTCTTTTTGTTCCCAGTCTCAGATATGTCTTTACTAACAGTGTGAAAATGGATGAATACATTCATTCTTTCAGATAGTCAAGATGCAGAAGAAGTTGACAAGTTACCTATATGGTAGAATATACTGGGTAATTATAATATTGTTTGTAAATATTCTGTTGAATGTATATATTGCTGTGTTCCTCTTTCTATGTACAGTAATGAAATTGACAAGTAATCCAGGAAAAAAACTTGTTTCCAAAAATGTATAATAATTTCACTCAAAATTCTCTAGAAATTTAATATACCTTTTTATTTTAACTACATTGATTATTATTTCATGCCTGTAGCTACATGTTGACCGTCTTGCTTTGCTTAAGACATGTAAACTACTCTCATTTGTCATTCACAGTCCTGAGAAACATGAACAACAATGTAACTTTAGAGATTTACCATGGTTCAATGGACATAATGTATGTATTTTGACATGTTTATATATAAGCTTATACATATACATTTGCATAAGTGTATCTATTACTTACCACTGTATCTACTATTTTTATGTACACCAAATATAACAGAATCTTTTCAGCTTACACAGGAGCACATTATGAGATTCACCATTCTCAATAAAAACAATGATAATCAGATTTTAGAAGTTTGAGTCAAGATTTGATTTGGTTAAACATTAGATGAGCATTACCTTTATTATTATTCCTATTTATTTTGTGCATAGCTCAAAGTAACTTCTGGGAATCAAGCTTTCTTTATTTTCTATCCTCACTTTGCAAATTAATATAAGGTTAATAAAGATGTTCACAAAATCCCAATTCTAATTATTTAGTTATCAGCCCCACTGATTTCCTTGGGGGCAACCAAGCTAACTATTTTCTTTCTTTATTTTTTGATTAAATACCATTATAGTTTTTCTAAACTCCAAATTGTATTTTTAACATCTAGCACTTTATTTGTTCTTTCAAATGATTGGGAAGTTTTGTTTAGAGTTTAATGATTATTGTTTTAAGATAACCTCAATATTTTAGTTACAAGCATAATGATGTATGAATCTTAGAATAATCTATAACCTATAAGATGTTAACATTTTAATGTAAAGAAAGACTGAACACTGATATTTTATGTGGAAAGTCTCCATAAAGAAAACATTACTTCAATATGTAAGCAATATTTTTGTTGTTACCTTTCCAAAATAATATAAATGGTTCTTAACTAAGAGTACTAGTGAAGATTATATTGATTAAAATGAATAATTCAAGCTATGACTTTCAGAGCAAATTCTTTGTTCTAATATATAAATATAATATATTCATTTATTCTTTCACCAAAAAAATACCAAACTCCAATTGTAAAAAGAAACTTATGTTCAAAGTAATAAATATATTTTGGTATCAATAAGCATTATATTTAAAAGGAACTATATTTTCTATAGTATCACAATAATAATTACAAATTTAATCTTTGAGTTTTCTAAAAATGTTAAAAAATAACTTCCATGATAAAAATTGAGATATTATCTTATAATCCTGTAATGTCATTGTATTAGTCCATTTTCACACTGCTCTAAAGAAGTACCCAAAATTGGATAATTTATAAAGGATACAGGTTTAATTGACTCACAGTTCCGCATGACTGAGGAGGCCTTAGGAAACCTATAATCACGGTGGAAGAGGAAATAGGTACTTCTTACATGGTGGCAGTTGAGAGAGAGCATGTGTCAATGCAAGAAAAACTACCATTTGTAAAACCAGCAGATCTCATGAGAATTCACTCACTATCATGAGAACAGCATTGGAGAAATGACCCCCATAATTCAATCACTTCCCTCCCTCCACATGTGGGGATTACAGGTCCCTCCCTCAACACATGGGGATTATAATTTGAGATGAGATTTGGGTGGGGACACAGAGTCAAGCCATTTCAGCCATGTTTGGAGCTCTTAATCTTATAACTAGGATATGTCTCTTATTGTGTACTACAAACAATATGAATTAGAAGTTTGAAAATCATGTTATTAGTTCCTATACCCTGACCGTATAACAAATTCATACCAAAATTTTAACAATTTTTGTCAAAATGTTGGTTGAAAATATAAATAAGGGAATTTGAAGATATTGTTATAAATACAGTTATAATTAGATATTTACATAAATAATCCTTTTTTGGGAGTTAAATATTTTCCCTCTATCAACTTCTGTTTCTTTTATTAAACACTTCAAAAAATTACTGGTCATGTGTTGTGGCTCATACCTGTAATGCTAGCAGTTTGGAGGCCTAGATGGGTGGGTCACTTGATGTCAGGGGTTCAAGACCAGCCCGGCACACATGCCAAAACCCTTTTCTGCAAAACACAGCGTGGCGTGGTGATGCATGCCTATAAACCCAGCTACTCGGGAGGCTGAGGTAGTAGAATCACTTAAACCCAAGAAGCGGAGGTTGCAGTGAGCCAAGATCATGCTACTGCACTGCAGCCTGGATGATAGAGCAAGACTCTGTCTCAAAAAAAAAAATAAAAACAAACAAACAAAAAAACTTCTTTTTTTGTGTACATTAACCATTCTTTCATCATAAGTAAAGGAGTAAAACAAGTTTGGTGACCAAAGGTGCTTTGTTTTGTTTATATCACTGAGAGTTGTGCTCTATTATAAGAATTATTTACCCCTAAAATATCTGCTTAAAATTTTGCGAAGCTATTCTCAAAGATAAATTTCACAGAATAAGTTTGCTATAACTTTGTACAATTTTGGTGAACCATAGTTATTTGTGACCTTCAATAATATGGTAATTTATTTAAATATGTTTTACTAATTAAGAATATTTAAAATAAGAGTGCACGTAAATTACTCTTACCAATTATCTATATAAGAAATTATTGAAATGATCAATTACCATAATCAACAATCATTACTGAAATAAGATAATAAGCATCTTCAAAATACTAACTGAATAAATTTTTTAAATGTTTTCCCTAGGGGATTTAAATTTGTTCCCTAATCCCTTGGCTTTAGAAGATTGATGGAACAAAATGTCTATACCATAACACAAACCAAATAATGTCACTAATGTTTTTCATGTAAAGATAATAAATACGTAAGAAAGAAGTGTGTATATTTTCTATTTCAAGTATGAGTTTTATTATCTTTATGCTTGGATAATAGAAATGAAAAAAATTTGAAGGATCCTAATCCCATACCTTCACTTCAGGTCATTCAAATAAAGGCAGATAGTTGGGAATTTTTTAAGCTCTTCAGAGATCCACATTTTATAACCTACGTCATTAGTCACTCAGTTATTTGTTTCTTAGTGACTTAAGATGTTTTTCTGAATATCAAATGACTCTTTCTCACTTTTAGTTGCTCATTTTCTCTTACTCAGTGACTACCATGGTAATTATCATAATAAACCATCTTTCATGTATTCCAAGGTAGGGATTACATTGCCAATCAGCCTTCTCCATTCTGAAGTGACCAATGTACCATTTCTTTTCCTATCTTGTGGGCATTGCTCATTTTGATGGCTAATTTTAGCTGTCAACTTGACTGGATTAAGGGATACCTAGAAAGCTCCTAAAGCATTATCTGCGGGGTGTCTCTGTGAGTGTGCTTCCAGAGGAGACTGGCAGGTGATTCAGTGGATGAGTGGGGAAGATCTGCCCTCAGTGTGGGTGGACACCACCAGTTGTTGGGGAGACAGGATAGAAGAAAAAGGCAGAGGAAAGGCAACTTTGATCTCTACTTCTCCTGGAGCTGGAAAACCTTCTTCTCCTCCTTAATCTTTGGAGAAAACCACATCAGAACTCTGGGTTCTCTGGCCTTTGGACTCCAGGACTTATACCAGTCTTCCCCACTGCCCCCAAACTCCCTGCCCCAGTCCCTCAGGCCTTTAGCCTCAGTCTGAGAGTTATAGCATTGGCTTCACTGATTCTGAGGCCTTGGAATATGGACTGAGCCACACTACCAGCCTCACTAGTTCTCCAGCTTACAGGCAGCATATTGTTGGAGTTCTCCGCCTCCATAATTTTAACAATTCCCCTAATAAGTCCCCTCTTCACTTTCTATCCATCCATCCATCTGTCTAATCACATTTCTTCTGTCTCTCTGGAGTACCCTGATTAATGTACTCACTTACCCAAGGTTGGTTTTGTCTTTTGTTTTCCCCCACATGCTTTAATGAATAAAATGAGCCAAACTGAATAGCATATAATTCACCGACAGTGCAGCAAACAGAAATCATTCTAGATATCTGAAGCAATGCCACTACTAATAAATAAGGCATTTTTTAACTTCCCAAATTTTGGAAAGGAAGAGAAGTCATAGAACATCTTTGGAGAAAAACCACCCCATAGCTGCAATTCAGAACTCAAAAAGTCTCATAGTACCCGCATTTCCACCTAATTTATCTCTCATGAGCCTCAATGAGGAACCTGGACAAGAGTGTAAGTAAGGTGTGATTCCTGCAATTGCTTCTCTATTTTCACATTTCTACAACCTTGCTGTCATCAGCAACAATAAGCAGATGCCCCTCCTTTCATTTCCTTCTTCCAAATTTCACATGAGTTTGTATGATGGGTAAAACTTAATTTCTAAATAAGGATTAAGCCTGCTAATTTGTGAAGATAGAGGCAACATATGCAAAGATTGAAAGAGCTTCACTAGCAAGGCAGAGCAATGACCAAATTAGGTCAAAATGAGAAAGCTTAGGTTCAACAGGAGCTGTGGTTAATGGGTGTTTGCTCTGTGTCAGAATGTGTTAAACTACAATAGTGTTTTTAGCTACTATTACCTGATTTAATAAACTCTTAATGGGCTAAAAATTTCATATATGAACCAATTGGCTTTCTATATTTTACTGATAGTATGTCTTCTTTTTGCTAATCATTGATTACCTAATTAATTTATACTAGAAAAATTGACAGTATACAATTAAAATGTTATTGTAAATTAGTAGAAAATTAATGGGTTATTTATTGGCATTTGAGGAAAAATAAAATATTTTAGGGCAAGTTAAGTCAAAACAATACTTCAATCACAAATAAAAATTAATTTCAGAAAGAAAAATAAATACTATTGTATTGGAATAAAATATAAGTAAATATATAATCTTGTAGAAATAGACCGTTTAAAGTATCTCCTCAAAACCAAAAATCATAGAGGAAAACTCTTTAGTTGACTGCATTATAAACATTACTTTCATACTGAAAGTGAATCAACTTTTGATTGTATTAAAAGGCCATCAACAAATTTTAAATGGATCTTGGAAATATACATGGAAAAGGCTAACTACACTTTTATATCAATCACTTTTCATATTAATTAAAAAGAGAATATTACTCTTAAAAGAGAAAAAAGACATAATACAGAAGAAGAAATGTACAAATATCTTATGTAAAACAATTCCAATCCCAGTAATGACACCTAGGCAAGTTTCAAATATATAGGGATAATTTTCTTTCCTTATTTTATTGAAACACATATATCATCTGGTCGGTATTAGTATTGGCAGAAGTCAATTTTGTAATTATATGGAATAATTTATAGATGAACATTTCCTTTGAAAGAGAATTTTGAAAGAGAGATTTTAAAAATTTATCCTAAGTACATACTTGCCAATGCATGCAAAAAATGTCTCTATCAAGATGTTCATTTTAGTGGAATATTAATTAGAGTAAAAATTTAAAAACAACCTAAATGTCCAAAAAACTGGACTGGTAAAATAAACCAAGGTGCATTCTAATAATATTTTATTAACTTTTTATTATGGAGAGATACATATGTGTGTATGCGTCTATATTTATATTTAAATATATTCTTGAAATAGTGTTAAGTTATAATGCAAGGTTGTAAAGTAGCTTCTAACAGTGTAAAACAAGTAACGATTTTCTCTGTCTTTTTTTCTCTGTGTGGCTTTCTCTGTCTGGTCAAAACAAAGACTGAAAGACTGTACATCAAAAAGTTAGTGGTGGTTATTTCTGTCCGTTTGAACCATTTTCTTCATTTTTTGATTTTCACTGTTGTTTGAACTTTTATTAATTTAATGTATATTTCTTTATTAATTAAAAAAATTTAATTTTAATAAAATTTTACTAAGGAATGATTGAGTAGATAATTGAGTAAATTAACCATTGACTCACCTTATTCTGTAAAGCAACTAGCAAACAATATCAACAAATCTAAATAAATATGAATAAGAGCAATTTAAAATAATTAAAAGTAGGAGAAAAAATATAATAACATATGACAGAAATTACAAAAATGCAACAGAAAATACTTTTTATGATAATAAAATGAAAAATACATATACATTGTATTTCCTTAAACTGATTCAATATGACATAAAAACCTGAGCAATAACTGTGTAAACATTAATAAAAATATTAAGTTACATATAAAAGTAATGTATTACATTTATAGGGAACTATTTTTAAAAATTTTAAAAAGAATTACATTTTTTCAATAGTATAGAAAAAGACCATCACTATGCAAAGAGTTATACGAACCTTATTAAAACCTACTTTTTCAGCGACAAAGTTAGCAAACACAGAAAACATAACATGGTAAATGTCATATTAGTGTTTTAGGAAAGTGGATTTGGTTGAAAAGCACAAAATAAATTGTATGTGGGAGAAATTAAATGAAGAAACCAACCAAGAGTATCTGAATTAAAACTGAGTTGAATGAAAAGGAGGAATAAAGGAGGCATTTTGAGAAAAACTATAGAACTTAGTAGTAAGACATTTGACTGAATTACATTAATAACCCTGGATAAATCATGTATGATCTCCACGATCAGTTACTTCAAATGTAAAATCTGAGTTGCAATAAATTGTTTGTTTTATAGTTGTGGTTCTCAAAATTCCCAGAAGTTGATGGTGCTAAATTAATATAACAACGGCCTTGGTGTGTGTGTGTGAGACGTGGGGGCAGGCTAGAGTTGAGGGGAGAGACAGAATGATTGAGATTTCCATTCCTAACTTCAGCTGAAATAGGTCAATATGATTTTAAGAAAAATGGTACTCTAAGGTTAATAATCAGAAATACCAACATTGTGACATACATCTTCCCAAGTCTGTTCCTTTATCCAACCTTTATCTGTTTATTCTGGTATTTACTTCCATATTTGCAAACAATATTCTTCAAATACCCTTTTTTGTTTATCAATTTCAGGCATTTTTTTTTTACTTTCAGGCATTTTATAAATTTTTCAGGCATTTCTACTATGGTAATACAAATTAGTTATCTTAGTCACCACCATGAAGTTCTTACTTAACATCCTTTCCTCCTCCCGTTAAAGTACATCTCAATATTTGATTAAAAAAGTCTGTAATATTTACCCTATACTATGATTGACTATGGTGATACAGAAATATTTGTTTCTTTTTTCTTTGTTATTTCTGATATTCACAATCTCTAGTTCTCTCTTAATTTTCTATCTTCTAAGAAAATTGTAAACCTTGGTGAATATTGTATTACACATAGTAAACACATTAGGGGCTCTATAAGTATTTTTATTTTTTAATTTTCTTGAAGACCTTTTTGAGCCCTGTCTCCAATCTTTTGATCTGGACTGCTTGATTTAATACTATGTCCTTTTCTTTCTTGGTTTATATCCTACTTTTGTTGATAACGACCTATGAACTTTTGAAGATACATTTTTTGATAATTTACATTACACAGATTATTTGATAATATATTTTAGAAAATATATTTATTTGAGCTGCATTTTGATTATTTACATGTGTTTAGATAGCTAAGTTAAAAAAATATTTTCCCTCCAAAATAGAAAGGCATTCATCTATATTGTCTTCTAGCTTCCAATGCTGCTGTTCTGATTTTTGATCCCTATATGTGAACTGTTCTATTCTCTCTGGCAGTTATGGTTTTCTTTAGGTCTGTAGAATCTCGAAATTTTTTTGAAAAAATACCATGGTGTAGTAGTGTAGGACTTCAGGAAAACTTGACCAATCATTTTAGTAGAAAACTAATGTCTTTAATTTTTTTAAAAAATTACTTGACCTCTAATATTTTTCCTTCTTTTATTTTGTTGTTTGAATTTTCTGTTATCTGGCCACTGATATTCTTAAACTGATAATGTATTCATTTTCATCTTCTATTTTGAATTTTTTATTTTTATGCTAATTTTAATATTTTTCCTGAACAGTGTCTTGCATTTTTCAGTGTGTTTAATGACACTTGTGAATGGAAGATTTTATTATAGAAAATTCCCTCTGATCATTTTCACTGGGGTTTGTAAACTTTTAGTATCTGCAAGCCTTTCTCTTGGGCCAATTTCCTTCTTGAGAAAGGATCTGCCCAACTTCCAAATGGAGGTTATAAATCTGGCTGCCAGAATTATTGAAATGAAGATGGAATACGTAAATAAAGGTGTAAATTTGGGGGGGAATGAAAGACTAGATGATCTTTAAATTCTAGCATTCTTTGCATCCAAACATTAAAACTAGGTTAATGATGAAATGAAGCTACACAAAACAGAAATGTGGAAATTCTGGATTAAAGTTTTTTTAAGAGTAAGAATAATGCCTTTTACGCTTGAATTTGAAATGATGTTGAGAAATCTAAGTGAGAATATCAGTCAACTGTAGATAAGCATGGCTGTATGGGTGCTAAACAGGGCTTAAATTAAAGTTAAAATATGCTGCATTCATTATTAAATACTTATCAGTATCTTATGCTGTATGCAATAATTTTTTGCAGCAGATAATATTACCTTTCAGTACACAGAGATTTCTTAGGAAAACAAAACAAAACAAAAGCAATAAAACAAACCATACCTGGGTGACTTCTCCTCTTAAATACATGTATAATATTCTGTGGTCATTAATAGTAGATATTATCTCAAAGATTTATCTTTAATTATATCAGAGCAAAGAAAATACTAGAAAACAAAGTTTAAGACATAAAATTCACTGAGAAATTAGTGCAAAATCCAATCTACTTAATCTATTAACACAAAGACGATGGAGCCTTATTTTCACATGCAATGTTGAGCAGAACCAGAACATCAGGGCAGTGTGCACAGAGGGCATTCTTCCTCAGTGATGAGGATCATCCTCTGCATTTGGCCACTGCTACAGTTTAGATGTTTGCTGTGATGCCATCTGTTAAGGTTGATTGTATAGTGACCTTAGGCAGTCTGAAACCTGTTCAATTGAGACCATAGATAGCGTTCTGGGTGGGAACCAGGAGGACAGATGGTAGGGTTGGAGATGAGGAACTTGTTTGTTACAGCTGATGAAAATCATTCTTCTTGCCAAAGCCATTAAATGCTATATCCTTGGCACAGCATTTCTCAACAAACAGGGTGTCCCACTTGGTGGGTTAGCTGCAGGTGAATTGAAGCAGTCAACAGTCCCTGACTATTTACGTTTGTCTAGTTCTTTACTTTTCCATCCCTAATATCGTAGGATGAAAACAAGGTTCAGCAACAGGGAACAGTTTGTGCTCAGTTATGTAGCTTTAAAAATATACCTATACAATGGCAGTACAACTGGACTATAACTTGGCAGCTAATTAGAAGTTTAGAAAAATTTTTAATTGAATAAAATTGAATAGACAGAAACTTCTATAAGGAAACTGGCTAAAAAACTCAAATAAATCAACTTGTAATATCCGTGTACATGTTTAATGAAGACATATCAATTCCAATTGTTTGAGAAAAATGTATTAAGATCATCTTACAGAATTTAAAAGTGTGTGTGATTAGACAAGATAATTATTATGAATTGATTTTTGCAACTTTCAAAGCAGAAAGTTTTGCCCACCCACATAGAATTTCATATTTGATAGCCCGAAAATGCTACTCATCAAAAGTATGAATATCTAAGCTAGGTAAACTACAGAATTATTTTAAAGCATTTTCTTAAGCATAAGATATTTAAAAGTCAAAGTCAACATGAAAAAAGTGAACATTATAGATAATAATAACTTTTAGAATTAAAAAGAAAGCATAAAGTTAGAGAGTGATTTTCACTAATCATATTAATTGTTTCCTGGGAGGTTACACTTAAAGCAAACCTAGTTTCTATGGAATTGGTGTAATGTAATTTATTTAGCCAAGTCCTGTGAATGAAATGTTGGTTGTGCTCAATAATATTTCCACTTCCTTTGATTATTGTTGACAATGTTGCAGAAATATTCCTGTATATGCTTCTTGTGTCCATACCTGAGTATTTTCTAGAGAGAACATATTAAAGTGGGATTTTGTTACGATAGAGCAGGTGAATATTTAATGTTTCCATAACTCCCTCTCAAGTGGCTCTACCAATTTAAATTCCTAGAATCTCTATGAAATACTCTATCTTTCTACAAGCCAAAAACAGATAATCTTAACAAATGTTTTAATTTTTGCTAAGATATATGAAAACATGTATAATCATTGCTTTTATTTATATTTCCTATCAGGTTGAATATGTTGTTTTCTTTATAATTGATTAATGTGAATACACATTTATTTG
Organism: Homo sapiens; assembly: GCF_000001405.40. NCBI lineage: Eukaryota > Metazoa > Chordata > Mammalia > Primates > Hominidae > Homo > Homo sapiens. The sequence continues at coordinate 28,219,289 of NC_000014.9, read as the reverse complement.
TGTTTATTTTCAATAGATTTTTTTACTGACTAGTTATTTTGTATTAGGCAAAGAATACATAATGGTGATCAAAGTTGAGAAAATGCCTGACTCCTCAGAAGTTATAATGCAGTGAGGTGTCAAGAATAAATTTTTTTCCAGCTGGACTACTCATTTGTAAAATTTTTTAAAAATTGATTTTATAAATAATATTTTATTTATAATATTTAATTCATCCCAAGTCTGTGGTTGTTTCCATTAATTATATTGTGGTATCTATAGTTTTGCTACCTTTTTTTGCTCTTGACTACATTTAAGGTATTTTTGATTTTCTGTATAAAATACAGAAAAAGCTCTATATTTTATGAATATATTTATAAATTGTAGACAGTTCTTCCTGTTTCAAAATATATTATTTTCTTAATTTTATTTTCTGTTTTTGTAATGTTTCTTCTTCCCTAGATACACTAACTGAAGCTAAACTAATTTTTCCTTGAATATATTTTTTAATTCTAAGATTATTATGTAAAATTATTTTTAGAGTTACTAATTTTCCTTTGGAAATTTGGTTCATTCTCTGAATTTTAGTTTAATTAAATTAATATTTAATTTTATTTTGTACTTTCTGACACAATAGTCATTTTGAAGTGTATCATGCTTTGGTGTTATTTTAATTTCAGTTTTTTTAGATTACAAAAATGAATACTTTATTAGTAAATTTAGTTTATAACACCTTGGTCAGAGAATGTGATCCGAATAATATTTTTAAAAATGTAATCAGTGTTTCTAATTTTTATGATTAATTTTGTAGAGAGGAGTCAGCGCAAGATTGGAGAATAGAAGCCTACACTATTTGTCCCCTCTGCAGGTATACCAAATTTTAACAATCATCTGCACACAGAAAAGCACTATCACAAGAACCAAAGCTCAGGTGAGCAATCACAGTACCTGATTTTAACTTCATTTTACTAAAAGAGGCCTTCAAGAGGGTAGGAGAGACAGTCTTGAATCGCCAACACCACCCATCCTCCATCCCTAGCAGCAGCCTTGCAATGAAGAGAATTTGTGCCTTTGCAGGAAGGAGAGTGCAGCAACTGCAGGACTTTTACATTGAACTCAGTACTGCCCTGTCACAGTGCAGAATAAAGCTGTGCTGGGCTCAGCCAGTGCCCACACAGGGAGGAGGCATTTGGATCAGACCTAGCCAGAGGGAAATCACCCATCCCAGTGGTCAGAACTTGAGTGTTTTTGCAAGCCTCACCACTACAGGTCAAAATGCTCTGAGGTGCTAGGTAAACTTGAAAGACAGTATAGGACACAAAGCTTGTAATTCCTAGGTAACTTCTAGGGCTGAACTTGGCCCAGAGCCAGAGGACTAGGGCAGCAAGCAATATAGTGTATCACCAGCTGGGGTGGCTAAGGGAGAGCTTTTGCTATCCTTCCCCCACCCCAGACAGTGAAGCTCACAGCAACAAAGTGACTCCCTCCTTCTGCTTAAGGAGAGGAGAGCAAAGAGTAAAGAAGACTCTGTCTTGCATCTTGAATACCAGCTCAACCACAGTAGGATAGGGGACCAGGCAGAATCATGAGTACCCCCATTCCAGGCTTAAGCTCACAGATTACATTTCTAGATGCACCCTGAGCCAAAACAGAACCCACTGCCTTGAAGGGAAGGACCCAGTCCTGGCAGAATTCATGACCTACTGACTAAAGGGTCTTTGGGCCCTGAATAACCAGCAGTGTTACTCAGATAGTACTCCACTGGGGCCTAGGGCTCTGAGATGTGCTGTCTTCAGGTGTGACCCAACCCATTTCCAGCTGTGGTGATTATGGCAAAAGACTCCTTCTGTTTGAGTAAAGGAGGGGGAAAAGTAAAGAGGATTCTGTCTTACACCTTAGGTACCAGCTCAGCCACAGTGGGGTAGAGGAACAAATAGCCTCTTGGGGTCTCTGAATCTAGGTCTAGGCTCTTAGATATCATTTCTGGACCTTCTCTGGGCCAGAGGGGAGACCAAGCCCTGAATGATGAGTTCCAGGCCTAGCAGCATTCACTATAAGCTAACTGAAGGGTTCTTGGGCTTTAATTGAACATCAGTGGTGGACTGGCTGAACTCCCCCATGGGCTGCTGATGGTGGTGGCCATGGGGAGAGGCTCCTCCACTTGTGAAAATTGGAGGGAAGAGTGGGAAAGACTGTTTTGTGGTGTGAGTGCAAGCTTAGCCACAGTAGAATACAGAATCAGGCAAATTACTAAGGTTTTTTTTAACTCTAGTGTCTGGCTCCCATTCAATCTGTGGACCTGCCCAGGGCCTGGTAAAACTTGCTACCCTAAAGGGAAGGACACAAACCTGGCTGGCCTCACCACCTGCTGATCATAGAGATGAAAGGTCTTGAGTGAGCATAAGTGGTAGCCAGGTAGTGTATACAGCAGATCTTGGGTGAGACACAATGCTGTGCTGGCTTCAGGTCTGACCTAGCACAGTTCCAGTGGTGGTGGTCACAGAGGTGCTTGCATCGGGACACTCCCAGTTCAAGGCAGCTCAGCAAAGAGACACTCCATTTGTTTGGGAGAAAATAAGGAAAAAGAACAAGGGTCTCTACCTGGTAATCCAGAAAATTTCTTTGGAGCTTATCCAAGACCACCAAGTTGGTACCTCTGAAGTCTGCAAAAACCACAGCATTCGTGGGCTTTGGACTCAGGTTCCCTTGGATACCTGGAAAGAATTCCCAAGAAGGACAGGCACAAATAAGCCCAGATTGTAAGGACTACAACAAATACCTAAGTCTTTCATGCCCTGACACCAATAAACATCTACAAGCATCAAGATCACCCAGGAAAACATGACTTCACTAAATGAACTAAATAAGGTGCCAGGAATCAATCCTGTAGAAAGAGATATGTGAGCTTTTAGACAGATAATTCAAAAGAGCTGTTTTGAGAAAACTCAAAGAAATTCAAGAAAACACAAAGAAAGAATTCAGAATTATATCAGAAAAATTTAACAAAGAGATTGAAATAATTAAGAAGAATAGAGCAAAAATTCCACAGTTGAAAAATGCAGGTGACATATTGAATGATACATCAGAGGTTCTTAATGACAGAACTGATCAAGCAGAAGAAAGAATTAGTGAGCTTGACGACAGGCTATTTTAAAATACACAGCCAAGGGAAACAAATGAAAACAGAATAAGAAAGAATGAAGCATGCCTACAAGAGCTAGAAAATAGCCACAAAAGGGAAAATCTAAGCGTTATTTACCTTAAAAAGGAGGAAGGGAAACTGAAAGAGATGGAGGTAGAAAGTTTATTCAAAGGGGGTAATATCACAGAACTTCCAAAATTAGAGAAAGATATCTGCATTCATGTACAAGAAGGTTATAGAACACCAAGCAGATTGAACACAGAGAAAACTATCTCAAGGAATTTAATAATCAAGCTCCCAAAGATCAAGGATAAAGAAACTATCTTAAAAGCAGCAAGAGAAAAGAAACAAATAACATACAATGGATCTCCAATACATCTGACAGCAGACTTTTCGGTGGAAACCTTACAAGCCAGTAGAGCAGCACGAAATAGTTAAAGTACTGAAGGAACATAACTTTTATCTTAGAATAGTATATCTGTTGAAAATATCATTCAAGCATGAAGGGGAAATAAAGACATTCCCAGACAAAAGCTGAGGGATATCATCAACACCACATCTCTCCTACAAGAAATACTGAAAGGAGTTTTTCAAGCTGAAAGAAAAAGATGTGAGCAAGAAGAAATCATCAGAATGTACCAAACTCACTGTAATAGTAAGCACACAGAAAAATAGAATATTATAACACTAATTTTATGTTAAGTAGAAAGACTACATAATGAACCAATCAAAAATAGTAACTACAGCTTTTGAAGACCTAGTACAATAAGACATAAAGAAAAACAACAGAATGTTAAAAAGTGGAGGGATAAAGTTAATGTGAAGTTTTTATTAAGTTTTTTTTCCATGTTTGTTTGCTTTTTGCGCAATCAGAGTTAAGTTACCATCAGTTTAAAATAATCGGTTATAAGATAGTCTTAGAAAGCCTCACAGTAACCTCAAATCAAAAAAATATGCAATGGATACACAACAAATAAAAAGCAATAAATTAAATCACACCACCAGAGAAAATCACCTTCACTGAAAGGGAGACAGAAAGAATAAAAATAAGGTGGAGAAGACCACAAAACTATTAGAAAACAAACAATAAGATGGCAAGAGTAAATTTCTACTTATCAATAATAATATCGAGTGTAAATAGACTATACTAATAAATTAAAACATGTTAAGTGGATGAATGAATTAAAAAAACAAGACTCATTGACCTGTTGCTTACAAGAAACACACTTCACCTATAAAGACACAAACAGACTGAAACTAAAGGAATGGAAAAAGATATTTCATGCCAATAGAAACCAAAAAAAATTAAAAAGCCAAAGTTGCTAAACTTATACTAGACAAAATAGATTTCAAGACAAAAAACTGTAAGAAGAGACAAAGAAGGTCATTACATAATGGTAAAGAGGTCAATCTAGCAACAAGAGATAACACTTGTAAATATATATGCACCCAACACAGGAGCACACAGGTATATAAAGCAAATATTGCTAGAGCTAAAGAGAGAGATACAGCATGTTACAATAATAGTTGGAGGCTTCAACATTCCACTTTCAGTATTGCACAGATCTCCCAGGCAGAAACTCAACAAAGAAAGGTTAGATTTAATCTGCACTGTACAACAAATGGACCTAATAGATGTTTACAGAACCTTTTATCCAAAAGCAGCAGAATATACATTCATCTCTCCAGCACATGGATCATTCTGAAGGGTAGGCCATATTTAGCTTACAAAACAAATCCTAAAATATTCAAAAATTAAAGTAATATCAAGCATATTCTCTGACCACAATGGAATAAAACCAGAAATTAATAATAAGAGGAATGTTGAAAACTATATAAACACATGGAAATTATATAATATGCTTTTGGATGACCAGTGGGTCAATAAAGAAATTAAGAAAAAAATTGAAAAGTTCCTTGAAGCAAATGATAATGGAAACACAACACATGAAAATCTATGGGAAATGGTGAAAGTAGTACTAAGAGGAAAATTTATAGCTATAAGTGCCTACATCAAAAAGAACAAACACTTTCAATAAATAACTTAGTAATGCATTTTTAAGAACTAAAAAGCAAGAGCAAATAGAACTTAAAATTAATAGAATAAAATAAATAATAAAGATGAGAGCATAAATTTTAAATGACAAAACTATACAAAAATGAATGAAATAAAAATTTTATTTTAGAAAAGATAAACAAAGTTGACAAAGTTTTGTTTAGCTAGACTAACAAAGAAAAATGGAAAAAGACCCAAATAAAGAAAATCAGAGATAAAAAAGAAGATATTACAACTGATACTGCAGAAATTCAAAGGATCATTAGTGGCTTCTATGAGAAACTATATGCCAATAAATTAAAAAGCCTAGAAGAAATGGACAAATTCCTAGACACATACGAGATTGAACTGGGAAGAAGTTCAAAACCAGAACAGACCAATAACAAGTAACAAGATGAAGGCAGTAATAAACAGTTTCCCAGTAAAGTCCAAGATCCAATGTCTTCAATGACAAATTTACTAAATATTTAAAGAAGAGCTAACACCAATCCTACTCAAACTATTCTGAAGAATTGAGGAGGAGGGCTTCTTTCCAAATTCGTTCTATGAGGCCAGTATTACCCTGTTACCCAAACCAGACAAAGAAACATCAAAAAATATATCTCTGATAAATATTGATGCAAAAATTCTCAACAAAATACTAGCAAACCAAATTAAACAATACATTAGAAAGATTATTTATCATGACCAAGTGGGATTTATCCCTGGGATGTAAGGATGGTTCAGCATATGCAAATCAATCAATGTGATACATCTTATCAACAGAATGAATGACAAAAACTATGACTACTATGATCTTTTCAATTGATGCTGAAAAGCATTTGACAAAATGTAACATTCCTTTATGATAAAAATGCAAAAATCTGGGTATAGAAGGAAGGTAATCCAGTGTAATAAAAGCCATATGTGACAGACCCACCACTGGTCTCATAATAAATGGGAAAAAACTGAAAGCCTTTCCTCTAAGATATGGAACAATACAATGATGCCCACTTTTACCACTGTGAAATGTCACAGTACTGGAGATTCTAGCTAGAGAAATTAGACAAGAGAAAGAAATACTGGCATCTAAATTGGAAAGAAAAAAGTAAAATTACCCTTGTTTGCACATGATATGATATGATATTTTCAAAAAACTGCACAAGAAAACTGATAAACAAATTTAGTTAAGTTGCTGAAACAAAGAGAACATGCAAAGATCAGTGGCATTTCTATACCAACAGTGAAAAATCTAAAAATAAATAGAAAAAGTAGCCCCATTTAAAATAGCCACACATAAAATTAAATACCTAGGAATTAACTTAACTAAAGGAGTGAAAGATCTCTACAATAAAAACTATGAAAAAAATGAGGAGGACATCAAAAAACAGAAAGATATTTCATGTTCATAATTGGAAGAATCAATATAGTCAAAATGTCCACACTACCTGAAGCAATCTACAGATTTAATGTAATCACTATCAAAATACCAACGACATTCCTCGCAAAAATAGAAAAAAAAAATTCCAAACTTTATATGGAACTACACACAAAAAAATCACAGAACAGCCAAAGCTAGCCGAAGCAAAAAGAACAAAACTGGAGGAATCACATTACCTGACTTCAATTTATACTACAGAGCTGTAGTAACCAAAAAAGAATGCTACTGGCATAAAAACAGATACATACACTAATGGAACAGAATAGAGAACCCAGAAATAAATCCACACACCTACAGTGAACTAATTTTCAACAAAGTCACCGAAAACATACACTTTGGGAAAAGACAGTCTCTTCAATAAATAGTGCTGGGAAAAGTGGATATCCATATGGGGAAGAATAAAACTAGACCCCTCTCTCATACCATATAAAAAATTGAAACTAAAGAGTTAAATTTAAGACTTCATGATACAGAACAACTAAGAGAAAACACTGGGGAAACTCTGTAGGGTATTAGACTGGGCAAACATTTCTTGACTCATACCCCACAAGCATAGGCAACCACAGCAAAAAGAGACAAATGGGATCACATCACTTTAAAAAGCTTCAACACAGCAAGGGAAACAACCAACAAAGAAAAGAGAAAACCTTCAGAATGGGAGCAAATATTCTCAGATTACCCAGCTGATGAGGGATTAATACCCAGAATATATAAGGAGGCTCAAACAACTCTATAGAAAAAAAATCTAATAATCCAATTTAACAATGTGCAAAATATTTGAATAGATATTTCTCAAAAGAAGACATTTAAATTACAAACAGGCATACAATAACGTATCAAAATCATTGAATCATCAAAGAAAGGCAAATCAAAACTACAATAGGATATCATCTTACTCCTGTTAAAATTGCTTTCATCCAAAAGACAGGCAATAACAATTGGTGAAGAAGATGTGGAGAAAAGGGAACCTTTGTACACTGTTAGTGGGAATGTAAATTAGTACAATTACAATGGAGAACAGGTTGAAGGTTTCATAAAAAACTAAAGATAGAACTACCATATGATCTAGAAATTCCACTGTTGGATATATATCCAAAAGAAAGGAAATAAGTATACCAAAGAGATATCTGCATTCCCATGTGTGTTACAGCACTGTTCACAATAGTCAAGATTTGGAAGCAACCCAAGTGTCCATTAATAGATGGATGGATAAATAACACATGGTACATATATACAACGTAGTACTATTCAGCCATAAAAAGATTGAGAGCCTATAACTTGCAACAACATGAACAGAACTGGAGGTTATCATGTTAAGTGAAAAGCCAGGCATGGAAGACAAAATTTGCATGTTCTCACTTATTAGTGTGGTCTAAAATTCAAAACTATTGAATTCATGGAGATAGATGGTAGAAGGATGATAGAAGGATGGGAAGTGTAGTGGCAGTGGGGGGCAGGTAGGGATGGCTAATGGGTACAGAAAATAGAAATAATGAATAAGACCTACTATTTTACAGCACATGGGAATTCCGGGAGCTACAAGATGAGATTTGGGTGGGGACACAGAGCCACACCATATCATTCCACCCCCGGCCCCTCTCGAATCTCATATCTTCATATTTCAAAACCAGTCATACCTTCCCAACAGTCCCCTAAAGTCTCAACTCATTTCAGCATTAACTCAAAATTCCACAGTCCAAAGTCTCATCTGAGACAAGGCAAGTCCCTTCTGCCTATGAGCCTGTAAAACCAAAAGCAACTTAGTTACTTCCTAGATACAATGGGGGTACAGGCATTGGGTAATACAGCCATTCCCAATGGGAGAAATTGGCCCCCATAAAGGGGCTACAGCCCCTATGCAAGTGTGAAATCCAGCGGGGCAGTCAAATTTTAAGGCTCCAAAATGATCTCCTTTGACTCCATGTCTCACATCCAGGTCATGCTGATGCAAGAGGTGGGTTGCCATGGCCTTGGGCAGCTCCACCCTTGTGGCTTAGCAGGGTAGAGTCTCCCTGCCAGCTGCCCTCATGGGCTGGTGTTGAGTGTCTGTGGCTTTTCCTGGTGCATGGTGCAAGCTGTAGGTGGATCTACCATTCTGGGGTCTAAAGGATGGCGGCACTCTTCTCATAGCTCCACCAGGTAGTGTCCCAGTAGGGACTCTATGTGGGGGCTCCCACCCCACATTTCCTGTCCACACTACCCTAGCAGAGGTTCTCCATGAGGACACTGCCCCTATAGCAAACTTCTACCTGGACATCCAGGAATTTCCATACATCTTCTGAAATCTAAGTGGAGGTTCCCAAACCTCAATTATTGACTTTTGTGCACCCACAGGCTCAATACCACATGGAAGCTGCCAAGGCTTGGGGCTTGTACCCTTTGAAGCCCCATGGCCTGAGCTCTATGTTGGCCCCTTTCAGCCTTGGCAGGAGTGGCTGGGACGCAGGTCACCAAGTCCCTAAGTTGCACATAGCACAGTGACCCTGGGTCCGATTCACCAAACCACTTTTTCTTCCTAGGCCTCTGGGCCTGTGATGAGAGGGGTGCTGTGAAGACCTCTGACATGCCCTGGAGACATTTTCTCCATTGTCTTGGTGATTAACATTTGACTCCTCTTTACTTATGCAAATTTCTGCAACCAGTTTGAATTTCTCCTCAGAAAATGGGATTTTCCTTTCTATCATATTATCAGGCAGCAAATTTTCTGAACTTTTATGCTCTGCTTCCCTTATAAAACTGAATGCCTTTAATAGCACCCAAGTCACTTCTTGAATGCTTTGCTGCTTAGATATTTTTTCTGCCAGATACCTTAAATCATCTCTCTCAAGTTCAAAGTTCCACAAATCTCTAGGGCAGGGGCAAAATGCCACTAATCTCTTTGCTAAAACATAGCAAGAGTCATCTTTGCTCCAGTTCCCAACAGGTTTCTTATTTCCACCTGAAGTCACCTCAGCCTGGACTGTATTGTTCATATCTCTATCAGCATTTTGGGCAAAGCCATTCAACAAGTTTCTAAGAAGTTCCACACTGTCCCACATTTTCCTGTCTTCTTCTGAGCCCTCCAAACTGTTCCAACCTCTGCCTGTTACCCAGTTCCAAAGTTGCTCTCACGTCATTTGGTATCTTTTCAGCAGCACCCCACTGTATTGGTACCAATTTACTGTATTCATCCTTTTTCACACTGCTGATAAACACATACTCAAGACTGGGCAATTTACAAAAGAAAGAGGTTTATTGGACTTACAGTTCCACATGGCTGGGGAGGCCTCACAATCATGGTGGAAGGCAAGGAGGAGCAAGTCGCATCTTACACATGGATGGCAGCAGACAAAGAGAGAGCTTGTGCGGAGAAACAACCATTTTTAAAACCATCAGATCTCATGAGACCCATTCACTATCATGAGAACAGCATGGGAAAGGCCCACCACCATGATTCAATAACCTCCCTCCAGGTCCCTCCCACAACACATGGGAATTATTGGAGCTACAAGATGAGATTTAGGTGGGGACACAGCCAAACCATATCAGTGACTATAGTCAAAATAATTTTGTTGTACATTTTATAATAACCGAAAGAGTGTATTTGGATTTTTTGTAACACAAAGGATAAATGCTTGAGAAGACAGATACCCCATTTTCCATGATGTGATTATTATGCATTGTATGCCTATATCAAAAACTCTCATGTGCCCCATAAATATGTACACCTACTATGTAGTCACAATTAAAAATTTAAAAAGTTTAATATTTTACATCTTTCATCAGCTTTTGGAAATAGAAAGTACCCTACCTTTTATTTTGATAGTAGGTTTTCCGAAAATATATTGAGTTGTTTTATCAACTTTTCCTTTATTGTATCTATTGCTACATGAGACTCACATCAGATTAGTAATAGTAATAATGATGATGATAACTGCTACCATTTGATGAACAATTATATGCCAAATATTATTTGTGTGAATTGACCATGACATTATTTACTAGTTTTTATTTGTTACTGTTTTTGTTTCCATATAATTACAAACTTACAAAAACTATGCAATAATAGTAAGAGAACACCCATATATATTTTACCAAGATTCACTAATTTTTACTTTTTCTTAGTTTGCTTTATCATTGTCTCCTCTCTCTCTCTCTCTTTCTCCCCCAGTCTCTTTTATTCTCTCCCTTTCACTTTATGTCTGTTGGTAGTAGTTATCTTTTGTAGTTTAACAGATTACGTCCAAAACTTAGCAGTGTTGTACATTTCAATATCATTTAGTTTTATCTAGCTTAGGATTTCATATGAAAAGAAACATATAGTATATATTCACTATTGGGTAGTAAATCACTCCAAAACCTGGCAACTTAAACAACTTTCAACATATCACACCATTTGCAAGGATTAGGAATCAGGGGGCACCTCAGCTGGGTGTCTTGCTTAGGATCTCTCTTAAGATTCTACTCAATATGTCTGCAGAGTGTAGCCTGAAGATCCTGCAAGTCTAAGAGATGGTAAGGCTACACTCACTCTTACAAACTACCCTTGAAAACACATACCATGTCTCTGCCTTCTAGTCCTGAAAAGCAAGTCTCCAAAATCCAGCCCATGAAATACCTCAAGGCAGGGATCATGGGAGCCCTTCATGGAGGCTACCTTCTAAAAAATATGTACGGAATTTTTATTTTTCTGAATCTTATAAAAGTAATTTAGAGACATTGTTTCTCATTACCCCTAAATATATCAGGAAGTATTTCTGAACAACAGGAATATTCTCTCACATGACAACAGTACAATTATCAAAATAAGGACATTTGATATTGATAAATATCCACAACTCTAACCAGTATTCAGATTGCATCTGTTGTATCAATAATTTCCTTTACAGCTTTTTGTTGTTGTTGTTGTTTAGTCAAAGATGCAATCCACAATCTCAAAATTCATTTTAGCCCTCATGGCTCTTCAGCTTCTTTTAATCTAGAATATCTCTCAGCTGTTCTGTCTTTCTTTAAAGTGACATGTTGAAGAGTACAGGCTAAGTACTTTGTACCTTGAGCCTCAATTTTGTTTATTTTATATGTCTTCTTTTTTTTTGAGACGGAATCTCATTCTGTCACCCAGGCGGGAGTGTAGCACCATCTTGGCCCACTGCAACCTCCATCTCCCAGGTTCAAGCGATTCTTTTGCCTCAGCCTCCCGAGTAGCTGGGATTACAGGCATATGCCACCACGCCTGGCTAATTTTTGTATTTTTAGTAGAGACAGGGTTTCACCATATTGGCCAGTCTGGTCTTGAACTCCTGACCTCATGATCCACCCACCTCAGCCTCCCAACGTGCTGTGATTACAGGCGTGAGCCACCAAGCTGGGCTATTTTATATTTCTTTATTATTTGATTTAGGTCATGCATTTTGACAAGAATACCACAGAAATTATATTCTATCTGGAGAAACATGATATCAATTTTTCCCAGTAATGGTGATATTATCTTTGCTCAGTTGCTTAAGGTGGATATTGTCAAGTTGCTCATGTAATCTTATTGTTTTTTTCTTCTTGTATTAAATAATTTGTAAGGAGGTATTTTGAGACTATGTAAAAGTGTTCTGGTCTTCATTTTTTTAAACTTTCACATACCTGTTTCAACATCTTTTGATGGTTTTGTAACTTCATCTAATTCTATATCTATATATGTTAAAATTCTACAGTAGAATTTCCTCATTTACTTGCTTATTCGAGCATTTATTTATATCATGGATTCTTATTTCTTAAACTGGGTTATAATTCATTAGTATAATGATTTATTTTGATGATCAAATTGTCACAAATTTAGCCAGTGGAACCTCCTTTGTGATAATATTTACATCCTTTTTATATTTCTATAATTTTTTGGAAACATGTTATGAACTGAAAGTTTATGTCCCCACCCCCAAATTTCTATGTTGAAGTTTTAACTCCTAATTGTAGGACATTTGGAGCCAGGGGTCTTTGCAAGGTAATTTGGTTTGGGTCATGACGTGGGGTCCCATGATGGGATTAGTGTCTTTACTAAAAGTGGAAGACAAACTAGAACTCTCTCTCCACCACTGAAGACCATTGAAGACACAGAGAGGAAAGAGAAGGAAGAGGACCCTCACCAGGATCTAAATTGGATGGCACCTTGAACTTGGACTTCTCAACCTCCAGAAGTAGAAGAAATAAGTGTCTGTTGTTACACTCAGTCCATGGTATTTTGTTATAGCAGCCTGAACAGACTAAGACCTAGCACTTTCTTATTTCCTGATGCAAAAAGTTATTTCAGGCCCATCTTTTACTTGCTCTCACTTCCAACTCTGAAATCAGCATTTTCTCCAAGGAATCCTCGTTCTTATTAGTGAAATATGGCATGTAATAAGCAACTAGTAGATAAGTTTAATTGCACTTGTTATTATTTCTAGACCCTTTCTGCAGAGAGCTACAATATAGACACATAGTTTACATATATTGAAACCGTGATTGCATATTGATACATTATCTCTGATATCAAACAAACACCACAGGGTACATTCTAGTCTTCTGCCTTTCTATTGGTAACATTGTGTTGGAACTGTGAGAAATCTGGTTCCTATAATTCTCAAAAGCTTATTTATTTGCTTAAGTTGTTAAAAAATAGTTTCAGCATTTTAAAAGATATCACTTGATATGGTTTGGCTGTGTCCACGCCCACATTTCATCTTGAATTGTAGTTTCCATAATCCCCACCTGTTGTGGGAGATAATTGAATTATGGGGACGATTATCCCTATGCTGCTCTCACGATAGTGAGTGAGTTCTCATGAGATCTGATGGTTTTCTAAGGCGCTTTCCCCGCCTTTGCTCAGCACTTCTCTCTCCTGCCACCCTTTGAAGAGGCGTCTTCCACCATGATTCTAAGTTTCCTGAGGCCTCCCCATCTACTCAGAACTGTGAGTCAATTAAACTCTTTTCTTCATAAATTACCCAGTCTTGGATATTTCTCCATAGCAGCATGAGAATGGACTAATACACCGCTATAAAAAGAAACCTGCTCAATGGTGTTTAATGTTTGTTTCCAAACATCAAACTTATCACTGATTTGCTTTTTGTAAAATTTACATTTACATACAGTGCAACAGACTAATCTTAATTTTACAACTTAATACATTTTACATGTGCATACACAAATATAAGCCCCATCCTTTTCAAGATAAAAACATGTTTATTACACCCAACATTTTTTACTGCCTCTTCCTGCACAGAACAACCACTGATCTGTTCTAGAACTTCATATATACGGGATTATTCAGAATGTGTTTTTTTGTGTCCAGCTTTTTCTTCTCCTTAGAATGTTTTTAAAATTCATTCATGTTGTTTCTTTCTTTTTATCATTAAGCAGTATTCTATTAAACAAATATACTAAAATGTGTGCATGTATTGCTGATTGAACTCTGGGTTATTTTCATTTTTTTCTATTGTAAATGAAGTTGCTATGAACATATTTTTATAAGTCTTTTGTAGGCATACATCTTAATTTCCCCTGGAAAAGTAACTAGGAATAGAATTGTGTGGTTGCAGAATAGATGCATGTTTAATTTGATAAGAAAATGCAAACTTTTTTTCAAATTTCATTGTACCATTTTACCATTTTAACGTCAATATAAGAGGTCATTCCACAACCTCACTAGCATTTGTTGTTGTCACTCTTGATTTATCCATTCTTGGCTGCTTGCAGTTTCATGCGTTTGTGATCCTAATTTGCATTTCTCTGATGGCTCATGATAGTCAATATCTTTTAATGTAATTATTGGCCACTGATACATCTTTATATGTGAATTGTCTCTACAACTATTTTTGCTTACTATTAATGGATTACTTGCTTATTATTATTGACTTGTGGGTATTCTTCATATATTCTGAGCATAAGTTCTTTCCAGATATATGTATTGTGAATATTTTCTCCTTGTCTGTGGCTTGAGGTAAAGGTTGACAATACTGTAGTAATAATAATGATTATAATCATTACTATAATTTGTCACTTGTTGAGAAAGTATTATGTACTAGGTATTTGAATCAGTGCATTAGATTCACCATGTCATATAATCTTGACAACCTCAGAAAAGCACTGAGAATTTACTTGAGAATAATATTTTTCATTATTAATTTATTTTTATATTATTTTTAAGACTAATAAACATATTAAAGCAATGACTCAATAAATCTAATTTTATATTATTTTACTTATCACTTCTATTTTTCCAAAACAACTTTTCAATTAACATTTTAAAATTAAATTAATAAAAAATATTAAATTGTTATTTTATTTCATTAAATTAATAAAAAATTAATAGAACTTTTTAAAAATTTGTGATTGCTTTTTTTAGAGTATATAATTCTTTTTTAGAATATTTTTCTCTTTGGAGAATAGAAAGTACATAGAATTTTCGTACTCATAGTTTCTATCATCTTATCTTTCTTGTTTATATTCTGAAATAATTTACCATGTAGATCTTTACCGCCTCTATAAAGTTTTGTTTGCATAATTCTATTGAGTTTTTCTTCTCAGTAATTATGTTTTTAAATAGCTATGATTTTTCTCACTTTTCTCAGTATTTTTTCTATAATTTCTAAATTAATTTTATATAATTTATATAAGTGCAATTATCTTTCAAATCACATTTTAAAAATGTGAATGTTAAGAAAGATTTTTTCACAGCTTTGGGTAAGTTCTTTTCAAAGAAAGATATTTGTTAAGATTTCACATATTAGGCTCTCTCTTTATACTCCCAAATCAACCCACTTTCTCTGTTAGAAAAGGGTCTATGATTGCAAAGAATTTGGAAGTGATGTGGTTTTTGTCAGACAATCTTAATCTTGCACAAGCAACAGAAAATATTGAATGATTTTTCATCTGTCTATGGCTTTTATAATCTGCACTGAGTAAGACAGGATATACGTAGGCAGGGAGAATACTTGCAAAATATTTTGTCTTTCAAGTACTATAGCAAGTCAAACGAAATAATGCAAAAATCCATCTCAAATTGTCTTTAAAGGAAGCATCCTTGGTAAGGCTGAAGATTTATTCAGAATGTTGTTCATAGTAAGTGCAAACTGTAAGTAGGCTACATATAGTAGAATTCAGTCTATCTAAATTGGTGCTTGGAACAATTGTTATAAATTCAGATGCAACAGATTCAAACACATATACCTTAACATCCAACTTCTCAAACCCTGTTCTGAAGGACATGAACTTCTGTCATCTTAGCAAATAGCAGAAAAACAACCTGATCAGTGTTAAGAAAAAATACCCTAGGTGACATTACTCTGAGTTGGAAAGGCCCTCCTTCTAAGGAATTAGTGTTCTGGAGTAAAACTTGGATTTCAAAAACCTAAATTCTAGCAGCACACACCACCCTCCCCCCACCCCCCTGTCACACCCACACCCTTAGCTTGAGTTGGCATTTTATCTAAGATACACTATGAGCAATCATTAGTTATGCCCTTGCATTTTACCCTTGGTTTCAAAATTCATTTTTAGGCAGGTTTCTTATTCTCCTTGCTGCATTGTTTCATATCTCACTTTGGTTTCATTTATATCCAGTTTCTTGAAATGTCAACATTTAGATGATATTCTCTGGCTTCTGCTGAAATAGATAATTTTTCCTATTGAATATATTGGGTCATTTACATGGATTTTAAGTATATGAGCTCAAATTTTTATTTTTAACAGAAAATACTTTAATAATATGCATGGGTCATTTTCTAAAATGTTTTTTAACAATAATTATATTTCAGAAATATATTTTTGATTTAAAAATTTCAGTTTCTGTGAACTGCCATATTTTCTCATGAAAGTAATGATTTTTCACATTTAGTTCCTTGCATAAGGTAGATTGTGCTTGCCTGATTTTGGCTTTTATTTGAATAAGAGATTTGTGCACTTTGAATACTTTAAATTTATTGGTGAATAAATGGAAAAAATAATATTTACAGTAGTCTTGCTTTATTACTACTGAGATTCAGGAGCCTGAGAGAAATGAGAAAGAAGTTGGAATCACAGAAATGTCTTAGTCTCTGTTTTCTTGGTTTGATATGAGTGCTCCCTAAAGGAGCAAGGCTTAGTAGGAATGTTCTCTGCTCAAGATGACTCTCAGTTGAAGAATAACACCTGGGAATTATAAAGCCTTGAGGGGTGGGGATCTAAATCTCATCAATTTCCTGTGACAAGTAGAAATGGGTGTCTCCAAAGATCTCTAAAGCTTAAACTTAACCCTCTGAGTTAGGGGGTGTCAGATAATTGCTATCAGAGTCTCTTTCCTTGAATTTGTAGCTATCCTGCTTTTCCATAGAAGGGTCATTCTACATTAATCTGTCTTTAAATTTAATCTCAGTTGCATCAATATCGGCAAAAATTCCTCTGTGGTGCTGATCTGTGGATGGTATTCAGTCACAGCTTCCAGTTCTGGTGCAAAACTAAAACCTTATTTAGTTACATAGCTAATAAAACATAGTGGCTATACAGCACAAAATCTAAAATTTGACTGCCTGGGTTTGAATTTGGGCTCTGCTGTGTGAACTTGCACAAGTTATACTATTTTAGGCTTCCATTTCTACATTTATGAAATAGAGATAAGTAACTACCTAAAAGAGTTATCGCAAGAATTAAAAGAGGCTATACACATATACAGATGTGTGCATGTGTATATATATGTACAAATAAATATCAATTTATAAATCAATATCTATGTCTATATTTTTATCTATATCTCTACCTGTCTGTGTCTATTAGTGCCTAACATGTAGTAGCACATAATAAATGTTACCGGTTTGCTACTTTTATCACTTTCACTGAAGTTAGAGTTAACAGAATATGTAGACTTCATGTGCTTCACAAGCTCCAACATAGAATAAATACAAAATACACACACACACACACACACACACACGGCACCTAGACATGTTATATTCAAGCTGTAGAAAACCAAAGACAAAGAGAAAACTTGAAGGTGGTCAGGGAAGAAGAGAATATCTTATCTATAGAGGAACAAGGACAATAATTACATCAGACTTCTCTTAAGAAATCATGCAAAAAAAAAAGATAAATACAGTGAAATGTTAAAGTGTTGAAAGTAAACAAAACAAAAACAACAAAAATCTAGAATTCTATATCCTGTGAAATTATCCTGCTGAAGTGAATGCGAAAGACTTTCCTCACACAAACAAAACTTGGGGAATTAGTCACTAGCAGATTTGCTCTGCAAGTAATGTTAAAAGAAGTATGTCAGGGAGAAGAAAAATTACATAGATCAGAAATTAGGATCCACATCAACAAAGGAAGAGTTTTAGAGGAGGAAAAATTTGAAGGTAAAATATACTCTTTATACTTTTCTCACTTTAAATTTATCTACAATATAACTGCTTAAAGCAGTAATAAGAACAATATATTGGGTAATTATGTCATATGGATAGATAAATGATGGCAATGAAATAATGAATAGGAGGGAGAAATTGGAGATACATTGTTATGAGGTACTTGCACCATATGTAAAGTCATATAGTGTATTTGAAGGCAGACAAATTATTTTAATAGGGATGTTTTACACTCAAGAGAAAACAAAATTAAAAGAACCATAAATGGCATGTTAAGAGAAGAGATACCATTAAGTCAGATTAAACTCTTAATTAAAACTAGGTAAGAAAAAGATTTAAAATAGAAATGAGAAATGCAGGAAAGAGAAAACAATTATAACATGGTAGATCCTAATCTGACTCTATTAATGAGGACTGTAAATGTGAGTGATCTAAGTATAGCAGTTAAAAGACAAAAATTCTCAGAGTAGATAAGTGAGCTCTCTACAAAAGAATTAAATATAAAAACTTAGGTAGGTTAAAACTAAACATAAAGAGTGATAATGGCATATCATGTTAATACTATTCAAAAGAGGAGAAAATGCATCTATTGTTGCCCTATCCAGAAGTCTACATATAAGTGTTCTCCCTGTAAAGTGAGGAAAAAGCTACTGATATATCTAGCATTATCTTTGAAGTTATAATCTTCTCTTAAAAAAAAAAATAACACCACTGAGGTTACTCACAGTTGATCGGTTTGCTTCTGAGAAATTGTCACATTATTCTTACTTTTTTTTTTCTTAAGCTTAAAGTGTCTGCCTCATGAAGTCTGATTTAACGACTTTTCATATGTAAACTAGCTAGAAGTTATAATAACTGTGATTTCACTGAGAGTCAACAGTGTGACATGCCTGTCAAAAGACAGCTAATGCATTATCAGGTTTTATTAATAGAAATGTGGTGTTCAGAATTAAAAGAGGAACTAGTTCTACTGTTTTGTGCATTAATCATACATCATCTTGAGTATCATTTTCAGTTCTTGGCATTACAGTTGAGAAGGACATTGACAAGTGCATAAAAATGTTCCCAGAAGAGTGATCAGAATATTGAGGGCCTGGAAGCTGTTTCAAATGAGAATATTTTGAAGACATTAAACACTAAAAGATTTTTGGAAAGGAATATTAAATATCTAAATAAAATTTGATAGACTGATTCTGCAAAAGCAATTATACTCGGACTGATACAAGAAGGGAGGAGGTTTTCTCAGAATAAGGAGAAATTTCTTCATAATTATAGCTGTTCATCCTAAGTATGGGCTATGTTCTCAGATGTTCTTGAGCAACCTGTCACTGGAAGCATTCAAATGGAGAATGGATGACAATATGCCTGATATATTGCTATACTGGTCTCTGTAGCATTGTAGAAGGTGAACTTCATGACCTTCCAAGGTCTCTGGTAGCTCAAATGCTTGGTGGTTCAATTTTAAAAGCCTTTAAAACTCTGCTATTTATTAACCAATGAAATGAGTTCTTGTTAGCTTTGATTTTCTTTTTTTTTTTCTTTTTCTTTAGAGCTGTAAGGATATAGAATTAAGCAATTAAAAAAAAATCCTCTCCTAACTCACAATTAAGCCAAAACTTTTAAAACCCAAAACTTTTAAAACCCAAAAATGACAACTCAAGTTTAGTACATGTGAGAGAGAGAAAGAAAGAGACAGAGAGAGAGAGAGAGAGAGACAGAGAGTGATACCTTGAAGACATTCTATGGAAGTAAAGGCAATTATTTTTGTAATTATAAAAGCATGTATTTTTTAAAAAGTAATTTTATTCATCAAATATGGAAGCATGTATAAATTTAAAAAATAACATATAATTCTACCACTCAGTGATAAATGTGCATAATTTTCATTGTTGGGGTGTTTTAGGGGAAATATGAACATAGTTGAGATTATTCATAAATATAACTTATATCATTCGATTTAATAAGAAAAATCAAAGTATGGAAGCAATGAGGCTGATCATGCCTTTTGGAGACCATCAGGCCTAGATCCAAGACCTGTCTCATCCATTCATTGAAAGAACTTGGTCGAGTTATCTAATATATCTTTCTTTGGGTTCTCAAATAGGAAAAATAAAACTTAAACAGTAGTATTATTATTAAGATCAAATATAATACATGTAGAACTACTATTTTGTTACTCAGTGTATGATAACTTCAGACTAAATAATACTTAATTTAACATAAGTCCCTTTTTACCTTATTGTTTTAAATGTTTAATGTCTGTATGTGATTCATTATATGAGTTAATCATTATTTACTTTGATTTATTTCTTTTTTAAATTTTTTTATTGGTGATTTCCATAAGGTAGGGGAGAGTGAAACAATGTTTCTTGGGAGCCTGGGTTACAACAAAAAAAGAATCTCTTATTAACATGAAACTTTCATGTTTTTTAATATTTATCAACTTTTGCTATCAGAGTTTGATGCTTTATAAAGTTAATTGAGGAGTTCCCACAGCATGTATGCCTGCATATGCTTCTATTCCCTAACTATGTGAAAATATTCACCTCTGAAACTTTATAGATTCCAAGTTTATTGGAAAATAATTTTCAAATAAACCTTTTTCCATTTTTTTGTGATTATTTTTAATGATATTTTACCTTTTTTAGAAAATTTGGTTGTATATACTTATTTTACTAGCCAATTTCAATGAAATCTTTATTACTACAGTCTTCCACAATATTCTCTGAAATGTTATATTTGTATATTTAATAGTTTTATTGATTTAGTTACATAATTATGCATAATAATTTTAATAAACCTATTCTATGTTTAATAGTTCTATTGTATTTATTTTCTTATTCACGATTTTAGGAATCTTCATTAAAATGAATCATTTGTTTCCATTACAGTCGTCCCTAAGTGTCTATGAGGGATTATTTTCAGGACTTCCCATGGATACCAAAATCTGCTCATACTTAAGTCCCTTAGTTGGCCCTTCAAACCCACCCATAGGAAAAGTTGGTCCTCCATCCCGCCAATATTGTACTTTTGATCCATGTTTGGTTGAGGATGTAGAAGGGCCTAAGTATATATTTAAACAAATTCACATATTGCACAATTAAAACCCGTGTTATTCAAGAGTCAACTGTACTTGTAAACTTTTTGTTTTTAGTTGAAAGACAAGTCTATTTTTTTCTCTTGGTCTAATATTTGAAGTACTAAATTTCTATATGTATATTTAATCAAACTTCAATAAAAAAAGGTAGGAATTTGCTTACCAGTATCAAAGTAGCTGTATTTCCAGGGGAGTGATTTTTATCAAATTTTAAAAATCAATTTGCAAGACATATTGAGGTCTCATGTGTGATTTTATTCTTTATATCTCTTTGTACTTGCTGCTTTTTCATTGTCTTTACTTCAAGCATACTACCCTACTTCCAATTTGAGTATATTATGAGTTGTGAAAGCAAATTACTAAACTAAAAATAATATTTCTGCTTGTGATACTAGTTTAAGGTGAGCTCAAAGACTTGACTTGTTTTGGTGGCTATGTTTCCAGTGCTCGAAGCCTAAAAAATAATGGAACTCTAAATAAATATCATTTGTAAGAGACTTTAACTTTATCAAGTAAATACTTAAATCAATTAAAAACATAATAAATACAATTATTTACAAAGAGTTGTGGGCTTGTTAGATTCATTTTAAACATATTTTTCTAGCCTTAAAAAATGGAGGTGCAATTTCAATCATATGACTTGATCTGTGCAAAGTCTTCCTAGTAGTAAAAAAGAGGGCAGAGTAAGTGCAGGTTTCTAGGAAACCAGACAAAATAAATAAAATAAATAAAACTTCACATATACTGAAACAAAAGAACTGTCCCATACCAGTGTCTCTGCAATCATGTAAAATTATATCCAAACTAGACTTAATGGAATAAGAACAATGCTGGGCGCGGTGGCTCACGCCTGTAATCTGAGCACTTTGGGAGGCTGAGGCGGGTGGATCACATGAGGTCAGGAGCTCAAGACCAGCCTGGCCCACATGGCAAAACTCCGTCTCTACTAAAAAAAAAAAAAAAAAAAAAAAAAAAAAAATTAGCCGGGCTTGGTGACACACACTGTAATCCCAGCTTCTCGAGGGGCTGAGACAGGAGAATCGCTTGAACCTGGGAGGCAGAGGTTGCAGTGAGCCGAGGTTGTGCCACTGCACACCAGCTTAGGCAACAGAGCAAGACTTTGTGTCAACAACAACAACACAACACTGGGCTTTATCACAATTGTCATATAATTGCTAACTCAGCACAGTGCCCAAAACATGGTTAATAAAGTTAATAGATCTTATAACAACTCCTAATATGGAAGGATAAGGGCTAAATGGTCAGAAATGAAATAAGCAATATCCCACATTTTTTTTCTTTTTTCTCCTACTGCTATATAGGTCATAATGAGCTAAAGGATGGAATGATTGGTTGGACCATTAAGTTATCAAGTCCTAAGTGCACACATTAATGAATTATCATAAACTGAACATACCACGGTAACCACCATCACATCAAAAAACATGATTTCCAGCACCAATGAAGACTCCCCATTACTTTAAGAAGACTCCAGTTCCTACACTTGCCTTTCTGAAAAGAGCTGTCATTGTAACTACTAACCACAGATTGTTTTACCTCTACAAAAACGAAATTTTACTCAATATATTTTTCAGTTAATATTACATTTGTGCTATTTAAGAATGTATGTGATATTTATACATCTATAGCATTATTTAATTTACATTACTATATGATATTTTATTGAAAATAACAATTCAGTCTACATTCGATGGAAATTTGGATGTTCTCTAAATTTTGGCTATTATAATATGGTGACGAACACTTCAGAACATTACAGTTGGTGTACATATATGTATGTATGTCTGTTACATTCACAGTTAGGAGTATATATATGCTGCACTACATATGTTCATATTTTTTAGGTGATGCCAAAAAGTTTTTCAAAGTTATTTGCACTGATTTATCCTTTCACCAACAGCACTTGAGAAGTAAGTTGCTCCACATCCTTGCATTGTCTTGAAACAAACAAACAAACAGCCATTTTGATGAAGAGTATCTCATTGTAGTAATAGTATTGCATTTGAAATCAACCACATTTTCACAGGGTAACTGCTTTTATATCTTTCCTGTTTTGTAAAATTCCTATCCAAGTCTTTTTGCCCATTTTTTATTGGGCTGTCTCTCATTTCCTTATTAAGATGTAGAAGTTATTCATATTTTCCAGACCAATCCCTTCTTTCTTATACGGGCTGCAAATAACCTGTTTACAGAGGTTGAAAGGTATGCCAAAAAAACTCTGTTGATGTCTTTCAATGTAAGCTAATTATTCTGTTTTCATTTATGGGAATTAATCCAGAAGCATTTATTAAAAATATTGTCCATTCCCCACTACTCTAAAATGCCACCTTTGTCTTAAATACATGTCCATATATGCATAATCTCCCTCTGAACACTCCGGTCTATTGTATATCGGTGCGGCAAAACAACACTACCTTAATCACTGCAGCTTCACAACAATCTTGATAAATGGTAGAATATATTGTCCATTGTGTTCTTTTTTGACAAGATTATTTTGCCTATATTAGGTCTTTTGGATTTCAATTTATTTTCAGAATATTATACCATATTCCTAAGATTTTAAATGAAATTGCAATGGATTTTTAGATGAATTTAAGAGCATTCATATTTTTACATTATTCTTTTAATTTAGGAATACAATATATTTCTTCAATTAATATTTTAATTGTTTATAGTTAGTATGATGTGTTTTGCATGTTTTCCTACATATTTGTTCATTTTGAAGCTATTTTAGCATTTTTAAATTTTATTTGTATATTTTTGACTGACATATTAATATTATTTTCCATATGAACCTTGAATTCAGTAATCTTGTTATTTGTAGATTCATTTACATTTTCTACAAAATGAATATGTTAGTTTACAAATACTGGTAGGCTTATTGTTTATTTCAAATCTTTATGTCTTTAAGATTTGTATGTTTGGTTTCTCTTCTTGCGCTGACTATGACCTCAAAGGCAATGCTGAACAGATGTGGTGACCTCTAGCATTCTTGGCTAATTCCCAAACAGATGTGGTGACCTCTAGCATTCTTGTCTAATTCCAAAACATTTCAATATTTTGTCATTATGTATAATTTATGATATTTTTCTAGCTATCTATATCAGATTAATTTTCTTTTAACAAGTTTTATTTTTGCCCTTTAGATGATAATATATCTCCTTTTCTCTTAATTATTTTACGAATGTTTTCTTGCATTTTGTTTTCCCTAGGTTAACTATTATGTTTCTACATGTGGTCTTTTAAATTCATTCTGTATGGGAATTCATGATATGTCTTTAATCAGTGGCTATATTTTTTCTTAGTTTTGAGAAAAATTTCATCATTGCCTCTTCAAATATCTGTTTACCATTCATTCTGTCTCCACCTCCTGTCATCCTTTTTTATAGATCCTGTGCTCTGCCAAAATTCACAATCTTGCCTTCTAAGTCTTCAAGTATATTAAACATAGTTATTTTCAAGACAATTTTTTATATATCCAAAGGATATCTAGAATATCCAATGTAATATTTACATATCTCATATTAATTCCTAATATATATATACAATTTCTAAATATTCAATATGTAATAAAGTCAGTTTCTAAAATAGCTAGACTTTTGCGAATCTGTTTCTAATTTTTGTTAGTTCTCTTTGTTTTCAGTATGTCACGCATTCTTTCCTCCTCATCTGCCAAAAATTACTAAATTTTTGATTCAATGACAGACACTGCAAACAAAAATGGTAAAGAAATTAAAACCTTTTGATTATGTGTTTCTTTTTTTCTTCTTTTTTTTTATTATACTTTAAGTTTTAGGGTACATGTGCACATTGTGCAGGTTAGTTACATATGTATACAAGTGCCATGCTGGTGTGCTACACCCACTAACTGGTAATCTAGCATTAGGTATATCTCCCAATGCTATCCCTCCCTCCTCCCCCCACCCCACCACAGTCCCCAGACTGTGATATTCCCCTTCCTGTGTCCATGTGATCTCATTGTTCAATTCCCAACTATGAGTGAGAATATGCGGTGTTTGGTTTTTTGTTCTTGCGATAGTTTACTGAGAACGATGATTTCCAGTTTCATCCATGTCCCTACAAAGGACATGAACTCATCATTTTTTATGGCTGCATAGTATTCCATGGTGTATATGTGCCACATTTTCTTAATCCAGTCTATCATTGTTGGACATTTGGGTTGGTTCCAAGTCTTTGCTATTGTGAATAATGCCGCAATAAACATACGTGTGCATGTGTCTTTATAGCAGCATGATTTATAGTCCTTTGGGTATATACCCAGTAATGGGATGGCTGGGTCAAATGGTATTTCTAGTTCTAGATCCCTGAGGAATCGCCACACTGACTTCCACAATGGTTGAACTAGTTTACAGTCCTACCAACAGTGTAAAAGTGTTCCTATTTCTCCACATCCTCTCCAGCACCTGTTGTTTCCTGACTTTTTAATGATTGCCATTCTAACTGGTGTGAGATGGTATCTCATTGTGGTTTTGATTTGCATTTCTCTGATGGCCAGTGATGATGAGCATTTTTTCATGTGTTTTTTGGCTGCATAAATGTCTTCTTTTGAGAAGTGTCTGTTCATGTCCTTCGCCCACTTTTTGATGGGGTTGTTTGTTTTTTTCTTGTAAATTTGTTTGAGTTCATTGTAGATTCTGGATATTAGCCCTTTGTCAGATGAGTAGGTTGCGAAAATTTTCTCCCATTTTGTAGGTTGCCTGTTCACTCTGATGGTAGTTTCTTTTGCTGTGCAGAAGCTCTTTAGTTTAATTAGATCCCATTTGTCAATTTTGGCTTTTGTTGCCATTGCTTTTGGTGTTTTGGACATGAAGTCCTTACCCATGCCTATGTCCTGAATGGTAATGCCTAGGTTTTCTTCTAGGGTTTTTATGGTTTTAGGTCTAACGTTTAAGTCTTTAATCCATGTTGAATTGATTTTTGTATAAGGTGTAAGGAAGGGATCCAGTTTCAGCTTTCTACATATGGCTAGCCAGTTTTCCCAGCACCATTTATTAAATAGGGAATCCTTTCCCCATTGCTTGTTTTTCTCAGGTTTGTCAAAGATCTGATAGTTGTAGATATGCGGCATTATTTCTGAGGGCTCTGTTCTGTTCCATTGATCTATATCTCTGTTTTGGTACCAGTACCATGCTGTTTTGGTTACTGTAGCCTTGTAGTATAGTTTGAAGTCAGCTAGTGTGATGCCTCCAGCTTTGTTCTTTTGGCTTAGGATTGCCTTGGCGATGCGGGCTCTTTTTTGGTTCCATATGAACTTTAAAGTAGTTTTTTCCAATTCTGTGAAGAAAGGCATTGGTAGCTTGATGGGGATGGCATTGAATCTGTAAATTACCTTCGGCAGTATGGCCATTTTCACGATATTGATTCTTCCTACCCATGAGCATAGAATATTCTTCCATTTGTTTGTATCCTCTTTTATTTCCTTGAGCAGTGGTTTGTAGTTCTCCTTGAAGAGTTCCTTCACATCCCTTATAAGCTGGATTCCTAGGTATTTTATTCTCTTTGAAGCAATTGTGAATGGGAGTTCACTCATGATTTGGCTCTCTGTTTGTCTGTTGTTGGTGTATAAGAATGCTTGTGATTTTTGTACATTGATTTTCTATCCTGAGACTTTGCTGAAGTTGCTTATCAGCTTAAGGAGATTTTGGGCTGAGACAATGGGGTTTTCTAGATATACAATCATGTCATCTGCAAACAGGGACAATTTGACTTCCTCTTTTCCTAATTGAATACCC
This sequence comes from Homo sapiens, assembly GCF_000001405.40. Taxonomy (NCBI): domain Eukaryota; kingdom Metazoa; phylum Chordata; class Mammalia; order Primates; family Hominidae; genus Homo; species Homo sapiens. The sequence goes on along the minus strand of NC_000014.9, from coordinate 28,192,482 downwards.
TTTATTTCCTTCTCCTGCCTAATTGCCCTGGCCACAACTTCCAACACTATGTTGAATAGGAGTGGTGAGAGAGGGCATCCCTGTCTTGTGCCAGTTTTCAAGGGGAATGCTTCCAGTTTTTGCCCATTCAGTATGATATTGGCTGTGGGTTTGTCATAGATAGCTCTTATTATTTTGAAATACCTCCCATCAATACCTAATTTATTGAGAGTTTTTAGCATGAAGGGTTGTTGAATTTTGTCAAAGGCTTTTTCTGCATCTATTGAGATAATCATGTGGTTTTTGTCTTTGGCTCTGTTTATATGCTGGATTACATTTATTGATTTGCATATATTGAACCAGCCTTGCATCCCAGGGATGAAGCCCACTTGATCATGGTAGATAAGCTTTTTGATGTGCTGCTGCATTCGTTTTGCCAGTATTTTATTGAGGATTTTTGCATCAATGTTCATCAAGGATATTGGTCTAAAATTCTCTTTTTTGGTTGTGTCTCTGCCCGGCTTTGGTATCAGAATGATGCTGGCCTCATAAAATGAGTTAGGGAGGATTCCCTCTTTTTCTATTGATTGGAATAGTTTCAGAAGGAATGGTACCAGTTCCTCCTTGTACCTCTGGTAGAATTCGGCTGTGAATCCATCTGGTCCTGGACTCTTTTTGGTTGGTAAACTATTGATTATTGCCACAATTTCAGCTCCTGTTATTGGTCTATTCAGAGATTCAACTTCTTCCTGGTTTAGTCTTGGGAGGTTGTATGTGTCGAGGAATTTATCCATTTCTTCTAGATTTTCTAGTTTATTTGCGTAGAGGTGTTTGTAGTATTCTCTGATGGTAGTTTGTATTTCTGTGGGATCGGTGGTGATATCCCCTTTATCATTTTTTATTGTGTCTATTTGATTCTTCTCTCTATTTTTCTTTATTAGTCTTGCTAGCGGTCTATCAATTTTGTTGATCCTTTCAAAAAACCAGCTCCTGGATTCATTAATTTTTTGAAGGGTTTTTTGTGTCTCTGTTTCCTTCAGTTCTGCTCTGATTTTAGTTATTTCTTGCCTTCTGCTAGCTTTTGAATGTGTTTGCTCTTGCTTTTCTAGTTCTTTTAATTGTGATGTTAGAGTGTCAATTTTGGATCTTTCCTGCTTTCTCTTGTGGGCATTTAGTGCTATAAATTTCCCTCTACACACTGCTTTGAATGTTTCCCAGAGATTCTGGTATGTTGTGTCTTTGTTCTCGTTGGTTTCAAAGAACATCTTTATTTCTGCCTTCATTTCGTTATGTATCCAGTATTCATTCAGGAGCAGGTTGTTCAGTTTCCACGTAGTTGAGCAGTTTTGAGTGAGATTCTTAATCCTGAGTTCTAGTTTGATTGCACTGTGGTCTGAGAGATAGTTTGTTATAATTTCTGTTCTTTTACATTTGCTGAGGAGAGCTTTACTTCCCAGTATGTGGTCAATTTTGGAATAGGTGTCGTGTGGTGTTGAAAAAAATGTATATTCTGTTGATTTGGGGTGGAGAGTTCTGTAGATGTCTATTAGGTCCGCTTGGTGCAGAGCTGAGTTCAATTCCTGGGTATCCTTGTTGACTTTCTGTCTCGTCGATCTGTCTAATGTTGACAGTGGGGTGTTAAAGTCTCCCATTATTAATGTGTGGGAGTCTAAGTCTCTTTGTAGGTCACTCAGGACTTGCTTTATGAATCTGGGTGCTCCTGTATTGGGTGCATATATATTTAGGATAGTTAGCTCTTCTTGTTGAATTGATGCCTTTACCATTATGTAATGGCCTTCTTTGTCTCTTTTGATCTTTGTTGGTTTAAAGTCTGTTTTATCAGAGACTAGGATGGCAACCCCTGCCTTTTTTTGTTTTCCATTTGCTTGGTAGATCTTCCTCCATCCTTTTATTTTCAGCCTATGTGTGTCTCTGCACATCAGATGGGTTTCCTGAATACAGCACACTGATGGGTCTTGACTCTTTATCCAATTTGCCAGTCTGTGTCTTTTAATTGGAGCATTTAGTCCATTTATATTTAAAGTTAATATTGTTATGTGTGAATGTGATCCTGTCATTATGATGTTAGCTGGTGATTTTGCTCGTTAGTTGATGCAGTTTCTTCCTAGTCTTGATGGTCTTTACATTGTGGCATGATTTTGCAGTGGCTGGTACTGGTTGTTCCTTTCCATGTTTAGCACTTCCTTCAGGAGCTCTTTTAGGGCAGGCCTGGTGGTGACAAAATCTGTCAGCATTTGCTTGTCTGTAAAGTATTTTATTTATCCTTCGCTTATGAAGCTTAGTTTGGCTGGATATGAAATTCTGGGTTGAAAATTCTTTTCTTTAAGAATGTTGAATATTGGCCCCCACTCTCTTCTGGCTTGTAGGGTTTCTGCCAAGAGATCCACTGTTTGTCTGATGGGCTTCCCTTTGAGGGTAACCCGACCTTTCTCTCTGGCTGCCCTTAACATTTTTTCCTTCATTTCAACTTTGGTGAATCTGACAATTATGTGTCTTGGAGTTGCTCTTCTCGAGGAGTATCTTTGTGGCGTTCTCTGTATTTCCTGAATCTGAACGTTGGCTTGCCTTGCTAGATTGGGGAAGTTCTCCTAGATAATATCCTGCAGAATGTTTTCCAACTTGGTTCCATTCTCCCCATCACTTTCAGGTACACCAATCAGACGTAGATTTGGTCTTTTCACATAGTCCCATATTTCTTGGAGGCTTTGCTCATTTCTTTTTATTCTTTTTTTCTCTAAACTTCCCTTCTCACTTCATTTCATTCATTTCATCTTCCATTGCTGATACCCTTTCTTCCAGTTGGTCGCATCGGCTCCTGAGGCTTCTGCATTCTTCACGTAGTTCTCGAGCCTTGGTTTTCAGCTCCATCAGCTCCTTTAAGCACTTCTCTGTATTGGTTATTCTAGTTATACATTCTTCTAAATTTTTTTCAAAGTTTTCAACTTCTTTGCCTTTGGTTTGAATGTCCTCCCGTAGCTCAGAGTAATTTGATCGTCTGAAGCCTTCTTCTCAGCTCGTCAAAGTCATTCTCCATCCAGCTTTGTTCCATTGCTGGTGAGGAACTGCTTTCCTTTGGAGGAGGAGAGGTGCTCTGCGTTTTAGAGTTTCCAGTTTTTCTGTTCTGTTTTTTCCCCATCTTTGTGGTTTTATCTACTTTTGGTCTTTGATGATGGTGATGTACAGATGGGTTTTTGGTGTGGATGTCCTTTCTGTTTGTTAGTTTTCCTTCTAACAGACAGGACCCTCAGCTGCAGGTCTGTTGGTATACCCTGCAGTGTAAGGTGTCAGTGTGCCCCTGCTGGGGGATTCCTCCCAGTTAGGCTGCTCGGGGGTCAGGGGTCAGGGACCCACTTGAGGAGGCAGTCTGCCCGTTCTCAGATCTCCAGCTGCGTGCTGGGAGAACCACTGCTCTCTTCAAAGCTGTCAGACAGGGACATTTAAGTCTGCAGAGGTTACTGCTGTCTTTTTGTTTGTCTGTGCCCTGCCCCCAGAGGTGGAGCCTACAGAGGCAGGCAGGCCTCCTTGAGCTGTGGTGGGCTCCACCCAGTTGGAGCTTCCCAGCTGCTTTGTTTACCTAATCAAGCCTGGGCAATGGCGGGCGCCCCTCCCCCAGCCTCGCTGCTGCCTTGCAGTTTGATCTCAGACTGCTGTGCTAGCAATCAGCGAGACTCCGTGGGCGTAGGACCCTCCGCGCCAGGTGCGGGATATAATCTTGTGGCGCGCCGTTTTTTAAGCCGGTCTGAAAAGCGCAATATTTGGGTGGGAGTGACCCAATTTTCCAGGTGCGTCCGTCACCCCTTTCTTTGACTGGGAAAGGGAACTCCCCGACCCCTTGTGCTTCCCAAGTGAGGCAATGCCTCGCCCTGCTTAGGCTCGCGCACGGTGCGCGCACCCACTGACCTGCGCCCACTGTCTGGCGCTCCCTAGTGAGATGAACCCAGTACATCAGATGGAAATGCAGAAATCACCCGTCTTCTGCATCACTCACGCTGGGAGCTGTAGACCGGAGCTGTTCCTATTCGGCCATCTTGGCTCCTCCCAACCTGTAAGTTTCTTCCATAAACTTTCAATTTCTTTATTGCATTATCTTGGGAAACTAGTTAGTGTAGATTACTTAATATAATCAGAGACTGACTTGATTCAAAGTAAGGCTTTGTTTTCTGTGAGGGCTTGTCTATTTCTTGTCTAACTTTTCTTCTAATCTATATCTTTTCTAGGATGTCAAACCAATAAACAAACTAACAACATTGAGAATCCCCCAAAAATATAGGGAAGAGAATAGTCACTCAGAAAAGTTGCCGGTGAGTGCATATCTAAGGTAGACACAGAGGACCATAGTGCTCTGTGGGAGCAAAACCAAGCATCACTGACTGAAATATTAAGCCTCTGTATGCCGCTGTGTCTGTGTGAACTAGTGAATATCCGCATATGCTTTTCTACACACATATATTCTAGACCATATCAAACTATTGTGAGTTAAAGACACTCAGACACTGCCTTATATAGACTTTATCAGTATTGTCCCTCACCCTCCCTGCCACCCTAGAATATTCTCCATAATATGTATTTTAAGTAGAAAATGCAAATAGAATAATCTCTTTGGTAAAATATGATTTCCACAAGTAAAATGTAAAGTAACCATATACTTAGTTTTTTTATTAATAGAGAAACTCAAAAGATGCATTAAAAATAGTATCAACTACATGACTTTAAGTGTGTATTTTGGAACATTATTTTCATTTCTGGAAAACAATGTTAAAATTGGAATATGAGCCAACTGTTACGTGGGCTAATGAAATTTTTAAAGCTCAGCTTCACTGTTAATAACTACCAAATTGAATTATACATATGTGTGAACATTTTTGCACAAAATAATTAAGCATTTATATAAGATGCAATGTCACTCAAAAAGTTTAAAAAACTTTTAGTCAATGTTTTCAAACATTTCTTGTGCATCAAACAAGACTAAATGTTTAAAAAATCTCTATGTAAGAGGGTAGACTGCAGTTTGTGCATTTAATTCATCAAGCATGAAATTTAACTGTCTCTGGTAGTTATTTACTATACCCAAGATGTAGTAATTTTAACGTTAAGCAGTTCCTTTTTTAAAGTGAAAGCAAGTTTCTTAAGAAAGTAAAGGAATAAAAGAAAGACTACTCTGTAGGCAGAGCAGCCCTGAGCACTCCTGGTTAGCTATTTTTTTTTTATTATTTCTTGATTATATGCTAAACAAGGGGTTGATTACTCATGAGTTTTCTGGGAAAGGTATGGGTAATTCCCAGATATGAGGGTTCCTCCCATTTTGAGGCCATATAGGGCAGCTTCCTGACATTGGCATGGCATTTATAAACTGTCATAGCACTGGACAGAGTTTTTTTAGCATGCTAATGCATTATAATTAGTGTATAATGCGTAGTGAGGATGACCAGAGGTCAGTTTTGTCACCATCTTGGTTTTGGTGGGATTTGGCCAGCTGCTTTACCTCAACCTGTTTTATCAGCAAGGTCTTTGTGACCTGTATCTTGTGTCAGCCTCCTATTTCATCCTGTGACTAACAGTGCCTAACTTCCTGGGAATGCAGTCCAGTAGGTCTCAGCCTTATTTTACCCAGCCCCTACTCAAGATGGAATGGCACTAGTTCAAGCACCCCTGACAGATTTCTCCTCTCTCTTTTAGAAGGGAACCCTTAATCCTAAAGGTTGTAGAGGGACAAAGATTCATCTTTTGTATCTTCTTCATGTTGAACAGGGGTGATGATATTTCTGCCTATTGGAAACTCTTATATTCAGTGTAGAGAGGAGCTCAATCAGAAAGCATGGGTCTGGTGAAGCCATTCATGACTCTTGAGTTCTGATAAAAGGTGATATCTGAAAGATTAATAAGTGTTCAATTTAAGAAAACATTCAGTAAGCTTATCCTGCATTCCTATACAAAGAGTACAACAGCAATATATTCCACAACAGTAATGCAAAATAAGTGAAATTTTCCCAACTAAACTAAGTAAGCAGGCTTTCCATGAACTGGGCAAATGTTGGAACCAAACTGATATAGAGTTACTAGCTGATTCCAATATGTGCCCAGAATTAGAATGCTGATCCAGATTTTTACACTATGCATCCCTCCTGTTTCTTCTGAGCAGCAGCCAGAGATCACTGGTTGGTTCACAGGAATAAGCAGAGTCAACCTAAATTGCAGAAAAAACTCAGAAACAACTTACAAGGCTAGAATCTAATAACAAGTGTAACATAGTTCCTGAAACATAACTTTAACCTCTCCAGTCTTCTATGTTTAGTAAAGACAAATCATAATAGGAATGATTTGTTTGCAAAATAAGCTTTAGTCTTTTATTTGGCCTGATTGTTTGTATAAAGTGCAGCAAGAATAATTTTTCTCTTTTTTCCATAAAATAAATCTTAGATAAGACTTTTTTTTATAAAGCCCTGAACCCAGCCATGAGTTTGAACCACCAAATACCTATATAAGTTGGTTAAATTCCTCACCTCCTGAGATCCCAAGATAACTAGGGGCTCCTGAGCCTGTCAGAAAGTGGCATTCTTTACTTACCATAAGTCAGGAACCTGTACAGGGACTGTGTGGTTGAGGTATGAGGCCAGTTTTCCCAAGGGGCTTTTATTGGCTCTATAAGTCAAGTATGACTCTTTAAAAGGAAAGCATGTCATTCCAGTCAAAGCCTTGGTAAAATAACCAGTTTCTCCAATGTGTCCCATTGCAAAAGAAAACATTCTTATTGCACTTATGCAAATAACTATATTGCCATAAGTTAAGAATACTCACAAGTAGTTTCCAAATTCTGGAGAAATCAGGTAGAGAAACAAATATGCTCCAAATTTTGTTCACAGGAGTATACTTTGCTCAATTGTTACAAGCTGTAAATAGCTCAAAAGTTTTCTTGACTCTGAAAAATAAAAAATCAGCAACGTTTTGAGCAAAAAGTCATAAAAGGAGTATTTTAGTCTTATATTAGTTCAGTCCATGCAGTTAACTTCTGTTCTGGAAAAGCAGTTCTTAATGAATGATGCAATTAATTACCTTAAATAAAATGTCTGCAAAATGTCACCACCTCAGATTTAAGTAAGGTATAAACCTATATAGCACAAGGACTTCATCTGTGTTTAATCTCTAATTTTAATAGACTATATAAGAAATTTAAGATGTATAATAACACATAAGATCACAACTTTCATCATTGTCACAAATAGCATAGCCAATTGTGTTGTCTTTATATAGATACATATACATATCTATATATATATTATGTTCAATATAATATAAATAAAAATCTATCTACCTACCAAGGTTTTTTTTACAAGTTTCTTTTTAAAAATACTTTTTTATGCCTCTCCCCTTTTATTTTTAATTAACACATGATAATTTTACATATTTATCAGATACAGAGAGTGTTATTTTAATACTTACATATAATGTATAATTGATCAAATTAGAGTAATTAACATATCCATCACCTCAAACATTTACCATTTACTTGTGTTGTGAACATTAAAATCTCTTCTCCTAGCTTTTTGAAAATATACAATAAATTAGTTAACCATATTTACCCTTCAGTGATTCAGAACACTATAACTCATTCCTCCTATGTACCTGTAATTTTGTATTTGTTAACCAACCTCTCCCTATCCTCCCCTCCCCTCTTTTCTTCTCAGCCTCTAATACCCAAATTCTACTCTCTGCTTCCGTAAGCTCATTTTTTTTAGTTCGCATATAAATGAGAACATGCAGAATTTATCTTTCTCTGCCTGACTTATTTTGCTTAACATAATGTTAAGCAAGCTTATCCACGTTTCCACAAATAACAGATTTTTTTCTTTTTTATGGATGAATAGTATTCCTTTGTGTATGTATACCACATTTTCTTTATCCATTCATCTTTTGATGGACATATATGTTGATTCCATATCTTGGCTATTGGGAATAATGCTGCAATAAACAAGGGGGTGCAGATTTACTGATTTCCTTTCCTTTGGATAAATACCCAATAGTTGGATTGTTGGATTGTATGGTAGTTCTATTTTTAATTATTTGAGACACCTCCATACTGTTTTCCGTAATGGCTGTATTAATTTACATTACCAATAATATTGTATAAGCGTTTCCTTTTCTCCACATCCGCGTTAGCATTTTTTTTGTCTTTTAATAGCCATTCTAACTGAGGTGAGATGATATCTCATTGGCATTTTGACTTGCATTTATCTGATGATTAGTGATGCTGAGAAATTTTATATATATTTGTTGGTCATATTTATATCTTCTTTTGAGAAATATATATTCAGTTCATTTGCCCACTTTTAAATTGGATTATCTGTTTCATTGCTATTGAGTTGTTTGAGTTCCTTGTTTTTTCCAGATGTTAGTCCCTTGTACAGTGAATTTTTGCAAGTATTTTCTCCCATTGTATAGGTTGTCTCTTCATTCTGTTGATTGCTTCCTTTGCCATGTGGAAGGTTTTCAATTTAATATAGTTCCAGTAATCTATTTTTGCTTTTATTGCCTCTGCTTTTGAACACTTAGCCATAAAATCATCACCTAGACCAACTTCCTGAAGTGTTTCCCCTATGTTTTCTCATAGTAGTTTTATAGCTTCAGATGTTAAATTTAAGTTTTTAATCTATTTTGCATTTTTTATATGGTAATATTTAGGAGTTTAGTTTCCTTCTTCTGCAAATGGATATCTAGTTTTCCAGCATAATTTATTAAAGAGGTTGTTTTTTTTTCTCCATTATATGCTCTTGGTACTTTTACTGAAAATTAATTAACTGCTAATACATGGATTTATTTCTTCATTCTCCATTCTCTTCCTGTGGTCTGTCTGTTTTTAAACCCATACCATACTATTTTTTTTTACTATAGTGTTGTAGCATATTTTAATGTCAGACAGTGTGATGCCTCCAGCTTTGTTCTTTTTAGCTCAGGACCACTTTGGCTATTTGAGGTATTGCAGACTTCAGGATAAATTTTAGGATTTTTTTTCTATTTCTGTGAAGAATATCATTGGTATTTTGATAAAAATTACAATAAATCTGTAGATTGCTTCAAATAGGCCATTTTAGCAATATTAATTCTCCGAATTCATGGTCATGGGATGTCTTTCCATTTGTTTGTGTCTTGTTTAATTACTTTTATTTGTATTTTATAGTTTCTGTTTCACAACTTTCTTTTGATTAATTAAAAAAAATCCTCCATATATAAGTACCTTCATAACTACTGGAGTAATTTTTATTTTCTCTTATTCTGTAGCCCTTTTTTCACATGTGGGATATTGTAATCTCATATACAAATATTTAATTTTTAAGTCCTTATTGGGGATAGAGAAAAATCAATATAGGAATAACTGTTTAAAGATAGTATATGAGGAATGGACACAGTGGGTTCATGCCTGTCATCCCAGTGCTTTGGGAGGTGAAAGAGGGACTATCCCTTCATGCCAGGAGTTTGAGACCAGCTGGGCAACATAGCAAGACTCTGTCTCTACAAAAACTAAAAAAAAAAAAAATTTTAGCTGAGTCTAATGGCACATGCCTGTAGTCCCGGCTACTTAGGAGACTGAGGTGTGAGTATCGCTCAAGCCCAGGAGTTCAAGTGAGTGCTCTCACTACTGCATTCCAGCCTGGGTGACAGAGCAAGATCCTGTCTCTGAAAAAAAAATTAGAATATAAAATAAAAGTAATATATGCAAATATAGTAATTGATGAATTTCTGACAAAAATATTTACTAAATTTTAGTAGATTTTGTTAATGTGCTAAAATACACTAGTATTTATCAAACATTTTTAATGATTTGGGAAATAATTGAAATTATAGAATAAGCTATAACTGCATTTAATTTCTCTTTTTGTATTTTTTTCTATACAAATTTTATTTCAAATTTAAGTTCATATAAATTTTGTTTATCTTGCTTTGGCTTTCACTTCTGCCACCAAAATGTCTGCAGGTTATTAGTTTGACAAATCAAAGATTTTGTAGTGGATCACTTAATTAATGTGTGCTATAAGGAGTTTTTACCACAATTGCAATATGTGTTATTCAACAAGTTTCTCATCTCAACCATGTTTGGAGAAATTTACTTGCTTATTACATATACATAAAAATAATTTTCAATGTTCTTACTAAACTTAACAAAATCTATTCCATTATTTACTCTTATGCAAAGAAAGATTAGAAATTCAAGAAGGCTGAATGGATTTCCAACGAAGATCTCAGGAAACTCACATAAATTTCCTGGACTTCCAGTTCAACATCTGTAAAATCTGGGGTTTAAGTGATGTAAATCCTAAATTTCTAAAAAGAATACAGAAAAGTGATGAAAAGGGCAGGCCACACAACTAGATGGATAGTTCTGAATTTTTATGGACTTAGGTAAGTTATATATCCTCTCTTTGCTTCAGTTTTATCATCTATAAAAAGAGATCAAAATAGTACATAACTTAAAAGATTGGTGAGTTAAATCTTTCTTTTTAACATCAATTAATATAGTACTTAAACCACAATAATAGTAAATGGTAGCTATTATTATTCTAACTTTTCTGATTCATACAGCAATAATAAGACTCAAACAGATTGGAGAGCCTAATGTGATTAACTGGGTTTCTATATTCTGATAGTCCCACTAATAATATATGTTAGCACAGAAGTATGGGGACATAAATATTGCAAAAGAAACAGAAAAATAGATAGTTATATGTGTAGTACCCAAAATTATACAGCTGTACAGTTTCCAGAGGAAATGAAAAGATTTCACTAGGTGGTTTTTAAGAATTTATAAGATTTCCATATAGAAATCTTCAAATTTCCTCTAGTTTCTCTTCAAATTTCTGCAAAAGTTTGAAGAGAAGCTAGGAGCAAAAATTGCATAAGAAGGAAACAAAAGTGGTTGATTTTAGGGCTTCTGGGCGGGAAACATACAATTCATCAGCTAGATAAAAACTGGGGCTAGGGCTTGTAATTACATGCTAGACTACTGTGAGTTTATATATTTACTTAATCTGCAGTATTTGACTGAAATGATATATGCATTTTATGCTTTCATAATTCTGTTTCTTCCCCCTCGAGGAGTTCTTTCCTGATCAATAGAAACTGTTTGATAACTAATTTTCTGTTTTTAGGAAACAAAGTTCAATTCTTAAACAATAATGTATTAATGTATACTTGTTGTTATATTTTGAGTAAAGCTGGAGCTGAAATTTCTGCTTAGCTTTTCAGTCTTCCATATTTCCAGTGGCTTTTCACTGTGCTTCTTGAGAGGCCCTATGCATTCATATTTCAATAATCAGTCAAGAAATTAAGGAGAGTTTATATGCCAGTTTTTGGCCTCTGTTCCCTGAACTATCTTCCTTTCTGATCATTTCCCCCTCTGACAGTCCCAAATTCTTTGATGCCTCAATTCGAAAACACTGGAGACCTCTGTTTGAGTTTAACTTCCCACTCCATGTAGACTGAGGAACACTCTTTGAACTATATAAATATAGCTCTAACTCAGGGTTATTCCTCCTCTCAAAGGTCAAATCAGCTCCACTTTCTACCAGTGTTTCATCCCTTTCCAGTGACTTCAAATCATTGTGCTTTAAAATATTTTGTCCACAGTTTACAATTGTTATCAAAGGGAGGTTTAGTCTGATATAATCTATTCTTCTATTACCAGAATATGGAATGATTTATAACTTTGAAATGGTATAAAATTGGCACCTGAATTCTATTTTTGTTAAAGAGCAACACACTTCAGTCTAATTATCATTTTTATAGATAAGTTCTGAATGCTTTTTAATTCCACTCATTTTCATTGGCTTTCTTCAATTTCCTTATAATGTGTCTAGTTTTGAGGTATATGTGTGAACATGTTTATACATAGTGTGATATTCTTGACTCAGTATAGTGCTTCAGTCTCAAGACTCATGTCTTTTTTAATTCTGCCATGTTTGTAGTTATTCCTTTGAATACAATTATGTCTAGTTTTTTTTCCTGTTACTTACTTTTGGAATTGAAATACTGCACTAGCCTAGTAACAGATCTCCAAGCTTGCACTTTCCCCCACCCCAACAGTCCATTCCCAACACATCAGCTAGAATGATCCTGTAATATAAATCATGTCCCAGCTCTTATTACTTCGCTAAGACTCACAAATGCTTCCATAAATTATTGAATTTATTTATTATTCTTACAATTTCTTACATATCATGGTATCTAACTGCATGGTATCTAACACTGGTACTTTTATTTCTCACACTTTTTCTAGCCTTACCTTTTTGCTATTTGTTGGACAAACATGCGGTTTGTGGGGCACATGCATGTTCCCAGCATAGGGCGTTTGCTCTATTTCTTTCTTCTGCCCAGAGTACAAATCTAATAACTATCCATTTGACCAAATTTCTTAGTCTATCAAATATTTTATTTTCAAGTGTCCTCTTCTCAATGAGACCTTTCCAGAGCACCCTATGTAATAGTGTGACCTGCTCCCACTCTCACATCTGGCTAGGATGCAAACTTCTTCTTTTTTTTTTTTTTTATTATATTTTAAGTTTTAGGGTACATGTGCACATTGTGCAGGTTAGTTACATATGTATACATGTGCCATGCTGGTGCGCTGCACCCACTAACTCGTCATCTAGCATTAGGTATATCTCCCAATGCTATCCCTCCCCCCTCCCTCCACCCCACCACAGTCCCCAGAGTGTGATATTCCCCTTCCTGTGTCCATGTGATCTCATTGTTCAATTCCCACCTATGAGTGAGAATATGCGGTGTTTGGTTTTTTGTTCTTGCGATAGTTTACTGAGAATGATGATTTCCAATTTCATCCATGTCCCTACAAAGGACATGAACTCATCCTTTTTTATGGCTGCATAGTATTCCATGGTGTATATATGCCACATTTTCTTAATCCAGTCTATCATTGTTGGACATTTGGATTGTATATCTAGAAAACCCCATTGTCTCAGCCCAAAATCTCCTTAAGCTGATAAGCAACTTCAGCAACGTCTCAGGATGCAAAATCAATGTACAAAAATCACAAGCATTCTTATACACCAACAACAGACAAACAGAGAGCCAAATCATGAGTGAACTCCCATTCACAATTGCTTCAAAGAGAATAAAATACCTAGGAATCCAACTTACAAGGGATGTGAAGGACCTCTTCAAGGAGAACTACAAACCACTGCTCAAGGAAATAAAATATGATACAAACAAATGGAAGAACATTCCATGCTCATGGGTAGGAAGAATCAATATCGTGAAAATGGCCATACTGCCCAAGGTAATTTACAGATTCAATGCCATCCCCATCAAGCTACCAATGACTTTCTTCACAGAATTGGAAAAAACTACTTTAAAGTTCATATGGAACCAAAAAAGAGCCCACATTGCCAAGTCAATCCTGAGCCAAAAGAACAAAGCTGGAGGAATCACTCTACCTGACTTCAAACTATACTACAAGGCCACAGTAATCAAAACAGCATGGTACTGGTACCAAAACAGAGATATAGATCAATGGAACAGAACAGAGCCCTCAGAAATAACACCGCATACCTACAACTATCTGATCTTTGACAAACCTGAGAAAAACAAGCAATGGGGAAAGGATTCCCTATTTAATAAATGGTGCTGGGAAAACTGGCTAGCCATATGTAGGAAGCTGAACCTGGATCCCTTCCTTACACCTTATACAAAAATCAATTCAAGATGGATTAAAGATTTAAATGTTAGACCTAAAACCATAAAAACCCTAGAAGAAAACCTAGGCATTACCATTCAGGACATAGGCATGGGCAAGGACTTCATGTTCAAAACACCAAAAGCAATGGCAACAAAAGCCAAAATTGACAAATGGGATCTAATTAAACTAAAGAGCTTCTGCACAGCAAAAGAAACTACCATCAGAGTGAACAGGCAACCTACAAAATGGGAGAAAATTTTCGCAACCTACTCATCTGACAAAGGGCTAATATCCAGAATCTACAATGAACTCAAACAAATTTACAAGAAAAAAACAAACAACCCCATCAAAAAGTGGGCGAAGGACATGAACAGACACTTCTCAAAAGAAGACATTTATGCAGCCAAAAAACACATGAAAAAATGCTCATCATCACTCGCCATCAGAGAAATGCAAATCAAAACCACAATGAGATACCATCTCACACCAGTTAGAATGGCAATCATTAAAAAGTCAGGAAACAACAGGTGCTGGAGAGGATGTGGAGAAATAGGAACACTTTTACACTGTTGGTGGGACTGTAAACTAGTTCAACCATTGTGGAAGTCAGTGTGGCAATTCCTCAGGGATCTAGAACTAGAAATACCATTTGACCCAGCCATCCCATTACTGGGTATATACCCATATGACTATAAATCATGCTGCTATAAAGACACATGCACACGTATGTTTATTGCGGCATTATTCACAATAGCAAAGGATGCAAACTTCTTAAAGACTAGACTTTTTTCCCCACAGGTACATTCCAAGTGCTTTGAAAAGTGGATGGCATGCAGTAGACAATATTTTTTGAGTGAATACCTCAAAAGTCTATCCACTATGCCTCTATTGTATTTTTATAGTTTTCATATCTATCTGTGTTGCATTCTGGGTGATTCCCAAAACTGTAGACCGATAGACTAATTCGCTCTTCCCCTGGATCTGATCTGCTACTTAGATCAGCAGTCCCCAGCCTTTGTGGCACCAGGGACAAGTTTCATGGAAGACAATTTTTCCATGGTCTGGGGTTTTGGGGTGATTCAAGTACATTACATTTATTGTGCACTTTATTTCTATTATTATTACATTATAATATATAGCAAAATAATTATACAACTCACCACAGTGTAGAATCAGTGGAAGCCCTGACCTTGTTTTCCCACAACTAGACGGTCCCATCTGGGGGTGATGGGAGACAGTGACAGACCATCAGGCATTAGATTCTCATAAGGAGCACGCAACCTAGATCCCCTGCATGCACAGTTCATAATAGGGTTCCTGCGCCTGTGAGAATCTAATGGCACTACTAATCTGACAGGAGACGGAGCTCAGGCAGTAATGTGATGGGGAACGGCTGTAAATACAGATGACGTTTTGCCTGCTCACCTGCTGCTCACCTCCTGCTGTGTGGCATGGTTCCTAACAGGACTCGGATTGGACCAGTACTGGGGGTTGGGGACCTCTGGCTTAGTTAAGATTTTAAAAATATTAATGACTTTTATTTGCAATATTTACTTTCTGTTTCTTCATATTTTACTTTTTGTTCTTGACTTTTGGTTTCTATTTCTTGTTATTTCTTCTTATTCATGTAAAATGTGATTATTTTAATTCATCTTTCAAACTTTTATCATATTCATTCTTGATGTGAGAACTATTCTCTCTCTTTTCTAAAGTGTTTCTTAACTGTGCTATGCTTTGTTATGTGGTTTGCAATTTTTGACTGTGAGCTCATCTTCAGAGGGGTTGTTTTCTGTGGAAGAACGATGGTTTCTGTGTTCTAGGGCATTTTTATCACTCCTATATGATTGTGTTTATGTGCTACTGCCGGGACTCTGTGTGTTTCCCCCATTTCTCAACTTATTTTAAGTCAATTTTTCTGCTTGTAATAACTGCAACACACCCCAAAGCTTTCAGCAAGCATGAGTGTTTCAATTGTACCTTGCATGACCTTAGATCCCCTTTTGCCTTTAAAATACTAGCTCTTTGCACCTGAGGCTTTGCCAAGTTTCACTAGCACTGTAACCTTAAAGATTCAGTCTCTGCTAATTCTCTTACTTTCTGTATTAGATGATTTCATGCTGCTGATAAAGACATACCTGCGACTGGGAAGAAAAATAGGTTTAATGGACTCACAGTTCCTTGTTGCTGGGGAAGCCTCACAATCATGGTGGAAGGTGAAAGACATTTCTTACATGGAGGCAGACAAGAGAAGAGAGGGAGCCAAGCGAAAGGGGTTTCCCCTTATAAAACCATCAGATCTTGTGAGACTTATTCACTACCATGAAAACAGTATGCGGGAAACCACCCCCATAATTCAATTATCTTCCAGTGGGTCCCTCCCACAACACAAGGGAATTATGGCTACAATTTGAGATGAGATTTAGGTGGGGACACAGCCAAGCCATATCACTTTCCATTTTCCCAGACCTCTTTCTCCCTGGTACGTGATCATTCCTGTTTCTTGGTTTCACAATTGGCTGTGTATGTTTTAAGTACCTTTTATTTTAGTAAATACAAATGTGGTTTGAAGCTTGAGGAGATATTTTCTTCATTAAAAGCGTGCAAAAACTATCTTATATTGAGTCGCCTTTCTGTTCAGCTACACTTTTTAGCCCACACTATGTACCCTTGGGATGATATACTGCAATTACACAAACCTCTTCTCATTTTCCAAAACACCATGAATATTCTTGCCTTTCTAAAATTGCCTATGCACTTTACTCTGCCTGTAACTGATTCCTTTCATTACCTTTCCAAAATTCTTCCTGAAAAACTTATAAGTATCATTAAATACCCAAATAAAGAGTCTTTTCTATACAGCAATCACAGAATATTCTATTTAGAACTGCCCTGTACCCGGCATTTATGAGTCTACCTTCTGAATCAGACTGGCTACCTCTTATAAACAGAAGAAAAATATTATACTTTGCTCCATTACTGCTTATTGCATCTAATAAATAATGAATAAAAGGATAAACATGTAATTTAAAAATGTAAATTAATTTTTGGAAGCAATATTAGAAAAGCTTCTCTTCCATCGGATTTTGACTACTATGGGATATAAGGTGCTTCCAAGAAAAAAATGTTCTTTAGTTTGTTCTAGATGTTGCTATGTTTACCTTTCTCTTCTGTATAAATTATAAGCATTATTAATTAACTCTGAATTATGAACTAACTCAAACATAAATAAAAGGTAATATTTCCATCTCTCTGCATAACTAAAGAAAAGGCATATTTACTGGATATTCTACCTCTACACTTTTCATTTATTATTAAAGTACATGTAAATAGAATCATAATTCTAACTTTATCATTTGCTTCTTGCATTCCTATATTAGCAAAATTAAATAGAAGCTTTAAAATATTACAAAAGGCTTAAGTTTATTTAAAATAGTTAATCTATATGTCATGTCACTATATTGAGTGAAAATTTGTTCTAATTTTATAAATTTAAATAACTTCTTATTGCATAACTAATTCTATAAATTCAAATTTATAGATTTAGAACAAATTTTCTCTCAGTAGAGACATACCATAAAGGTTACCAATTTAAACTGAGTATGACAGAAAAAATCAAACCCTTTATTTTAATTACGAAGACGTTAGCTATCTTTTCCAATGATAAATTTATTTCATAGGAAATTTTAACATCAATATAAACTAATTTCCTATTTCAGATGAATAATAAAATATTACACTTAGGTACAAAAACTATGTGTTAAGAATTATCCTTAGGCTACCTATGTAAATAATGAACCTTTAATTTCACAGAGTAAACCCAGAGTACATTTAAAGATAAGACTTCTGATTGGTTTAGACATCTGTCAATGCATACTGTCATACACATAATAAAGATTGACATGTAAGCTAATGATAATGAAATAGGGTTATATCTACTGTGCAACCAGGCATTTATGTAGAATAACATCAACTTAAATATTGATATATGGACATTTTAATTTGACAGTTTATGCAAAATGGCTAATCTTCACTTTCTTGCCAATTAAAAATCATCTTAGTCAAATAACTATACACATATTTCTACGTGTTTATCATATATAGTCAAATTACTATATTTATGTGTGCACATATATACATATACAGTTAAATTACTTAATCAAATGCATATAAAATCAAATATATAATTGGGATACATAACTTTGGAAAGGCAGAGAAACAAATGTGGCCTCCTTCCAAACAGGTTCTCAGGCTTATCCCCACTGTGTAAGAGATGAGACGTTAGACTAAGCCCATCTCTTAGCGCTAGGGCAAGACTTTCTCTCAAGAGCACAAGATCACAACCTACAGATAAGTGTCTGAGAGGGTGGGGCAAGACAAGAAAGCTGTAAATGTTGGGAAGATTCTGGCCTGCAGAGATGTTTGGAGATGTGAGCAAAAGTTGACATAGGCCAGACTGAAGACCACTGTTTTTTCTGCACCCCAGGAGGCCAAGAAAATAATTGAATTGATATACAGTGAGTTATCCATAGGTTCCTGGAAACTGCAACTTTAAGTAAAATTACATACATTAAAACCACTTTTACCATAGGTGAATTGATGAACACAAGGGTTAAGTTCCTAAAGCATATTTCTGATCCCAAGACATCAATAAAGTTTTTTTCTTTTTTTAAAATTATACTTTAAGTTCTAAGGCACATGTGCACAACGTGCAGGTTTGATACATAGGTATACATGTGCCATGTTGGTTTGCTGCACCCATCAACTCATCATTTACATTAGGTATCTCTTCTAATGCTATCCCTTCTCCAGCCCCCACCCCGCTACGAGCACTGGTGTGTGATGTTCCCTGCCCTGTGTCCAAGTGATCTCATGTTTCAATTCCTCCGATGAGTGAGAACATGCGGTGTCTGGTTTTCTGTTCTTGTGATCGTTTGCTGAGAATGATGGTTTCCAGCTTCATCCATGTCCCTGGACATGAACTCATCATTTTTTATGGCTGCATAGTATTCCATGGTGTATATGTGCCACATTTTTTTAACCCAGTCTGTCATTGATAGACATTTGGGTTGGTTCCAAGTCTTTGCTATTGTGAACAGTGCCACAATAAACATATGTGTGTATGTGTCTTTATAGTAGTATGATTTACAATCCTTTGGTTATATACCCAGTAATGGGATTGCTGGGTCAAATGGTAATTCTAGTTCTAGATCCTTGAGGAATCACCACACTGTCTTCCACCATGGTTGAACTAATTTACACTCCTACCAACAGTGTAAAAGTGTTCCTATTTCTCCACATCCTCTCCAGCACCTGTTGTTTCCTGACTTTTTAATGATTGCCATTCTAACTGGTGTGAGATGGTATCTCATTGTGGTTTTGATTTGCATTTCTCTGATGACTAGTGATGATGAGCATTTTGTCATGTGTCTGTTGGCTGCATAGGTGTCTTCTTTCGAAAAGTGTCTGTTCATACCCTTTGCTCACCTTTTGATGGTTTTTTTTTCTTGTAAATTAATTTGTGTTTTTTGTAGATTCTGGATATTAGCTCTTTGTCAGATGAGTAGATTTCAAAAATTTTCCCACATTCTGTAGGTTGCCTGTTCACTCTGATGGTAATTTCTTTTGGTGTGCAGAAGCTCTTTAGTTTAATTAGATCCCATTTGTCAATTTTGGCTTTTGTTGCCATTGCTTTTTGTGTTTTAGACATGAAGTCCTTGCCCATGCCTATGTCCTGAATGGTATTGCCTAGGTTTTTTTTCTAGGGTTTTTATGGTTTTAGGTCTAACATTTAAGTCTTTAATCCATCTTGAATTAATTTTTGTATAAGGTGTAAAGAAAAGATCCAGTTTCAGCTTTCTACATATGGCTAGCCAGTTTTCCCAGCACCATTTATTAAATAGGGAATCATTTCCCCATTTCTTGTTTTTGTCAGGTTCATCAAAGATCAGATGGTTATAAATGTGTGGTGTTATTTCTGAGACCTCTGGTCTGTTCCATTGGTCTATATATCTGTTTTGGTACCTGTACCATGCTGTTTTGGTTACTGTAGCCTTGTAGTATAGTTTGAAGTCAGGTAGCATGATGCTTCCAGCTTTGTTCTTTTTGTTTAGGATTGTCTTAGCAATGCAGGATCTTTTTTGGTTCCACATGAACTTTAAAGTAGTTTTTTCCAATTCTGTGAGGGAAGTCATTGGTAGCTTGATGGGGATAGCATTTATTCTATAAATTACCTTGGGCAGTATGGCCATTTTCATGATATTGATTCTTCCTATCCATAAGCATGGAATATTCTTCCTTTTGTTTGTGTCCTCTTTTATTTTGTTGAGCAGTCATTTGTAGTTCTCCTTGAAGAGGTCCTTCACATCCCTTGTAAGTTGGATTCTTAGGTATTTTATTCTCTTTGTAGCAATTGTGAATGGGAGTTCACTCATGATTTGGCTCTCTGTTTGTCTGTTAATGATGTATAGGAATGCTAGAGATTTTTGCACATGGATTTTGTATCCTGAGACTTTGCTGAAGTGGCTTATCAGCTTAAGGAGATTTTGGGCTAAGACGATGGGGTTTTCTAAATATACAAGCATGTCATCTGCAAAAAGGAACAATTTGACTTCCTCTTTTCCTAATTGAATACCCTTTGTTTCTTTCTCCTGCCTGATTGCCCTGGCCAGAACTTCCAACACTATGTTGAATAAGAGTGGTGAGAGAGGGCATCCTTGTCTTGTGCCAGTTTTCAAAGGGAATGCTTCCAGTTTTTGCCCATTCAGTATGCTATTGGCTGTGGATTTGTCATAAATAGCTCTCATTATAATAGCTCTTATTATTTTGAGATACGTTTCATCAATACCTAGTTTATTGAGAGTTTTTAGCATGAAGGGCTGTTGAATGTTGTCAAAGGCTTATTCTGCCTCTATTGAGATAATCATGTGGTTTTTGTCATTGGTTCTGTTTATGTGATGGATTATGTTTATTGATTTGTGTATGTTGAACCAGACTTGCCTCCCAGGGATAAAGCCAACTTGATCGTGGTGGATAAGCTTTTTGATGTGCTGCTGAATTTGGTTTGATAGTATGGTATTGACGATTTTTGCATCAGTGTTCATCAGGGATATTGGTCCAAAATTATCTTTTTTTGTTGTGTGTCTGCCAGGCTTTGGTATCAGGATGATGTTGGTCTCATAAAATCAGTTAGGGAGGATTCCCTCTTTCTTCTGTTGACTGAAATAGTTTCAGAAGGAATGGTACCAGCTCCTCTTTGTACCTCTGGTAGAATTTGGCTGTGAATCTGTCTTTTCCTGGACTTTTTTGGTTGGTAGGCTATTAATTGCTGCCTCAATTTCAGAGCCTCTTATTGGTCTATTCAGAGATTCAACTTCTTCCTGGTTTAGTCTTGGGAGGGTGTATGTGTCCAGAGATGTATCCATTTCTTCTATATTTTCTAGTTTATTTGCATAGAGGGGTTAATAGTATTCTCTGATGGTAGTTCATATTTCTGTGGGATTGGTGGTGATATCCCCTTTATCATTTTTTATTGCATCTATTTGATTCTTCTCTCTTTTCTTCTTTATTAGTCTTGCTAGTGGTCTATCAGTTTTGTTGATCTTTTCAAAAAACCAGCTCTGGATTCATTGATATTTGAAGGGGTTTTTTTTTTTTTTTTTTTTGTATCTCTATCTCTTTCAGTTCTGCTCTGATCTTAGTTATTTTTTGCTTTCTGCTAGCTTTTGAATTCGTTTGCTCTTGCTTCTCTAATTCTTTTAATTGTGATGTTAAAGTATTGATTTTAGATCTTTTCTGCCTTCTCTTGCAGGCATTTAGTGCTATAAATATCCCTCTATACACTGCTTTAAATGTGTCCCAGAGATTCTGGTGTGTTGTGTCTCTGTTATCATTGGTTTCAAAGAACATCTTTATTTCTGCCTTCATTTCGTTATTTACCCAGTAGTCAATCAGGAGCAAGTTGTTCTGTTTCCATGTAGTTGTGCAGTTTTGAGTGAGTTTCTTAATTCTAAGTTCTAATTTCATTGCACTGTGGTCTGAGAGACAGTTTGTTGTGATTTCTGTTCTTTTACATTTGCTCAGGAGGGCTTTACTTCAACTTACATGGTCAATTTTAGAATAAGTGTGATGTGGTGCTGAGAAGAATGTATATTCTGTTGATTTGGGGTGGAGAGTTCCGTAGATGTCTATTAGGTCTGCTTGTTGCAGAGCTGAGTTCAGATCCTTGATACCCTTGCTAACCTTCTGTCTCATTGATCTGTCTAATATTGACAGTGGGGTGTTAAAGTCTCCCATTATTATTATTATGTGGGAGTTTAAGTCTCTTTGTAGGTCTCAAAGGACTTGCTTTATGAATCTGGGTGCTCCTGTATTGGGTACATATATATTTAGGATAGCTAGATCTTCTTGTTGAATTGATCCCTTTACCATTATATAATGGCCTTCTTTGTCTCTTTTGATCTTTGTTGGTTTAAAGTCTGTTTTATCAGAGACTAGGATTGCAACCCTTGCTTTTTTTTTTGCATTTCATTTGCTAGGTAGATCTTTCTCCATCCCTTTATTTTGAGCCTATGTGTGTCTTTGCACATGAGATGGGTCTCCTGAATACAGCACACTGATGGGTCTTGACTCTTTATCCAATTTGCCAGTCTGTGTCTTTTAATTGGGACATTTAGCCCATTTACATTTAAGGTTAATATTGTTATGTGTGAATTTGATCCTGTCATTATGATATTCGCTGGTTATTTTGCCTGTTAATTGATGTAGTTTCTTCCTAACATCGATGGTCTTTACAATTTGGCATGTTTTTGCAGTGGCTTGTATGGGTTTTTTCTTTCCATGTTTAGTGCTTCCTTCAGGAGCTCTTGTAAGGCAGGCCTGATGGTGACAAAAGCTCTCAGCTTTTGTCTGTAAAGGATTTTATTTCTCCTTCACTTAAGAAGCTTAGTTTGGCCAGATATGAAATTCTGGGTTGAAGATTCCTCTCTTTAAAAATGTTGAATATTGGCCCCCACTCTCCTCTGGTTTGCAGTGTTTCTGCTGAGAGACCCACTGTTAGTCTGATGGGCTTCCCTTTCTGGGTAACTTGACCTTCCACTCTGGCTGCCCTTAACACTTTTTCCTTCATTTCAACCTTAGTCAATATGACAATTATGTGTCATGGGGTTGCTCTCCTCCAGGAGTATCTTTGTGGTGTTCTCTGTATTTCCTGAATTTGAATGTTGGCCTGCCTTGCTAGGTTGGGGAAGTTCTCCTGGATAATATCCTGAAGTGTTTTCCAACTTGTTTCCATTCTCCCCATCACTTTCAGGTACACCAGTCAAACATAGATTTGGTCTTTTCACATAGTCCCATATTTCTTAGAGGCTTTGTTCATTTCTTTTTGCTCTTTTTTCTCTAACCTTGTCTTGTCATTTTATTTCATTAATTTGATCTTCAATCACTGATACTGTTTCTTCTACTTGATCGAATCGGCTATTGAAGCTTGTGCATGTGTCATGAAGTTCTCATGCCATAGTTTTCAGCTCCATCAGGTCATTTAAGGTCTTCTCTCCACTGTTTATTCTAATTAGCTGTTCATCTAATCATTTTTCAAGGATTTTAGCTTCCTCGCAATGGGTTTGAACATCCTCCTTTAGCTCAGAGAAGTTTGTTATTACTGACCTTCTGAAGCCTACTTCTATCAACTCACAGTCATTCTCGTCCAGCTTTGTTCCACTGCTGGCGAGGAGCTGCGATCCTTTAGGGGAGAAGAGGTGCTCTGATTTTTAGAATTTTTGGCTGTTCTGCTCTGGTTTCTCCCTGTCTTTGTGATTTTATCTACCTTTGGTCTTTGATGTTGGTGATGTACAGATGGGGTTTTGGTTTAGATGACCTTTTTGTTGATGTTGATGCTATTTCTTTCTCTTTGTTAGTTTTCCTTCTAACAGATCCCTCAGCTGCAGGTCTGTTGGAATTTGCTGGAGCTCCACTCCTGACCCTGTTTGCCTGGGTATCACCAGTGGAGGCTGCAGAACAGCAAATATTGCTGTCTGATCCTTCCTCTGGAAGCTTCGTCCCAGAGGGGCAGTTGCTTATATGAGGTGTCAGTCGGCCCCTACTGGGAGTTGTCTCCCAGTTAGGCTACACGGAGGTCAGGCACACTTGAGGGGGCAATCTGTCCTTTCTCAGAGCTCAAACACTGTGCTGGGAGAACCACTGCTCTCTTCAGAGCTGTCAGACAGGGATGTTTAAGTCTGCAGAAGTTGTGTGCTGCCTTTTGTTCGGCTATGCCCTGCCAACAGAGGTGGAGTCTAGAGGCAGTAGGCCTTGTTGAGTTGCAGTGGGCTCCACCCAGTTTGAGCTTCCCCACCACTTTGTTTACCTACTCAAGCCTCAGCAATGGCAGACGCCCATCCCCCAGCCAGGCTGCAGCCTCTCAGATTGATCTCAGACTGTTGTGCTAGCAGTGAGCAAGGCTCTGTGGGCGTGGGACCTGCCAAGCCAGGCACAGGAGAGAATCACCTTGTCTGCCAGTTGCTAAGACCTTGAGACAAGCGCAGTATTTGGGCGGGAGTGCCCCATTTTTCCAGGTAGTCTGTCATGGCTTCTCTTGGCTAGGAAAGGGAAATCCCCCAAACCTTCCCAGGTGAGGCAATGCCCCGCCCTGCTTCAGCTCACCTTCTGTGGGCTGCACCCACTGTCCTACCAGTCCCAATGGGATGAACCAGGTACCTCAGTTGGAAATGCAGAAATCACCCATCTTCTGTGTGGATCACTTTAGGGGCTGCAGACTGGAGCTGTTCATATTCAGCCATCTTGGAACGCTCCTCTCCCAAAATAAACTCGTAAATAAAAACCCAAATCACTTGTATTATTAAACACTAGAATAATTGTGAATTATACATACATTTAAGAGAGATGAGTAACAACAACAAGAAAATTATTTACCCAATATTGAGTGACTCAGTGAGTGACAGCAGACATAGTGGTGGTGAATTAAATCAAGAAATAAATGTTTACAAAATGAAAATTGTAAGGAGCACCTCCTCCTACCAGGCAGTCCAAAAAGAATAACAAATATGGCCAGTTCACTGAGTTTCCTATGGCATTGTTTATTGTTATACATATATATTATTATTGTCTATTTTATGGGTTTTTAATTTTACAATTATTTGTATCCATTCATTTATTGATTTTTCAAGCTGCTTATTCCAGTTCAGAGTTGCAAGTGGCTGAAGACCATCTCGGCAGCTCAAGGTGCAAAATGGAAACCAAACATGAACAGGATGCCATTCCACTGCAGGGCACACTCATATCCATATCCACATTCACTCAGACTGGGACAGTTTAGACATGCCAATCATCTTAATGTGCATGTCTTTGGAATGTGAGATAAAACTGGGAGAAAATTCACACAGACATGGGGAGAATGTGTAAACTCTACACAGATAGTGCCCTGGCTGGGAATCCTTTTTGTATTTCTCATTACTGTTATAACAATATGTCATCGAATGAAACAATGTTATTTGAAGACTCGCTGTGAATCAGAGTTAACAGAAGTGAAAGCACTGTGAAAGAAATGATACGCTGTATGTATGTGATAATAAAGAGATTTGTTCTTTATTTATGAGGGCAGTAAAACTGAAAGCAAATAGCATAACAGTAGAGCCAAGGGACTTCAAACAATTGTGGGGGAGAATATAACAATTAGAATTCTACCAAACCATTATTTTTTTAAAGTTAACCCAATACAAATAAAAACTTTTAAATATATAACAAGAAGGTAGGGATAAAAATAATGGTGTTACTACACCACATATGAATGATTTGGATTTTCTTATTAAAAGACAGAAATATTACACTAAATGTAAAAACAAAATGTTTTTCTGTACTGTTACAAAGAAAACACCCAAAATGAAGTGGTAAAAAATGTTAAAAACAAGATGGTACATATAAACCCTTAGCTCCCATAATCTCTTTCTTTGTAACATATTTGATAAATAATACCAGTAGAAAAAATTGTTGAATAAGTCACAATACTTCATTGACACCATGAAATATTGCCTCCATACAAAAGAATGATACAGTGCTATGTCACTGGCTTTAAAAATGTTCCCTAAATATTGTTAATAAGTAAAACAAGATTCCAAAAAGTGTTCATATTTGATCTCATTTTATGTATAAAAATGTTGAAAAAAATCCCATATATATTTACATGTTATTGTGGACAACATACGAAATACGTAAACCCAAGATGTTAATGTAGATTAAGTAGCGATTATATTGGTGAGTTATTGAAGCAAGACAGAAACACTAATAATTAAAAAAATAAAAATTCTGTCCAAAAAAATTGACAAATGACTAGCTAAACTATTTCAGAGAAATGTAATCTCAATGAATAAAAATGTAGAAAATTTTAGCAGAGAAAAAATATAAAACAACAATCAATGGAATTTTAGAATGGAAAAATGCAAGAACAAAATATAAAGTGGATGAACTTAACAGCAGAATAGAACTAATCACTGTCTTTTAATTGGAGCATTTAATTCATTAATATTTAATGTAATTATTACTATGGATACACTAAGATTTAATTATTTGCTTTCTCTTTAGCTTCTTTGATGTTGTCATCCTTCACAATTTTGTTGGCATTCTCAAATAACCAACTTCTGGCTTTGCTATGTTTTTCTGTTGTTTGTTTCTTATTGCATCAATTTCTGTTCTTACATTTATTATTTTCATCCTTCTACTAACTTTGGGTTTACTTTGCCCTTTTCTGGCCTTCTTAAAGTGGAATTTTAGTTCATGCTAAAGACCTTTTGTTACTTCTATTTCTAATATTGAGCATAGTCATAAGAGTTGCTTCAAAGTACTTGTCTGTGCCAGGCACTGTGGCTCATGCCTATAATCCCAACACTTCAGGAGGCCAAGGTGGGAGGATTGCTTCA
Source organism: Homo sapiens (assembly GCF_000001405.40). Lineage (NCBI taxonomy): Eukaryota > Metazoa > Chordata > Mammalia > Primates > Hominidae > Homo > Homo sapiens. The sequence continues at coordinate 28,165,872 of NC_000014.9, read as the reverse complement.
GCCCAGGAATTCAAGACTAGCCTGGGCAACATAGTGAGACTCCATCTATATTTCATTTTTTTAGAATAATATTTTTAAAAAGAGGAAAACGTACTTATCAGGGTCATCTCAAGTGTAGTCCTTAGAGACAGTCGGAAAACATATTTCAGGATATCATCCATGAAAATTTCATTTAGTTTTATTTTGTAATGTAGTAGCATTTTTTCTAGAGTTTGAAATTTTACATTTTGAATGGTACCTACTGTACTTAGAAACTGAACTCTGGGAGGAGTTCTTTAAAACTACCTTTTATAGAAAACATGGCATTTTTCACATGACTTTGATAGGAGATAATTTTTTTAAACCTAATGTTATCATTTAACACGGAAATTTTTGACTTTTCATATCTATTATAAGATAATCTGTGTATCAAAATTTTTAAAGTGGCAATTAGAAATATTAAAGTTATAAAATCTATAAAGATGATGAGTTTACCAATTCATTCACTATTGAAACACAATATAATTATGGTCTCTGTAGTACAGAGCTACCAATATTTATTTGGAACAATGTTAGAATTCTTACCTTTACCAGAGTTGCTTAATAATAAACGTTAATTCTAAGCATTATAGACCAGGTGCAGTGGCTCATGCCTGTAATCCCAGCACTTTCGGAGGCTGAGGGGGGCGGATCACTTGAGGTCAGGACTTTGAGACCAGCCTGGCCAGCATGGCAAAACACTGTCTCTACTAAAAATACAAAAATTAGCTGGGCGTGGTGGTGGGCGCCTGTAATCTTAGCTACTTGGGAGGCTGAGGCAGGAGAATTGCTTGAACCCAGGAGGCCAAGGTTGCAGTGAGTCGAGATGGTGCCACTGCACTCCAGCCTGGGTGACAGAGTGAGACTCCATCTCAAAGAAAAAAAGAAAAGAAAAGAAAAAAAAGAGTAAGCATTATAAACATATTGCAATTTAGATATTTCATTCACTTGCCTTAATAGAAACTATGAAGCTGATTTGAATATATATAATAAAATATCTGGTAAGGTAATATTTAAAGTGATATAATTAAGGGAACTTTTAGTATTTAGCACATTCTTTTATATTTGGACCCTCATGATACCATTTGATGATATACTCAAGGATATCAAGAAGATATTTTAAATAATTCACAGGTATTATATACAAATGTATGTGTCAAAAAAAAACTGACAACAGTTTTATTTTTAATGAACACTTATTTGTGTCAAATGTCAAATTTTATAATTATATACCAATAACTGAGTTTAAACTTTACCTAGCTAACAATTTGCAGTTGTATGGCAAATTATTCTTATTTTATAATAATGATTCCATTATAATTTAAGAAAATGAGTCAAAATAGAAAGGAAGAAATTATATTTTACATTTAGACATAAAAGATTAAGGTGTATATGTAAAATCAACCTATTTTAGTATAAACATTTTCAAAAACATTGCATCTACTTTCCAGTTTACTTCTGTTCTAGTAAAGCACAAAATGACATCAAGATAGAATCAGATGGTTCAAAAACCATTAAAAGAGAAAATAATTGGTGCATTAATTTTTATTTGAAATTGAAATTTTAAAAAAAAATTTAATCTTTATAAATGAAATTGAATTAAAGATTATTTATAATCTTGTGAGCATGGAAGTGATTTATCATCCCATTAGATAAGATCACAATGACAATGATAATATTGGTTGCTGCTTTTAATAAGAGTTTTTGAAAGGATAGGCTGAGGACAGATGGGTGGACTAAGTGCATTATTAGCAGCTCAGACATTAGTCAGATGTCAGACAAAAATACTGAAACATGGCCCCGGAGTGCTAAGGACCAGGCTGCCTGAGGGCTAAACACTCTGTGCATAAAATCATAGTATGTTGTTTTAAGACACAATTTGAGCGAATTGTATAATTTATAGCATCTTTCTTCAAGTGATGGTTTTTGTTAAGTTTCTAATGTGGCTGCTGTGATTAAAGCTTTTTTTGTTTGGGGTTTTTTGTTTTGTTTTGTTTTGTTTTGTTTTTGCTAATTGTATAAACAAGCCCTCTACCTCTACTTGCTATTTTCATACTATTATGTTATTAATTTTTCAGCTCACCAAGAGCATAAATTGAAAACTTTAAATTTTCCTTTTCATTGTGTTTTCTTTTGGCAAATGAAAAAATGGCAGTATGAAAAGTATGAAAATAAATTGGGAAATTTGGTCACAAGGTAACATCAGCACAGGGAAATAGATAATATAAATTTCTTTATATCAATTCAAACTGTTATAGTAAGAACGGCTTAACAGGCAGATATGCTTAATCTCTACCATAAGCATTCTTGCTAATTGGAAGTGGAGTTTAAGTTGCCAGGAATAAGGTCAGGTTATGTGATCCAAACATAATGGTGGATAACACTTGAAGAAAACAATCTGCTTTCCAACATGACAAGAATGATTTGCAGTTAATAATAGAGGGGGAAAGGCCAGGCTTCTCAGTTACCCTTGACTTCACCTAGGATGAAAAAAGAAATAACTTCTGCGGCTATGAGCTACTTACTGTTTTCCTGGTCATTATTGCTTAGTTATATTTCAGTGATGAAATCTATCATTACTGACTTTATTGACATTAAAGCTGATTTATATTTGTGCCTGGTGAATAAAAACAGCATTATGCTGCATTCAGATTGCTGAGTACTTGAGAAAGCAAGTGTAGCTCTAACTTAATTGTCTTTTGCTGGTTCACTCACCCTCTAATCTCAGTTTGAAAAAAAAAATTCTTTTATCAAAACAAGGGATAATGGAGAACTGATAGGCCTAAAGTATTTGTTTGCTTGTTGCTGCTGTTGTTGATAGGTGTGGTAGATTAAGGAATTTAAAGTCATTTAGAATTTTCAAATATTCCCAGAATTCTGTATTCTATCTCCTTGCCATTTGAACCTTGGGAGCCAGAATTTGGTAAAAGGCAATCAATTAGTCAATGTATTTTATATTAACAATGGATTAGTGAAATTCTAATTATTTAGAATGAAATTATTATCATTTTAATACTTGGTTTATTGAGTTATTGTTTCATCTCTTCCCATTAATTGTGTTCATATGTGGTAGACTTGACAATGAAGAACATTAATATTATAGAGGGAGGTTATTTTACATTTATTTACTGGGATGGCTGGGAGAGCTGTCAGACGGTGGAACAACACAGGTTGTTCCACTCATCCTGGCTCCGTCTCATTTTCTTTCACAGGCATTTCCCCTATTCAAACTTACACAAATGTAAATACGTTTTGGCCTCTGCTTTTTGATGAACTAGAAGCAACATATCTACCATGCAATATTAATTTTTAAATCCCTAAGGGATACATTTAGAATGTCTGTAATGATAAAAAATAAATAAATAAATAAAATCCCTAAGGGAAATCATAAGACTAGCAGTGATATTAAAAAACATTTAACAACTAAAATAGTACATGTATAAAGATGAGTCCAAGTGGATGCCAAGCAATCAAAACAGACTCTGGTTGTTAAAAGACTATTATGGCTGAACTTGTGAAGAGTGACTTTGACAGGAATACATCTTTCTGTGAGATTTTGGAGTAAAAACGAACAGCGAATATTGAACTAGATGACTGGAAATATTCATTCAAGTGACAGAATTATATAAGTAATGCTGATGTTATTTTTGCACAATAGTAACTTTCCAGAAAAGACTTTTTCATTTTTTTTTTTTTTTTTTTTTGAGACGGAGTCTCGCTCTGTCACCCAGGCTGGAGTGCAGTGGCATAATCTTGGCTCACTGCAAGCTCTGCCTCTGGGGTTCATGCCACTCTCCTGCCTCAGCCTCCCAAGTAGCTGGGACTACAGGCACCCGCCACCACACCCAGCTAATTTTTTGTATTTTTAGTAGAGATGGGGTTTCACCGTGTTAGCCAAGATGGGCTCGATCTCCTGACCTCATGATCTGCCCACCTCGGCCTCCGAAAGTGCTGGGATTACAGGTGTGAGCCACCATGCCTGGCCTTTCATGTATTTTTATTGCACATTTATTTTATATTGTGATTTGATATAACATTTAATCATATTTAGGGGTCTACCAGCCATTTTCCCATAAACTCAAATATTAATGAATCCTTATCATTTTGTGGAAGAAATGGGTGGAGAGAGAAAACGAGGAAGACAGAAAGAAAGAGAAAGAGAAAAGAAAAGAGAATGAAAGAAGTAAAGCTAATTAACACTGAAATCTCATTCTTTTAAATACTTGCCTAGTTTTCAGAACAAACCTGCTTCTATTACATAAATTTCTATTATCATTTAAATTTTTGACAAAAAATCCTGAAATCTGAGAATTAGTCATTCACAGTATTTCATCTGTCATAACACAGAGTTTATGCTGTGAGTCCAGATAAAACTGGATAGGAAAGTTGACTCTCCAATTTAGTGGATATAAGACCCATGGCAACTTACTTAGTTTCTTTATGTCTCCGTTTTCTGTAAGTAAATGGAGAAATAATGTTACATATTTTAAGATTTGGTTTGAAGGTTAAATAAGATATTACATCCAAAATGCAGAACACAATGACACATGATATTTGTTTAATGCTAGCTGTCATCATCATCATCACCATTATATTATGCCATCGAGCTGATATATGACAAAGAATATGAGTCACATTCATCAGAAATATGAAGTTCTGAGCAAGAAGCAACACTCATGCCTGCATCTGAGCAGGCAAAAGAAAATAGCTATTGTCAGTTTTTAATAGGTAATATCAACAAGATTCATGCAACACTTTATTTAAAATAACTCTTACTCAATTTCCAAAAAAATAGTATTACAAAATTTTATCCTTGCTGGTTTAGACATTAAAATTGCCAAGTGATCTATGTCTGAATAAGAACAATGGAGGTCATGGTATTATAATGCATTTTCTTTGGTAATTTCAAAAAAGTTTGGCACATGTATTATTTCATGGCAGCTAGAATACTGGAAAATACAATCTTCTAAAGAGAATAGTTCATAGAAAATTATTTTTACAATTCTGCTGTGTGGTAGTGCTGTCATCTATAAATAGCATAAATGTCACTCAGTGTCTAAGATACATGAGCTTTTAAGGAAGAGCATACATTTTTAAAAAATCACATATTTGAATAAAGAATATGAATTTTCTGAATTTGTATAATTTGGATCTACTATCTTTTAAAATGATGCTTATGACTTTGTGTAAAAATAAATGTCTTAATTACTAGACAAGCGTGACTGTATGACAAAAATTCCTGTTTAATATTGAGCCAAACCTTAAAAGTGTGATTGTATTGTAAATTTTCCCTTTGAATTTAAAATAATTTTTAAGGTAAGTTCTAAGGGTATTAGCATTTACTATGTCTATTTTATTGTTGAATGGAAGTGGATTTGTAGACTAAACTCAACTGAACCAAAGTTAGTTCATGAGGAGATTGCAAAATCTCTGACTTTTAACTTGTTTGTTGGGGTTTCTTACTACTGTTAACCAGGCTGCACTGCTCCAAATCTTATCATACTTAAATTCATACCAAGATTATACCAAAGGCTGGCGGTACAGCCTTCACCTATAGGGAACTTGGCGTAGTTTCACATTTGCAAAATGAAAATCTAGGCCTGTCATTGTATCGGTGGTCTAAAAGAAAACGTGTGTAACAAATCAACAATCAGTGTTTACATTTTCATTCATTTCTTCATTAATTCATTTAAAATATTTTTGAGTGTAAAATATGTTAAAGGCATTGCTAGCCATTGGAATATTTTGTTCCTGAATTTGGCCCATTTTGTGTTGCCAAACAAACAAATATAATAACATAATGTCAACAGACTAAACAACAGTACATATACATCCAGTGTTTATCAAGCATCTCTCACATTAAGTCTGTGAAATAAGGAGAAAATGTAAGTCAGACATAAATCCTGCCCTCAAAGAACTTAAAGGCAAGCAAAGGATAAGATAAGGCACTAATTTACTACAAAACAGAGCAGACAATAAGTGTTGTAAGAGAGGTACTTACAATGATGAAGAGGCAGAATGCGTATCAGGAAGACTTTATGGAGATGTATAGAAAGCTAAAAAGGTACACATGGAAGAAAGTAGAAACTATATTGTAAAATATTGATGACATGGATGCTCTTGGCATGTATGTATTTCAGAAATATCATTTGATTGGAATATAGAATGCATGACAGTATTTATGACTTATCATCAGTGATTTCACCCAAACTTCACCAGCATCCAAAAAGATACAAAAATATAGTGAAAACTCTATAAGAATTCTGTATACTGATAGACAAGAGTTTTGTAGATAGTATTAACATAATCAGAGATATGCTTTAGAAAGATTAATCTGATATTAGTGTGTTGGACGAAATTGGAGAGGGTAGAAATTTGAGGCAAGAAGCACAGAAAAGTAATTGTCAAAACAAGATTCAAAGTTTGGGTGATGATAGTTCCATTTTTATAAATACACATTTTACAATCTCTGAAGCGGCAAGAGTTATTTTTTTCTTGGAGGCATACAAGATAATGATTCTCTTATCATATTAGCACCTAAAGTAATAGTCTATGTGTCTATTATCTCTTTGGAGTTTGACTTTGAGGGGAAAATCAGGTCTTCTTCATTTTTATTCTCCCTGGAACTTTGCATGAGACTTTGTCCAGAGTAGTTCCTTATCAAAATATAAGCTTAAAAATTGTTGGCACTACAACTCACCCATAGGCATCCAAGTCTCATGCACAATAGAATGGAACAAAGAAAGACAGAGCAAGGAAACTACAGCCTCTGATCATTGGTCCGTTTCCAGCTACTTCACCCTGGGAACCAACAGAAAACCTTCCAAATATTTTAGAATCCTTTCAGGCAGTGATGCTGATGGATAGAGCTGGAGACATGATACTGACATGCATCTAATATGAGATTTAGACTAAAGTGAGTTGGAAAAACAATAGAGATTGGTTATCCTGAGTGATATTATGTATGCAGGTCTGATCTAAAATTTGTATATGCGATTCAAATTATTGATGGCAGTGATGGCCTATCTGCAGCTACCAATACAAAGCCGCTCACTGCAGCATGGGAGGCGCCGCCAAGGCTGCGTGCTCCACGCAGGAGCTGTGTGTGCTCCGCGTAGCCAGCAGTTCCTCCTGCTGGGAACAGGCAGGTGCCCCGCTATCTTCTGAGCTGGCAGGGCAGGAGCCCCGCCCTTCCAGGTGCAACTGAAGCCAGCCAGCCACGGCTGCAGGCCCCGGCATCCCTGTGCTCTCGGGCCCAGTAAGCTCCCGAGCCCCCGCAGGTTCAGAGATGCCTGCTCCCGCTGCCTGGCTTCTCCCTGCTCCTGGTGCCCACTCTGGGGTGGAGTAAAGTTGTGGCCAAGCCTGGCACTATCACAACCCAGCCAGTGTGCGTGTGCTTGGGGTGGCACTGACACACCAGCCTCCTGCTGCCTCGGCCCCCTCAGGACTTTGGGCACCGATGAGCAAGGGAGGGGAGTCTGGGTAAGGCAGGTTGGGGGAGCGATGGGAGGGGGACGTGAGGGCAGCTCAGCATGGTCCTGTGGATGCGGATGCCCCTTGGCATGAACAGGCTGGGTGCCATGGGCACGTGGATGGCTGGTTGCTGGCGGCAGGAGGCAGATAGGTTCCTGGGCAGAAAGGGACAGATCCTCCGTGAAGCTCCACCTTCAAGCAGGGAGGGCCTGAATCCTGGAGGCTGGGCTGCCAATTCGGCAGAACAGAGTGAGAACTTATGGTGCTTTTCTTAGGCCCGCCTATGGCCACCCAGGGACCAATCAGCACATACTTCCTCCCCTCTGAAGCCCATTAAAAACCGTGCACTCAGCCAGACTCCAGCACACATCAGGATGACCTGCCTGCTGAAAGGAGCTACCCACTGCAGGTCTCCTCAGAACTGTTCTGCCTCTCAGTGAAGCTCCTCTCTGCCTTGCTCACCTTCCAGTTGTTGGCATACCTCATTCTTCCTGGACACAGGACAAGAACTTGGAACCAGCTGAATGGCGTGACTAAAAGAGGTGTAACACAAACAGGGCTGAAGCACACACCCCTGCCTGCCACATTGTGGGCAGGGAGGATGGAAGAGCTGTGGCCCATTGGGAAGCCCAGCCTAGGGGCTTCCCAAGCCAGGGCTGTGACACCCCTTTTAAGGCTCTCTAGTTCCTGGCATGTCCAAGATTCCAGGTCCCACCACGTTCCCCTCATCCAGACACAAGTGTCCGCAGCAGAAGCTGTGTGCAGTTAAGTCTTGTCCAGCCTCAGCCTAATGTGGAGCCAGCACCTGTGCAAACGCCTGGAGCTGGCTGCCCCACCACAGCGGCCAGTGTGCCTGGCTGTGCACACTGGTTGGACTGTGCACTCGCTCGCCCACACACCCCTTGTCACTGTGCACTTGGCTCGCCCTCGGCAGGTGTGGGATCTGGGCCAGTAGTGTGAGCTGAGCATGGCGTGCTGGGCCGAGTGGGCGGAACAAGCCCGGGGTCGCAAGCAACACTCAGGCAGAAGGTGCCACTGGCCACAGAGGTTTCAGGCTGTCAAAGCAACACCCCAAGCCTCCCATGACATTATGATCTTATTTTGTCTATGCAACATAAAATTTATTTCCCCCACCAATGCCTCTTCAGATCTTCTCCCCTAGATTCTCTCTAGGGAAACTTTGATAAACATGTTATCTTACTTTAATTATTCCATGCTTCAGTCTCGCTGTATTATTATGTAAGAGGTACTGCCACAGTAATAAAGTTCTGCCTACTTAGTCCAGTTGACATTTGATTCTGCTTCATTGTAACAAGATTTAACTGTGTTTTTATCTTATCTAAGTATGAATACTTGTCTTATACAAGTGATAATAATATAATGTTTTTTGTAAAATTATTTTTCTCTTTCTACACATGGCCTTGGTAACATGCATAACTTCATGGAATTCACTGATACCAAAAGACTAACCCTGCTCTGTCCCCACAACTCCAATATAACAAATTCAATTTTTGAATACTGTACATTCAATATTCTCTTATTTTTATATACATCTTTAGGAACAGAGCCAATTGTCACTCTACTTGTTTCATTTATTTTTGTTCATATTATTTTACTGTCATGTCTGATTACTAACAGAAGAGTGATGCTAACATCCTATTTTAGAATTGTTCAAAATAAATTATAGAAAATATCTCCTAAATAATTCCCTTGACAACTCTGGAAACAATATCTTTTGATTACTATGAATAATTTTGGTCTATTTTTCTCTTGTTGTTGTGAGAGTGCCAGTAATATTCCCTTTAAATTTCCACTAAATTTCCACTTTCTTGGTACTTTGCCTCAGGGAATGGATTTCACTATTTTTGTTTGTTTGTTTTAGGCCACTCTAAAATGCCAAAAATAAGGTTTTGACCAGGACAATTAACAAGTCCTTATAATTTAAGGTAGAAATAAAAACAAGTTGCAGATTGGGCACTTTACAAATTCATTGCATTGTACATTCTAATTACTGCTTGCAAAGAACACATAAGTAGATTTCAAGTCAACACAAAAAATTTTATCTTGTGTCTAAAATCCATGATTTTCAAATGGAAATATATAATAACTAAATTTCAGAAAGGGAAATATACTGCTGAAACCAAAGTTTATCCTTAAACAATCTGTAAGAAGTAGCTCAAATCACAAAACAAAAATACAATTAGATTTAAATCACTTTAGAAGATATAAGGCTTGGATATAGATTCAGGAGACTTACTATGTGAAAAAGAACAAGGAACAGATAGACGAGGAAATCATACATAATAAAATAAAAATTTTCTTTAAAAAAACTGTTAAAAACTGAATTTATAGATCAAAAAGACTCATTAAAATAAATAAGTACGTCTCAGCATTTTATGGTATATTTCTGGTACAAGTGTGGAGTGTGTTTCTGTGATAGTATGTCCGTATGTGTATGTATGTATGTATGTGTCTATATTTATTACCAGACTGGGTTTCCTACAGGGGAAAAATTATCAGAAAGTAACAGACTTCTTATCTGCATATCTGGAAGCTGGAAAAAAGTAGAACAATTACAGACTATTAAGATAAAAAAATACACAGCAGAGATGTAATTCATTTGTCAGTACAACACATATTGACAGACTAGATAGGGTCCAAAGAGTATCCCAGCTACTTCATCTAGAAAAATTCTTGATTAATAATTCCAACCAAACTATACATAAGTTATACTAGAGACCTCAAGGTATAGAATAAGAAGATAGAAAACACTGCTGACCAACATAGTTGTATCTAAATTTATAAGACTATAGAGTTAAAGCAGGATTCTTAAAAAAAATACTTCAAGGGAAATTCTGATAACAATAAATAATTAATTATACTAAACTGTCTTGAGATTCTAGGGAGCAGTAACATGCTTTGAATATTTCATTTACAAAGTGCTTGGAGAAAAGCAGGAATGAGAATGTATTCTAAAAGGCTTATCTTATTTGGGGAAAAGCAAAAAGAGCAAACAGTTTAGAACATCTAAGTGGGGAAAATAATATCTTCTTTCTATGTAATAGTAGAGAAATATATATTCTATTGTGAGTATTGGGTAAGAGAAGATAATCATTATTAGAAAAAACAAACTGCAATAGTTATCTTGATTAACAAGCCTCTGTTGACGAAAACAGTAAAAAATAAAGAAAAATTTAAAATGGCTAAAAACATAAACACACATTAAGATGAAATAAGGAAATTATCTTAAGCTAAATTAGAGTGAGCTGAAATCTCCAGTTTAAAAATGGAACCTGTTGGGTTGAGTTTAAAAACAACTCAGCTCTAAGTAACAGACTTAAACCAAAGTGGTAAAGAAAGGTTGAAAATGAGCATGCGGACAAAGAAGTACCAGTCAAATATAAACGAATTCCCCCAAAAGCAGCAGCTATGATATTTTCATTAGATGAGATGGAATTAAAAGATAAATGTGATAAAAAGAAGAGAGAAATCTTTTCCTCAGCAGTGCACATAATAGTTACTTATTGAGCACTGTTTTGTGCTAGACAATGATCTAGGCACATGAGATACATCTATGAAAATGATCAAAGAAACAAAACCTTTGTCCTTGTGGTGTTTACAGTATAATGAGTATGATGTGAAAGTGCATTAGAGATTAAATATGGGTTTATTTGGTTTGACAACAAAAAATTTGGAGGAAGGCATAACTGGCATTTTTTCAGTGACTTGGTGATGTCAGGACTCTGGTGGTTGTCTCTGTCATTCTTATTTTCCTCATAGCTGCAGTAACTCCAAACCTCACTGCCTCACACAACAAAAAGGCAAGAATGAAAGGGATATGGTAACTTATGCCTCTCTCTCTCTCTCTCACCAGATATTTACTTGCAATTTATCTCCCAGAAATGGGTGAAGAGCCCACCTAAGATCCAGGACTAATCACAACTTTCTTAATTTAAAAAGATATCTGGCAGATATCTGACAAAATCTAGAAATGTCCTTGAAAAAGGGGGGGAATTAAGGAGATGCTAGATTTTAGGTAAGCAGCAAAGAGTTTCTGATCTCTTATATAGAGGCACAAGTTACAAGATTATTAGAAACACAAGAACAATTTGATGAAAATATTGTCATAAGGTAAGATTATGCTTTATCTCTAATGTCCAACTGAATAGATCAGTTAAGTCTCTACTTAATAGCTACACATTATTTCTGGTTAAAAATATCTTGTTTCACTTTTATAGAAACATTTACAAAAATGACAATAAAGAGGACTTAAGTCATTTTAAAGTAGAGGTTTTATAGCTCCATTCTCTGAATACAATCAAATACAATTATAAATGCACAGTAAAGATAGATACAGAAATCTTTACTAATTGGAAATTGAAAGCAACCTCTTATATGATACCTGGGTTAAAGCAAAAATCAAATGAGAAATCAACATATCTCTAGAAAGCAATAAAACAAAGGAAAAATTCGTACCAAATTTATAAGATGAAAAAGAATCCTATACTCAGCTGAAAATGTTTGTTTGAAATGTCTTCATTATCAAAAAGGACAAGTCTAAACATAAGGAAAACTGATATTTGTTTAAAATTTGAGTAACAACAAATACATAAAAATAAGCAAGATGTATGATTTAATACATTTTGAATGAACAAAATAGAAACAATAAGACAAAGTAGATGAAAGTATTAGTACAACAAATTAGCTGGAACAGTGGGCATTTGGAGACTATAAATATTTTAGAAATCAAAAGAAACAGGAATCTGAGGAGGATCAGTCCTAGAAACAAGAGGAAAAATCAGACACCAAGGAAAGAAAAGGGAGAAGGTAAGGACAAGAGAAAGGAAAGGGTGTAAGACAGTGTAGGAGAATATAGGTTTGTAGGGGAAGTCGGTAAGAGAGTTCGGGAGCATTTTTTCAGAGGAAATTACAGCCTATCTAAAAGAATTAATATCATAACAATTTACAGTAATTCATAAGGTATACATTCAATGACTTATACAAGTTATTGTTTTATGGCATATTAAAAATGTATTATTTATATAAAATTAACAAGACTTTTACAATTTTCCCACTAAGTTAGAAACGTTAGTGGGAAACCTTAAATTCATTTCCTTTATCAACATATATTTTGCTACATGTATTGGCAAGAAATAGCATAATTGTAGTGCTTTTACTTTGTGACAGAGAATACTATATTGGGGTGACATTGAAGAAGGATTGTGATCATAATGATAATGCAATTACATGAAATATGTATATTTCATAGAAGTAGCACTCCCTTACCAATTGACTTTTTATGAATATTCTTTAGTGTTTCAGAATAATCAGCACATTCTTGACTCGTTAACTACAACTAGAGTCATCAAGGGAGGAAGTGAAATTATCATTAAACATTCACTGACCAAAATCAATTAGTCTACCTACAATATTAATTAAATAGCTTGCTTTGTGCAGTCAGCAGCCCTTGTTACCTACAATGTCAGAAGAGTGAGATGTAGTAAGTAAGATAAGAAACAAAAAAGTAAATATATACATGGACTTTGGTGTCAAACTAAACGCAGTCAAATGTTAGCTTAGTCTCTGACACGTTGTTTGAATCTGAAGAACATATATAATTTGACTCTTTCTTTTTTCATCATCTGCAAAAGCAAAATAATGACTAAAACATAGAACAGCTATGGATAATTAATTAATTGATATTGATGTCTCTAGCACATAGTAGGCACCTAATAAATGGCAATGTCCTTTTTTCCTTCTGGTGTAGCATTTGGGTATACCATTTCGGTAGTGTGAAATATTGTCATTGATATAGATTTGGGTTTTCATAGGGAAGAAATTTTACAGTGAAGAGGAATGACAATATTCACCTTTTACTATATAAACATAAATCTCTATTAAAAAGCACTTTAAATATTAATAAAGGATTAATTATCTTCATTTATGTGGAGTCATTAAGGGGAAAACTAATTTGATTCTGTTTTCTTCACTGCCCTGCTCAGTTTTGTTTTCTTTCTGATTTCCCCTGTTTGGTTTTTTAAAAAATATTGCATTTCCAATCAAAGCGAGCTTTTAGCCTTTTTATTTTCAAAAGTCTTGCACCAGATTGCACCAAACTGCAGCCTGTCCTAACTTGGTTTGGTGTCAAAAGTACCTTAGCATCGATTGTGCTGCGATTCCTCCTACTAGCCTTACCAGAGAAAATGCATTTAACTAGATTTATTAGACACCTGCTAATTAATAGTCTATGAAAAGGATCCTTCCTGACATTTTGCTCTCTGGTTTGGTTGAGTTTCTCTGGTGCCCTCTTAAGCAATCATTCACCCACTGTCCTGAGTTGTGTGAGGACTCTGCATAAGAGAAAGTTGATATAAAAGAAAGCTTGACATTTTAACTTGACTCCATAATTTCTGATAGTGTTTCTAATCTCATCTTAAAGGGAGGGTTTACTTTCTAATTTATGTGAATCTTTTAAACAATATGGTAAAGATAACTGATCAAAACGGTTTTATATTACAAGTAGATGGCAGTTTTTACAAGAAATTTTACACAAAGTTGAAATTTTAGTTCAGTTCTGTTGGAGTTCACGATCAACCATGAAGATTCTGGGGAGGGAAAAGTAATTCCTTGCCAGTAGCACAGTGATATTAACAGATAACTATTGCAAGGGTCAAATATAAGCATCTTACAAAAATGTTTTCATCCTATTTATATACTGGCAATGGTTCCATAAAAGAGGCTGTCAACCACAGAGCCCACTTTGTAATCTGAGGTCTGTGATACTCACTAGGCATTATTCAGTGGCAATTTAGGATGAAAATCCACAGTAATAAAAATCTCACAGAGGTGAAGTCAATTACAGTATCAAGTGAAGTTTGTTAAGAACAGATACTTGTTATTAAAGTATCCACTCCTCAACGAGGCTGACCTTCTCAAATGCTAGTATGTCACAAGACATGAGATTTTTAAAAAATCCAATAACAAGTTTCCCCACTGTGGTTTCAATTGCCTTTTCAGATCTCCCACAGTGTTCTGTTTCAGTCTGAGATAATGCAGACAGTTCTGGTCCTCAGTGGGTCAAAGTGGCATGTATTTACACTAGAGTAATCAGAGACAGGATTTCTACCTTGATCAGATTATCTCTCTATATATTTTACTGTAATCTTTACTCCACTTGGCTTGTGTAGTCAAATTATGAGCTGCAGAACCTTTAAAAAAATTTCTGAATTTTTCCTTATAAAATGCTTTGCATTGCTAGGGGCTCAAAAAATAGTGGTGGCATTCTATTGAGGAAGTACACAAGAAAACTCAGGTCATTTGCCACTTTATAGTATTGCATAAAAATATGCATATGCATATATTAAAATGGATAGATTCTGCTGTTTTCCCTTTTGAAAAGAGCTCCCTGACTAAAGCTGTGTTAAAAAAAGAAAAAAAAAAACTTCAAAAAGTGGTATTTGAAAAAAGAGAATCAGTAGGATGTCCAAACCAGTGCATACCTTCATTGTAACCTTGTCATTCTCCATAACAACTTTGAATTTATTCTTGTGGGTCCCAGCTATATCATAACAATTTGTAACAAGAAATATGTTTTGTTTTCTTATATTTTCAAAGTGATAATATGCCTAGTCCACAGTAGTCACTTCTTAAGTAGACAGATAAACAAAAATAACATTAAACAAGAAAAACATTTTTGAATAATATTGAAGGAGTTCAGGAAAACTATACTATTTATGCTGTAAAATTCTATGACCATTTCAATTATTTTCTGAATATAATTATTCTAATATACAAAAAATGAAGTGAGACGTTAAAATTCGGTATCATTCAAAAAATTAGCCGGGCATGGTGGCGGGTGCCTGTAGTCCCAGCTACTCGGAGAGGCCGAGGCAGAATGGCATGAACCCGTGAGGCAGAGCTTGCACTGAGCCCAGATCCAGCCACTGCACTCCAGCCTGGGTGACAGAGTGAGACTCTATCTCAAAAAAAAAAAAAAAAAAAATTGCATCATTTTAAAATATGCTAAATGGAAATTGCGGAAACTAAGATGATGACAAATCTGAAGAATTTTTAACATAGCATTTTTGCTCTTAAAATTTAGAACACTACTTCAAGTGGGATATTTCTGGTGGGATATATCTGGCGCTGTGTGTGTGTGTGTGTGTGTGTGTGTGCCCATGTATGTTTCTATGCTACCCTTTCTTCTTAGTAATTTATAAGAGCATGGAGTGAACTTCCCAGTGGGGTGCATGTAGGTAGCCATTTCAAAGTCACATGATAAGAGGACCTCATTCTCATTCTCTTATTAGTTTCAAATGCCCTTATTCACTTCTGGGCAATGGATTCCAGAAGGCACTAAGCCAGATAAAGTTTCATCTATAGTATTTAACATCACAGAACTTCAGATTTTTTTTTTTAGGCCCAGAAATATGAGGATTTTAATGAAATGATAATACCTAAGTAATAATCATTCAAGAATTAAAAACAAAGTCATACTTTACTCCCATTTTTGTTTCTAATCTATATTTTTTTCTACTTTAAAGTTGTAGAATTTTCTTTTTTTTGTTTATTTTATTTTATTATTATTATACTTTAAGTTTTAGGGTACATGTGCACAATGTGCAGATTAGTTACATATGTATACATGTGCCATGCTGGTGTGCTGCACCCATTAACTCGTCATTTAGCATTAGGTATATCTCCTAAAGCTATCCCTCCTCCCTCCTCCCACCCCACAACAGTCCCCAGAGTGTGACGTTCCCCTTCCTGTGTCCATGTGTTCTCATTGTTCAATTCTCACCTATGAGTGAGAATATGCGGTGTTTGGTTTTTCGTTCTTGGGATAGTTTACTGAGAATGATGATTTCCAATTTCATCCATGTCCCTACAAAGGACATGAACTCATCATTTTTTATGGCTGCATAGTATTCCATGGTGTATATGTGCCACATTTTCTTAATCCAGTCTATCATTGTTGGACATTTGGGTTGGTTCCAAGTCTTTGCTATTGTGAATAGTGCCACAATAAACATACGTGTGCATGTGTCTTTATAGCAGCATGATTTATGATCCTTTGGGTATATACCCAGTAATGGGATGGCTGGGTCAAATGGTATTTCTAGTTCTAGATCCCTGAGGAATCGCCACACTGACCTCCACAAGGGTTGAACTAGTTTACAGTCCCACCAACAGTGTAAAAGTGTTCCTATTTCTCCACATCCTCTCCAGCACCTGTTGTTTCCTGACTTTTTAATGATTGCCATTCTAACTGGTGTGAGATGGTATCTCATTGTGGTTTTGATTTGCATTTCTCTGATGGCCAGTGATGGTGAGCATTTTTTCATGTGTTTTTTGGCTGCATAAATGTCAGCCCCAAATCCCCTTAAGCTGATAAGCAACTTCAGCAAAGTCTCAGGATACAAAATCAATGTGCAAAAATCACAAGCATTCTTATACACCAACAACAGACAAACAGAGAGCCAAATCATGAGTGAACGCCCATTCACAATTTCTTCAAAGAGAATAAAATACCTAGGAATCCAACTTACAAGGGATGTAAAGGACCTCTTCAAGGAGAACTACAAACCACTGCTCAATGAAATAAAAGAGGATACAAACAAATGGAAGAACATTCCATGCTCATGGGTAGGAAGAATCAATATCGTGAAAATGGCCATACTGCCCAAGGTAATTTATAGATTCAATGCCATCCCCATCAAGCTACCAATGACTTTCTTCACAGAATTGGAAAAAACTATTTTAAAGTTCATATGGAACCAAAAAAGAACCCGCATTGCCAAGTCAATCCTAAGCCAAAAGAACAAAGCTGGAGGCATCACGCTACCTGACTTCAAACTATACTACAAGGCCACAGTAACCAAAACAGTATGGTACTGGTACCAAAACAGAGATATAGATCAATGGAACAGAACAGAGCCCTCAGAAATAACGCCGCATATCTACAACTATCTGATCTTTGACAAACCTGAGAAAAACAAGCAATGGGGAAAGGATTCCCTATTTAATAAATGGTGCTGGGAAAACTGGCTAGCCATATGTAGAAAACTGAAACTGGATCCCTTCCTTACACCTTATACAAAAATTAATTCAAGGTGGATTAAAGACTTAGACGTTAGACCTAAAACCATAAAAACCCTAGAAGACAACCTAGGCATTACCATTCAGGACATAGGCATCAGCAAGGACTTCATGTCTAAAACACCAAAAGCAATGGCAACAAAAGCCAAAATTGACAAATGGGATCTAATTAAACTAAAGAGCTTCTGCACAGCAAAAGAAACTACCATCAGAGTGAACAGGCAACCTACAAAATGGGAGAAAATTTTCACAAGCTACTCATCTGACAAAGGGCTAATATCCAGAATCTACAATGAACTCAAACAAATTTACAAGAAAAAAACAGAAACCCCATCAAAAAGTGGGCGAAGGACATGAACAGACACTTCTCAAAAGAAGACATTTATGCAGCCAGATGTTTGTTGTCACAAAAGAGGTCTTCAGAGATTATATTCAGTCTACTCATTTTACAAAATAAAAAAAAACTCACATAAAGAGAAGCAAAGCGATATTCTTTAATCAACAAAGTCCTAATTAAAATAATCAAGTGCCTAATGAGTCTGAGCCAACTTTACTGGTACTTCATCACTCACTCTGGTGTACTAACGGGTAGCCACACTCAAGACCAGGATCATCTTTAAACCTGGACTACAGGCATTCCTGCCCTGGGACCCCATTTTAAGGGCACAAACATCACAAATACCAAAATAAAATCACTTTTCTGTTTGAATAAAATAACTTTTCTCTTTGCGATACCATAAGAAGGTTTTTGTTTGTTTGTTTGTTTTAGGAAATTTGGCAACTGATAAATGGAGAGGAATGAAGGCAGGAAAAGATGGAGCTGAACTGTGCTCCCAGCCAGTATAGGAGGATGGAAGCAGGGCCGTGTGTCCAGGAAGAGCAAAAAGCACACTTCTGCCCTGAGACACTGGAGAAAAGTGGCTGATCTTGATTCTCTTTGGCTGCCCAAGTCACCCAGAGTGTGCATACTGACGAATTTCCCCAGAAGACTGCGTTCCTACCTTCCCATCTTTTCTAATAATGTCCTCTTGGGAGGGATTCGGAACTTCCCAGACATCCGGATTTGAAAAACTGAAGCATAGAAAAAAGAAATTGCTAGCCCTGGCTCCCAGGAAGCTTGTACAGGTGGGATTCCTCCATGGAATCCTGATCACTGAACTAGTTCCTGCCTTGTCCTGACCAGAGACATGGGTGCTCTCAGTAACCAGTACTCCCTAGGGCCTCTTTTCTTTTAGCTTTGGTCCTGAGGGAAATTTTCAAAGTGCAAGCTGAGGGACCCTGAATAAAAACTTGTACCAGCTGTAAAAATAGCTGAAATTTTAACTTTTAAACATTTAGATTTGTGGTATGTGGACATTCATTTGCACAATTCACCCAGTACTACATGGGTTTAGGGGTCATCCTTATCAATGAAAGTCACTATCCACTAAGCAAACCTGTTATTTTTCTGTAGTGTAGATATGAAATATGCATATGTGTGCATCTGAGCTTTATTACTTCTGTAGTTATTTTCCTCCCTGCTGCTAACCTATATTCATTCAGTAGTCTATTCTCAGACTATAAAATGATACATTGGTTCATATAGTTTGATAGCTTACAAAGGGACTTAGACTTTCCTTATTGGCTTTAACTTTATATTCTGAAACTATTTATTATAAATTTTAAATTGTTTGTAATGTTCAAGTACACTAATTTTAAGACTATTTATTATTTTTCTTTTGCCACTGAAGTATAAACAGTGGAAGAGAGCAAATGTATTTTTGTGAGTGTTTGGTAAATATTAAAATGGCTGAGTAAGAAATCACAAATTCCAAATAAGAGAGATGATGAACAGAATATGATAACTAGATTTTCAATTAAGAGTGTGTGGAATAATTAATTTTAAGTTTACATTGTCATTTGAAAGTATTTTTTCCTGATATTCCCTCCTTTCATCATTGACAGACTACCCACTTTAATAATGTATATTTATATTATCTTTAATAATTACAACAATATGCTATCTTACCCTAACAAACTTGTAAGAGTAGGAATAAACACATATTATTCAGTGTTGGCAAAGTTGCAGGGAAATAGTCCCTTCCAGTTACTGCTGGTAGTGATGTAAATAATAGTTTTATCCAATGGCTTTCCTTAAAAGTAAATGTGTGTACTTCTAATTCAACAATGACATTTCTAGAAACCTACCCTAGGGAATAATCAGAGATTTGTAGGGAGATGTATTTTCATTATATGCTCAATTTCTCATTGAATAAAATTCAAACAACCTAAATGTACAACACTAGAGACCAAGTTAAGTATTTTATAGAACATTTTTACTGTAGAATATAATTAAGGTTTGGATAGTTTCACTACAAAACGTCAAGAGTGATTTTCTCTAGATTGTGTTTTTTATTGTTGGTATTCACTCCTTATGATCATTCTCTAATTTCTCTAAAATGGTATATTCTACATGTGTAATCACAAAAAAAATTTAAGGTAATAAATTTAAGAATAGAAAATCATAAGTAATTAATGAGTTATACAGATACTACTGTCTATATACTTTGAGTTAAAAAAGTAAAAAAAATTCTAACTGTCCATTATTTTTTTAAAGTCTGAGCTCCCTGCTTTTGATCAGAAGTGAGGAATATATTCATGCCATTTTGGAGTATGTTGTCTGATCCAGAGATACCATGTTATTTAGGTATTTAGAAGATAAAAGACAATTCAGATATACTAGCAACTTTAGCATTTCTTAACGTTGTTGGGACAAGATTTGTCCAAAACAAAAAAGAAAGGAAAAAAAATCCTGTCTTCCGTGAAAACACCTAGGATTAAATTCTAAATAGACAGAACAATAAAGTACGTGATTGTTAAAAACAAAATAAAAAAAAACTGTCACAATGGAAGAAACATTCTTAGGTCTTGGAAAAGAAAAGAAATTCAAGGTTGGAATGCAGTCTTGCATTACCTCCTCTAAGAAAACAAACGATGTGTGCCAGATGAGGAATAAAGAATTCTGACTTCATTTATTACTGTAGCTTACCTCTTAAAGGGATGGCAGACTGGTTTAACATGCAGTCAGGCAGGAGTGCAACATCAATAAACAATACTCAAATTCTCCCAGATAAGACATTCAGATAAGGATGCAGGTGGAGAGTGTGACGAGATATACAGAGCCAGCTTGTACCTAACTCCAAGTAACAGTTTTGTGAGAAAAAAATCTTCCCCAAGTACAAAAGAAACAAGTGTTACGAAAAAAAAAATAGGAAGTATATGCTTTTTCCTCTTTCTCTCTAAAGATGGTTAATAGAACAACTCTTCTCTGTTTTCTAGAATTGGGAAATGAGTTACGTAGGTGATAATATTACATGTGAAATAAAGTGGATATTGGAGGCTTTTGTATACCTGTTTAATCCCCATACATCCTCAACTTGAAACGTTGAATGGCTATGTGACTGGAATTTTGAAATTGATATCATCATTCATAAACTTAGAAGAAGTTTGCAGTCAAGCTTTTTTTTGTGGGGGTGGAGGGTGGGAAAATGGAGTTTCCCTCTTGTTGCCCAGGCTGCTATGCAGTGGCGCGATCTCAGCTCACTGCAACCTCTGCCTCCCAGGTTCAAGTGATTCTCCTGCCTCAGCCTCCCAAGTAGCTGGGATTACAGGCTCCCGCCACCACGCCCGGCTAATTTTTGTATTTTTAGTAGAGACAGGATTCCACTATATTGGCCAGGCTGGTCTCAAACTCCAGACCTCAAGTGATCCACCTGCCTCGGCCTCCCAAAGTGCTGGGATTACAGGCGTGAGCCATCGCACCCCTCCGGTCAATCATTTTTAAATGCCTAATGTTGTATTTAAAGGAAAGAATGGGCCAGGCGCTGTGGCTAATGCCTGTAATCCCAGCACTTTGGGACGCCGAGGTGGGCCGATCACCTGAGGTCGGGAGTTTGAGACCAGCCTGACCAACATGGAGAAACCCCGTCTCTACTAAAAATACAAAATTAGTCGGGCGTGGAAGGGCGCGCCTGTAATCTCAGCTACTTGGGAGGCTGAGGCAGGAGACTTGCTTGAACTCAGGAAGTGGAAGTTGCAGTGAGCCAAGATTGCAGCATTGCCCTCCAGCCTGGGCAACAAGAGTGAAACTCTGTTAAAAAAAAAAAAAAAAAAAAAGAATGTTAAGATAATCATGTTGTTAAGAATGCATTGTTTTTGCTTGCAATTTAATATCATTAATTAGATAGTGGATAACATAATTAAGTACTGGGAAAAATCCCTTATCTCTCTCTATTATTTATTTTTTAGTAACCGATAAAAAAAATATGGGGATCTGAATGAAAAGAATGTTCTGAGGACCGAAATGTACCGAAATCACAGTGCTTTTAGTTGCTGCAATCCTCAAAATTGAGAAGCATAAAAAAATTATATCTGAATCATTTTACATTTTGCAAACAAAAAATATGAACAGATATATTTATTTAGGACTTTTTAAAAAAGGGAATACCCAATTTCAGATGAATTAGAAATTGTTTCATAAATTAGGCTAATTCCTCATTCATACTTTCCTACATTTGTGGATCAAGAAAACACATTTAATTTTATTCTCCTGAACTCATTCTGATAAGTTTTAATGTAAAGTCAACCCAAACCTCAGACAGAGGCTACTAGTCATAAGTTAAATTGCACTTGGACTAACACAGCTTTTGGTAGAGAGAGCCCTTGGAAAATAGAAAGCTGATTGTCTCCGGAAATTGCCAGGCAGTAGTGAAGACAAAGGGGCAGGATTCACAGATGCCTTTAAGAAGCCCCTTGGCTGTAGTACAGGAGAAAGAGTCCCTGCTTCCAGGCTGGTTTCGTCCTGAAACTAAGATGCCTTTATTTTATTCTAGCTGAGAGACGCTGAGTTTTCTTTCTAATAAAGATGAATTTTAAACTCAATTAGGGAGATAGTAAAATCAATCTGAGAGAGAAGACAGGTGGAGTTTTGGCCGATAGTTTGGAGTATTAAACCACGGAATAAGCAAGAGTAGCAAGATATTTAAAAAAAAAATGCTCTCAGATCTATTTTGCTAACTTACCAGCCAATGATTCCTTTTCTATTTTTCAATCCTTAGAAATGAAAAAGGAAAAGGAAAGAGAGAAATAAAATCACATAAATAAACATTCAAGTTCAGTTTTCCTTATACTTTTACAGAAAATCTGATTTATGTAGTATGTTTTTAGAGGTATCTTATAAGTGTCTTTGTATATCTTCAATGTTAAAAGAAACTGAACGAGAAAGCTTGCTTTTATTAACACTCTAAGTTAGGTTTGTGAAATAATTTTGATATTTAAAATAATTTTGAATTTTGACATACAGGGTTTGTTAGTATAGCTGGAGCCTACAAATTTCTTTAAATTCAATATTCAAACTCAAGAAAATAAGCCTATTTATTCTGTAGCACCGTTTATATTGCTTAGATTTTACTGTCTCCCTAATTGATTAGCACTGTTCATATTGCTCTTTGCTGACTGGCTTCCTGCAAAAGCCCTGCATCACAAACCTGTATTAGGTGAATCACAAAGCCCCTTCTTCATCAATCTTATTTTCATCAGTGGATAAGACAATATAAAAATAAGTCACTTCAATCAAAATTATGAGGTCTCATTTTGGAAAACTAGCCATGTAGCCACACTGCCACAAGGTGGGAGTAAAACGTTTGATTGGCTTAAGAACTGGCCTTTGCTTTATTCTTTTTTCTTTTTTTTTTCTTCCCACAGCTCTTATGTGAACAAAGACATAAAACAGGCTAACTTTAAACTCGAATGAAATAATATTGGTTCTGTATTCCTTGTTGCTAATATGCATACCCTGAGAACTGGAATTTCTTTTCCCCAAAATTTGAGTATCAAATATAATAAATGTAGATGAAGAAAATGGTTTAACAGCAATTTCTTTATTTCTCTCTTTTCTTTCTTTATTCCTTGCCAACATTAGTGCTCCTTTCAAACTATATTTTAGGACTATAAGAAAGCCGTTTCTCATAAGGCCTACTAAAAAGAACCCCCCAAATTTATGATGATAATGAATATTACTTATTCTCTATACTAATGCATATTTTGAAGTTAGCTGCCCTCCATAAACTTTTCCTGTCATTTTATATATGCATGGTAATGAAGGCAGCCATGTAAGTGGGAACAATGAATTAAACAGTCCAAGAAAAATGTATAATGATCTTGACCTTCTAAGGAACTGAAAGATTAAAATGAGTTTTTAAATATTGCTTATTCTAGAATAAACATAACCCAGAGCCTCTATGCACAATTCCATGGCTTTTGCTTGCCATGGAATGGCAAGTAAATAGATGTACTAGCTATGCTTTGTTTAATGTGTGCCTATTAAATCCAAATTTGGCAATATATGTGTTTATGTTGAGGTATAAGCATATGCAAACATACACATGGCCTTTGAGATAGAGTGTCTGACACAGGCTAGTAAGACCAGACATTACAAGGCAGTCGAGACTCACCAAGGTGACAGTGACTCACCTAAGGGAACCCGAGTGGTGCTAAATGGAAAGGACTGCCATCTCCCTTGAATAAAAAGACAAAAAGAATAAGAAAAAGCATAAATTGGCTTGCCCATTTCAACTCCTTTCCTCCTCCTATATATGAATATAGAGGGAGCTAATAGCTCACATTCATGTCATTGCTGCTGATGTTATGTTTTCTGGAAAGACTTACCCAAATAGATCTTTTTATCTTACTGAGTTCTGAATACTCAATAGATAAAGGGCCACGTCACTTACCTAACTTTTTCACTTTTTTCCCTAACGATAGCAATGGCAAGAAAGACAAGGCAGTGCCTAAGGCCATGGCATTGATGCTTTGTTGTATGTATGTGCAGAAGCTCAAGTAAAATAACACAATGGTCTCCAGCATAAACTTTGCTGTTTTTAGACAGTCTAGCAGAATATTACATTATAAATAAGTAAAGTTTTTTGACTGGGTAAGTATTTTTAAAGTTTAAGATATGTGGAGAAAATCTATTCACATAATGAAATACCACCTGACAATATGCTAGATGATTTTGGATGTGGCATTATAATAATGCACTTGAGTATCTCATAGTTAGTGTTCTGCAAAATGCTGAGTACTGTGTTCTCATGATCTGGCAGATATGATCTACATCTTCTGCCCTTCAGGGTCACTGTTTTTTCTCTTAAACTTATAATTTGGAGAATTGGCTGAGAGGAAAATGAAGGAGAAAATAAATAGCTTTAAAATTTTAGTGAGTGGCTAGGATTGATTGTAGGTAACTCAGAAAGGATAAAAAACATCGATTGTTAGCTGTTGCTTAAAAAAATAGTGTACAGAATCCAACCAATGTGTTCTCTCTAAGTTCAATATATTTTTAGTACTTACTTTTTGTGTTATTGACTCTAAGATGTCATTAGAGTAAGATGTATCATTATTTTGTGTTCACTAAGAAATAAAAATATGTATTCAATTGCGATTAGTCATTAACTGTAAGATGTTAAAATAGCATGTAGAGATGTTAAAATAGCAAATTTTAAAAAGAGGAAGGAAAGAAGGAAAGAGAAAGAAAAAGAAGAAAGGAAGGAGGGAAGGAAAGAAGAAAGAAGGAAGGAAGGAGGGAAGGAAAGAAGAAGGAAGGAAGGAAGGGAAGGGAAGGGAAGGAAGGAAGGAAAGAAGGAAGGAAGGAAGGAAGGAAGGAAGGAAGGAAGGAAGGAAGGAAGGAAGGAAGGGAGAAAGGTGAAAGGAAAGCAAGCCTTACAAACCGTTAAATAAAATAACTACTTTGAAGACTTCTTTACTGATAGGGACTGAACTAGAATAAGGCTACTTTGGATTGTTTGAGGTCTCCCATTTTTATCTGCAACATCTCATTGAATAGGAATCACAAGGTTCTAGGATTGAGGTATACGTGAAGTAATGAGGAAAAGACTGTACAATGATATTAATGTTTTTAATTAAAAAGTTTACAATTGAATTTTTAATTAAAATTTAACAGAGTGATATAATAAAATGCTTAAGTGCTTAAACTTTAGATGTAGGAATCCCATTTTATGTGATTAAATCAAAACTCAATTATGATGCATGATTTTAGTGTATTTGAAAAACATAATGATCTAAAAGTCAGGGTATCCTGGATTTACAGTCAACTAAAGGACATGCTAGTTGTCATATTTTGAATTGTACTAAATAGTATTTTCTTGTACTAATTTTTATATAAATGCATGATCTGTTTAAACCATGCTATTCACTTCTAATATGTCAGTTAATAGCTGTTGTCTAAAACAATATTTTTTAATTCCAATGACTTATCAATCAAGTAATATAATATCAGTTACTGAACAATGTTAGGAGGAAAGAACTAAACATATTTTGCTTTAAATTCTACACCTTCACATAAAATTGCATTATACATTCCAGAGAAAACTTATAACTCGATTGGTTTTCATTTAATTGGTTTAACAAACTACCAGTGATTTACTTTTTAGAATAAACTCCTTAATAAATGTCTAAAATGCTGGAGCACTATACCCAAACTAGTAATAGCTAAGTGAAAGTCAAAAGTGGAAGAACCTAATGAGTTGAATTAACTTGTTTGATTTTTGTCCTCATATTTAACTTGAATTTTACAAAGGTAATAATAATACTAAAACCACAATAATTACCTCAATGTGTTAGTGGAAAAATAATCTCTGGTTCACATCATTGATCTTAGAGTTATAATTTGTTATATAAAGTTGAAGATATTCTTTGTAGTTATATAAATTCCTATAAAGACAGTAGGTTATTTTTTCCCAGCATCTTAATTAATTTATCCACAGAGGTTACAATAGGGCTTTTTGCAGAGGAAAGACGATGGAAATAGTGAGTCTGTGCAGAATATGAGAAAGGTAGTCATCTATCTAGTATCTGTTATCTCTCTCTATATATATTTGTATATAGGAAAGATTAATAAATAAAAGCCAAGTGGCAATTCCCTTAGATATTTGATTTGGTGTAATCTAAAATTGAGAGGAAAATGAATTAGCAAAATACAATAATCTCATATTTGTTTTAAGGTCTGTTTCAGATGCCAGTTTTCTTTTGGCCAGACCTGAGTCTCTAAAATTCCTTCTAGATATTTTACCGTTCTGTCGAATTACCAGAGGGTTAATTTTGATGTGCATCATACCTTGTCTCACCAGTAATTTCTGGCCCCTGTATTCTGGGTGTGTGAGAAACATTCTCTTTTGCAACATGGGAACAGGAGAGAGTATTTTCAGGATACTCTGAGAAGACACATTAAAAATAAATTCTTTTTTATTTCTTTTTATGCAAAGTATTTGTGAATGAGTATGTATACATTTGCTGAAAAGAAAATTCTAGAAACTTTAATCCCAATCTATTTTCTCAAGTCTTTTCCTTATTAAGAATTATCGTACAGGTTTAGATGTTGGTATCAAAGTCCATTTGAAGTTTTTCTATAAAAAGCTCACATCTAAGTCAATAAGGATATGAGATATGTTTTCTGCTTAGTAGTGTTTTTCTTTAAAAGTACAACTGTAATGGAGTGGGAAGACAAAAAAAATCTATTAAGTATTGAAATAACCAGACACAAAGTACTATAATCAGAAATACTGCAGTGGACAAAGATAAAATGTAAGGCCAGAAGCATTAAGTTTATGTATGTATACAATAGCACTGTTGCATGGCTCCCAGAGGCATAGGGCTTACCACTTCCAAAAAGTACTCACTATTAAGGTGACATAGGTCTTGTCCCTTGAGCCTCCTTAAAGAAACAACAACTGTTCAGTAGCAGTGTAACAGATGTTTAAAAGAATCATTAGCAATCTAAATGTTTTTCCAAGCAGATGTCCTACTTCTGCTGTGGCTAACTTTGGGGGGAGCCGAGTGGAATGCAGAGAGAATGAAAGGATGAAAAGTTGAGGGAATCAATAATAAACAGTTATAAGAATTACTCATTTAATTATATCAAAAAAAGGACCAAGGTGTAGTGTTCTCTAATTGCTGCTGCTTGAAGAAGGAAGGTAACCAAACCAAAGAAAGAATTAAACTCACATTGCTCCATTGACTTGGCACGTAGCTTTGAATCAATGAGAGGAAAAGTGACAAGCAGTATTAAAGAGAAATTTAATGCTAAAATTGCAATTGTGCACTTTTCAATAGATTTCAGTAAGGAATCAGAGGCTAAAAAAGAATCAGTGAAAAGAATGAAAATGAGGAAAACCAGTACACCTGCAAGGTGAACCTATGACAGGAATAAGAGAAGTTATTAGATTAGGTGACTGTCATTGTAACTTTATTTCCTTAGGGGCAAAGATAGGAAGGTTTTTTTCCAAGCATTTTTTTCCACTCTGAAATACCTCAGCTAGAAAGAATTTTCTAGGTAGATAATTTTTAACCTCAGCAACCTCATCCAAGTCCTCCTTTATTTTAAAATTTGCTTTCTTCCCAAAGAAGGCAAAATGTAGGAATCTATGTTAGTTATCTGCATCTTCAAAAACTATTTTTTTAATGTATGAGAGTAAAGGAGAAAAGGTACTTAAATAATGCAAAAAATAATTTCTTATAATTTTAGTTTTCAAAGGGGTATGAAAAATAATTATAGGCTATAGTAAAATCATGGCCATTAATAATATGGAAAACTCAGTGAAAATATAAATTATGCATTTGCTATATTGTATGCACCATGAAACACATTTAATACAGTTTAGCTTTGCCTATGTGTACCCAGATCTCAGATTCAGTCATTTTTATAGATTTTTTTTTTTTCCAGAGACAGAGTCTTGCTCTGTCGCCCAGGCTAGGGTGCAGTGGCGCGATCTCGGCTCGCTGCAAGCTCCGCCTCCCGGGTTCACGCCATTCTCCTGCCTGGGCCTCCCGAGTAGCTGAGACTACAGGCGCCCACCACCAAGCCTGACTAATTTTTGTATTTTTTTTAGTAGAGACGGGGTTTCACCTTGTTAGCCAGGAAGGTCTTGATCTCCTGACCTCGTGATCTGCCCGCCTCGGCCTCCCAAAATGCTGGGATTACAGGAGTGAGCCATCGCGCCTGGCCAGAAAATTTTATAACAATCAATTATATGGCAGCAACAGAAATAATTTCCAGGATCAAATTGACATTTCGTACACTAAATGTGACCATATATTGGATCTGTGAGAGCTGATGAACCTTAAAGGCAAATCTCAGTTATATAGCATAAATTCGTATTTACTAAGTCATGTGCTATGATTTCACTTTTTTCTTTCTCAATATTAAAAGGCATGAGTACAGATGACCATATCATCATCACAATGGAGGAATAATTTTAAAAATCAATTTTGAGAGTCATATTAGATGAATTCATTCATTTACTCATTCAATAAACTTTTATTGAAACCTGCTTTATACCAAGAAGTACGTTAGATGCTAAGAATTGCAAAGATTAAGGAAATGCTGTTACTACTCATAAGTAGTTCACAGTCTAATCAATGAAATGCTCAGTCTCTAAACAGAGAATTCCATAAGTAAGTTATGCACCTGGGGATGTAGTGAGCTCCCACAATGCAATGGCAATCACATTCCCATTAGAGCCAGTGAGGACAACCTCAGAAAGGAAGTGAAGTTCTGATGGTCAACTGAATTTAAAGCTGGTAGAAATGTGAAACGTTTTTGTAAGTCATTATAAATAACATATTAATTTAATAAAAATGCATCTATGAAACCACTCAAAATATAATCTTTCTAAAACCAATGAGATCTTGTTTGTTCTCACCATGTGCTACATTGATGTCTCCAGTAACTCTATGCGTGCTATTTGAGAAGCGCCATGATACAGGAGAAGTAATGGTGGCACACAATTATCATTTCCTTCACACGTGCAAGTTCACCTCATGGTTTAAATTACAAAGTTCTCTATGGTTTTCAA
Source organism: Homo sapiens (assembly GCF_000001405.40). Lineage (NCBI taxonomy): Eukaryota > Metazoa > Chordata > Mammalia > Primates > Hominidae > Homo > Homo sapiens. The sequence continues at coordinate 28,136,377 of NC_000014.9, read as the reverse complement.
GTCTCTATTTCAAAAAACTTTACCATTCTAACTTAGCAAGATAATGCACAAACCACTGAGCCACCCATCAAACATGGAAACTAACTTGACATGCTTTCTAAAACTGATTTTTTTTTGAGATGGTGTCTCGCTCTGTTGTCCAGGCTGGAGTGCAGTGGCCCAATCTCGGCTCACTGCAAGCTCCTCCTCCCGGGTTCACACCATTCTCCTGCCTCAGTCTCCTGAGTAGCTGGGACTACAGGCGCCCGCCACCACGCCAGGCTAATTTTTTTTTGTATTTTTAGTAGAGACGGGGTTTCACCCTGTTAGCCAAGATGGTCTCGATCTCCTGACCTCGTGATCTGCCCGCCTCGGCCTCCCAAAGTGCTGGGATTACAGGCGTGAGCCACCACACCTGGCCCTAAAACTGATTTTTTAAAATGTATGTAATTGGAGAATAATTTAACAATTCTAAGAACAGTGCATTTAATAACATTTGCCACAATAATAATAATAATCCTCATCGCCATAGTAGCCACAGTAGCAAACTCTTACAAACATGTAGTACATGCCAGGGAGCCTTCTACATGCTTTACATCTATTAACTCGTTTAATCTTCGTAACAGCCACCTAAGAGAGAAGCCACATGAGATAGGAGGTCTCTCTGTAACTCTGTTTTACAGATTAAAAAAACTGGGGCAGAGAGAGGTGGGTGATATTTGTCCAAGATCACACATGTAATAGGCTGAGGATTCAGATTTAAAAACCCAACCTGGTTCTAATGTCAGTGCTTTTAACCATTTCACTATATCTGTCTGCTGACTAAAAGATACAGAAATGGAAGAGGAAAAGTCCTCCATTTAAGGTAACATGGGTGCTGGAAACAAAAAGAGTACGAGAAGAAATCTCCATCCTGTAGTATTAAATTGTGCAATATCTCTTAAATATTTCATTATTTAAAAAATAAACACAGCAAGGCAATATGTGAGTAAGGAAAGATTACTTTTAGAGAATTTAAATCGGTTCACTAAAAACGCAAATAATATGTGAATTATTTTAAAATTAAAATGTTGTGGGCGGATCCTAAACACTGTTTCTGTTCTTCAGTCACAGTTCCTTGAAAAGAAACTTTGAATCTTGAGATGAAAAAAGATCTGTTAGGTCATCTTGTCCATCTTACCGCCAGTAGAGAATTGCTCCCGACAGTAAAGAAGTTAACTTATTGACAGCACTCTTTAAGCAGCAATTTACCAGGTGAATCCCTAAAGGCAAGAATGACTTCTCTGGTTTATCTTTCTCTTCTTATCATCAGTATAGTTAGGAGATCCATTCAATCTTCTGTGCTAGACGAGGAAAGGGGACAGGATTCTTGAAGATGTTTCTAAACTGCAGAAGATTAAAAATGTAGCTAGCGGCACTTTGATAGTTTAATCTAGGATCATTGTCCTTTCATATTTAGGCAAGCGTGTGTTTATGTGTGATATGTATGAGTGTGTGTTTGTGTATATATGCTTGTGTGAGACATTTGACAATAAAATTTGGCAATACTCAAATTTAAATCATAAAATAAGTTTAATGCTCTATGGGAAAATGCATGGCTCTATTTTTTATATAAATAAATAAATATATATATATATTTAACTTCTATTTTAAGTTCAGGGGTACATGTGCAGGTTTCTCACCTAAGTAAACTTGTGTCATTGGGTTTGCTGTACAGAATATTTCATTACCCAGGTATTAAGCCTAGTACCCATTAGTTATTTATCCTGATCCTCTACCTCCTCCCGCCCTACACCTTCTGATAAACTCCAGTGTGTGTTGTTTTCCTCTCTGCGTTCATAAGTTCTCATCATTTAGCTCCCACTTATAAGTGAGAAGATGTGGTATTTGGTTTTCTGTTCCTACACTAGTTTAGTTAGGATAATGGTGTCCAGCTCCATCTATGTCCTTGCAAAGCATATGATCTCAATCTTTTTCATGGCTGCATAGTAGTCCATGGTGTATACATACCACATTTTTTTTTTCTTATCCAGTCTATCACTGATAGGCATTTAGGTTGATTCCATGTCTTTGCTATTGTGAATAGTGTTGCAATGAACATATGTGTGCAGGTGTCTTTATAATAGAATGATATATGTTCCTTTGGGTATATATCCAGACTCTTTAAAACATTTGAATAAGGAAGTCTCCCTATCAAATTGGGAAATTTATCTGTTTTCTTAGTCCTTTAGAATAATATATTTACAAGATAAGAAATTTACTCAGATCTCTTTACTCACCTCAACTTTGGCATTACTGTCGTCATTATTCTTATGTATATTCCATGGCAAGGATCCCCAGCCTCCAGGCCATTGACCAGTACTGGAGCCATAGAATGAGACCACACAGCAGGAAGTGAGCAGTATGCAAGAGACCTTTATGGCCTGAGCTCCACCTCCTGTCATGTGGCATTAGATTCTCATAGAAGCACACACCCTATTTTGAACTGCACATGCTAAAGATCTAGGTTGCACGTTCCTTGTGAGAATGTAATACCTGATGATCTGAAGTGGAACAGTTTCATCCCAAAACCATTCCCTCCCAACCCCCACCCCACCCCCAGTCCATAGAAAAACTGTCTTCCATAAAACTCATCCCTGGTGCCAAATGCTGGGGACATATGTTCTATGTGGGGAATAATCTAAAGAAGGAAGCAAAAATGACTACAGTTTCATGCCTTAGGTTAAGGTAATATCAGCAAGTAATGCAACAAATTAAAAGAAGAAGGAGACAAAAAGTACTTAATTTCATTTTACATGTGGTGAGTGTGAGGTTCTTGGGAAAATATCTGAGACAGATTTCATGTGGATGTTGTAATATGGAACTTAAAAGAAGATATGATACAAATTTAGGAGTTGCCATCATGTAAGAAAGAACTGACGATATGTGAGATTTGAGGTAGTTTACAACAAAGCATTTCCTTGAAATATTTCAGATCAAATTTTGTAGTATATTGATAAGTATTCAACTACAAAAGAATAACACAAGGAAGCTATATCTGACAATTTCAGTAACTAGCAGGCTTTCATAATTTTTTAAAATATTTGCCATAACATCTTCAAAAATTCAGTGGAATTTCTTCCAATTTTCTTTACTTTTTTCAAAAAGGAAATAATTATTCTTATGTCACTGATCATGCTTTTGGTGACTAATATGACTTGGTGCACTTTTTTTATTTGGAAGAATGATAAAATATGTCATTGTGCTTTATTTATTTCAACGTGCATATGTATTTTAATGGCTTTTTGCGGTTTAAGCATGAAAGCATTTCTTGTTAGCTGGCTATGCAGGGGAGGTGAAATCAGTCATACTCTTGGATTAGACATGAACCATCAACAGAGAGTTAATATGGCCCACTTTGCCGATATAAGCAATTAGCACCTACTTTCACACTTGGATTAGTAGGTTTCTTAGCATAATTGAAAACAGGCTGACTAATTAATGGTAGAAAGTGGAAAGATGTACCAAGTACTATATGTTCTTAACAAGTGTTTGAGCAGAATAAAAGATGGGCATCTTTAGTACATCACCTTTAGTAACATGATCACTGAAACAAAGAAAACTACAATTTACATGTTCTCAGGCAGGCATTAGATTCTTTTTTTTTTTTTTTTTTTTTTTTTTTCTTTTTTTAAGACAGAGTTTTGCTCTTGTTGCCCAGGCTGCAGTGCAATGGCACGATCTCGGCTCACTGCAGCCTCTACCTCCTGGGTTCAAGCAATTTTCCTGTCTCAGCCTCTAGAGTAGCTGGGATTACAGGTGCACGCCACCACACGTGGCTAATTTTTTGTATTTTTAGTAGAGATGGGGTTTCGCCATGTTTGGTCAGGCTGGTCTAAAACTGCTGACCTCAGGTGATCCACCCACCTCGGCTTCCCAAAGTGCTGGGATTACAGGTGTGAGCCACTGCCCTGGGCCTAGATTCATATTTTAAGTTGCCAATAAAATCAAGGAGATAGCATGTTATAATTCAATGTTTTTGAGATAAAAGAGTTATTTTATAATGTGATTTTTAATTCTTTGGTCATTCTTTTCTTTTAAAAACCATATTACATTTTCTAATATAAACTTTTGTAAACTCTACTAGGAATACCTAATATTAAATGTCAGCATATTATTTATGCTCTGGCATAACTTACAGATACTAAGCAGCAACTCAGGTGATACATGTCTACATTAATTTTCTTAAGAGAGAAAAATATATCTTTTTAAATTTTATTTATGTATTGTAATTTGAGAGATACAATAATACCAGCTGCATTCTTCAGTACTAGAAAGTGCACTTAATGAAACTATCAGGAAGGCTGGGATCTAGCCAGGCTCCTCACTTGATTCTGTGACTTTGGACACGTCTCCCAAATGAATGAATTCATGCAGCTATAGATTTTTATTTCAGGAATCATTGAATAGAAAATTATGCAGACTATTTCTCTATACCTATGATCTATAAATGTAAGTATACAGAGGTAGGAGGATTGTAAACTCTGAAGCCAAGTATTTGTTATTCTGTCCAAAATAATTACTCAGGCTAAAATACTCTCTGTAAAAATTCTATTTGGTCATATTTCATAGCCTAAAAATAATAGTTAATTATATTACATTTTGTTCTTTGTGCTGTAAATTATGAATACATATTTGCCAGCTTCTAGTTGGCAAATACATGTTAATAATAATGATATTTTAAAAATCCAGTTACATATTAAATATGCTGGTGATTTATTCAATTTGAATATCTGGGAAGTTTTAGATTCTCTAACTTAGTTTTCATTTAATTAAAAAGAACCTATGCATAACTGTGGATACTGAGCCTACAAGACTATACCTTAGTTTTTGAGAAAAACCTATTGTCTTGCTTCTTACTGATTTCATCTGACAGTGTGTATGGTGAGTGTAATTTTTTTTCTTCTATGCTCTTTATACATATACCTTTTTGTTATAGACATTTTTCAAAGCAGACTATTTTATATTTATTCAATTTTTTAAGGTGGGGGGATGGTCTGGATGAGAGCCATTCTTGTCACTGAACAAATGCATACCTGTGAATCCAATCTGCAGTGAAAGGGAGGAAGAACACAAAAGGGAGAGAATATAAAGCATATCTGTGTGGAGCAGAGGACAATCAATTAGATTCATTATCTGCTCTCATTCCAGTCACTTCTTTAAAAGAAAAAAAAAAAGTACGTAATGCCACGGCAACAGTTAGACCTGCAGTTCGTTATGGTATATAATCATTAAGAGGTCTTCAGCCGTCCCTGAAAATAGATACAAAAAAAATTCACAGTGGTTGCACAAACTCCCTACATTTATGCTGATTAAATGACAAGTTTGTAATTTACAGGTGTCTTATTGCCATGGGAATGCAATCATACAATTCCATTTTAGAATTCAAGAGCTTTTGAAACATGCTGCATGATTGTTAGCTGGGCTGCAAGCTACGATTAAATTGAAAGGGTGGCATGTAGATTTTAGAACATGGTGTTGACATTTACTGGCCAATCACATTTTGCAACACTCCTGCATGACAGCAGATGTTGACCTTTCAAGCTTTCCCTATCTGCTTTCACGCATTACCTGCGGAAATTAACATAACTCTGCTTCCTGCTCTATGCTGCTATTAATGTCATCTGGGAATTGAGATTCATGAATTCAGTTATTACCCAGGCCTGAGACCCATTTTATACTCCAAGCACAGAACTAACAGCTCCTGGGAGCTGGTATTTTTGGATGTTGCTTCAACTACCTTTGTGGTTGAGGGATAGCTAGAAGCTATGGAGTAAAAAATGTCATCAGGAACAAGAAGAGAAATAGGCAGAGGAGAAGAGTTTCAAAGAGAGTGCTAAGGGCCAAATAATTGCAAATATATGGGATAGGAGAGCTTAAAATACAAAAAGGGTAATTTTAAGCAAGTCAAATAATGGTGTGAGTTTCACTTCTTTTGTTAACTGAACCATGAAAATAATACCCCTTCGAGTTTATGTGCAGTGAGCTTCAGAGTTTAATCCACAATGCCTGGGGCTTCTATTATCAATGATTTAGGAGAGAAACAATTTGAGGTAAAGATGTCATCTGTAGCCCTTAGGAGCTCTATGCATAATTGTAAGCAAAATTCTGTAGTGCTTCATTCTATATAAAAATCCTAGCATTTTTCTCTTATTTTCTCAGATATTTTTTGTTCAGTTCTTCCTAAACAGAGAATCTCTGCTTTTTAAATATTTAGAGGGGTCTGTTCAATGGAGGAATGAAATTGTGCTATATATTATTTTCTAAAACAGAAATTAGCACCTTTTAGAAGTCTCATTTAATACAGACATCATGTAATAAATCATATCTCTAGAAATTTTTGGACAAATTTAGGGCATCATTTATTAAAATTTTCAGACTATAAAAGAAGATTGAGAAGCTTCTGAATTTTGCTTAACCTTTTCTTCAGGTTAGCTGTATGGATTTAGTAAATTTCCTGTCGTTTTGCCTTTTAAAGTCCTTGGAGAGCATCTATGAAATATCTTAGTCACGGTTCCGTGAATCTAGTCTTTTGAGATACAAGCAGATGCATTTATCTCAAATAGGAATTGATTAATGGAGATCAAGATGTCACCAATGAGACATGCATATAGAGGCTACTTCAATGGCATTGCTCTGACTTACCCTCCAGCAAACATTCTGTGCTGATTTGCATGTTTCGGCCATGGTGGATTTTACAGTAGCTTCTCTGAAACCAGTGCCTTTTACCGCATGTATAAAATACGTAAGCAGCATGATTAGAAGGGCCAAGGCCTACCCTTTAAAAATACCTTTCCAACTCAATTCTATTGTGCTTGAGGTGCTATGTTTTGAAATTCCTTTATGTGTATGAATTAATATTTCCCTCATGTTATTTAATGCAAAGAAATGCTCCTGCAATGGGTGATAAGTGTTACTAGTATTTTATTTTGAATAAATTTGCTTGGTTTCTTTCTTGTTTGAAAGGCCAGTTAAAACAGACACACACACGCACACACACACACACACACACACACACACACACACACACACCTGGACATCTCCAACTGGATATCCCATAAGCACTTCAAATTATAAATGTCCAAATCTGAACTGGTCATCTCCACCCACTGGTCAACCCTTGGATATACTTTCTTACCTACATCAGAGAAATTTGAGATATACTGTTTCCTAATTATACATTATATCATTTGGATCTTATCCTGAAAGGAATTGATAAAGATTATAAACAGGAGAGTCACATGGTAAGACTAGCCTTAAAAAATTATCTTCAATCTAGGATATGGAATTGGTTGAGCCTGGAAATACCCAAGTCAGGAGGGAGGGAGGGAGAGGCATCTGAGATGCTATTGTAGTAATCCAGACATGATGATTTGCTTAAATAGTGTACTACAGTGGTAATCACGAGAAGTGTCCAGGCTTGAGATTTCTACAGGATGTTGGAACATAGAGTTTGATGATACTTATAATGCATAACATACATGAGGGAAAACTCAGGGGCAACTTCTTAGTTTTTGTTTCTGAAGTAGGGGAGCTGCCAGTATTTCTCATGAGAAAAGGAACATATAGCAAACATAAATGTTTGAGGAACTATGTTGACTTCATTTTTGGACATGGAATTTTGAAATCTAGCTGGACCTAGTTCTTTACGCTCTCCGAACCTCATTATGTGTTTTTCACAAAACATTACATATAATAGAATCTCCCAGCTTTTTTGTTGTTGTTGTTGTGGTCCAAATTTGCTTATTCTAGAGCCTGTTAGTAGAGAGCCCATGTGGCAAAGAAGTTTGGATTTTGACATGCAAAGTACCTGAGTAGATGGACAATGATGTAGGTTGGAGGCTTGTCCCCTCCAAATCTCATGTTGAAATGTAATTCCTGGTGTTGGAGACTCGGCATGTAGAGTAGTGTTTGGGTCTTAGGGGAGTATCTTTCATGAATGGCTTGGTGCCCTCCTCACAGCAATGAGTGAGTTCTCAGAGAGTTCACATGAGATCTGGTTGTTTAAAGGAGTGTAGCTCCTGCCCCCTCATTCTCTCTTGCTCCATCTCTCTTGCTCCCACTCTCACCATGTGATATCTCCTGCTTTCCCTTTACCTTCTGCCATGATTATAAGCTTCCTGAGACCTCACCAGAAGAAGAAGCCAGCTCCAGGCTTCCTGTACAGCCTGCAGAAATGTGAGCCAAAATAAACCTCTTTTCTTTATAAATTACTCAGTCTCAGGTATTCCTTTATAGTGACACAAAAGTGGACTAACACAGCCCTAAGTCCTTTTTCTGTCATTTTCTTGCTGTGTGATCTTAAATGAAACACTTGGACTTAAATTTCCTTATTTATAAATTGGAGACATTAAAACCCATATTAGCATAATTAACATTTGGTATGGTTGTTTCTTTTTTTTTTTTTTTTTTTGTTTTTTTGACACGGGATTCTGCTCTGTCTCCCAGGCTGGAGTACAGGGGCACACTCATGGCTCACTGCAGCCTCAACCTCCTGGGCTCAAGCGATCCTCCCACCTCAGCCTCCCTAGAAGCTGGGACTTTTTTTTTTTTTTTTTTTTGTAGAGACGAGGTTACTACATGTTGCCCAGGCTGGTCTCAAACTCCTGAGCTCAAGCGATCTGCCTCCCTCAGCCTCCTAAAGTGCTGGAATTACAGGCATGAGCCACCAGGCCTGGCCTGGTTGTTTCCATTTTTAATATTCATTTATTTGTATCAATGTTTGGCTTTTTTGCTTTCAGCCTGATTTCACCATCAACTCACGGGCAGAACCATCTTTCTCGATAAGACCATCTATTCTTCCACAGTTTCATGTGGAAGTTCTACTCCATTGTAGGGCCCCATACTTCACTGCTTAGCTGCTCTCTAACTTCAAAATAACATATCAACAGGATTGGATGAGAACTCTTCCATGCAACCAGAGGTCAAAAGGAGATACTATAAATATAGATTCTTAGCCGATTAAACTTTGGTTGCTTATCGAATCTATCCAAATGATAAATTATACTTCTGTGAGTTTAAATTTTATTTTTGTGGTTACTATTATTTTCTATTTTTCCACTAAATGGTACTGAGGATAGAGATACCATAATTGTAGAAGGGGAATATGAAGATATTCTTATAATGTATGGTATTGACCAATTGTAGATTATATACAACATTACGGAGATTAATCATATTCATATAACTTTGCCTTTAGATGCTTTTAAAATATGTCTTCTAATGAAAATGAGCTCCTGTCTACTTCTTTCAACCCCTTAGTTGGGATTTTTATACAAAAGGGCCTGATTTTGGAAGACAAACAACAAAATATGTCTATACAAAGGCGGAGTGTTAGATAGGTCAGAGTTTTCTAGATCAAGAAACTACTAGGTTTGTTTTAGTAATATATGTTCAGAGCATAGTTAAGAAAGAGGCTGGGTGCGGTGGCTCACTGCTGTAATCCCAGCACTTTGGTAGGCCAAGGCGGGTGGATCCCTTGAGCTCAGGAGTTCAAGACCAGCCTAGGCAACAAGACAAAAACCCCGTCTCTACAAAATATACTAAAATTAACCAGGGGTGGTGGCACTCAACTGTAGTCCCAGCTACTCGGGAGGCTGAGGCACAAGAATTGCTTAACCAAGGAGGCAGAGTTTGCAGTGAACCAAGATTGCGCCACTGCACTCCAGCCTGGGTTACAGAGTAAGACCCTGTCTCAGAAAGAAAAAAAAAAGTATGAACAAAATGGCAATGTCAGAAGAGGAAAATTACATAAAAATAAAGTTCCTGAGTCAAGTCTTCAAAGGTGATTTTATTAATTTTTGGACATATTTTTAAAAATGTCCTACATGCTAAAATATGCCCTAAATAAATTTTGTTTAACAAATATTTATTCAGTTTCATCATGCACCAGGTGGCGGAAAGGAAAAATCCTTCCTTTCTTCCCGTTTTTTTCATTCTTAAATGAAAGCCACATGTTCCACACTTCTATTCCTTTTCCAATGCTTTTTCCACACTGTCCATCTTCTTACTACAGTTACACAAAATCTGATCTCCAGGATTAGCTATGTTTTACTAAATGCTGTGGTTAATTTTCCTTAGGTATCAAAGCCCATCTTTGAGCTCTCGTTTGTACTTTTTGTACCATACAATAGTTTTCAGTCACTGGGGATATAGAAGTTGAGGAAAAAGAGTTGGGAAACTTGCGGGTCCAAGATTGGTCCTATGGCAGAAAGATTTTTTTTTTTTTTAAGTAATAGAGCATTTTAAAAACAGGGGGCATTTCCCATGTTATCCCAGGGCTTCAGAAAATTTATGGTTAATAATAAAAGGTCTTCTAATCAAGATTAGATCCTGAGTGATAGAAAAAGTGACGTAGTCACACAGAACAACCATTTTTTAATGAAAAATATGTCATTATAGCAAAAGAAGAGGAAGACTTGAATAGAGATACCTAATAAAGTCCACGGCCCCTGCACCCTTTTAATGGAAACTTGTATCCATATATAATCCAGGAACTTTTAATATATTTAAACATATATATCAAAAAGAGAACCAATACACCTAAAGACATACTATAAGAAAAATGTGAATAAGTAGCATCCAAACAATGAATAAATATAAAACTCACTACAAGAATATTTCATTTGAAAGGCATACAAAAGCATAAGCCAAATATTCCAATCTGATTTAAAAACAAAACAAAATACCTTACTGAAATTATTACTAAGAAATAAGCCCTCAAAACAGAAATGCAAACCCTTACGGGTGATACACACAGATAATATTAGGGGAAAATGTTTAAATTTTTGAAAAATAATTTTTTAAAAACTCAAAGCTGTATCAGAAATTAAGTCTGAATTAAAAGAGGACAAGATGAAAAACAGACTTTGAAAAGCATAGGAAAGAATTTATTTTACAAATATGCATTAATAAATGAAATTGTCTATCTATAAATATACTTATTGCTACATTGTAATAGCAAGAAATTGGAAATAATTTAAATATCTAGCCATCTATAACAGATTAAAAAAATTATGGCACAGAGGAAATTCTCTAGTAGGATATGAAACATTCTTCAATATATATGTGTAACTGAAAAAGGTAAGTTCAGAACAATCTGTTAATTAATATTTTTATGTGCATAAAATACATTACTTTTATGTAAGAAAAAAGGGAGGTAAAAACACATATTCACATGTCCCTCACATTTGCTTAAAGAGTCTACAGAAGGATACACCCACAAACTAATAAAATGGTTATCTATGGAGGTAGGGAATGAGTTAGAAACAAGTGGATTGGGCAGGGTGAAACCAAGACTTTGCAATACATACCTTTCTTACGTTATTGTGTTTTGTGAATCATATGATGTGCTACTTATTTTTAAATTTTAAATAAAAACAAGGCCAGGTGTGGTGGCTCACAGCTGTAATCCTAGCACTTTGGGAGGCTGAGGTGAGCAGATCACCTGAGATCAGGAGTTTGAGACCAGCCTGGCTAACATGGTGAAACCAGGTTTCTATTAAAAATACAAAAAATGAGGGAGGCATGGTGGCACACACCTGTAATCCCAGCTACTCAGGAGGCTGAGGCAGGAGAATTGCTTGAACCCGGGAGGCAGGGGTTGCAGTGAGCAGAGATCGTGTCATTGCACTCCAGACTGGGCAACAAGAGTGAAATGTCAGCTCAAAAAAAAAAAAAGAAAAAAAAACAGACTGTTGAACAAGTAAGAGAAATAAATATGACATTTACTCTGCTCTCAAATGGTATTCAATTAATAAGGAAAATAGAAAGTAATTACAAATTGTTATAACACATGATGAAACAAAAGAACAAACTTCTATGAGACTTTATAAGGTTGGTAGTCAATCTGCATAAGGATTGTAGGGGTGGCAGGAAAGCTTCCCTTCTGTCCTCTCTGAAGGGTTCACTAGAAAGATTGACAAGAGACAGATTAATAGGAGGAAAGGTATACGTATGTATTAATGTGTATATTGTAACTGCCCAGTGGGTTCACCTTGCCGGCTGCCTAGACAGAGACAATTTATTAAGACAGGGGAATTGCAATAGAGAAAGTGTAACTCATGCAGAGCTGACTGTGCGGGAGACCGGAGGTTTATTATTACTCAAATCAGTCTCTCAGAGCATTTGGGGATGAGAATTTTTAAGGATAATTTTGTTGGTGGATAGGGCAGCCAGTGAGTAAGATGTGCTGATTGGTTGGGTCAGAGATAAAATCATAGGGAGTCAGGCTGGGCACAGTGGCTCAAGCCTGTAATCCCAGCACTTTGGGAGGCTGAGGCAAGTGGATCACCTGAGGTCAGGAGTTTGAGACTAGTCTGAACAACGTCGTGAAACCCCTTCTCTACTAAAAATACAAAAAATGCTAGCCGGACGTGGTGGTGCATGCCTGTAATCCCAGCTACTCTGGAGGCTGAGACAAGAGAATCGGTTGAATTCATGATGTGGAAGTTGCAGTGAGCCAAGATCTCGCCACTGCACTCCAGCCTGGGTAACAGAGAGAGACTCTGTCTCAAAAAAAAAAAAAAAAAAAAAAAAAAAAAAAAAAAAAAAAAAAAATCATAGGTAGTCAAAGCTGTCTTGTACTGAGTCAGTTCCTGGGTGTGGGCCACAGGTCAAATGAGCCAGTTTATCAATTTGTGTGGTGCCAGCTGATCCATCCAGTGCAGGGTCTGCAAAATATCTCAAGCACCGATCTTAGGATTTACGATAGTGATGTTATCCCCAGGAACAATTTTGGCGGGGTCAGAATCTTGTAACCTCTAGCTCCATGACTCCTAAACCATCATTTCTAATCTTTTGGCTAATTTGTTAGTCCTACAAAGGCAGTCCAGTCCCCACGCAAGAAGGGGGTTTGTTTTGGAAAAGGGCTCTTATTGTCTTTGTTCTAAACTATAAACTAAGTTTCTCCCAAGGTTAGTTCAGCCTATGCCCAGGAATGAACAGGGACAGCTTGGAAGTTAGAAGCAAGATGGAGTTGGTTAGGTCAGATTTCTTTCACTGTCTCAGTTATAATTTTGCAGTGGCAGTTCCGATATGAACACAGGAGTCTCACACATATCAGTCTCAATATATGTAATGTAAATATAAAGAAGTGCCAGATGGTTGAGGTTTAAATCCCTTCTTTATAGAGGAGAGGAAAGATTTTTCGGGGGGATGGATATCGGTAATTATAAGGGGTAGTAAATGACTTTCAGGAGAAATGAAGAAGCCCCATGAGCTATGGCCTGGGACAAAATTCCCCTGAGCTCCGGGGGAGGCAGCAAGTAGGTGAGGGACAGAACTTCCCTGTGAACAAAGGAGATTGTCTTATTAGGCAAATAAAGTCTCCCAGGTAATCTCTCAGAGTTGCCCTCAGAAGAATAGATGGAAAGTCTGTCTGTGGGTGGTGACAAACTTTTAGTCTCTTCATCAGCGGTTAATCTTTCTTGGTTATTTGATGAGATTCTTAGGGAGAGGACCTTAAGACAATTGCATTTTTTTAGAATAAAATTTTTTAGTCAGATAAGAAAATTCCAGGAGTCCCTTTGTGCTTGAAGGAGTGATGTGGGGTGGGGAAGGAGAAACAAGAGATTTGAAAGTCTTTGATTCTGAGACAGCTTTTAAAGCCTTGCTATTTTAGTTTAAAGTGTTCAGCATGCCAAAGTATCATATAAGATATCATTTTCAGAACCCCAACAGGATTATACAAATATTCTTAAGGGAAAATTAGCACTTGAGAAAGACCAACTTTATGCCCATAAAACTTGCATTGTTTTTGTGCAGAAGAGCCTCATTCTTAGTTCAACGCTCCATTGTTGCTAGCTTAAAATTCTAAATAATATTTGAACAAGGGGTCACATTTGTTTTTGCACAGGGCCCCAAAATTTGTGTTACCAGTCCTGCATTAGAGATAAAATTTGAAGCTGACATTTCCTCATTGTGTGATCCTCTGAACCATAAGGTTTCTGAGAAGCTCCCAGGCTAATGTGATGTAAAGGGAAAGTAAGAGGATGAAATACTATGATTCACATTACTTAATTATTCTGTTACTATGATTTCCAGTTTAATATTTGATTTCTATTTCAATATCTCCCTTACTCAATCCAATGTAATACTTACATAATATTACACAGTAAATGACTATGGATGAACATACTAGAGGAAATTGTTACACTTATTTTTTTGTCTTTTTTTTTTCCTTTTTGTGGAGAATGGGATCTAACTATATTGCCAGGCAGGTCTCGAACTCCTAGGCTCAGGCTATCCTCCCCCCTCTGCCTCCCTAAGAGCTGGGATTATAGGTGTGAGCTGCCACACCCAGCTAGAGGAAATTGTTAATCTAACAATGAAGATTAAAACACGGGGACCCTAGAATTTCTATTTAGGTGGTATATATTAACAATAATAGAATTGAAGAGGTTGGCCTGCTGATTTCTTCAAAAGTTATATTTGCCTAATGACCAAAGAGGATCTTAGAGTTTCCTTTAACTTCAAGAAACTTCAAACTTCAGACAGGTAGTTTTCCTGCCTCTAGGACCCTAACTTCCTTTTACTTAGAGCATCTCCTGGAGAAAGCATATAATTGCAAATTGTTTCTCTGCCCCTTTCAGATGTAAAACTTTAAAAAGCCTCTGGCCACATTTACCACTAGGGAAGTCTTTCTTGAGAACTTGTGAACCAACCCATTAAAATGTAAACATTCAGGAAGACAAGGTCTTTGTTTCTCACTTTCTATGGAAGGATAAGTGCCTGATTTCAGTGAAGTGCCTTGCTCCAAGTTGTAAAACTACTTCCTTTCACGAAAATATAAGAAAGTTTACTTTTACTCTGAGTAAAGCCAATTAGCAAACACAGAGAGCCTATAATCCCCCCACCCCATCTCTTGAAAAACCCTCCAGCCTTTTGTTTTAGTGCAGTTGAATTCAGAAAGAATTCTGGCCTCAGTCTCCTATCATAACATCCTTGAATAAAATCTTTGTTTTTTTTGTTTTTTTGGTTTTTTTTTTTAACCTTGTGGAGGGCAGTTTTTGCTTTGATACAACATTTTGGGAATGTTGAGAAAATATCTGTTGTTCATGTCAAAAGTAAGGTGCTGATAAAGATTATAATTTTGTAGAGAAGTAGAAATCAGGCCAAAATTTGATCTGTCTCTAATAAATCATGTCTTTGAAGACACTGCAATGAAATGCAATTTTTAATAAATTTAATATCCTGATAAGCAAACATTTTATTAGTAATATGATCTAACACATCTGTCACATTTCTGTTTCAAACTAGATTGAAAGTAAATAAAATGAAATAAAATTAGAAACATTGTCCCAGCCTTTATATAGATGGTCCCTTTCCCAGTCCTTGTAGTCATAAGATAGATGAATGAGTTTTGCTTCCTGGCCAGCTCTATGCCCACCACTGCCAGGTGGTGATTTAGCTTTTCGTTTTGTGCTTGATGTGATGCCATATTTTTCTTAAGATCCTCTACATCTCAGATGTGATTTTTCAAAGCATTTTTTTTTTTATGCAGTGCTTTTGCAGCCCCAGTCCCTCTCCCCAATTATTTTCAAATGCTGGGTATTATGCTCACTGTTCCAAAGAAATGGACCTCATATTTCAACATCTCATCTAATAGGATTTTTGTTTCTGCTCTGATGAAATGTGGCTTAGATATATTTATTTGCTGTATTCTTCTACTTGCTGGAAAAGTGCATACCAAGTGAATGCATTCTTTGTGTATTGAAGAGTGTTTACAAGAAAATAAGAGAGGCTTTGTATGCAAATGAAATCTTTGGCACCAAGTTCCACCTAGTTAAACACCTAAATATGCCCCCTGCAGAAAATTAGGTGTTGAATTGTGCACCAGTGTTCTTAAAGGCATTAATTAGACCTTTAATTTTATCATGTGGGAAATGTGCTGTAGTCAAGAAACACCTGGTGAAGACAAATACAAAAGAAAACAATCAAATTAGGGTGTCCTGATAAACAGCACTGAAATATTAAACAAAACATATTGTGATTAAACAAACAGGGAGCTGCAGACACAGAGGAAAAAGAAAGAAAACTCATACAAAGGCTTCCAACTTCAAGTAATAGAAATTCCAAAGTGAATCACCTTTTTAAAAATAAATATTCCCAGAAAGAAATAGAGAGGCCCTCTTTATTGGGGCAAAAATCTTCACGGACTAATATAAAAAATACTAATAGCCAGAGTTGAATGGATTTTGATGTCTTCTCCAAAGGCCTTTTTTTTTTTTTTCTTATTTACACAATGCAAGTACAAGCATACCTTGGAGATACCACAGGTTTAGTTTAAGATCACGGCAATAAAGCAAATACCACAATAAAGTGAGTTGTGTAATTTTTGGTTTGCCAGTCCATAAAAGTTATATTTAAACTACACTGTAGTCTATAAAGTATGCAATGGCCTGGTGACAAAAAAAAAAAAAGTATATACCTTAATTAAAAATTAAAAATTACTTTATTGCTAAAGAGTGCCAATCATAATCTGAGCCCTCAACAAGTCATACTCTCTTTACTGGCTTTAGAGTTTTTGCCTCTATGTTGATGGAGGCTGACTGATCCAGTTGGTGGTTGCTGATGTTTGGGTGCTGTGACAGTTTGTAAGTAAACATCAACAGTGAGGTTTGCTGTATTGATTGACTCTTACTTTTACAGAAAATTTCTCAGTAGCATGTGATATTCTTTCATGGCATTTTACCCACAGAAGAATATCTTTTAAAATTAAAGTCAATCTCTTTCAACCCTGCCTCTGATTTATCAAATAAGCCTATGTAATATTCTAAATCCTTTGGTGTCATTTCAACAATTTTCACAGCATCTTTACCAGGCATAGATTCTATTTCAAGGAACCAGTTATTTTTCTCATTCACAAGAAGCAACTCCTAATTGATTCGTTTGATCATGAGATTGCAACAATTCATTCGCATCTATAGGATCCACTTCTAATTCTAGTTATTTTACTGTTTCTACCACATCTGCAGTTACTTCCTCCACTGAAGTCTAAAACCCCTCCAAGTCATCCATGAAGGTTGGAATCAACTTCTTCCCAACTCCTGGTTGATATTTTGACCTTCTTCCATGAATCATGAATGTTCTTAATGTCATCTAGAATGGCAAATGCTTTCCAGAAGGCTTTCAATTGACTTTGCTCAGATCTAGCTGAGGAATCACTGTTTATGTCAGCTATAGCCTTATGAAAAGTATTTCTTAAATAATGAGACCTGAAAGTCAAAATTACTCTGGTCTATGGGCTGCAGAATGGATATTGTACGTTAATCTCTTTGTACATCTCCATCAGAGGTTTTGGGTGATTAGGTGTATGGTCAATGAGCAGTGATATTCAGGAAGAAACCTTCGCTTTTGAGCACTAGGTCTTCAGTGGGTCTAAAGTATTCAGTAAACCAAGCTGTAAGCAGATGTACTGTCATGTAGTCTTCATTGTTCTGTTTACAGAACACCCACAAGGCATATTGAGCACAATTCTTAAGAGATCTAGGATTTTTAGAATGGTAAATGGGCTGGGCACAGTGGCTCACACCTATAATCCCAGCACTTTGGGAAGCTGAGGCGGGTGGATCATGAGATTAGGAGTTCAAAACCAGCCTGGCCAAGATGGTGAAACCCTGTCTCTACTAAAAATACAAAAATTAGCCTGGCATGGTGGCGATCTCCTGTAATCCCAGCTACTCGGGAGGCTGAGGCAGAGAATTGCTTGAACCCGGGAGGCAGAGGTTGCAGTGGGCCGATACAGAGCCACTGTACTCCAGCCTGGGTGACAGAGAGGGACTCTGTTTCAAAAAAAAAAAAAAAAGTTGAATGGGCATTGGCTTCAACTTAAAGTCACCAGCTGCATTAGTCCCACAGAAGAGGGTCACCCTGTCCTTTGAAGCTTTGAAGCTAGGCATTGACTTATCCTCTCTGGCTAGAAAAGTCCTGGATGCCATCTTCTTCCAATATAAGGCTGTTTCATCTACACTGAAAATTAGTTGTTTAGCATAGCAACCTTCATCAGTGATTTTAGCTAGATCTGCTGGATAACTTGCTGCAGCTTCTACATTAGCACTTGCTGATTCACCTTGCACTTCAGTGTAATGGAGATGGCCTCTTTCCATAAACTATGAATCAACCTCTGCTGTTTTCCAACTTTTTTCTCTGCATCTTTCTTACCTCTCTCAATCTTCGTAGAATTAGTGAGAGTTAGGGCCTTACTTTGGGTTAGCATTTGGCTTAAGAAAATATTGTGGGTGATTTGATCTTCTATTCAACCACTAAAACTTTCTTCATGTCAGCAAAAAGGTTTTTTTTTTTTTTTGCTTTCTTATTATCCATATGTTCATTGTAATAGCATATTGATTTTCTTTCAAGAACTTTTTCTTTCCATTCACCAGTTGGCTGATTGGCACAAGAGGCCCAGTTTTCCGCCTTTTTTGGCTTTCTACATTCCTTCCTCACTAAGATTAATCATTTCTAGGTTTTGATTTAAAGTGAGAGATGTGAGACATTTTCTTTCACTTGAATTCTTAGAGGCTATCTTAGAATTATTATTTGGCCTGATTTCAATATTGTTGTCTCAGAGAATAGAGTGGCCCAGCAGAGGAAGAGAGATTGGGGAATGGCTGTTTGGTGGAGCAGCCAGAACACACATGACATTAATTGATTATGTTTGCCATGTTATATGGGCACAATTAATGACTCCCTAAAACGATCACAATAGCAACATTATAGATAATTGATCACAGATCACCATAACAAATACAAAAATGAGAAAGTTTGAAGTATCATGAGAATTACCAATATGTGACACAGATACATGAATTATCTGTGAGCACATGCTGTTGGAAAAGTGGCACTGGTAGACTTGCTTGAAATGAGGTTGCTGGAAAACTTCAGTATGTAAAAAAATGTATATCTGCAAAGCACAATAAAGCAAAGGTCAATAAGAAAATGAAGTGTGCCTTTAGTTTCTTGATTATTCCTTCTGACCTTCCCTATAAATTTAAGAAATCCTTGCAGATGATGGGGTATGACTCTCCAATGATTGTTGCCCTGGAGAAACATGAATTTAAAAATTTATCCATACATTAAAATACCTTCATAAGAGCCAAACAAGAAAAAAAATACCTGGTGATAGTTCACAGCATGTGATTGTAGCACAGTAATAAGAAAATACACATTAAAGAGGGTAGGTTGGTCAGTTTTATGTTACCCAGATTTTCCCTACCCCAAGCCCAGTCTGCACACCATGAAGAGAGACACTGTCTGCTTGGGGGAAAGAGAGGAAAGTGAGTATAAGATCTTGCTTTGGATCCCAACAATAAGCAAACCATAGTAAAACTCAGCACTGGGCAGACCCCCCCATTCCCCCATATTCCAAGGATGTACTGAAAAACTGTCTCTACACTTATTCCAGCAGCAGATGGCACCACACAGTCCCAGGCTTCAAGCCTGTATGACAAACTTGATCTCTGGCCTGCACCACTGGCAACTTGACTACAGGAGCCCCTGGCTTTGCACAGCCCTTAGCAGTAGGCAGGCCTTAGTGGTCTTGAGCTTCTGACACACCCTCACATCACATCTGCCACAGAGCATTCCAAGGCAAAGCCAGTCTATAACTGGAATAAGTATCTACTTCTTGAAATGTACAAACATCAATGTGCAACCACAAAGATCAAGAAAAATCAGGGAAACAGGACATTGCTAAACAGAAAAAATACTGACAGTGACTGGTCCTAAAGTAATGAATATACATAAACTGCCTGACAAAGACTTCAAAATAATTGTTTAAGGAAGCTCTTTAAGCCTCAAGAAAGTGCAGAGAAACAACTCTGTGAAATGAGGAAAACAATAAGTGACCAAAACAAATAATTTAATAGAGAGATTAAAAAAAAAGGCAGAAATTCCATTGCTGAAAAATACAATGAGAAATTTAAGAAATCCTTCAAGACAAGGTTTGGTAACTGAATGTTTCTAAATATAGTAACTAGTCAAGATAGTACAATAAGTAAAAATATTACTTTGTCTGAAGGATATGTAAATATATACGTGTGTGTGTATATATATGTATATCTTGTATACACACATGCATATAATTATTATTTCTGGTTTTCACTGGGGAAGAGCCTTACATTTTTGTGTGTTATTTGATGAGATACCTTGCTTCACTACAATCTACTAATCATGTGAAATGTATTCCTATTAAAGGGCAGAGGCAGTTCCAATAGTAAGACACCTTGAATTAACTTCAACAGTTATTATAGGATAAGAATACGTGAATGAATCGTCAAGTTTTTCCACAAAACAGACATAACCACTGCAAAATATACTAACATTACAAGTCCCAGAAACGTAGGACTCATTTTTACACTTAATAAGATGTAGTTTTCCTTATCCTTTAATTTATTTCCTTAATGTCTTCATTCTTTCTCCCAGAAACCATTATTCCTTTTGTTAATTTGTCTATAATAGTGCTTTCAATAACCTCTTTGATATCACTGAAATTATTATAACTGCATTACAGAACAAATAGAAGTAGAAAACTAACCATGCCTCATCGTGGCAAATAGGAGTTGCAAACATAAGTAAGTGAAATACTCAACAGATTACGCTATTAATCAGGGAACCTATATAATGTACATTGTTTGATTGCTATGTCATTTTTTTAGTGAAAAAAATGATATCTTGGACAGGATAGGAAAACATTTTCTTAAAGGTTCAGACGGTGATATGGTTTGGATCTGTGTCCCCACCGAAATCTGATGTTGAATTGTAATCCCCAGTGTTGGAGGTAGGGCCTGGTGGGAGGTGATTGGATCATGGGAGTGGTTTCTCTTGAATGGTTTCTCATGAATGGTTACCATCCCCTTGGTCTGTCTTCCTGATAGTGAATGAGTTCTCATGAGATCTGGTTGTTTAAAAGCATGTAGCACCTTTCTTTTTTGGGTAGTGCATTAGAGTTCTCTAGAGGGACAGAACTAATAGAATACACACACACACACACACACACACACACACACACACACATATATATATATATGAGTTTCTTAAGTATTAACTCACACAATCACAAGGTCCCATAATATGCCGTCTGCAAGTTGAGGAGCAAGGGGAGTCAGTCTGAGTCCCCAAACTGAAGAACACGGAGTCCAATGTTCAAGGTGAGGAAACATCGGGCACAGGAGAAAGATGTAGCCTGAGTGGCTAGGCCAGTCTGGTTTTTTCACGTTTTTCTGCCTGCTTTATATTCTAGCTGGACTGGAAGCTGATTAGATGGTGCCCACCCAGAATAAGGGTGGGTCTGCCTTTCCCAGTCCACTGACTGAAATGTTAATCTCCTTTGGCAACACCCTGACAGGCATACCCAGGATCAGTTCTTTGCATCCTTCAATCAAGTTGACACTCAGTATTAACCATCACAGGTAGCAAACAGCATGACTATAGTCAATAACAGCTTATTTATACACTTTAAAATAACTAAAAGAATGTAATTAGATTTTTTGTAACACAAAGAATAAATGCTTGAGGGCACGGATACCCCATTTTCCATGATGTAACTATTTCATATTGCATGCCTGTATCAAAACATCTAATGTACCTCATAAGTATATACACATACTATGTACCCATGAAAATTAAAAAGAAAAAATTTAGAAAGTGTGTGGCACCTCCTCATTCTCTTTTGCTCCTGCTTCTACCATGTGACATGCCTGCTCCCATTTCACCTTCTGCTGTGATTATTAGCTTCCTGAGCCCTCCCCAGAAGCTGATGCTAGAGCTGTGCTTCTGTATAGCCTGCAGAACCATGAGCAAATTAAACCTCTTTTTCTTATAAATTACCCAGTCTCAGGTATTTCTTTACAGTAATACAAGAATGGTCTAATACAGATAACTACTTCAAGCTTTGAAACAGGCATCTAGCCCTGGGGATATTCCTTGTCAATGTCTTTTAAACTGGGCTGTGTGCCTGATGGCCAATGGTGAGGGAAATAAAGAAGCCTGTGGAAAAACCTCACTTATGAAGTGACTTATTGCTTTGGTCAAGTTGCTCTGCTGAAGACAAATAAGCAGAAATTGCTAAAATTTCAGAGGGTTGGATTTAGGGTTAAACATAACTACAAGCTTATCAAAGAGGCTGTCATTTTGAGGGATTTTTAAAATAGAAAATATATTGTCTTCCCTGATAAAATGGAATAGAAAATGCTTAATATCATGTCCTACATGACCTCGTTTCATCCTACTCTTTTACCTTTCACTTAACACTCTCTCACTGAACCATTCTCTTTCCCAGTTCTGTCTCATTTGCTATTGTTTAGGTTGCCCTGGTTTAATTCATTCATGCCTTCCAATGAGTCAACATTCCATTTGTCTGGAGGAGAATCAGGATCGACATTGTTCATTTCTTTTCATTCCATATGTTTATGTTTATTAGCTAAATCCACTGGAAAAAAAAAGATGATGCTTGTGACCTTTTCAGTTTGGGTTAGGTGCTTTTCTTAGGTTTCACAGCAGGGCATTTATAGCTTTCTATGTCACTGAATTATTTTTTAATTTTTAGAACAATTTTAGTTTAGTGAAAAGTTATGAAGATAGTTCAAAGAGGTCTCAAATACCCACACTAAGTTTCCCCTATTGTTAACATCTTACATTAGTGTGATACATTTATTATAATTAATGAACGAATATTGACACACTATTATTAACTGAAGTCCATACTAATTTCAGATTTCCTCAGGTTTTTTTTTCTTAATATCCTTTGCTGTTTCATGATTCCAGCCAGAATACTACATTAAACTTACTCATCATTTCTTCTTGGGAGAACCGTTGGCTGTAACTGTTTCTTAGACAGTTACATGAAATTGTTTTTGATGACCTTTCATTTCAGAGTAGTGTTGGCCAGGTATTTTGTAGCATGTCCTTTAACTGGAATTTCTCTCATGTTTTTCTTATAATTAAACTAGGTTGTATTTTTTGGGAGGAAGATAACAGAGTAAAGTGTCATTTACATCACATAAAATCAAGGATACATATCAGCAACATGACATCATGGTTGGTGTTAACTTTTATCATGTGGCTGAAGAAATACAGATCAGATTTCTTCTACAACATACTTTTTTATACCCATTTCCACACTGTGTTCTTTGGAAGGAAGTCACTATGCAGTTAAGGAGTGGGGAGTTATGTCCCACCTGCTTGAGGGATGTCGTAGACCCAATAAAGGTTCCCATAGAGTGTAATTGCATTTCCTAATTCCTAAAATCTCTGAATAAGTCATTTAACATTGCAAGATAAATTAAAGTTCAAATGGAATTAAGATTGTTAATCAGTTGACCTCAAAATAGGGAGGACATCTTCAGTTTTTCAGGTGGGACCAATTTATTACAAAGGCCCTTAAAAGTGGAAGAGAATCAGGAAAAAAACTGTGACTATGGAAGAATAGTCATTGAGATGTAATGTTGCCTACTTTGATGATGCAGAAAGGGGCCATGAGCCAAGATAATGTGGGCCGCTTCTAGAAGTTGGCAAAGGCATAGAAAAGAACTCACCGCTAAAACTCCCCAAAAGAAATGTAGCTCTGTCTCCATCTGGATTTTCCCTAGTGAGACCTTTGTTGAACTTCCAACCTGCAGAACTGTAAAAAGCTAGAGTACCTAAATACATTATTTTTTTTTTTTACAAGAGAGAATTGTCTCTTCTCCTCCATGTATACTATTTATCCATTCTGTCACTTATATTGGTGTGGACTTGTCAATATTTATTGTATATGTTAGGTTATAATTTCACAGTAATTAATTTACTTGGCAAATTGTTCCAACTATGATCATTAGGAACTCTTTCGGTTGGCTCCTATGTCCCTTTGACATACCCCCATTAGTATATGTGTCTGTGTGTTTAGCACTTTCTTACTTCATGCATTACAAGATGCTGTGGGCTCATCAGGTATATTTCTTGCCTGAGTTCTAGAATAGGCTATCAGTCATTTCTACAAGGAACCCTAGTTTCTTTTGTTGTAGAATAGTATTAGAACTAAGGATCTGGGAGGCAGATGGGCTTGTTGCTTCTGGGAAGTCCTTGCTGCTATAGCTTCTTCGCCTAACAAAGCAAAGATAAATATGTGTGTATATTAATCTGTACATGTACATATATTAATATCCATAAATACTTCTCTATGTAAGCATTTATATCTATATTAAGGTGAACATGAGTTTATACTGATTTCTTCAACTTAAATATATTTACACATTGATCTTTTTTTTAACCAGCTCCCCTTACTTGCAACCTCTCACTCCTACAGTGAGAAGGGGTTCCTACTATTCAGCATCCATTTATTTAATTGTTCCAGCATACACATATAGTGGTAGTAGAATTGTTAACCTATGCTCTTATAAAAAAGTAAATTTACCAACTAAAGCACGGTGCTTATGTGAAGTTTCTTTTGCCTTGAGTTTTGCGACATCTCTTCATTTCCAAAGTTACTTAGTGCAAAAACATTTTTCCTTACTCAGTTTAGTGAAGTAATTTCAGAAATTTGTTAACTGAATACTTTTTGTGTCCCATATTATATTTGCATCAAATATAGCACAGAAAAATGTATGGTATACACTTTTTTTTTTTTTTTTTTTGAGACACAGTCTCGCTCTGTCGCCCAGGCTGGAGTGCAGTGGCGCGATCTCCACTCACTGCAAGCTCCGCCTCCCGGGTTCACGCCATTCTCCTGCCTCAGCCTCCTGAGTAGCTGGGACTACAGGCTTCCGCCACCACGCCCAGCTAATTTTTGTATTTTTTAGTAGAGACGGGGTTTCACCGCGTTAGCCAGGATGGTCTGGATCTCCTGACATCGTGATCCGCCCGTCTCGGCCTCCCACATTGCTGGGATTACAGGGATACACACTTTTTTGAAAAAAGACATTCATTGTGTATCTAAAATTAAAAGTTAACTAGATGTCATGGCTTTACTCTGGCATTACTACCCCTTCTGTTTCATGAATACTTCATGAGCATTGACTATACCTTTGATTTGACTGTTATCTTGAAAACTTAACCTAAGCCCTAATAATATCAAAACATAATATAATATTATATATATTATTATTTATATGATTTAATATATATACTGGCTTAATATATTAATAATTTCTGACTCAAGGAGGGAAATGTCGTTTATGTGGTTCCTTCCCAGGTTCCTGCAGAACTAGACTTTTTAAAAAACAAAGAAATAAAACAAAATACAAATAACAACTTCAACCACAATTTACTTATATTTAAATATAAGAAAATTAACAGAAAAATTAGAGAACTGCTTTCTTGACCAAGCAATTTGCAAAGATGTAATATTTGATTGTAAAAATACCACAAAAGGATATCATAAATTAATGTCCTTAGGTGAAGGTTAAAAACAGCATAGGTTGCTAAAATTAAAATAATCAAGATAACACAAACAAGCTCTTCAAAGCCTAAATTGATCAATAGAAATGTTTTTTCATTTTTTTTTAAAAAAAAGGATAATAAAGTTCCCAAATTTTTTTTTAGCACATTATTTCAAAACGTTTTGAAATCAGGTGGTTAGAACATAAACCCCTATGAAAGAAAGTAGAGTGAGTCAAGTCAGAATAGAGAAGATTATTATTATTTTTTTCAAATAGTTTTTAAAATGTCATTCAAATTAGCAGTCTCTAGTAGTTACTAGTTCTTTTTTTAAAAGAAATAGACTGATATCATATAGCTTTTAGGTATTACTTTTGATAATTCTGTGAGTATGGTTAAGGTTTCTAAAATTGAATGTGGGCAAATAGAAAATATAGGTGTGTTTACTAAGTTTGGTAACCAAAAACTAAGTTCAGTTAATCAATGGATATACCTGAGCTGCAAAGCTCTAAGCAAAAGGCATCATAATCATATGTGTAAAAATAGGAAAATGCAAGGTAATTGAGTTGTCATGATGAAGTGAAGTCAGGAGGTAAGATGGTGAGGAAACATCAGAATTAATCTTGGTTAGACTTTAATGTTGGTTAGGTAAAGAGGTGGATGCTGTGTTTGAAGCTAAATGAAAAGCCACTAATGTGGCATGAAAAGTTATTGAAAAGTTTTACCTAAGTGTATACCATCATTCTTTCCAATATGTACTTACTTAAAGGGGTTTATTTACTTTTTGTTGTTTTGAAATTATTTTCTATTTTTTTAGATAATGCCTAAAAAGAATCTAATTGAGCAATCATATCCAAAACTTTGAAAATATTCTATTTAAAATAATTTCTTCAATAATTCCCTGACTTTTCTTGCCTGTAAAATTCCAATATCATGCTGAACAACAAACTGCTCATATATCTCTCCCAGATGGAAGGTTGAGACAAATTATTATTTAATGGCAGTAAACAGTGCTTTAGCTTTTCTCTCTGACTTCATTAACTGTGGTGAGTCAGTAAACATTTAGTTTTAAATCGTTGCTTTTTTTTGTTTGAGACATACTGTGTCTTTCTGATTTCTGTTAATAGAATGCAAATGAAGGCAGCTAGAGAGTATAGAGTGATGCCGTTGGAAAATGTTTACTTTCAAACATTAAGACCACTCACTATATTTCTAAACTAATCATATTCCTTAAATGTACTAGATGCATTAAGGAAATTTTAAAGATTTATTTGAATGTTGCTGTTATGGGTTGAATTGTGTTCCCTCAAATATTCATATATTGAAATCCTATGCCCTAATGCTTCAGAATGTTACCTTGTTTGGAAATAGAGTTGTTGCAGATGTAATTAGTCAAGTTACAGTGAGGTGACACTAGAGAACAGTGGCCTCTAATCCAATATGATAGTCACACGGTATCCTTATAAAAAGTAAATTAAGAGATTAATTTACTAAATTCAAAACTCAACTAAATTAAAAGCTTGTATTTGTCTACTACTAAGAAAATTTGTAATTTTTACCACCAACATCCTACCATACACAGCTCTTTTAATTCTGACTTTCTTCTAGTGGATGTATATCTGATGCAGTTAGCTATGTGTCTGGATCCAGAGCTGGACTAGTATTTCAAATGGAGTCAATCATAGCATGGTGTTTCAGTGATTGGTACATCAACAAGTATGGGATCCAAGCAGGGACACTGAAATAGCATAAAAGGTTTGCAGAGACTGTTGGAGAGCATGTACTTTGTTAGCTTGTTTGTTTGTTTACATCGAGAAGGTGAATGAGGGTGCTGTTAGCATGAAACTGATTTTAGCCACCACATTTATCCTAGATATAAAGTCAATGCAGTGAAACTTAAAACAAAGAAATTATGGGATCACAAGTATTGATGATCTCATTTGAGGTTCTGAATTAAACCATACCTTGAAATTTTTTGTCCTGAACTGGTTAATTTATTTCATTACTATATAAAAGTTTGAACGGGCTTTATCATTTGCAAGGAAATCAAAAGGCTTACCTTATAACTCTATATATCTTGCAAATTTTAATTTGCATAATAGTCAACTCTTGAGAAAGATAAATGAAATAGAAATATCTCTGTCAAGACTGAACCAAAAGAAACGAGAAAGGAGAGAGGAAGGAACAATGGGAAGAAAGAAAAAAAGAGAGATAAAGTGCTATTATACAAATAAAATAGGGAATGCTAAATTAGTTCTTAAATTTTATTTTGTTTTTCTACATCAATATCCCAAACTCAGATTAGTTAGGTAGTTTTCACTTGTGTGCAAATTTTGGTTTCAGACTGATTTTATATTGATGTTTGATTTAAAAAAGTTAAAGCTTTTCATCTTTTTCATTGCATGAAACAATTTAAAGCATATATATCATTACTGCTTGCATCACAATTTGAATTAACTTGCAAAATAGGATGATTTTTTATAATTTTATTATTTATTTGGTATTTTTGTCTTTAGTATTGGGGGGTGGTTTGTATTTTCCTTTTTTTTTTTTGTTTCCTTTTTCATGTTTTGTTTTCCTAAATGCAGCTATATTTTTTCAATCTTAGAATTGTATTAGTCTGGGTTCTCCAAAGAAACAGACCTGAGAGAGTGAGACAGAGTGAGAGCAAGAGCGAGAATGACAGAGAGAGAGAGAGACGGAGAGAGAGACAGAGAGAGAGAGAGAGAGAAGAGAGAGGAAAAAATAAAAAGAGATTTATAAGGAATTGGCTAACATGATTACAGAGGTTGACAGGTCTCATTTAGCAAGCTAGAGACCCAGGAGAAGTGAGTTCAATCCAGTTTTGGAACCAGTAAGTTTTCTGTACAAATATAATATCACGGTTGGGTTTGGGATGGGGCAAAATACTTCACAATTGTTCTTTCAAAGGCAAGTGCTGAGACTTATCTCGTTGTAGCATGTTTTTTCCATAACTCAGTTTGTAGTATTATTTATCTAATTCTAATTAAAACCTGTTTCTTCCATTCTTAATTAATGTATAAGTGAAAGCAGGAGCCATGAAATTTTAATAGTTGTTCTCAGGCTTGCCTATACATAGAAATTACATTGGGGTGGCTTTTAAAAATATGTGTGCTTGGGCTCCATCTGCAAGATGCTGGTTTAAATGGTCTGGACTAAGTGCTGGGCATTGGCACTTTAAGCACTCAGAATGATTCAACATGCTTCCAAGGTTGAGAATCACTATTGGGTGGAAGCTTATGCAATGAGTGAACATCAAGGGCCTTCTAACAACTTTCTTTTGGTGTATTTTAATATTTTTCTTGAATTACCATTAACAATTGGGAAATTAAATCAGGTAGAGGGTACTTATGCCTATATAAATTTTATTTTATGTTTTATTAAGCTACATAGCGACAGACTTAAAACATGTAGGAAGGTATAATTTAGGGACACCTAAGGATTGATCTACCCAGAGAGTTTCTCGCCATTTATCCTGCCTTATGGCCTGCATCGTCTATACTATTTCTAACCTTGCATATCAGCACAATGTTTCTCAGCAGGGTTGCTGGTGTATGTGTTTGGACACCTTTCTGTTGTGAAGGATCTTATCCACAATTGCAGGGTGTTTGTTATCTGTGGTTGCCTTGCCCCCCAACACATCACAAGTCATCAAAAGTGTCCAAAAATTTGAGGCTTGTGAAGGACCTTTGTATAGAAACAAATATATAATGTGGAATGAGAGTATTATCATTACAAGTTATGAAAATATAGTAGAAAAATGGTTCAAATGTGTAGGGCAATCTTCACAAACATTAAATTCAGCAGAAATGGAATAAGTCTGGATGCAATATTACTTCACAATTTTCTGTACTGTAAAATTACCAGAATTGGCCTGGCACAGTGGCTCACACCTGTAATCCCAGCACTTTGGGAGGCTGAGGTGGGCAGATCGCGAGGTCAGGAACTGGAGACTAATCTGCCAACATGGTGAAATCCTGTCTCTACCAAAAATACAAAAATTAGCAGGGCATGGTGGCACACACCTGTAATCTTAGCTACTCAGGAGGCTGAGGCAGGAGAATTTCTTGTACCCGGGAGGCGGAGGTTGCAGTGAACCGAGATTGCACCACTGCACTCCAGCCTGGGCGACAGAGTGAGACTCTGTCTTGGGAAAAAACAGACAAACAAACAAACAAAACTTTACCAGAATTCTTTCTTCACCAAAAAACTGAATGTTCATATTTTTTTTCTCAATCCTTATTTTTTCACTTTTTACCTTGAAAACCAAATCAGTTTATTGAAATGGAAAGAATTAATATATAATCATCTTTTGAAAAATAATATATTTATAGTACTATAAATTTCTGTAGATTTTTGAATCATAAACTTGGAAAAAATTAATGAGGAGATTACATATTATGTCAATAGGATAGATATATTGCGTTAAATAGCAGAGTTTTCTTAAGCATTATTTCTGCTACAATTACAATAGCAAGAATAACAGTTCTATTTGATCATATCCTAAACTATTTAAATTATCAATGCAAAATAAACCATCCCAAAACATACTGGCTTAATGTAACAACTGTTTTATTATCTCTCATGGTTCTCGAGCTGACCAGATCAAGTTGGTTGGTTCTTTCGCTCCATAAGTTATTAGCTGGGACTGTAGTCATCTGGGAGCTCAAAGACTCACTTACAAGGCTGGTAGTTGGTGCTGGCTAGCAGGCAGGCCTGCATGTGACTCTACCACATAGCTTGAACTTCTCAAAACAAAAGGGCTGGGTTCCAAGAGGCAGTGTCCCAGGCATATGCATTCAAAGACAAAAAAAGGAAAAGTCATTAGTCTTCTTAAAAGCTAGACCCAGAACAGTCATGTTATCATTTGGAACATAGTCTATTGGTTCAGAAGGCACAGTCCATCTGAGGCAAATAGAAGAAAAATGAACTCCAACTCTGTGAGGGAAGAGTGACCAAGAATTTGAAACAATTAATACATTGCAGTTTCTTTCTGATTATAAATGAATTGCAATAGTCCGACATTCCAAATACTCCAGATTCTCACAAAGCTTCATCCCATTACAAAATCAAGATCATAGTCCAAGACCCCACCATTTAAATTATGTCCAGGTATGGATGAAGCTCATGAGATATGGCTCTTCTACAGCTGAAGATCTGACAACTAAAGAGACAAGGCATATATCCTTTTACATACCCAACACACAGAGGTGAAACAGGGACAAGAGAAACACAGAGGATGTGTTCAATAAAGAAGGGGGAAATTGAGAGTAAGAGTCCAGTCACTGGTTCATAGAAATTCTGAAATACAGCCAGACCCATCTTGCCATTTCCTTGATGATATCTTAGACCACCAACCTGAGGGTTGTTCTCCCTGGGTCCTTATTCTGATTTCTGGCCTCCCACTTTTGCCCTGTGAGTCATCCTTCTTTTTCCATATGAAATGTTCAGGTTTACAATAAAGTCACCTCCAGATCCATCTTCTGGCCCATAGAAATTTCAGAACCCAAAAGCCTTTTAAGATTCTAAACTTTTATCACTCAGTTCAAGTTGATGGGTTTCTTATGCATCAAAGTACTATCCATTTCTTTAGATAAAAATCACATCCAAAAAGCTACTAGGTTGGTGCATAAGGAATTGTGATTTTTGCCATTAAAAGTAATGGACCCCTAACTCAATATGACCATTGCTATAAGAAAATGGTCATATGAAGACACAGAGATACACAAAGAAAATGCCACATGAAGCCAGAGGATTGGAGTGATGCATCTACAAGACAAGGAACACGAATGTCAGCAAACCATGAGAAGCTAGGAAGAGTCAAGGAAGGGCTCCTCTACTGGTTTCAAAGTGAACAAGGTCCTGCTAACACCTGATTTCAAACTTCTAATCTCAAGAACTGTGAGACAACAGATTTCTGTTTATAGTACTTTGTAATAACATCCCTAAGAAACTAATACATGTGTCAATATATTAAGTATGGTTTTCTGAATCTTCTAGTCTTGTCCCTTGAGCTATTTGCTATCTCCCCATAGATAACACACTGGTTTTAGTAAGAATAGCCTTATAATGTTTTTTACATACATTTGGGTAAGTTCTCCAACCTCTTTTTTCTTCAAGAGAGAGTTATGGGCTGGGCACAGTGGCTCAGACCTGTAATCTCAACACTTTGGGAGGCTGAGGCAGGCAGATAACTTGAGGTCAGGAGTTCAAGACCAGCCTGCCCAACATGGCAAAACCCTGTGTCTACTAAAAATACAAAAATTAGCAGGGCATGTTGGCATGTGCTTGTAATCCCAGCTACTCGGGAGGCTGAGGTAGGAGAATAGCTTGAACCCAGGAGACAGGGAGGTTGCAGTGAGCCAAGATCGCGCCACTGCACTCCAGCCTGGGTGACAGAGTGAGACTGTGTCTCAAAAAACAAACAAACAAACAAACAAACAAACAAAAAAGAGTTACGGCTATTCCTGGTCCTTGAATTTTAGAATCAGCTTGTCAAAGCCACACAAATAAGTCTATTGAGATTTTGATTTAAATTGCATTGCCTCTATATAAAACTTGGGGGAGAATCAATAACTACATAATTGTAAGTCTTCCATACTTAGAAAATAAATTATACTCTCTATAATTTGTAGCTTCTTTAATGTTTCTCTATATTAAATTTTTTCTCAGTTGTGACGTTTGTTAAATTTATTTCTGTGTACTTTAGAAAGGTGATGGCTAATTTTAATAAATATTTTCTATTTTTATGATTGACTTGTTTTGATTATAACAATATAGTTACTTTTTATATTTTGTTCTTATTTCTTGAAAAATTGCCATTGTGCATTTTAAGCTAAATTTTTTTCTGCTGATACATATTGGATTTTCTGTAACAGAAAATTATATTATATTAGCTGTAAATAATGACAGTTCATTTTTTCCTAATCTACTTTTTTTCTTCTTTTTCTTTTCTTGATGGGCTGGCTAAAACATCTAGTACATTGTTTAATAGATGTGGTATGGATCAGCAACTTTTCTTTATTTCTTACCTTAAAGAGAAAGTTTTCAATGTATCTACATATAAAAAGCAATTTGTTTAAGGATTTTGAAGACACTCTTTTTCAGGTTAAGTGAATTTCCTTCTATCCCTAATTTGTTAGTTTTATTGTAAATAAATGTAGCAATTTTTTTTTGCACTTTCCTTTTTTTCCAATTTTTTCTTCTTAAAGTTGTAAAAGTAGCATGTTACTGTTTCCTGAAGATGCTTTAAACTAATAGTTCTCAAATATTGTAAGCTTAATTATTTTGTATTCTTTACATTATTGTGATTATTTCAATATCTGAAGTCTTATAGGATATATTTACACTAGTTTTTTTGTTTGTTTGCTTTTGTTTCTTATTCTCAGCTTTTATTTTGTGTTTGGTCATTTCTGATTGTGCACTGAGAATTTCTCTTGAAGAATTATTTGTAGTCTTGAGTTATTTGAGACCTAAAATGAAGGTTTATCCTCTGGAAATAGTTTGCATTTGCTTCTTTCTGGCATCTGGGTACATTGCTAGTCTAGAAACACTCTCAACTTTAAAAAGAAATGGCTTACATATTTGCTTTTTTTTGTTTCGTTTTGGTACCACCTAGAAAATGTTAACTGGGGATTTATGTGACTTGCTTTGGTCAATAGAATGTAAGCAAAAGTGACATATTATTTTTGAGCAAAAGCTTTTAGAACAAGATTATATCTCCCCATACATTATTTTTCCTGTTACAATAACCAGCAATGTTTCATACTGACCCTGCTTCATTATCTGGGTTCCAGTGGAGAAAAACCTGGACTCAGGTAACACTGGTTCTAAAATGTCCATATAGTATGAGTAAGGGATACGTATCTGTTGATGCAAGCCACAGGCTGTTTGAATTTATTTGGTACTAGCATGTAATCTAGCCTATCTTGGCTGCTACAGGCAGTGACTAAGGTCAGTAGGGAGGTACACTGGATGAGTGTTGTTACTTTCTGTGATGAGAGCTAACAGCCTCTTGCTATGATTCAGAATGTTTTTGTCTAATTATGGTTGTCTGTGAGAAGATTGTGTTTCGAGTCATGATGTTATGTCATGTAAGAAGGCTTCCAGGGCACGATTCATGGAGTCTGGGAGACCTATAATGGTGCTCACAGGCAGGCTATAGTGACTTTTACAGCTTGGAGAGCTGCTTACCAAGGTTTGGCTCAAAAAGTCTTTTGAAACTTTTCCTTGCCTGATTTAAGGCAGAGGAATAAAGCACAGAAAAAGTTAATTATTTTGCTATGAAACAAAATGAAATACATAGTCATATTTTCTAACTTTTCACCTGTCTCTCTAAAGCTGATACTCACCCATGAAGAATAATGCTTAAACTGCGAAACATTAATTTTTTCTCATGTAAGCACCTCATTCGCTAACATAACGCTCTTTAAATCCCCAACTTAAATGAAAGTATGTGAAAAACATCGCTTCACAAACATAACTGTAAAATATACACATAAACATATTTTATACTCAAGACATAAAGGGTCTTTCTGTCTTTCTGCTGTTTTATTTTTATTTCTATATCTTGCTTTACATCTATAAAAGTGGGGAAAAATCTGTCAATATGGAGAATATATGTTTTCTTCTTTTGTCAGTGTCATGGCCTGCCCTTGATAAAAGGTACACAATACCTAGAATCTGAAGGACTATGCCAGTCTGTGATCTCAATTCAGGTCAGTGTCAGGGGAGCTTTATCCAGATGGGTTCTTTGAATTCCAACAAGAGGCCTGGCCCCCAGCCAGTACAAGTCTATGGAGCTGCAATATTAAGCATTGTCACCAGCTGCAGAAGCAGGATGGCTGTTTGTAGAAGCTGTCAACTGTCACCCATTCCCAAGATCACTTCCCATCCTTGCCTTTGTTAGCAAAAAAATAAAACCCTAGGTTTATCCATTAAATATAAGTGAAATTGAATAACTGGCTTCACTGTTAAAATGAAAATATCGGCTCCATGGCCAGTATTAGAAAAGAAGAAAGGCTATCTAAATAATGAGTGTTGAAATCACATGTGTGAAAATATCTCACTGTTCCTTTGAATTTGATCTGTGTTGTTGGGATAATTATCTTAAAACATAGTAAAATGCAAGAAACAACTTCAGGGGAGAAGGTTTTTTGTTAACAGTTCCACATCTTATAAAATGTAGAAAAATTATAACTTCCTGTTTTATTTAAGAACCTAAATAGGTACCACAACAGAGGATGAAAGGAAGAAAATCTAAACAGAAATAAATGGACTCTTTAGACCTAGAATTTTAAATATAGTTCTTTAATTTATTGCTTGAAATTATATAGTTTTCTCAGTTCTTCATTTTAATTAAAGAGAAAAACAAGTCAAATAATCTCAAGGTTTGTTGAGTGTCATTTTACTAAGTACTTTATAATTGTGTTGGTGTAGAGATTCTGTGATCAGATTGCTTACCTAACGTAATCATCACATATGATTTGGAGAAAAAATGTCGACCTCTCTTATATACTATAAAGAGTGAGGGGCTATGAAAATTATAGAAGTAAGAATGAGCAAAAAGAAAAAAAAAATTTCACATTTTTCCATTTTGTTACTATGAACAACTATTTTTATAGACACTTTATTATTGTTTCTATAATGGAAAATACTTTAAAAACTATTTATTTTGAAGTGAAGAGTTGTATGAGGAAAATCTCCCAAGTATATCTAATTTTTGCTTCACATGTAAACAAATTAACTGCTTCTGCATTTGCATGATAATAGTATTCACCAGCTTTAGGATGAGACAAATGTAAAACAAAGTAGTTAGACTTAACTCTCTTCAGTATTGTTAATAATATAACGAAGTGTAGGTTTTTTCAGATCTATTTAAAATTATGTAGCCTTTGATTGTCTGGAGCTTATTAATCTGTGTTGGGTTTGTTACTAAAGATCACAGAGTATAAATCAAATTATTAAATCAGTTACATAGAAAGAAAAGTATAAGATAAAGAACAGGCCCTTGCAAAGAGAAACTATATTGTTTGTAAATGTAAAAGTACTAATTTAGATGGCATATGGCAACCACTGGGTAACTGACTAAGCAATTGTAGTGAAATTAGATGATCTGTCTTATTTTTAATCTAGCTCCACCAATTAACCCTATTTTGGATGGTGTTAACACCAGTAGCTGGTGCACCTGCCAAATATAGAGATGATTTAATGCTAGTAGCTGGTACATCTGTCAAAAGGGCAACCAACATTCAATTGGCTATTACCTTTAACTTCACCAACTTGAATTCCTGCCACTCTGCAGATTGCTGCAGCTTTCCTGGAAAATTTACCACTCTATTTGTCTTCTCAGTAGGCTGGAGCACAATTGGTGGTGGAAAGGAGCATTAGAAGGAACACTTTAAGGCTCTAGCTGTAGAAGCGGACTGTTGATGTAAAAATAATCAAGGTTTTGGAGTCTGTATTTGAATTCAACTTCTGCTTCTACACTTTTAACAAACTGTGCATTTCAATGTAGTTTGAACTATTGGTACCTCAGTTTCCTCTGTACAATGAGAGAATACAGTGAAAACACACACCAGTGTGTTTTCATGAAGGTTAAAAAGGAATATGTATATAAAAGTCCCTAATTTGACATGCACAACCAGTAAGCTCTTTGACAGCTTCCATGGTACTAACTCTCTAGCATGCCCAGTGTATTAATCTGTTCTCACATTGCTTACTTTTAATGGTAAAAACTGCAATTACTTTTGTACCCATATAATATAAAGGACTACATGTATTAGTCTGTTCTCACACTGCTATAAGGACATACCCCAGACTGACTAATTTATAAAAGGAAGAGGTTTAATGGACTTACAGTTTCCACATGGCTGGGGAGGCCTCACAATCCTGGTGGAAGGTGAAAGAGGAACAAAGGCACATCTTACATGGTGGCAGGTGAGGGAGCGTGTGCAGAGGAACTTCCATTTATAAAACCATCAGATCTCATGAGATTTATTCACTGTCACAGGAACAGCATGGGGAAAACTCAGCACCATGATTTAATTGCCTCCCACTGGGTCCCTCTCATGATACTTAGAGACTATGGGAGCTACAGTTCAAGGTGAGATTTGGGTGGGGATACAGCATAACTATATCACTGGGTAATTTATAAGAAACATGGTTTAATTGGCTTTTCGTTCCACAAGCTGTACTGGAAGCACAGCTGTGGAGGCCTCAGGAAACTTACAATCATGGCAGAAGGTGGAGGGGAAGCTGGCACGTCCTACAGGGCTGAAGCAAGAGGAAAAGAAAGCAAAGGGGGCAGTGCTACACACTTTTAAACAACCAGATCTTGTAAGGACTCACAAGACACCAATAGGAGGATGGTGTTAAACCATCAGAAACCACCCCTATTACCCAATCACCCACCAGGCCCCACCTCCAACACTCAGGACCACAGTTGAACATGAGATTTGGGTGGGGACACAGAGCCAAACCATATTGCCTACTATTGACTTGGAACAATATCAACTGTGGATAGATTTTTTATAGAATACATTTCTATGACATATTGTAAGTTCACAAACAAAATATAAAGTAATTTATTTTTTCTTTCTGGGAAGGAAGTTTGACAGGAGAATGTAAAAAAATCCTAAAAAACTTGCAAGAGATCACAGAACAGATTGCAAAATGGATGAGAAAAAATAGTGGTTGCTTTTTAAAGAAACTTGTCAAATATTCATTTCTAAGTTATTTGTTTTTGTGTCTTTATTATATAGCTATTTAATATTAAATTTAATACATAATCCAATATTTGCTATTAATATGTGTTTTTATGCATGTGCATGTATTTGTAAAAGAATGAAAAGGACTGCATTTCACATCTGTTTTCATGCAGTAAGAAACAGTGACAACACGTGTGGAATGATAAGATCCCATTAAACAGAGTTAATTCAGAGAAAAGAGGCCCTTGGGACCAGAGGTCACTAGGAAAAAATAAATCATAGAATTCTTGAGGGGCTACTGCAAATTCATAATCTGTGGATAAGGGAAAGGTTGAAGTAACCTTATTTGACACTGGCATTATTATAGCTATGCCTAAAGTAAGGGTTAACAGACATGACTATCTCTGAATCATTTAATGAGCTTTTTTCTAAGTAAAGATTCCAGACTTCAGTGTTCAAAGAGTTTTTAATTTTAGTAGCTTACAAGTGGAACCTGAGGGGATGGATAAATATTATATATATGTAATATTATAGAGAGATTATATATATATATCAATAAATAATATACATAAAATTATAAGAGAAATTTTTAGGTGTATTAAAAATGGAGATTAATGAATAATAGTGCACTAATGTTATTTTATTAATTGCGTCAAATGCACACTCTTCATGTAAGATGTTAGTAAAAAATCAACTGAGAGTGGGATATACAGAAACTCTGTCCTATCTTTTCAACGACTCTGTAAATCTATAATTGTTCCCAAATTAAAAGTATTTAAAAATGACAGAGAAGTTAACTTTTGGGGGGCTGATAGTAAAATTTAGAAAACAGCCAACCATTGCTTATCAATGCAGCTATATCCTGAGAAATGCATCATTAGGCGATTTCGTAGTCATGGGAACATCAAAGAGTGTACTAACAAAAACCTAGATGTCATAGCCTACCACACATTTAGGCTATATGGTATATCCTATTGCTCCTAGGTTGCCAACCTGTACAGCATGTTGCTGTACTGAATACTGTAGGTAATTATAACATGATGATAAATATGTGTGCCTCTAAACATATCTAAACAGAAAAAGGTATAGTAAAAATATATTATAATTATATGGGGCCACTATCATATATGCTGCTCATTGTTGAATGCAATATTATTATGTGACACATAACTGTACTTATTTAAGAATGTGAGTAACATCACATGTTAGAAATTTCCAAACAAAGTTACATATTTTATCTTATTCAGCCATCACCAAATTCATGCAAGATTGTGTTAGTTCACTAGTGCTACTGACATAACAAATACCAAAGACTGGATGACTTAGACAACAGAAATTTATTTTCTCACAGCTCTGGATGCTATTAGCCAAGACCTAGGCTGTTGGCAATGATGGTTTCATTCTGAGGCCTCTCTCTTTGGCTTGTAATTGGCCATATTTTCCCTTTATCTACATCTGGTGTTTCCTCTGTTGTCTATGTCTCTGTTGTCTGTTTCCTCTGTTGTCTGTGAATTAGTCTCCTCTTCTTATAAAGACATCAGTTATATTGGATTAGGGCCCACAACAGTGGTCTCATTTAACCTTAATTACCTCCTTTAAAGGCCCTAAATTTGATTACAATCACATTCTGAGGGACTAGTAGTAAGTATTTTATTTTATTTTATTTATTTTTTTTGAGATGGAGTCTTGCTCTGTCACCAGGCTGGAGTGCAGTGGCGTGATCTCAGCTCACTGCAACCTCCGCCTCCCGGGTTCAAGCAATTCTCCTGCCTCAGCCTCCCAATTAGCTGGGACTACAGGTGCACACCATCATGCCCAACTAATTTTGTATTTTCAGTAGAGATGGGGTTTCACCATGTTGGCCAGGATGGCCTGGATCTCTTGACCCCGTGATCTGCCCGACTCAGCCTCCCAAAGTGCTGGGATTACAGGCGTAAGCCACCGCACCCAGTGTAATAAGTATTTTAAAAATCTCAAGTAGATAAGTGAAAAGATAAGCATATCAATTATCAATGTTTAAGAAACATGTAGAAGATAGAAATATATGCATTAGATTTCTATTTCCCTGTATGATGGAGTAATGTGTTTCACTCATAAATTTTGTGTGGACAGAATTCAACCTATGAGAGAGTAAGAAAAAATAGGTTAAGTTACTAGCTCAATATTACATTGCTACCTAATTGATGGAAAATACAGAAATCAAATCTGCTTTTGTCCATACTGAATGCCTGTCCATACTGAAGGGACAGAAATATGCAATTCTGTCTAATCATTTTAAGAAGCTTATTGGTAAAACACAGTGAGAGTTCTCTCTTAATTTGTCTTAAAATGTTTATAGAGTCCCAGAATATGTTCTAGTTGAATATCATTCAAACATTAAACAAATACATACATAATATTTTTCCTTGAGAGGCTTGGTCTAGTTGGAAGTGCAGACATATAAATAAATGATTGTTGTATGGAATAAGTGCTGTGATAGATGTATCAATAAGGTGCCAAGTGGAGAAGAGAGAAAAAGTTGCCAACTCAATTTGAGAAATTGGATGGGAGCTAGATATGAAAAGAGTCAAGAATTTTTTTTAAGAGATTGATTTTTGAGCACTGTAGGAAATAAGAATTCATTCATCAAGCCAATTGGAGTGAGTTGTCTAGGAAGGATATTATAATTCTCATTGTACATTACATGTGAAACCTTGGAAACCTGATAGATCATGATGGAATTCACTCACTGTGTTTGGAATGAAGTGCTAAAATAGGGTGTTACTAGGAGATGAGTTTAAAAGATCAAGCAGGGTAGTTAGATACTGAGTGTCCTATAGATTCTACTATGGATTTTAATTTTATTATAAGAGTAATGCATTTCAAAGATGGATTTTAAGCTGGGGAGAAAAATAAGATGTTTATTTTAAAAATGTGATTGCAAAGCTACATAGAAAATTTTTGAAGGGAGATAAATTGATAACAATTTAAAAGAATATTGCAATGATATGCTAGATATGATTAAAAAACTCAATATGCTAAGTGAAAAGGAAAGCATATCAATCATCAATACTTAAGAAATATGTAGAAGAGATACATGTATGCATTAGAGTTCTAGTTCCCACTATGATGGAGTAACGTGTCTCAGTCAAAACCTCCTACTTCACAGACAAAAGATGCTTTAAGTAAAGAAGTATTACTGATGATTAAGTGACCATTTTATAATTATAACATGCTAATTCAACACGAAATTGTAACTATTCAGTATTTATTTGAAATATGTGTATAGAAAGAATGAACAGAATTAAAAATAAGGAATAAGAACTGCTTAAAATTTGAAAACAGTAAGCCTTAAAAAGATTTGTAAAATTCAGGAAACCAAATTGAACTAAGTGATATGATACACTGTACTCAACAGCTGTAGAATACTGATTCTTTTTAAGTGCGCAAAAACAAACCATATGCTGACTCATAAAACTAGCCTCAGTAAATTCTAAATAAATGGAATTATAAAAGTTTGTTCTCTAAACATTATTCATTTAAAAATAAATTTCATATTTCATTTGTGAATTTACAGTGTGTCTAAGTAAAAGGAAGAAAGTTCTAGTTGTCAATATAAGAGCAGAAATCAGTATCAGTGAAATAAAGTGTATGCAGAATAAAGAAACTAAGAAACGCAAGAGAGCAAAAACTTCATTGAAAGAATTCATAAATTTCACAAATCTCTCAATAAATTAATAAAGCAAATAGAACTAATGAATTGCTAATATTAGAAGTTAAAGAAGGTTATAAATCCTTCATAAACTTAAAATCAGATATTATAAAATTTTTTATAACAATATATTTTACAGAATTGATGAAAGGAAGAAATTTTTGGAAAAGAACAAAATTAGTAAAACTGACACAAGAAGAAATAGAAGATCTAAAAATTCTTAAATCTGTCAAGTAAATTATATCTTAAATACAAACCACACCACAAAATCTTCCTGCCTGATCAGATTACTTGTCTGTTGGATTTTTCCCAATATTAAAAGAAATAATGATAGCAAATTTACATCTTTTTCAGAAAATTAAAGGAGAGTGAAAATATTTAACTCATTTTATGAAGTCAACATAATCTTGTATCTAAACCTGACAAAGGCAGTGTAAGCAAGAAAAATTAAAGGCAGTATCTTTGTAAACAACATGAGAATTCCAAAGTAACATATTACAAAATTGAATTCAGTTACATACAAAAAGATATATCATACAAAGTGAGATTTATTTTATTAAAGAAAACATATATAACTTTTGAAAATTCATCATTGTAATTCAACAAATTAATTAAAAAGGGGAAAAGCCATATATCATTTTTTATGTAATTGAAGAATTTGAGATCATTAAAATCCTCTTAGTAATTAAAATAACAACAAAACCCACTTGGCAATCTTGAAATAGAAAGAGACTTACTTAATCTGACAGTTTAAAAAAAATTGAAAAGGAACTAGCACTATACTTTGTGGTGAAATATTGAAATACATAAAAGCGTTTCCCACTGGAGTCAAGAATGTAAATATTGTTTACTATCCTTTTTCTACTGATCATTTTCCTAAAGTCAAGTAAAAAAAAAATGAAATGTTAAAAGTTTGGAACCAAAGTACAAAAACTGTATTTAAGGATATCATGATTTTCATATGTAGAAAAATCTAAAGAATCTATAAACATGCTTTGAGAATTAATAAGTATTGATAAGTGAACATAATAGGATCTTTTGATGTAACATAAAAGAATAATATAATTTCCATTTACCACCAAAAATAATTCAAAATAAACATAAACGAAGACTTGCAATAGCACAGATTACATCAAATTTCTTAGAATAAATCTCATGAAAGAAATGTAAGCACTGTATTAATATACCACTGAACACTGCAATGAAAAAATTAAAGACTGTCTAAATAAATAGATACAATATGTTAATGATTGGAGAACTCTATTCTCTTCAGATTGATCAATATATTCAATGCAATCCAGATAAAATATTCTACCAGCATTTACTTGTGAATATTCAGAAGATAATTTACACTTACATGGAAATTCAAAAACTAGAGAAGAGCCAAAATTATAAACTTTAAGAATTGAGTTGGAAGACACATTCCCAGTGTTAGAAATATACCCTAATTTATATGATATGACTATTGGCTCATCAATATACACATAAAACATTGGAGAAGAGTCCAAAGATTATAATTCTATGTAACTTATTAATTTACTTATAAAAATGATGCATCTGAATTCAGTGGCATATGATGGTCTCATTAAAAAATAATTGTGGGTATTGAATATCATATTTTATAAAAACATCTTGACCCTTACCTTACATAACACACAAAATGGACAATGGGTGAATTGACATCGACATGTGCGTGGTAAAACAATTAAGATTCAATCTTAGCAATAAGTAGAAAACTATTATTGTAACCGAGGTATGCAAATGTTTTTTAAACTAGTAAATGGTAACAAAAATTATGAAAGAAAAGAGAAAAATTCGACTTTCTTAAATTTGTAAATTTCAGTTCATTTAAAGATACAGGGGACAGGCACAGTAGTTCATGCCTGTAATCCCAGCACTTTGTGAGGCCAATATAGAAAGATTGCTTGAGCTCAGGAGTTCAAGACCAACCTAAGCGATAGAGTGTGGCCCCTGTCTAAACACACACACATACACACACACACAAGATATGAAATGAAAGTATAAAAAGGCAAACCACAGAGACACAGACATTACATGAATTACATATATTCACAAAGAATTTGTATCTAGAATACAGAAAAAATCTACAAAGCAAGAAAAGATGAAAGCAAATGTTTAATTTTAAAATGCTCTAATAGGAAATGCATCATAAAGATGACTTATGAAAGCCTCATTAATTATCAAGGGAAGGCAAATAAAAGCATATATGATATCACTCATCATCACCAGAATGGATACAATAATTTTTGAAAAATGTAAAAACTTATAACGCTAAGTATTTCTAAGTGTGTGAGTTGACTGAAATTGTCATACTTCTCTGAAGAGAATATACATTGATACAAGTTTGGAAAACTCTTTGTTATATCACTAAAACGGAGCATGGACCTGTCCCATAATCAGCGCTTCCACTCAAGCGTATTCTCAACAGAAATGTATTCACATGTTCACCAAAAGGCACATATTAAAATGCTCATAGCAGTACCATTCAAAAGAACCAAAAACTGGGAAATAATCAAATGTTCATCAGTAGCACAATAAAAAAAATTAGTTGCAGCATATGCATTTAACTAAATAATATAAAGCTAATGAGACTTAACAAGCCACCTTTGCACACAATACAGATGAATATCAAAAAATAAATTAGATGCAAAGTAGAACATACTTCATGAATAAATTCATATAAATTTCAAATTAGATAAAGCAGTCTATGATGAAAGAAATCAGAATAGTGGTTACCTCTGAGTGGTTGTTTCACAGATACCCTTACATTATAAAAATTTCTACAACTTCATACTTAGGAATTTTGCCTGTTTCTGTAGTTTTTATGTCGGTTAAAAACTGTATGCAGTATAACATACAATGAGTGAGGTCAGATGAAACCCTTTTGTCATTTAGTAGCTTTGGGGATGGTAATCAAGGAGAGAGGAAAGGAAGAGTTTTATTTTGAGGATGGACTAAAGGAAAGATAAATGTGTTCAATTTTTTTATTTTAAGGGAAATGTATAATAGGAAAGGGTTATACTTCTCTATATCAAGAATTTCCACATAGTTTGATTTCCTTCTTAGCAAATCACTAAGAGAAAGGAATTACTAGTCTAATTGATCAAAGCTCAGGATATTCATTGAGCCATACGTCACTGGTGAATTCAGTAACAGAGTACTATTAAAAAGCTGTTAGGCAGGGCATGGTGACTCATGCCTGTAATCCCAGCACGTTGGGAGGCTGAGATGGGAGGATCGCTTGAGCCCAGGAGTTCAAAACCAACCTGGGCGAC
This sequence comes from Homo sapiens, assembly GCF_000001405.40. NCBI lineage: Eukaryota > Metazoa > Chordata > Mammalia > Primates > Hominidae > Homo > Homo sapiens. The sequence continues at coordinate 28,092,290 of NC_000014.9, read as the reverse complement.
ATAGGAAAACCCCATCTCTATTTAAAAAAAATTTAAACAAACAAACCAAAAGCCCTTAATAATGTGTGGCTTCTCTTCCCTTAGAATTCCTGCTCCTGTGCCATGTGTTAAGGAGTACTAGGCAGGACCTGACAACTTGAGGTTACAATTGGTCAAGTGGCACCTGCTTTTCATCAGCTTCTCTGTGCATTCAATGGTGGGTTAATACTAAACATTACCAGTAACTAAACATTACCAGTAGCCAAATGAAATCTGATTTTTCTCAATAGTCAATGTCCTCAACTGAATATCCACTTCCCTTACAACTTGTGGTAGTCCCTGTGGTAAATGGTTGAATGCTAAATATATTTTGAAACAACATTCAACAAGGTTTCTAACAGATGTGATATGGAATATGAAGAGAAAAGTCATGAAAGATAATAAGTATGTTGAAACAGAATGATGTCCGATGTTGTCAGCAACTGTGATGAACAGGAAAATGGTGGAGTACATTTTGAGAGAAGATTGGTTATTCCTTTACGATATGTTAAACTTGAGGTTTTTATTACACAGCCAGGTGACAGTGTTTAGTAGCAGTCAGATACATGAGTCTGGAGTTCAAGAGAAAGGATTGAGATCTGAGTAATTACACCATTAACAGATGAAGGAGATGAAGATCCAGCAAAGGAGACTAGAAATAAGTGAGTAATGAAATACAGAAAAAAAAATCCACACAATATAGTATCTTAGAGATCAATTATGTACAATGCTTTCGATTGGTAAAACATAGTGAGGACAGAAAATTTGTCATGGGAGTTAGCAAAGTGGAGGCCATTGGTGATATTTTAAAGAGAAGTTCCAATGGAATGGTAAAACTAAATGCCCGATTAAAGTGAGTTTAAGAAAAAATACAAGATAAGGAATTTGTATATTAGTTCCAGCTACTTTTTTGAAGAACTTTAATGCAAAGAGAAAAATGAGTAGGAAATTTGTTGTTCTTGTTGTTGTCATTGTTGTCTAATGTATTTCATATAGGATAATTAATAGCATGCCTATATACTAATGGGATGAATCCGGTAGACAAGGAAAGTTTGATGAGCATGTTAAGAAAGGAAAACATTGTTCAAGTGTTGTCCTTAAGTCAGTGAGAATATAATACATGAAAGAAGATAACTTTAGATAAAAGCATAAATACTTCATTTATGGAAACAGACATCTATGTGTACAAATGCTTGTAGCTAAGAGGTAGATTCTGTAAAAGTTCTCTTTTGATTGCTTTCCTAATTCTCCTTCATGAAATAGAGAACTATTTTCTGCTGAGAGTCAGGATGGACAGTGAAGTGTCAGAGGTTTGAGGACAGACCAGAAGGTGTGGGATTGTCATCTGTGTGGAAAGTATTTTAGGGCATTAGTACATGAGGAAAGTACAGTATGAATGACAGTCAGGTGTCATAGGAAGCTCACGTGAGGTTTGTGCTCATAAATATGACTCAAGGCCAGTCAGTGTGGCTGTGTGCTTTCTCCAGCTCCATTTAACTGAATGCGTGCAGAAAACTGGTAGATGGAATTGAATTTAAATAGGGTTGGGCTCTTTTAAGGTAAGTGAGATAGAACAACAGAAGTGTAAAGATTATTTGCATTGACCTTGGATTTTAAGATAGGAAAAAAGGATAGAGCAAAAATTAACAGGGTGAGGGAACTGTGAAAGGTGATCGAATCAATGCATTGGTTATGTGCGTAGATTCAGTGATTGGGATGGAGTAAGAGAGGGAGTGAGCTGCCAGTATAGGAGGTGATGGTCTAAGGAATGGATTCATGATTTTAAGATTATGGATATGCCGGTAAATGACAATTCTAGGGTAGGACCACGGCTGTGAGATGAAGGACAAAATCACTGAGAGATAACAGTTACTTAATAAGTAAGCATTTTGTGTGCTGAAATAATCATGAATTGAGAGAGAAATAATGTGGAAAAAAGTGAAATTGAACGAGGAGCATACTCATAGGTAAGTGATAGCAAGAGTTAGATATAGTTGTTGATATCACCTGTTGATAAGACATTGCATGAGGGTTTTAGTAATAAGACCCAAAACCAGTGCATGTGGGTTCCTTGATCTCACTAGGGCTGTTTTGATATGGTGATAAGTCTGGCTTGACAAACCTTACTAATTTATTGACTATTGTGTTTCCCATGTCAGAATACAGAAGTAAGTAACGTGATGTTCCAAATCCATGTCGTATCTTTTATAGAGTGATCCATATACTATATTTTATTGTAATAAGTATCATATTGTCTTCTGATTCAGCCCCATTTCAGCATCCTAATCTCGTATAGATTATAATTAGTAGTGGAGTCTCTAATTTAGATAACTGAATATCATATGCCTTTGATTCCTGTGTTTAAGAGTCATACAGAATTCTCACTCAAATTCCAGGAAATATAAAAACAGAAAAGAAGGAAGTGTTTAGGGAGATTGTAAAATGTAGGCCAAACCAAGGAAACAGCTTTGAGAATTTAATAAAATCTCTGGAGTCTAGACAATAAGTCTCAAAGCAAATGAACAAACAACTGAATTTTACTCTTTCATTTTAAGCTTTCTCACTAGCCATTACTCAGATCTAAGTCTCAACAGCCTTTTAGGCATTTGACACCATGAACTCCTTCTCCCCTAATCCCTTTTTAAACTCTTTTTCTTTACCTTCCTGGCATGATATTCTTCCCATTCCCCTTTACTTTCCCTTTCTCCTTCTGATTTTCTACCTTTTAGTCATTAGAGCTGGATCAAGTCACTCAATCTCATGAAGCCATTTTTTCTATAAAATCTGTAAAATTATTTATTACATAAAAAATCTGGAAAGATTAAATGAAATAATGGTGGCGAAACACCCAGGGCAAAGCCCGACTCATAGCACATATTAGCCATGTCTCCTTTCTTTTCCTTTTCTGGCTTACCTTGCTTTGCATTCATTTAATTGTGAACACCCCCAATGTCTCTGTCTTTCTGGGACAACTGAGTTATTTGAACAGCTTGATTATCACATAAATTTGAATTCTCAAAATTCTCATAATATCTCAAATCTACATCTTCTGTTTTAACCCAGAAACATAGAACTGGTCTTCCATCATTGCTCACAGAATCTTTGCTGTTATACATGAGTTACCATCATATCAATTAGAAAAAGTCAAATTAATATAATCATTTTACCCCTTTCAAATTTTCTCTCCCTTTAAACAGTTTATTTTTCTTTGCAGAACTTTTATCCTCTCAGTAACTCAGGCTAAGGGACCTAGGTAATTTTCAGTTCCTAGGTTTTATTTTAACTAAGAAGACAGAAGAGTTGGTGGGGTAGCTCTTACTTTTGGGACAGTTAAACTTTCATTCTAATGAACATTGAATTCTCAGGTAAATCAACTATTGAATTAAAATTTAAATACAGAAGGAGTACATTGTTGAAGTGCAGAAATAACTCATTCAATGTATCACAGTTTAAAAGAAATGCCCTCTCTTGAAAGGTAGAAAAAAAGTGATGTCAGAGAACAAAACAGATATCCTGCTGAAAAGAATATCCAAATTGAGAGATGCCAGGTGATAGGGCAGTGAATATTCTGAAAAGTCAATTACACATAATTTAGAGGTATTTTCTAGTTTGTTGTATAGATCACACAATAACGAGAGGCTCTGTGTGCATTTATAACTGCCTAGAGAATAGGCCAGAGTAGCATGATAATGTGTGTATATTATAACCAGCAATTCTTTTTGATAAACCTGGGGAGGAAGAGGGAGAATTAGACAGGCAAATGAGAGGGCCTTCTGTGTGCTGAGAAAAGCAGATTAGCAGCCCCACTATTGCTTCCATTTGGATAATGGAGCTATCTCTGACCACGGCTAGCTATTCTCCAGCCAGCTGGGTCGCAAGAAAAAGGTAATGCTACGCTATTCCTGCATGACAGAAAGGTCTCTCTAAGCTCTTTCTCTAACAGCCACTGACTCTTTCCAAATTGCTGCGAGAAATGTCACTCATCTAGTACAAGCCTACTTGCCACACACAATAGCTTTGAACAATTGCAGTATATTCGCCTGAAACATACCAACATATGCTCACTTTCTCACAATGCTCTATCACTGAAGGAAAGTTATGGAAGATAAAATGCAGAATATTTGGACCTGTAATATGTAATAGCAAGAATCTCCACAATAGCCAGAGTGCTGCATGTATTAGATGTCATCTTCTGTAAGGGCTCACAATGAAAAGGAAGGGAAATTATAACTTGAAAATGAAGGTGCAAAGTGAATTATACTTTAGAGCAGTGATGTGTTGTTAAATGTCATTGGTTGACCTCATGTGTTTCTTTTTTAATGCAGAGTGAAAATGTAAAACATTTAATCAAAGTGACCAGAATGGATTTGAACTTTTCTCTTTGTTTTTCTTTCCACCTATCATTATCTCCTTCATCATCACTGAGAATACTATATTTGGGAATAAATATTAATTCTTGTCATTTTACATACATATATGTATACACAGTTTTGCATGCATTTATGTATATGTGCATCAGTATCTCACATTTATCTTACATACACACACACACACACACATACATTCTGGAAAAGAAAGTGTGCGATTTTAGGGAAAGGAATGTCACAAAGTAATTTGAGTCATTAATAGAACTAGAAGATACTTGTTTTTATATTTTAACTAAGTGGCTAGTGTAATAATAAGGGAAAAGCTACTCAGGGAAATAAAGAGAATGCTTTTTACAAATTTGGGAGTAGATAAGGATATTTGGTGTCACCTTTTTAGAGGAAGCAGTGTAGTCACAGGTGATTTAATCCGTTGGTTGAATGAGGTGACAAGTATGAATAGGTGAAGTGATTTCAGTTGACCTATATATGGAAGTTTGATAAGGGGCAATGTTAGGAGGGATAAATAGAAACAAGATGAATAACATATAAAGTTCTTCTTTTCTATATATTTATAATGTTTAGATGTATTATGGTTTTTAAAATTTTATTTCTTTGTAGAAAAAAAGTGAGGATTATTATGTTCCCAATCTGTGACAGCATGCCAAGGATTGAGGCCAGGGCATTGTACAATTTGAATAACTATTAGTGACACTACTTATGTGTTATGGTCAACATTCTTCTTAAAATAAATTTTCAGAATTTTAAAGGAAGATTACTTTTTTATGTATAATGTATCTATCTATTTCTTGCTTCTTAGAGAAATCAGTTTTATATATCCCCTAATATTTTTCTTTAACATATTATTATATGGAACAACGAAAAACTAGCCATGGGATTAGTTACTTTGACATTGATCTTATGCTGCATTTTGAGATTATTTGCCTCCTCCTTTATCAAATTACTCTATATTTCATGGTTCCAATGAGAACCATGTCCTAAAACAAGATAGCTTCAGTGAAGTTTACAAATTACTTTTTAACCAAAATCTTTGTGGTGCTTTGGAAAAACAACTACATATTTAAATACTACATAGTATCTATGCATTAAAAGTGGGTGTGTATTTGAAAAAATATATATATTCTTTCAGAAAATGGGAAACTACCTCATATTTTGTTGTTATTTAAACTTTGGTAAAATGTTAAGAATCCTCTGCTATTAGAGAATAGTCGTATTGTGAGTGCCTGCTTTATCAAGGAATGATTTAAAGACAGTTTACCAAGGAAAAATAGACATTACCAATATTTATAGAGTGAATCAGTGTTGTGTCTGGATTACAGTTTAGATAATGAGCTCAGAGGGTGGTTTGAGAGTGAAAACAAGGGTCGTTAGATTAGGTAAGGAGAATCTTTGCTTCTTTAACAAACAGCCAATTAACATCTTCATCCTGAAATCAACTAACCAATTTGTAAATCTGTAAGATCAGCTATGCATATGAATCAGATTGCCTCTACCTTCTTCCCTTTATGCATATACTTACTAGCCTGTCCATTATACTTATTTAAATATTTCATACCTGTAAAAATTGATTCGTGACCTAAAGATGACAAAGATTATAATCTTCCTGTGACCCAGAATCCACTAAAACCTCTTAGCATTCACTAATTAATTATCTCTTAATCACATTATATCCTGGGGAACGTGATAGCTGCTAGGATAAAACAATGACTGGAACATGGTTGGTATCTTTTAAGACTCTAACTCAAAAGAGAAGATGTAGTCTTATCAAAACATTAAAAGGCAGAGTCATAAGTGTTTGAAGAAATATGCACAAAGCACTATAGACACACATAATCAGTGATGACCAACTTGTAGTTCTTAGGCATAGTTTCATTGAAAGAGGAATTGACAGATTCTAGATGATGAGTGTTATTTGCCAAGCAGAAAGGATGGATGAGGAGTTGGGAAGTGGATGTTTCAAGAGGAGGGAACATTTACATATACTTAACACACAAACACATATACATATATGTGATATGTGCATATGTGCATGCATATGGGTATGTATTTTTCTTTTCTGTCAGGAAATATGAGATCTCTGGATCAGAGTAATGACTGCTGTTTATAACTCACAGAGTACCTTAGCACTAGTTCCTATGCTCCAGTTTTCCATAGGGCAATGTGACGAGGGCCAGGTGTCCACATGATTGTGCAGAGGGGTTGTACCACTGGAAAGGAATCAGTAAATGTGGGATCCAATACAACGAAACTCAGAGCTTCTGTAGGGCTGATGCATTTGCCCCCTCTTCCCTTGAAAGGGAGGGAGTAAGAAAGAGAGATAGACACCTTTTCAAATGGAATATAAACAAATCCTTTCCTTTTAGGGAAGAGGAAGGTCTCCACCTGGAATGTAAGCAAATCACTCTGAGGAAGATAAATCTCTAATCTTTTGGAGGGATACATTATCTCTAACTTCTAAGTCATGTCTGCCATTTAATCATCCATTAACCAAGTTTTTTAGTGGTCTTTGCTCAGAAAGCCTGGACTGTGCAGAAGTATGAAAACATTAGTAAGAGCTGTCTCCCAATACTTACAACAAGGGAAAAGGCATGAAAGCTTGAACTGCTGTTTGTATTTAAGAAACACAGTATGTTTCAATACTGACATGAATTATCCATCTGGTCCATATTCCATTGCAAAAAAATATTTGAAAAAGAGAAAATAAGCTTAGTTGAATTCTAATTAGAGAACACTTCCAATAATGTCGTGGTATTATTTTATCCTTTCAAATGAGTCAGTTGCTCTGAATAATAGACGGTAAACACAATTAATCCAAATAATGTCTTTACTCTTATGCATCTAATAAGTTAATTTTAAGTTTGGCTTTTATTTAATTATAATAATTCTCATATACAAGAAATCTGAAAAAATGTGGCATCATTTTAGTAAGTGAAAAATGAGAGACAAAGTCAGTTATCATTGGCCATAGTAAACTTTTTCTATTAATTTAAATTGACAGAATTTGTATTATTTTTAAAGTTTTCACAGGTGTAAACTGTTAGCAGGTGTAAACTGTTAGCCTGAACTGCTTTATATGTTTTGATCCAGCTTTCTTACAAGATATGATAAAATGTTAGCTATATTCCCACAGATACTTCCCTGATCCAAGCCATATGTTCAGAAGGGAGTGATAGTGGTAGAAGGTAGGGTGCAATTATGATGCTGAAAACTGGTAGACATAAAAGAGACCCTGACCTGGGGCATGATAAAAGGTAAGTTTATAGAGAGGATGTCACATCTCTGGCAAGAAGGCAGAGTAAAAGCTTAATCTTCACATTTCCTAGATTTTTAAAATCTATTCTCAATTTTTTTTTCCTTGAATCCGTATACTATTTGTTTCCTTTCAATGCTGACATGCAGCAAAGCTACATGGGCAAAAAAAGAACAGGCCTGTACCTAGACAGGTTTCCTCTCTATGTGGACTCAATGGGGTTATCAATCACTTCTTTATGTTGTTAATGTGAGAATAAAATAGGATAATAAATGTGTAGGTAAAACACTGAACAAGCACAACTCCTGTAGCAAAGTCATAAAGCACCGCATTTTTCTCTCACACCCAAATCTTACATTTGTTCATTGGGGTCCATTTCTTCTCTTTCCCTAGATGAAATCTCCAACAGGTTCCATGAGTTTGCTGTTTCTTAAAATTTGTGGTTCTCAGCATAGACCATAAAATAGAATAACACGGGAAACTCTAAAATACACTGATGCCCAGGCTTATCAACAAAACAACTAAATGATAACTTCTATGTATTTTTTATTAATGCTTTAGAGCCTGTGAATAGAGAGATGAGTAAAGCACAGTCTCTGCCCACATACACACAAAAATAATAAAAAATAATTAAGTATCCCCAGGTGATTCATATGTGCAGTTAAAGTTGAGAACCCTTGGCTTTACATAATAAATCGTGTATCACTTTCATTCACAAAATACAACATTGATTCAGATATTAGAATATTCAGTCCAAAATATCAACATTCTGAACTGGATTTAAAGTTAAATCTCTCCTCTCTTTCTTGAGTCAGCTATGTGTGGGTGTCCCGAGTAGGAAAATGGCTATGATTGGCTCCATGTTTCTTTTGTACTTACCCTCTCCCTGACTCCCAAGGTGCTATTCCTGACTCGTTCAGGACTGAAGGGTAACTGCTTTGTAGCCAAATTCCTTGTACAGAATATACAGTGACTCTGCATGGACAGTTTATTTATGATTCATGACTCATTTGTGATTCTCATGTATTTTCTGTGAAATACTCCAGCATTATTTGCCCTGACAAGCCCCAGAGTGCAGGCCCATCCTCAGTTCAGCCATCTGTGTCCAGCCGGGTCCGTTAGCATTAAGTCAGTCTGTGTCTTGACTTTAAATTTCCAGGCAGGAGTCAAATAGCAAGCTACTCTGTGCCCCAGTAGTAAGAAACAAAAGGCAGGCTGAGGCCCTTCTCATAGGCTTGAGGTGAGATCCAAGCAAACTCTACTTTCTACCTTGGAGGAACCTATTACTAGGAAAAACAGCACAACAACTCTAAAAATTCTGACTCACAAATCTTTCTTGTGATTATGACTTCCCCAAACATATATAGCCTCAATGTGAAAGAAGGGATTAAGAGTCATCAGATTGGTTTTTGAGCACTTTTTAACATTTTTACCCTAGTCTGGTACCATACTGTGAAAACAAATATGTAGATTTTTAGAGTTCTTGCCAAAATTTATATATCCATATCTGTTATATGGGGAAATTGCTTAGCAAATAATAAGTCACCAACAGGTATTATTGATAATAACTATGATAATTAAAATTATCATATTTTATTGTCATAAGAGATACTGAAAACATTTGTATCATGAGTGAGACTGTGTTACAAAAACATAGTGTCAGTGCCATCTTAAGAAATGATATGAACGTGAATAGAATTATAACATTTTAAAATTCTACACAAAGACCAAAGGGCTAATGTTCTGACACATAAGGCCCAGGTCCTCACAGATCTTTGAATGTTTCTTTTCTTTTTCTTTTTGAGTATTTTCCCTGGATTTACAAGCAAAAAGAGATTTACTCAATGAGCCACCGAGCATCACTAAGACCATCACCTCCCTGCCTTGCCAAAATAACAAACAGCAAACCACAATTTTTATAATAATTTTAATTCTTTAAAACACTTTAACATCTGCTCTAGGGTATGAAGTAAATGGAGAGGAAATGTCCACATGAGTTTCTGCAGTGAGAAAGAAAAATTAGCAGATATGCAATACTATAGCATGGATGGAGATAGCCTTCCAGGATTTACATAGATTTGCCTAACCAGCTCCCTCCTGTTCCTAACTAGTTGATCCAAAATTAAATTAGTACTAGTGAATGAAGAGTAGAGGAAATAAGAATCTATCACTGTACACATTTGACATGAAAATAAATAGTCCAAATTGATTACTTTATGGGAGTGTATAAAAAGTAGTTTTTTTGATAATTCTTTTGTCATTTCACAGCCTTTTCTCAAAGAAAAATATTTTTTTCTTTCAACTATTTTCCAATTTATATGTGAAAATGACAAAATGCATGTTTCCAGAGAAACAAACACAAACAAGTTAGTATCAGTGCACCTTTAATATTCACTAAATGGTGTTTTCCAGCACACCGATGGAAGGTGGGGTGAATGGCAGAGCAGAGAGGTCAGTAAAGGGGGGAGCGGGGAGGGATAGCATTAGGAGATATACCTAATGTTAAATGACGAGTTAATGGGTGCAGCACACCATCGTGGCACATGTATACATATGTAACAAACCTGCACGTTGTGCACATGTACCCTAAAACTTAAAGTATAATAAAACAAGAGTAATTAGCACAACCACAACTAAGACTAAAAATTAATGCCCCTCAAACTAATCATCATGTAATTATTCTTTCTCCATTTTCCAGGTATTTGGTTTGTAGCGTTTATTTATAAATTTGAGTTAGCTCAAGAGGAAAAAGTAAGAAGGTACAAAGAATGTCTATGAATTGGTAACAATCATACGGACCCTGGAAATACTAAGTAATTTATTTAAGACTGTCCTTATGACCTCCTGGATTACAAAATAAGTAATGTAGATATGTAAATTATATAACTATTTATCTACCAATTTCTCTTTACTTAAACATCTCCCTGACTAAGGGTACTTAGCTCACTACTAACAAATTATTTCCATTTTCATTGCTCTTGAAAGCGTGGGATACTTTGTACACGTTAATAAGTACACTGAGTTAATAAATATATGTCATCATATCCTGTTAACTATTGATATTGTCACTTTATAATTTGCTATTGTCAATATTTCAAGAATTACTCATTTAATTTGTTGGTTTTCTTTTGGCGGATTTTTTGCTGCCAAAAGAATTATGAGAAAACATGAGCAGTTATTCAATTCATTACTTAAAATATTGTGGATATATAATTGACTATTGAAATTACACTCTGCTAATAAGTAAATGCAGATACATTATCTTCACTTTCTTTGTCAAACAGGAAAAAGACAAACCTAGAAGCTAAGCATCATGTCAAGTTTGTATTAGCATCATTTTAATTATGAAATGTTTTGCTAGTGTTACCCTCATGTAAACACTCAACTTGAAGATAAAACATAACATGAAACATGCAGGGATCTCAGTGTGTGCAGTAATGCATGCTTATTATGAGGATGGGTACCCACCTTCACCTGCCTGGGCATATCTCACCACTGTCCAAGACATCATGTGTTCAGAAAGTGGGCACATCAGTGCAGAACTTTCTGTTTCAAGACTTAAGATTATTTTGTTCTCCTTTCACTGAATAAGAGGTTTGCCTACATCAAGCTAGGGCATTTTTTTTTCTATTAAAAGTAGCCAAGATGAGAAAATTTGCTGTTCAGTCTCTGTAACTATCTTCAAAAACAGAAGATGCCATTCTGTTTATTAGTCTATCACCACTGCTTGATAGACATAAATTTAGTAATGTAAAACTATTTAAATATCTATGAAATATTCATTGCTTACAGAACTAATTGACATATGGGTAGTCTGTTTAAAGACTTCATTCCATTATTTATATTTTGGATAAATCAAACATAAACAGAACTATATGAATTCTAATCAGAGTTTTGTTGTAACTAAAATGAAGACAAAAAACAGAAAATATATTTAGTTTTAAATATTTAATCAAAGTGGTTATTATCCATTTGACTATTGGAAGTTAAAGAAAAGTAATGTTGGCATAAGACCAATGTTATAGGCAAGATGCGATAAATGAGAAGAGCTGGAAGCAGAGCCTCTATCAGAGTTTAATTTTAATTGTCAATTATATATCCACAGTATTTCAAGTAATGAATTGAATAACCACTCATGTTGTCTCATAATTCTCTTGGTAGAAAAAACCCACCAAAAGAAAACCAACAAATTAAATAAGAAATTCTTGAAATATTGACAAAAGAAAATCATAATGTGACAATATCAGTAGTTAATAGGATATGATGACATATGCTTATTAATTCACTGTAATTATTAGCATGTACAAAATATCCCATGCTTTCAAGTGCAATGAAAATGGAAATAATTTCTTAGTAATGAGCAAAGTAGCCTTATTCAGAGTTCAAACCCATATTTCAAATATACTATGAAATATTTTCATTTTCGACAGTATTTTATAATAACAGACACATTTTGGGGATGCATTTTCTTTAGCCATCTCATTTTATTTTCCTTGGTGTAAATGTCCCAAACAAATGTGATTTTTTTTGTTCCTGTAGAACCAACCAGATTAATCTTAAAAAAGGAAGGTTGCCTATATGAATAAAAACTTTAATTCAATAAATTGGTATTAACTTCATATATTGTGCATGCTTTTATCAGATATTACTAAAAGGTATATGAAAAAGTCAACATTTTGTAAACACAATTCATCAGTGGGATTTGATGTGTTTCAGGGCAAGCCCTATTAATTCATTGAAGCAATATGGGCTTGCATAACCATATATTTAATGCCTACTATGTTTGGGGCTAGATATAGAGGACAAAACAGTGACAAAAACGAATCTCATGTAATAGTTAAAATAAGCTTTTGATGCTAGTAACAAATAATAGAAATAATAGTGACTTAAACAATACAGTCATTTGATTTTCAAAATAAACCTCTGAAATATGTAATTTGTAGTACTCACTTTACTGATGAGAATGCATTTTGCTCCACATAACAGTGACACCACTGCAACACCTTCGAATCTTGTTTTTTCTCACCAAACAAGTGGTCAGGAAGTACACAGTTCAGGGGTTCATGCCTTTGCTTGAGGCAGGGTAACTAACCTCCTTTTATCTTTCTCCTCCACCATTCCTGGCATTCAGTTTTGTGTTTATAATAGCAAGGCTTTTCTCTTCCCTCAGGCATAAGACCAGCATTATAGGCACGAGGAGATAAACGAGAAGAGGTAGAAGCAAAGCCTCTATCAAGAAAGCAACATTTTCTGGAAATCACTCAGGTGACTTCCGTCTGGATCTCATTGGCAATAATCGCATTACATGGTCACCTCTACCTGCAAGGGAGGCTGGGAGAGTTTTCAGCTGGGTATATTGCTGCCTTAATCAAAATCAAAATCAGCAAAAAGTGGGGAGTGGATATTTATATGCAGTATGAGTATATGCTGTGGGAGATTAAGAAATATGCCTAAGGCACAAAACTGTGAAGCCAGGACTTATTTAACTTCAGGTAGTCTGACTCCACAACCCATATTCTACACTTCTAGAAAAATCACAATGTATTAAGGAGTGAAAATGATTGTCTATAAGTGTATACAAGAAAATTTAACTTCAGCCCATCATGAAAACAAATTAGCTAGAGAAAAATTATAAGCATAGAAAAATATGGTTAATCATGAGTCATCAACATAACATCAACATTTATAACAACATATCAAAAATTTTTACGGGTTTAATAATTTTTCATGTGAGATTTCTTCATTGGTTATTTGTTATTCTTGCTTTCTCTTTCATTTTTCTAAACTTTTCTGTAGATCCTAGTTGGATGTTTTCTGATTACTCATCCTTGAAAAAGGTAAGTTTTTGTTTTGTTGTTATTGTTTTTCAAAAGGAGCTATTTGCAGAAGCTCCGTGTTAGGAAGAGGCCAGAGTCTTGTTTCAGGATAATGGGATGATCCAGAATTTTGCCTGTGAACTTTGTTACCTTTTATTTCTAACTTGCTGATGTGGCCATAGGATTATTGACAGTACATAGTGTATTTCCACTCCATGGAGAGACTAGATGTTGGGAGCAAACATTATTTCATTGTGGGCTTTCTGATTCGGCTGTTCCCTCTGCTTTTCAAAACCAGACCATGTCAAGAATTCCAGCTTTCCGTGTGGGCACCCTACGTCCACTCTCAGAAACAAAGAATTAGACTTTGCACTGTACACTTACCCTTTAACTTAGATAGGTGTAATTTTCTGTCTCTTTCTAAAAAGTAAAGTTACAGGGATACTGTTTGTATATCCTGCAGTCTTCCTGTCTGCGTTCTGCTTCTGAAATGTCTTTCAAAACATTTTTAACTTCTTACTTTGGAGTAAATATGGATTCAGAGGAAATTGCAAAAAGAAATGTATAGGGAAATGCTGTGTAATGTTCATCTAGCTTCCTCCGATGTCAACAACTTACGTAACTATAGTAAAATACAAAAATTAACATGAAATTAGCAAGGATGCTATCCACAGAGATTATTCAAATTTCACCACTTATAAATAAATGTATAAATGTATGTGTGTAGTTTGTGCAGTTTTATTATATGTGTAGCTTTGTGTAACCATCACCACAATCAAAACACATAATTGTGCCTACCCCACAAAGCTCCTGCACGCTACCCCTTTATAGCTCCACCCTGTCTTATCCTTAACCTCTGACATTCAATAATTGTTTTCCCATTCCTTAGTTAAATGAATAGAATCATACAGTGTGTATACACGTAAGATTGGCTTTTTTATGCAGTATAATTTTCTTCCGGTTCACCTGTTGTTGCATGTACACACTTTTTTTTTTATTAATGAGTGGAATTCCATGGTACTGATATACCATGGTTTGTTTAACCCTAACCATGGAAGATCATTTTGGTAGTATGCCTTTTTGCTTTTATGAACAAATCTGCTATGCCTATTAGTGTACAAGTTTGTATGTGAAAATAAATGTTTCAGTGTCTGGAATAAATGCACAAGAGTGCAATTAGGCCATTTGGTAAGTCTCTTTCTAGTTTAAAAAGAAATGGCCAAACTGTTTTCCAGTTTGGCTGTACCATTTTACACTCCCAACAGGAATGTGTATTATGTTGGTCATCCTGTAAAGGCAGGCAGGAACTCCACCCCAAATTTTGCTTGGAGGTTGAGACTGATGATGCTGTACACACGCATCAAAATAATATGCAAATGTTTATTACTTACATAATTGCAGTCTCTGGAAAGAGTATGGCAGACTTCTTTAACAGTTCTCAAATGGCTTGAGAAAATAAAAAAGAGAGTCTGGCCCAGGATTCTTTTTTTAAATTGTGGTTAGGGGATGGATCTGGGTTGAGGTTTCCCTTGCATATTCAGTGCCAAAGATAGAAATACTTAGGCTTTATCAACTTGACCAGACCTATGGTAGGGGGAAAAAGGGAGGGTAAGCCTTAAAAGCTGTCAGCAGAAACATCAGAAAAATGAAGTCAAACTCCTTATTAAAATGAATGATCTAGGTTCTTCACATCCTCACCAGCATTTGGTGTTATCACTACTGTTTTTTTTCATTTTGGCCATTCTGATGGTGAGATCTCATAGTACATGACTTTAACTTTCACATGGTGGTGAACATCTTTGCATGTGATTACTTGTCATTCATAATTCCTCTCTGCTGAAACGTCTATTCTTGTCTTTTGCCTATTTTCTAGTTGAATTGTTTGGGCATGTATTTTTTAATTTAAAGTCTGCAAGAAAACACAGGGAAATACTTGCAGAGCCAAATGCAAACAATGAAAGGATTAGAAATCCATTCACTGCTATCTCCCACTTTTAAGCATTTAATTTTTCAGTTTTAGTTATATGCTCAATAATTTAGGAAGCCTTGAATAGTCCTCAGTGCAAAAACCCTCCATATTATCATTTTAATTACCTCAAATTAGTAAGTAGTTCTTAGTATTCTTGTGATCACAAGTCCTGTTACTGGAGTTTCTGGTTTGACTGGATTTTTTTTCATTGATTAATCTTTGGGGTCTATATTACTTCATAGTTTTATATTTAAATATAAGTGCTTTTTATCTTTATACTTTATTGACACCTTGGTATGATACAGTACACTTGAATCATTATTTTCCTCAGTAATTTGTAGACATTGCTCAATTGCCTTTAGACAATTACTGTGGCTATGGAGAAGTTTCAGATAATTTTAATGTTTTTATTGTCTTGCATTTCTCTGCCTGGATACTTGAACATTTTTTATTTTTGAAACTAGACTACACAACTAGGATATATCTCAATGTTGATTATACTGAATCAGTACTTTCCAGCAATATTAAAAGCATTTTGTTATCTGTTACCTCTGTGCTGCTGAAGATAGGAAAGTTATTTTCTATTTTAAAGTGGAATTCATCTTCAGAAAAGTGTTGAATTCTCCTTTTCAGAAATACCAAGAAAACTTTTGTTAAATCTCCTTTTTTGTACTATACATCAATTGTCTTCTCTCTAACTTTTTAAACCACATGTTACACTATTTGTCTTAAAACTTTGTCCAGCATCATTCATTTGCTTTTAAGTTACGTCTATTCAGTCATCAGACATTGGTGCTCTTGTCACTTACACAATTCTTAATAACTTAGTAAAGAGATTTTACTCTGGCCCATCTCCAGTGGCAGAAGGAAAGCTGTTTAGTAGATAGATGAATAAATTACAATGAATACGTTACCTTATTCCTGTCTCTTTGTGTCTCCACACTCCTTCCTCTACAGCCCACCAGGAAAGGCCTCACATCCCAACCTCTTCAATTGTTGTAATCACTGAGACCAAACTTCCATTAGATAGCCTAGCCAAGTGAATCTGGAGGATCTATGAAACAATGACCAGCATAAGAATGAATACAACTCACCATGGACAAATTGTGAAAAATGTAGATTCTTGAGCTATTTCTCTGGTGATTCTAAGTCCTCAACTTTGAGAGAGGCCAAGAAATTTTATTTTTAAGAAACATGTCTTAGATATGAAGTCCTTGCCCATGCCTATGTCCTGAATGGTATTGCCTAGGTTTTCTTCTAGGGGTTTTATGGTTTTAGGTCTAACATTTAAGTCTTTAATCCATCTTGAATTAATTTTTGTATAAGGTCTAAAGAAAGGATCCTGTTTCAGCTTTCTACATATGGCTAGCCAGTTTTCCCAGCACCATTTATTAAATAGGGAATCTTTTCCCCATTTCTTGTTTTTGGCAGGTTTGTCTAAAATCAGATGATAGTAGATGTGTGGTATTATTTCTGAGGGCTCTGTTCTGTTCCATTGGTCTATATCTCTGTTTTGGTACCAGTACCATGCTGTTTTGGTTACTGTAGCCTTGTAGTATAGTTTGAAGTCAGGTAGCGTGATGCCTCCAGCTTTGTTGTTTTGGCTTAGGATTGTTTTGGCAATGTGGGCTCTTTTTTGGTTCCATATGAACTTTAAAGTAGTTTTTTCCAATTCTGTGAAGAAAGTCATTGGTAGCTTGATGGGGATGGCCCTGAATCTATAAATTACCCTGGGCAGTATGGCCATTTTCATGATATTGATTCTTCCTATCCATGAGCATGGAATGTTCTTCCATTTGTTTGTATCCTCTTTTATTTCATTGAGCCGTGGTTTGTAGTTCTCCTTGAAGAGGTCCTTCACATCCCTTGTAAGTTGGATTTCTAGGTATTTTATTCTCTTTGAAGCAATTGTGAATGGGAGTTCACTCGTGATTTGGCTCTCTGTTTGTCTGTTATTGGTGTATAAGAATGCTTGTGATTTTTTGCACATTGATTTTGTATCCTGAGACTTTGCTGAAGTTGTTTATCAGCTTAAGGAAATTTTGGGCTGAGACAATGGGGTTTTCTAGATATAAAATCATGTCATCTGCAAACAGGGAAATTTGACTTCCGCTTTTCCTAATTGAATACCCTTTATTTCTTTCTGCTGCCTGATTGCCCTGGCCAGAACTTCCAACACTATGTTGAATAGGAGTGGTGAGAGAGGGCAACAAAAGCCAAAATTGACAAATGGGATCTAACCAAACTAAAGAGCTTCTGCACAGCAAAAGAAACTACCATCAGAGTGAACAGGCAACCTAAAGAATGGGAGAAAATGCTTGCAATCTACTCATCTGACAAAGGGCTAATATCCAGAATCTATAAAGAACTCAAACAAATTTGCAAGAAAAAAACAACCCCATCAAAAAGTGGGTGAAGGATGTGAACAGACACTTCTCAAAAGAAGACATTTATGCAGCCAACAGACACATGAAAAAATACTAATTATCACTGGCCATCAGAGAAATGCAAATCAAAACCACAATGAGATACCATCTCACACCAGTTAGAATGGCGATCATTAAAAAGTCATGAAACAACAGCTGCTGGAGAGGATGTGGAGAAATAGGAACACTTTTACACTGTTGGTGGGACTGTAAACTAGTTCAACCATTGTGAAAGACAATGTGGCGATTCCTTCAGGATCTAGAACTAGAAATACCATTTGATCCAGCCATCCCATTACTGGATATATACCCAAAGGATTATAAATCATGATGCTATAAAGACACTTGCACATGTATGTTTATTGTGGCACTATTCACAATAGTAAAGACTTGGAACCAACCCAAATGACCATCAATGATAGACTGGATGAAGAAAATGTGGCACATATACACCATGGAGTACTATGCAGCCATAAAAAAGGATGAGTTCATGTCCTTTTTAGGGACATGGATGAAGCTGGAAACCATCATTCTGAGCAAACTATCACAAGGACAAAAAAACCAAACACCACATGTTCTTACTCATAGGTGGGAATTGAACAATGAGAACACTTGGACACAGGAAGGGGAACATCACACACCAGGGCCTGTTGTGGGGTGGGGGGAGGAGGGAGGGAAAGCATTAGGAGACATACCTAATATAAATGTTAATGGGTGCAGCACACCAACATGGCACATATATACATATGTAACAACCCTGCACGTTGTGCACATGTACCCCAGAACTTAAAGTATAATAGTAAATAAATAAATAAAATAAATAAATAAATAGTATAGCAAAAAAAAAACATGTCACATGACCTGATGCTAATGTTCTCAGCAAACACTTATTTTACCATTTTAATATTCAAAATGTTGTTTTCTGAAAAACATGCATGTTGTTTACATTTAAAGTTTAGAGAATTTAGGACATTCAGGTTCAATTAAGAAAAGGTAAAAACAAAGTCACATTAGATATAAAAGATAACGCAACAGCTCTTTTCTGGTGTCTTACTCTCCTTGCCTTGCAAACTGGACTTGTGTTGAACCACAGCTGGCATCGATGCTGACATTGTGTATGTTTCTGAATATTTTCTATTCCTTTTGGGTCATTTCTGGGTCACCTCTTAATATTCCTTTGCGTTACCACAAGAGTGTAGGCTCTGTAGTGAGAAGGAAAGGAGGTGATCCCTGAGTACATACTACCATCTGAGGCCTTTGGTCTGCTTTCTGAAGCTAAACATACAGACTTCACCTATTCTCTCCTTTCTTTCTTTCCCTTTCTTTCTTTCTTTCTTTCTTTCTTTCTTTCTTTCTTTCTTTCTTTCTTCTTTCTTTCTTTCTTTCCTTCTTTCTCCTTCCTTCCTTCCTTCGCTCCTTCCCTCCCTCCCTCTCTCCTTCCTTCCTTCCCTTCTTCCCTTCTTTTTCTTTCTTTCTTTCGTTCTTTCTTTCTCTCTTTCTTTTTCTTTCTCTCTTTCTTTTTCTTTCTTTCCTTGTTTCCTTCTTTTCTTTTTGTTTTTTAAGAGATA
Source organism: Homo sapiens (assembly GCF_000001405.40). NCBI lineage: Eukaryota > Metazoa > Chordata > Mammalia > Primates > Hominidae > Homo > Homo sapiens. Next base: position 28,072,858 of record NC_000014.9, on the reverse strand, counting down.
AGATCTCACTTTGTTGCCTAGACTGGCCTTGAGCTCCTGGGCTCAAAATTCCTCCCTTCTCAGCCCTCTAAGCAGCTGGGACTACAGGTGTGTGTCCCTATGCCCTTCCAGGCCTCATCTATTCTTCTTACTCTATAACATTTTTCCCTCCTTTATTAAAATGTCATTTCACTTTTAAGGACCTTTCATCTACAGTTACTGTTTCTAATCACCTTATTCTCTCCATGTTTTTCAACTCAGATTTCATGGAACAATACTGATTGATCAAACTCATTTTTGTTTTTCTGCAGGTAACATCAGTTCATTCTCCTATCTAAATGTTGCCATCTCTGTGGCAGAAATCCATGGCTAATCTAATAAACTGTGGCTGGGCATGTCATTCACATAGAGTCCATTTTTATTTTTTTTCATAAGGGACATGAATGGGAAAATTTCACTTGGAAATCACTAGCATATCAAGCACCATGACAGAAAGTCTAATTTCCCCATGAAATAAAAGGAAAAGACTATACAATATGTCATCAATTTTCTTCGTCATTTTCTCCCATATCATTAGTGAAGCCAAGGTCCAAAGTCAGAAGAACATTCCAAACTAAATTCAAACAGAATGACAAATCCTATTAGCTGCTGAAAGAATCTAAAGGTTTTCTGCAAACTGAGGACCCAAAAGCAGATAAATTGTATGTGAATCTGGAACCAAACAAGGTTAGTAAGATGAAAGCAAGTGTGTCATTGGCTTGTATAATTACTGGCATTTTCCTTTATATATCCATTCAAAATCGGCAGATAAGTAGGCCACCTGGGTTTACAGATAAATGTTAAGAAAGACATCTTTAATTTTTTTTTTTCACTAGAGGAAAGCAAGTGTAAGCTCACCAACAAACTGAGTGAGAAAGAAATCAGAAACAGGAATAAAATATTTTGTAATAGCATTTCTTGAGAGATAAGGCTAATACGAAGTATTCTTTAATACTCCATTAACTAGAATATGAAACTAAATTATATTTGAAATACAGTCATGTACCACATAATGACATTTTGCTCAATGATGGACTGCATATATGGCAGTAGTCCTATAAGATTATAATGGAGCCAAAAAAATTTCCTGTAGCCTAGTGATATTGTAATCTTGAAATGCTGTAGTGCAATACATTACTCACATGTTTGAGATGCTACATGAGTAATATAGCATCTCATAATAAACCTACTACACTGCAATCATATAAAAGTATAGTACATTCAATTACATACAGTGCATAATACTTAATAATGATAATAAATGACTATGTTACTGGTTTACGTACTTACTGTGATATGTATGTATTTTTTCTTTTTTTAAGATAGAGTCTCTCTCTCTGTCGCCCAGGCTGGAGTGCAGTGGCATGAACTCGGATCACTGCAACCTCCACCTACCAGATTCAAGCGATTCTCCTGCCTCAGCCTGCCGAGTAGCTGGGATTACAGGCATGGACAACCATGCCCGGCTAATTTTTTTATTTTTAGTAGAGACAGGGTTTTACCATGTTGGTCAGGCTAGTCTCAAACTCCTGACCTCAAGTGATCGGCCCACCTCGGCCTCCCAAAGTGCTGGGATTACAGGTGTGAGTCACCACGCCCGGACAGAAATAAATATTTTTGTACGGCCAAACTATGTGTTTGTGTTTTAAGCTTATTTTATTATAAAATAACCAAAAAGTTTTTAAAATTAAAAAGTTTATAAGTTAGAAATGTTACAGCAAGCTAAGATTAATTTATTATTGAAGAAATATATTCTCTGTACATTTAGTGTAACAAATGTACAGTGTTTTTAAAGTCTACAGTGGTGAACAGTAATGTCCTAGGCCTTCACATTCACTCACTACTCACTCACTGAATCACCTACAGCAACTTCCAGTTCTGCAAGCACCATTCATAGTAAGAGCCCTATACAAGTGTACCACACACATACACACACACACACACACACACAAACCCTCATGTATACATATACCGTATTTTTACTGTATCTTTTCTATGTTTAGATATATAAAGACTTATCATTTTGTTTTAATTGCCTAGAGTATTCAGTACAGCAACATGCTATACAGGTTGGTAGCCTAAGAATATAAGCTATACCATAGATACTAGAAGTGTAACCTACGTTTGTGTAAGTACACTTTGTGATAGTCACACATCAGTGAAATCACCTAACAATGCATTTCTTAGAATGTATCCTGTCATTAAGTGAGGCATTTCTATAATTGATAATAAAACTTTGAGTAAAAGTTTATTTTACTATATTTAGGAAATTTCACTTATTTGTGATTAAATTTGGCTTTCTTTAGTCAATGTAATTTATGCATGAATATATGAGGAAGGGATTTATATGAAAGCATTTAAAACCTTCAATGATACCTCATGGCCTATTCCCCAAAAGGAACAAATCAACATTTAAAATTTCACAAGCATTCCCATTGATAACATTTTTCACTTCAAATGGAAGAGAATTAATGAGTTGACAAGCTCTTTCTTCGTTGATAAGGGACCATCAGGAGAAAGAGATTAGACATAAAGTCAGAATATATCAAGTTTCCAAAGAGGAAATATTTTCATCTATAGATTAGATTATGACACTGATAATGATGACACTCTACAACATGAGTTTGGCTGATGGGCCAGGAGAATCATTTGAGTCCAAAGCCTTTGGGAATAAAATTCAGGAAAGTGCCTATGACAATTATCTTTCCCTTTTGTAATCTTTCTTTGTTAATGTGTTTATATTGATAGTATGCTTTCTGCTAGACCAGTGCCCTATGACAACAGGCCAGGGAGATAACACTAAAGTGAGATTTTGAAGACAGCAAGCAAAATGTGTAGCAGATGAAAATGACAAGGCTGTGCTGATAACTGGCATAGTAAAATGAAATCCATTCCCAATGTCCCTTAACCATAAATGCAGCATCAGAATGTGCTATTCCACAGGCATGTTGGCCAAAGCTGATGAGAAACTCCAAAGTTCTAATAACTTTTCTACCACTAATAAATCCATAGGTGACCTTACAGCCCTAAATTGGGCTCTTTCTCACCATAATTTATATGAATGCAATTTAGGTGTTGCAACAAAATAATATGATATATGGGTATATATGGCAATGAAGGGCTGTTTTACATTGATAAGGATTTGCTGCAAATGTATAACAGAGCCCATCACAATTCATACTTTCAGTTACATAAACTTCTCAATTATAATAATAATGTAAAACCATTCTGCAGTTGTTAATTGAGAATCTATGACATTCAGATATTTTAGAATACCACACTTTATAATTAATCTGTGTGTAGAATACTGTACTTTCTACTGTTAAGGTTATAAGATGCCTCAGAAAATTAATCCTGCTGGCGCCCATAGGATTATTCATTTGTGTTAAAAAAAGAAACTGTGTCAGTGCACTTCAATATACCTGCCATACTTACACATTTGAGATAGATTACTATCATGTAGATAAGTCATATAACAGTAATTTGAGAAAAATATGTAGATAATCCAGGTTTTTAAATAAGCTATTGTGAAGAAAATAGAGAGGAGAGAAAAAGATCCAGCTTAATAAGCTGTATTAATTTTCAGTTGAATTTGAAGCAAAGATCTGATAGGATGAACGAAAATTTTGATTTGCTTATGAAGAAGAGGGAACCTGTCCTATTTTTAAATATAATACTTTATTATGAAAAAACTATCATTTTCAATTTTTTATTTTTATTAGCTGACCTTAGAAAACATTCAGTTATGAAAAAATTGATTTCAAAAGTTTCTTTAATACTCTTTAGATATCATATTCTATTAAAAGTACAGTTCTAAAAAATAAGTAGTGCAAGTTATTCTTGATTGTTAAATGCTGCTTGAAGTGAGTTGTGTTCTAATTCTTCCATAAGAGGAATTTTATGCTTATTCTGAATGTGTATAGGATGTTAAGGTTTTTCTCCTATTGTCCTGTTATTTTTTTAAAAAGTTTTCCAGTAATACTGCAATACTAAAGAAAGCTTGTTTTCCACTTTTTATGTTACACTGGAGACTTTTGTGATTCCATATGCAATGAACCTTTGTGTTTTATTCAGGATTAGGAAAAAGTTTGCAGGGATAAAAGGGTAAGAAGACAATCCATTGTTTATTCTTTTCTCCCCAAGCTGCCTGATCTATCACGTATATACCTGAGCCCCCGAACTAGAGATCTATAAAACTATATGATTAGAAAAAACAACCCAACTTGAACAGCAACTTAAATTTTTCAAAATGAAATATAAAATGAAGACTATTTTATGTTGAATTTGTAGCTGAAATCAATACATATAAGAGCTGAAGTGATTTGATGACATGATGTCTGAAAAATAAATGCAATCAGCCAGAGTTACAGAAAAACACAGTTTTAAAGACAAAGTTAGCCAGGTGTGGCAGCTCATACCTGTAATCCCAGCATTTTGGGAGGCCGAGGCAGGTGGATCACCTGAGGTCAAGAGTTCGAGACTAGCCTGGCCAACATGGTGAAAAACTGTCTTTACTAAAAATACAAAAATTAGCCAGGTGTGGTGGCAGGTGCCTGTAATCCCAGCTACTTGGGAGGCTGAGGCAGGAGAATCACTTGAACCCAGGAGGTAGAGGTTGCAGTGAGCTGAGATCATGCCATTGCACTCCAGCCTGGGAGACAAGAGTGAGACTGCATCAAAAAAAAAAAAAAAAAAAAAGAAAGAAAGAAAGAAAGAAAGAAAGAAAGAAAGAAAGAAAGAAAGAGAAAGAAAGAAAGAAAGAAAGAAAGAAAGAAAGAAAGAAAGAAAGAAAGAAAGAAAGAAAGAAAGAAAAAATCTACAAAAAAACTTGGAGACACCTTTATCTTCATGGGCCTATATTAAAGAGGTTTAGGGAAATGTCTCAGAGTGTAGGTATATAGTCATTTGTGTATTGCTCTCATTTTATTGCTGTCATCATTCCTGTGTTTCTGACTCTGACAGAGTAGTTTCCATGATGTTGTTCTGACCAGTTTCCACAAACTTGGCATTTGAATTTGTTCTCATTTATCATTTGACCTTTATTCTGACTTAAATTAGTCGTACCTTGAGCTCTGTTGGCCTAGCATGTACCACTGCCTCAACTTCAGTTCCAAAGCACACTGAGCAAATTCTGTTGACCACACCATCCCCCAAACACATATATGAAGAGGGTTTACAACATTCATTGTCAGGGAAACTAATGAGTAAGTACTTAGCTTTTCCTATAAATACAGAGCAAACATTTACTGAATGCCTCCTGTATTAATCTGTCCTCACACTGCTAATGAAGACATAGCCAAGACTGAATAATTTGTAAAGGAAAGAGGTTTAATTGACACAGTTCTACATGGCTAGGCCTCCCAATCAAGGTGGAAGGCAAAGGAAAAGCAAAGTCATGTCTTACATGGCGGCAGGCTAGAGAGCATGTGTAGGGGGAGCTCCCCTTTATAAAATCATCAGCTGTCACAAGACTTACTCACTATCATGGGAAGAGCACAGGAAAGATCGGCCCCCATGATTCTATTACCTCCCACCAGTTCCCTCTCACAACATGTGGGAACTATGGGAGCTACAATTCAAAATGAGATCTGGGTGGGGACACAGAGGCAAACCATATCATTCCACCCCTGGACCTTTCCAAATTTCATATCTGAAATTCAACAGGGCCATCAAATCTTAAAGCTCTGAAATGAACACCTTTGACTCCCTGTCTCACATTCAGGTCATGCCAATGCAAGAAGTGGACGCCCATGGCCTAGGGCAGCTCTGCTCCTGTGGCTTTGCAGGTTACAGCTGCCCTTCCAGCTGCTTTCATGGGCTGGTGTTGCGTGTCTGTGACTTTTCCAGGTCCATGGTGCAAGCTGTTGGTAGATCTACCATCTTGGGCCTGGAATGTGGAACAAAAGGAATTCTCATTCCTGCTGGTGGCAATGCAAAACAGTAAAGTTTGGGAGACTTTACCATTTACTTTGGAAGAGAGTTTGGCAGTTTCTTAAAAGTTAACCAAAGTCTTATGATGTTATCCAGCAATCACACTCCTAGATATTTAACTAACTGATTTGAAAACTTATGTTCACACAAAACCAGCACACACAGGTTTTTGGCAGCTTTATTTATAGTCATTATAGACCGAAAGGAACAAAGATGCCTGCCTTTCAACAGATAGATGAATAAACAAACTGTGGTACATTCATACAATTGAATATTATTCCATGATAAAAATGAGCTACCAAGCCATGGAAAGGCATGGATGAATCTTAAACGCACACTGTTAAGTGAATGAAGACATTCTGTAAGGGCTATATACTGCACGATTCCACATATATGATATTTTGGACAAAGCAAATCTATAGATTACAGTTGAATATATCAGTAAAAAAAATCATCATTGGTTGCCAGAGATTTGGTGAGGAGGAACTGAATAAATGAAGCACAGGAGATTCTTCAGGGAAATGAAACTATTCAGTATGACAACATAATTGTGGATATATGACATTATATACTTGTCAAAATCAAGACACCAAGCAAAAAGAGTTTTATTGTGCAAATTAAAAAATACACATTTGGAAAAGAGAGGGGACACCAGGATATAATTTATAGTTACAAGTAATAGAATTGTATTACAAATATATGATATACCCCCACTAAAAGGGGTTGGGAGAAAGATGACATCTATATAACTTTGAAAATGAGTGTAAGACTAAAAGAAAATGGAACTGTACAAAAACACTGCATTCTATTTGATAAACTTGTTTCCTAAAGGGTACAGGTAAAAATTTCTGCTACCACTATATATTTATTTTTAAATTGAAAACTAAGTAATGAATCAGGATGGTGAGGCCAGGTTTCCTACTGTTGGGGTGGGAGGTTATAGACAAGAAGAATAGAATGATATACATGGTAATAGATTACAGTCAAATATATCAGTATAAAATTCAGGCTTAACTTGATATAAACACTGAAGATTACATATAGAAATATTTACAGATATGTACGCACATGTGGGTTATATGTGGACACACATTTTATAGTTCTGTGCACTGAGAAGACCTAGAAACAATAATATGCCAGTAACACACAGCACTGAAATCTTGGATTTCAATACCATGCTCAATTAAAGGCATCGAAGCCCTTTGGAAACAGATTTGAAAACAGAGCTCTTTGGAAACACAAAGGCTTGATGGCTTTAATAGCAGCATGGTCTGTTTCTAGGAGTGTGGTAAGAAGTATACAATATGAGCTTAAAGTATCTTCTAGTGCCAGAAAGTAAGAAAACGCTGAAACAGAAAACAAAACAAACAAGAGAACTACACACACACACACACACACACACACACACACACACACACACCAAAAACACATCCCCAAAATCCAAAAAGCACCACAATCTGGGGATAAGATAAAGGGACATGGCATGTAACTAAAAGAGCTCAATAGCCAATGGCCAAAGCTGAAATAATTTAAGAAAAAAAATAAAGTAGTATTATACTATAATCCTAATTATAAAACTATTTTTCATGAGATCATACTTATATAAATAAATTATTAAACAAATTGGAGGAAGAGACAAATTTCTCATGTAAGGGCCTTTCATATAATTTATGTTCATCATTTGCCCTCACTAAGGTGGGACACAACTCCTTACCACTTAGGTGTAGGCTGCATTTATTAACTTCCGTCCAAGGAGTATAGTATGAAAAGGGAGAAAATATGAGGAACTTTACAGCAGAGAAAACTGACAAATATTACTTCAGCTAGTTAATCAATGTCAAAATCAAATCTTGGTGATTATACGTACACTCAATATGCTGTGATGAGAATGGCATTTTCTCTCTGTAGTCTTCCTCCCAAATATCCATAATGCCAATCAAACATGAAAAAATTAATCCCAATTGAGGGACAGTCTAAAAAATACCTCACCAATACCCCTCAAAACTATTTCAAAACTCCTTAAAAATAAAGAAAAGCCTGAGAAATTGTCACAGTCAAGAGGAGCCTAAGGAAATATAATGACTCAATACAATTTCATGCTGTGAATGAAACACATGGGGTTAGAAAAATTATATCAGTTAAAAATTAAGAATATGAAAATATAGTGTATAAAGAATATAAAAATAAAGTATACAATTTAGTTCATAATAATAATGTATTAATATTTGTTTGTTAATTATGACCAGAGTGCTGCATTAATATAAGATGTAATAACAGAATATAGTAGATTTGAAGTATATAAGTATTCTCTGTACTATCTTTGCAATTTAATAAATTCAAAATTATTCAAAATTTAAAAATTATTTAAAATATTTAAATAAAATGATCCAAAATATGCAAGATATAATGGAAAATATTTGCCATTAGACTGGGAACTTTAGCAATTTTCTCTTGATAATTTACAGAACACTCAGTAAGACAATTGGTATAGTGTATTTGAACAATACCATTAACATAAGGGGTGTGTAGAATTTTGTACCCATTGATTAAGAAATGGATGTTCTTCTCTAGGACACATGGAGTAATTGTAAAAGTTGAACATGTACTGGGCCATCATGCAAGCCACAACATATATCAATGAACCAATACCATATATGCTAAAATATCTGTCTATATTGTAATTTTCAAGTCAATAACTAGAAAAAAATCCTCACATACTTCTAAATAACTCATTTGTTAAATGAGCTAGCATCATGAAAATTATAAAATATGTAGAACTTAATAATTATGGAAACAAAACACACTTGTGTGATTCAGATAAGGTAGTTTTTAGGGGGAAATTTATCATCTTAAAAGATAACTCTAGGAAGAAAATGGATGAAATCAAGAAAATAGTCCTTGAACTCAAAAAATAAAAGAATAATAAACATAATAATCTATCAAAAGGAAATAACACAAATAAGGACAGATATTTTTGAGATATAAAGCAAAGATACAACAGAGAGAAAAACATCAGTCCTTGAGAAAAGTAATATAATAAGATTGTCAAATATCTGGCAAGATTAACCAGGAAAACAGAAGGCCCCTACACCAAAAAAAAATTATTTAAGAATGAAAAATGGAGATAATTAGAGGCATAGCAGGGACTTAAAAAAATAAGACATTGCTGTAGTGTTTACATTAGTTAATTTGAAAATGCAAATGAAATAGACAAGTCACTGGGAAAATATACCTTAATAAAATTTTAAATAGGGAAACACTTTGAAATACTGATATAGTTTTAAGACCTGTAAATATTCTTGCCTTGTGGAGTCCATATTTTAAAGATGTGGTATTCATTCTTTAAAGGGGAATCACCTACAATAATGAGTCCTCCATTCACTTATTCATTTACTTCCACAGATACTTGCTTAATACTATAATGTCCCATGCATTATACTAGATGCCAAGAATATACATTAAGAATTATGCCATTTTTTTGCCCCAGTACAGTTTATAATGGGGGACATCTAGAAAAAAATAAATAACAAATGTACAATACCTTTTTAGATACTTGTAAATGCTATGATGAAAAATAAAATGGGAAAACCATTAGAAAGTGACTTGAACAATAGAAGAAAAGAGCAATTTTAAGTAAGTTATTCATGAAAATTCTTTAAGCCAAGAACAAATTGAATTGAAGATCTAAGCCATTCAAAGACTGGGAATTTGGTTTCAAGCAGCAAAAGAAATCAAAAGGGGTTAAGTCTGGTGTGTTTCAATGACTAGGTCAGGATGGCTTCAGCCGACTGAGAAATAGCAAGAGCAGTCCAAGATGAGGCTGGAGAGGAAAACAAGCACTGCATCATGTCAGATCCATTAGAGCACATTAAAGAGTTTGAATTATATGTTAAGAATTTTAAGAAACTGATATGATGTACATATTTAAACTGCTGTTCTAAAACAGCAGAATCTAAAGTGTCATGAGAAGAGAAATCATGAGGCCATTTTATCATTGTAGGCTAGATGTCCATGTTATCTATCAAGGTGATGAGAAGCGGTCAGACTGGGCTATGTCTAAAAAGTAGGTTGAACTAGACCTGCTAACTGATTGAGTGTGAAGTATAATGGGATAAGTAGAATAGTTAAGATTGACTCTTAAATTTTGGATTCAATTCAAATGGTGAGTTATGGTCACAATTACTAGGCTAAAAAAACCCTGAGGTGAATAAGGATTGGCATAGATAGTGAATAGGAATCAAGAGATCTATTATACACTTGCAAAACTTGAGGTGCCTATTACATATCCACTGTAGATGCTGATAAATCAGTTGTATATGTAAACCTGGAGCTTATGGCTCATGGATGTGGTTGGCACTAGAACTACCAACAGATATCTTTGAGACTCCTAAGTCTACTCTTTTAAACCTGTAGTAAGAAAATTGTCTTGAAAGACAAGCTTTCTGGCAAGAATGGCTTTTCTAAATGCCAATAGTTTCTTTTTTATTCTTTTAATTAATCTTTTGAAGTAAGAGGTAAGAGCTGACTCATTCCAAACTACTTGCCTGCCAGAAAAGAACTGAACTTCTGTAAAGCTCAATGGAATATGAGCTTTTTGTACCCCAGACCCTCAATTATGTCAGGGGAAGGCCAAATGCCCCCTGCCAAACCTTTATCCAACCACAAACAAACAATGCATTGAAAAATAGAGTTAAAGCAACATTTTTTCTATTTCCCATAGTTATTATATCCTGGTCATTACTAGTTAAAAACCTAGAGGTAAGGGTTCCCTTTTTATAGTCTGATGCCACCCATGCTAGCCATCTAGAAAGAGTGGTGTGCTGTTCTAGAATCAGTGGATACTGGACACTAGTTCTGATCACTTTTTGAGTTTCCTGAAAGGATGCCTACTCTAGCAGGTCAGGTGTGTGTTCTGTCTCGGTCATTAACTCTATAATACATGACATATAGCTAGACAGGATATAGAATGAGAGTTAAGGAGTTTGCCCATCCAGCAGCAGAAGAAGAAATCTTTTTGGAATGAGGATGAGAACAGGTACAGGGAAGAGGAAACACATATTTTCTGACTCTCCACAATGGATGGGAATGAAAAGAATGAAGGGAGTGGAGGTAAGAAGGTTGCTGTCCAAAAAAAACAAAAAAACAAAAACAAAAACAAAAAACAGGCATAGGAATAAGGCTAGTTTTTTATTTTCCCAAACAGAGGCTGGGACTAGTTTGAGTTTCCTTATGTGAGTACAACATTGAACAGGACATCATCTCAGTAGAAAGTTGGAAATTTAAAAATAAAATAATGAGATGCCAGAGAGACCAGTAATAACCCCCAAGTTCCTCATGGCTGGTTAGCCCCATGGGGTCTTTTAAGTTCCACACATACCTAGAAAAGGCTGAGCAAGGGGATTCAGACATAAGTGAGCTTATCTTTCTTTTTATTCATAAGTGAGCTTATCTTCTACTTCCATTCCGTGAGGTCATTCATAGAGTGAGGTGAATTCAAACAGAAATTGTGGATTAGGCTGATAATTAGGAATAGAAGCTATCAAGAGTCATGCATTGATAGGATACCTAATATTAGGAAGCTAAAGAGAGGAGGCCCAGTAAATTGCCCAAAGGTTATTCAAGGTTTTAGCAATAAAGCTAGTCGGTAGTGTCAGGTACCAGACCAGGAGATCACCAGCAGTCAGAGTCAATGGAATGTAGCTTAAATGTTTCAGCAGCCACACATTTCTGTAAGAGCAGAAAAAAGCAAAGTTTCAGATGAAGGCAGGATAACATCTCTCAAACAATGACTAATGAGACTCAAGAGGACACACATGGATCTGAGCTCTCTCTACATCAAGTTAACACATAAGCTTTCAGCTACATCTGCATACTAACTTGCAACAATAAGTGAACAAGAATAGGAACTGTGAAAAACTGCACATTTAATCATAATGAACTTTGTTAACTTGAAAAAGATTGCTTTAAAAATAAAGAGATTGAAATACCTTTAACTGGCAAATTTAAGAACCGCACAATTCCTACCTTAATATCTCATAAAGAAAAACTATATAAGGGCAGTTATAGAGAAAAAAAATACAATGTATGTTTTCAAAGCCTCAGTTTTAGTGTGTAAAATTTTGAACCAAGTGTAAATTTTCCCCATATAAACTTTATCTAGATACCTCTGGGCTTCCACAGTCTTTCAAGTAATCTGGTGAACAGATCAAAGAGCACTGTTTTTCTCCAAAATAACTACAGAGCCTAAATTGTTTATTCCCCAAGAAATGCTGATTTATGAATTTGACTCATAGATTCCAACCCCTTTCCATGCTTCATAGGCTTGATATAAGGCCCATAAAGAAATTCAAGTTCATATGGGTTTGGTTCCATGAATAATACAAGATGCCTAAATCTTTAACCTCAAAATTGCTAACTGAGGGACCATTTGCAGACAAGATTTGATCTACAAATGTGTTTTTGGCAAGCCTATTATTTAATAAATTTGTTTAGTTACCAATATTTAAAGATTCAAATATTTCTCCCAAAATTCGGATTGTTGACTTCCGGTTTTATTAGAAAAAATGTTGAAACTGGGCATGTATTTCTTCACAGCAACAAAATCAGTTTCACAGCAACTTCCTTTTTAGCTGTGGCAAGAAACTGTCCCCACTACTGTCTAGTGTATTAGGCTCAGTCTTTTCAATTATTTGCATTACGTTCCAGGCACTTATAGGTATCTGAATTTGCAGATTCTGAACATAGCCCTCACTTATGTATTTGTGTATCTCTCTACAATTTTTAGTGAACTTTGATGATAAATAAAAATTCTTGACTCAATTCCATGGCATGGTATTTCCCACTAATCTGTTCAGTACCATAGTCTCATAGCCTTACTTACCACATGTTCTCCAGTAGCTGATAGGTACTCAGAAGTCTCAGGTGAGGACCTGTTTAGCAGTCTTAAATGATTGTGAGAATGTCTGACAAAGGCTTTTCTTGCTGTCAAGAGTAGCACTTTTTATTTCCTAATAAAAATCATTAATTTAAGTGTGGGCAAAAAATAACTTATAGTTCATAATTTTATAAGTTAAGATTTTAATGCTTACTAAATTTAGTGGATTTTTACAATGTCATCTGTCTTAGTCTGTTTAGGTTGCCATAAAGGAATACCCGAGTCTGGGTAATTTAAAAAGAATAAAGATTTATTTTTCTCATAGTTCTGTAGACTGTACAAGAAGCATGATGCCAGCATCTGCTTCAGAGGAAGGCCTTAGGAAGTTTCCTCTCATGGCAGAAGACTAAAAGAAGCTGGCAAGTTCAGAGATCACATAGTGTGAGAGGAAGCAAGAGAGAAAGGGGAGGAAGACTTTTTTAAACAACCTGCTCTTGCAGGAACTAATAGAGCAAGAACTCACTCACTATCTTTAGAATGGCACCAAGCCATTCATGAGGGATCCACCCCCATGATACAAACACCTGTAACTAGACCCCACTTCCAACACTAAGGATCAAATTTCAACATGAGGGTTGGGAGGACAGATACACAAACTATAGCATCATCTTAACCTGACCTATCTGAAACATCTTGTTCTAGACCATAGTTTTACGAAAACATACTTACTCCTCAAATAATTCTAACTTTATTATCACTAACTCTATGAAGGGTCTGATTTTTCAGCTGTATTTTCCAAGAATCACAGTTGCATATATAATCAATCTACTTTCTTTTTTCCTTGATTCCTCCGTTTGGGGAAGTCAAACTTAAAGGCACTCTTAGCTAGAGGTCAAGGTTAAATATTTAACCTAAGAGATATCGGGTCACTATTTATATTAGGTGCTAAATCCAGACATTAGCCCTTGACATACAACTCTAATAAATTGTAAGATCTCTTTCCTAGCTTAGAGACACATTCAGAGGAAACATATCTCTGATTGAAATTTATCTTGAAGAATAATGTAGATATTAACAGTTTTCCTTGAAGGGTCTAACTTGTTAGATGCTGAGCACCCCAGAAAAATGTTTCATAAAAATCATATCTAAACCTAGTTTTTCTCTATGCAAGTCAGTATTTATGGTGGATACTTATTATCTATTTCAATCATCAGCAGTCATGCAATTTTCACCTCTTTTTTATTCTTCATGTCGTACAGTATCCTTCCAGATGCTTATCTCCTTGCCATCAGCTTTACCAGGCCACTAACAGAAGAGCATGCTGTCCTATTCTCCTGTCACTGATACTTGACTTTAGGGTAACTAATCTAAATTCTGGGGCTACAGCAGTTGACAATAAGAATAGAACTACTAGGATGATTATATAGAAAAATGATCCAGATAGAAGACAGATGGTGACCATTACTGGACAAGTCAAAGACTAGGTTATGAGAAAGAACAATTATAAAACAGGAGATGCCACTAATTAGTAAAGAAAAAACAAGTGGACCATAAAGAAAGAGAAACATGATTATTATAGGTACTTATAGAAGATATTTGAGAAATTGCTTTTCTTTCTGTATTTTTGTGTTTCAGCATACTGTATGTATGCTTCCAGTAATAGGTGGAGAAATATTTGAGAATATTCATTAATCTTTAAAGGCCCTCTCTCCAAATACAATCACATTCAGAAGTCCTGTGGGTTATGATTCCAATGTATGAATTTGGAGGAGCGGGGCACAATTTAGTTCACAACAAGAGAGGTCTATGTATTCTAGGAATAAAATAGCACATGTCTTTAAAAGAGGCAGTGCCACCAGGGAATTTATAGAGCAAGCACTGGAGAGGATAACTGCATGGCATAACTTGGCAGACAGGTCCATTGTTACAAAATCTTTTCTGCCCCAAGAGTGGTTTGCAATCAGCAGAAATAAATGGTTTGAAGGGATCTAAGCATCAGTAACAGTGGATGTCCCAGTAGTAACCAGACAACTGATGACTGAGAGCTGGAGAAGTACTCTTTTCCCAACATTTTGACACTACAAAAGACCTTGGGGCTGTGGCACAAACATGTAGGGCAGTCAAAGAACAGATGTCACAAAAAGACTGTAAGTCATATTTTCCCACAAGTGAAAGGCAGCACAGAATCAAACTCTAATTTGTATTTTGAAAATAAACGCAGTTGTATTTCTCATAGACGTAAGATTAGGGACAAAAATTTAAACCTGCTGCATAATAAACCCTTTTACATTTTGAAATAGCTTTAATTGCAACCAAATTGAGCCTAACTAAAAGAGAAAATGAAACTAAAACTTGCTGAGTTGTATGGAGGTAAAGTGAACAATCACGAGATACACTTCTCAATCCTGTGCTGATATATATAGTGTTGTAACTAGTAACTGAACTGTCTACCTGCAGTCCAAGGATCACATGCCTACTGAGTATAAGGCTTGCAAGGATCTTGTAGCTAATGTTTTAGAGAAGTTCCAAGAGAATAAGGCATGCACTAGTGAGAAAGGGATTAACTGCAGTCCATGTTGCCTGCTGGAAGCAGATAAGAAAAGGCAGAGATAGCTTCTGACTCTGTTTCTGGAAACATTTCCTGCTTGTAGGCAAATTCTGAAATTATTATAAACTCAGGCCAGAAACAAATTATGTATATTACTGATTTCAAATAAATTTCCTTTTCTGCTGCAATGCTTAAAATTGAATTCCTGGTATGTTAAAGGCTAGAATATTGGTGAAGAGATTTATGGGAAAGAGTAGATCCTTGTAACAGTCCAACCTTTTTTGAAACTTTTCTATCCAAGGAGATAGTGATAGGGAGGAGCACAATGAATGAAAATCTTCCCCTCCAACTCTCAACCAACTCATCCCTGATATATAAACATTTCCAAATTTTTCAGTTAAGGTATAAAATTTGAACATCGTGAGAGCCAAGGAACAATGGTCAAATTTAAAGAAAATCTCTTCAATGCTGTGTCTCTGAATCCTAACCCTGTTAAGAACCATGGATTATTTACCATTATTAGAAAGTTGGAGTTTTCATTAGAGTGAACAGGCAACCTACAGAATGGGAGAAAATTTTTACAATCTATGCATCTGACAAAGGGCTAATATCCAGAATCTACAAAGAACTTAAACAAATTTACAAGAAAAAATCAAACAACCCCATCAAAAAGTGGGTGAAGGATATGAACAGACACTTCTCAAAAGAAGACATTTACACAGCCCACAGACACATGAAAAAATGCTCATCATCACTGGCCATCAGAGAAATGCAAATCAAAACCACAATGAGACACCATCTCACACCAGTTAGAATGGCGATCATTAAAAAGTCAGGAAACAACAGCTGCTGGAGAGGATGTGGAGAAATGGGAACGCTTTTACACTGTTGGTGGGACTGTAAACTAGTTCAACCATTGTGGAAGACAGTGTGGCAATTCTGCAAGGATCTAGAAAGAGAAATACCATTTGACCTAGCCATCCCATTACTGGGCATATACTCAAAGGACTATAAATCATGCTGCTATAAAGACACATGCACACCTATGTTTACTGCAGCACTATTCACAATAGCAAAGACTTGGAACCAACCCAAATGCCCATCAATGATAGAATAGATTAAGAAAATGTGGCAAATATACACCATGGAATACTATGCAGCCATAAAAAAGGATGAGTTCATGTCCTTTGTAGGGACATGGATGAAGCTGGAAACCATCATTCTGAGCAAACTATCACAAGGACAGAAAACCAAACATCACATGTTCTCACTCATAGGTGGGAAATGAACACTTGGACAGAGGGTGGGGAACATCACACACTGGGGCCTGTCGTGGGCTGAGGGGAGGGAGGAGGGATAGCAATAGGAGATATACCTAATGTAAATGATGAGTTAACAGGTGGGTGCAGCACACCAACATGACACATGTTTACATAAGTAACAAACCTGCACGTTGTGCACATGTACCATAGAACTTAAAGTATAATAATAATAAAAATAAATTTAAAAAAAAGAAAGTTGAAGTTTTTAAGAACTGGGTTGTCTCTAAGCAACATGAAACTTGCAAATTTACGCCAGTCCCCTTTGAAGCAGTGAAGTTTCACCATTCAGATGAGCATGGTTTTGTGAGGTATAGTTTAATAAAACAAAAGTTTGATTCAAACCTTTGCCCAAATCTTTATTAAATTTTTGTCAAACCTTAGATGCTCAGCAATTTCTTGACTAGTTTATAATAGATGCTATAAGCCGTGAAAAGTCACTGCTGGCTGCAGGGCCCCATTGGGGAAAATCAGTCCCCCCAAAAAGTGACGTAGAATATGAGAGAATTATCACTGCTAACCAGGAGACAGACTCCATTGGCACTGAAGTGAAACAGTGATATGATCCTCATAGAATTCACCAGCCTTACACTGTGCCTCATGTTTCAACAAGGTTGGTGTTAGTAGTGTTAAATGGGGGATCACATTGGGGAGGAAATTCAGAAGGTGCTCTTTATATATTTTCTAAATGGAATTATGTTTTGAGTAATTCTACTATTTGGGAAAATGAAGCTATTTCAGTGATAGGTAGATGTTGTTGAGCAAAAATAGAGAGGCTTATTTTTGTGAGGCTGATAACACATCTATAAAAGCAGACAAAGGAGGAGAATATGTAGAAAAGTCAGTCACTGCCTACTAAGTCCATGCCATATACTAAGTGAATCATTATTTGCCTGCTCCTCCGGACATCTAAAAAGACATATTTACCACGTAACCATTACTGACATCCGATTTGACTAAGATGTGGGTTACACAAACTAAAGAGAGTCAATCTGTAGGCTACTTTTTGACCTCTTTATGTAAAATGTGCAAACATGAAGTGGGCCAACCAAATTCCTTTCTTTAGAGTTTGGAGTTGGGTTACTAAAATCCTATGAGTAAGCAGCATGATTGGAAGCCAAAAGATTATGATGTCAAAAGGGTACCAGAGAAAAGAATGGATACTGCTATTCAAGGCTGGGTGAAGCTGAACATGAAGGGGTGGCATCCATGAGTAAGTAAAGAAAGCCAATTAGTACAGAGAAGAGAACTGAGCAGGAAGACAAACTTTCTGGAGGCAAAGAGACAAGAGAAACTGGGCCACACAACTGCTGAGCTCCTGAAATTTCCAGTGCCATTTCTAGTCCACATTCCTCCTTACAATGAGTGCACTTTTCTTCTACCTCTACCCATCTTTGTTGACGTAGTTTTTTTTCCCTTTTTTTCCAACCCATTTTAAAAACCAAGACACTCTGTTCAATAATTTGTTTTTCTTATGTAACCATGTATAATGTGTTTTCATGTCAGTATATATACATTTACTACTCATTAAGTGGAAGATTCTCACTCCCTCCTGATGTGGAAAATGTTTTTAAAAAATATAAATTTATGAAGCTGAGAGGAAACTACCTATATCCAACTACACAACTGGGAACTCTGAATGAAAATATAATATTTAAAGACAAACAACAGATGGTGAGTCCAATGATTGAAAGGAATATATTATAGAAGAGAAGGCTGGAAAAGTACTTACAGACTCAAAGGTCTACAAGTCCCTGTGCCCTAACATTGCGAAAAATTAAGAGGCAAATGTAACCCTCTACTGTTTTTAAAGCGGCAACTGTAACCCTCTACTGTTGCTATGACTTAGTGATGCAGATCCATGGGTCAAATTGCATGATGTGAAGGATTCTATGTTTCAACAAAATACATCAATTAGAAAGACCATGTATGATGAAATATTAACTCCATATTGCATAGATTACCTAATATTTGGTGAAAATACTTAAGTTAGAATAAAAGAAAAAGAAACAGAAGTAAGGTATTTTGATGAATAGAATATCAGATTCTTGGCCAAATAATAGATGTAGATTATTACCTCCTAATCAATATAACAAAATTTTAGATTTCAACAGATAGCATATAGACATCCTACTAACATTAAACTTGTAAATATTATTATAAATACAGGAAAAAGAAAAAAGCAAAATTCATATATTTTATCTTTTTTTGATGAAAATTACTTTCTTAAGATGTAGTAAACATCAAAAGAAATTCTATTAATATAAATTCCCAAAAATAAAAGAAAAAATTAAAACTTCTTAGTAAACCGGAAAATTGAGAATCCTGGTGGTAAAATGATCATGAGTTTTGTATTCATATAAACTAAGTAAAGAAACTATGGACATATTAGGGCATGTAGCTTCCACTATAGGAAAATAGATTTTTTTAACACAAGTAGATGGCTAGGATTCTATGGTTAAAAAAGTATAGGAGTATACATGTCCTCTAGAGAGTCGCAAAAATAGATGTCTATCAATACATTTAGAAAGAATACAAAGGCAATAAATAGAATGGGAACTATAAAACAACAATAACAAAGATAAATAAACCAACAAACTGGGAAACAAAACAAAAACTGAGGAATTACCAGAACTTAAAGTTAAAACTACAGTTTTATCTGAGAACGTGCATTTAGCCAAAGGAGAATCAAAGACTGATGCAGAAAGTTTAGAATACACTTTTAGGATCATAAAGGGTCAGAGCAATCTAAAGGTAGTGAAACAGTACTCTAAAGGCAGTGTCCATAGCAAAAAGGCAAATAAAATGTAAGACTCAGTTTTTTGTGATGATGAGATAAAAATAAATGGCGGCAGAATAAAAAGAGAATCACCCAAAGGTGTTTCTGAGAGAATAGAATTTCTAAATTGGAAAGGATAGAAAAAGCAATTTCGGAAGCAATTAAAACTATGACAAATGAGTAAATAATATGAAGGTTTCAAATTAATTTCAGATTCAGATGATTTATGTCCTAGACAGAATCTACCCTTCTGAGAGTTAAACTATTGTCAGCCATTCTTAAAGGATCACGGAAAACAGCAGTGTTTGGCAATTGTGAGTAGAAAATTGTTGCCTTTTTTTCCCCAAAATTAATAAAAATAATAGATTTTTAAACTCTCAAATAATGAACTAGCTGTCCATCATTATAGAATATTGTAACATAATTTGAAAAAACAATTACACGATTTAGCATAAAAGGAAGCAGCAGAACAAGCACAAAAGTAGGCACTAGGGAGAGAATTCCTGCCTTCAAGAACAGTCTACTCCAAATATTATATGTTATGGATCAAATTTAACTCTCCTTACCTAATTTTTCTCATTTTTAAAATAGCAAAATAATAGAACATGAATTATAGATTTGTAGAAATGATTAAGCAAAATAATTAAGATGGAGTACCTAGAACAATGTAGAAAGTTTGTGTGACAAAACATTCAATCAATGTAAGCCATGAGTACAAGCACTGCTGTATCACCGCTGCTACCACTCTTACCCCTGCTACCACCACTACTACTACTAGTACTACTACAATTTTAAAAAATATTGAATATTTAGCACTCTCCTAGGTTTTTAAAGTGCTATCCACAGCAAGCAAACTTTTATTCTTTGGCTAGTGGTTCCAATAAGAGAAATGAAAATTATGCTATCCTAAACACACGTTTTGTGTAGATTTTGGCAAGTCACGTGACAAATTTTCCCAAGTTATCCTTTTGAAGAAGAATTGTATATGTAACCTGGATGATAGTATGGCTATTCTGATTTCTAGTATACTGAACGTGCTCATAGGCCAAAGAATGATGACTAATGGATCAGTGTCCATTTTGAGACATTGTGTTATATATAGCAAATGCAAGTTTTTTAATAGGAAGAGTTTCCTTAATAGCATGCATAAGATTCATGTGGGCTCATAAAAAAAGAATGAATGAAGGAAAGAAAGAATAGAATCAAAGAGAGAAAAAAAAGTTCCTGATATGTAGAATATTTGGCAATTATTGTTGTAAATACTTTCCCATGGCCACTTTCTTTTTTTTTCTTTCCTATAACTTCTATTCAGAAATAATTTTAAGCTTACAGAAAAGTTACAAAAAATAAAAGCAGTACAAAAAACATGCAAATACCATTTACCCAGTTTCACACATTTAATCTACCAAACTACCAACATGAACTCATGTTGTCAAGAGATTAGCTCTCATGAACCAATGTAAGATAACAATAGCAAACCAGTAGATTCAGCCTTACACAATAAAATTTATAATGTTTTATTACTAGCATTTATGAGAAACTTACTTTATGCCAGGCACCTTGTACTATCTCATCTAATGCTCCTAACAACAAAAGGAAGTATAAGGTATTCACATCCTCATTTTACTAACATGGAAACTTTTGATGTCCAGATTGGGTAACTTGCCACAGGTTACAGCTAGTCAAAGGAAGAGTCAACAGCTTTTATATTCAGGCCCAGGCTTTTGAGACTATCCCTGTACTTTCTCCATGCTTATCACAATTTGGAGTAGTCAGAACTAATGAGATACTAATATGGTGTACTATATGATCAAGTGGTCTTTACAGGCACAATTATAACCCTTCAAAAGATAAATGTTAAGAGTTAGAAGCCTGAGGCAAACACAGATTCCAAATAAACATCATACAAATACGATAGGAGGAAGATATCAGAATCTTTAAGAAACTTAAACCAATCAACAAGCAAAAGCAAACAACCCATAAAAAGGTGGGCAAAGGACGTGAACAGACACTTTTCGAAAGAAGATGTACATGAAACCAACAAGCATATGAAAAAATGCTGAACAGCACTGGTCATTAAAGAAATGCAAATCAAAACCACAATGAGATATCATCTAAAAAGTAAAAGAATAACAGATTTGCAGGTAAGGCTGCAGATAAAAGGAACACTTATACACTGCTAGTGGGAATGTAAATTAGTTCAGTCACTGTGGAATGCAGTTTGGTGATTTCTCAAAGAACTCAAAGCAGAATTAGCATTCGACCAGCAATGCCATTACTGGATATATACTCAAAGGAATACAAATTGTTCTACCATAAAGAAACATGCATGCATATGTTCATCGCAGTAGTATTTACAATAGCAAAGACATACAATTAACCTAAATGCCCATCAATGGAGATTGGATAAAGAAAACGTGGTTCATATACCCCATGAAATAGTACACAGTCATAAAAAGAACAAGATCATGTTCTTTGCAGCAACGTGGATGGAGCTGGAGCTCATTATCCTAAGCGAAATAATGCAGGAAAAGAAAAACAAATACCACATGTTTTTATTTATAAGAGGGAGCTGAATATTGAATACATATGGAAACAAAGAAGAGAACAACAGACACCAGGGCCTACTTGAAGGTGGAGAGTGAGAGGAGGGTGACAAGCAAAAAACTACCCATTGGGTACTATGCTGATTACCTGGGTGGCAAAGTAATCTGTATAGCAAACCCTGGTGACATGCAAATTACCTGTACAATAAACCTGCACATGTACCCCTGAATCTAACATAAAAGTTAAAAAAAAAAGCCTTATTAAGCTTGGGTAGAACATCAAGAAACACAGAATAGCACTAATTACCTACCCCAATGATGTACTTTTGCATATTTATCAAATATTTATTTCTAAAGAGGCAAAATCGATGCTATTGTGTGAAGAAGAAATTAAGATGAGTGAAGAGATTAACATGGTTTGTCTCTGTGTTCCCACTGAAATCTCATCTCAAATTGTAATCCCAGTGGGTCCAAGGAGGGACATGTAATCCCCTCATGTTGAGGGAGGGAGGTGATTGAATCTTGGGCAGTTTCCCTCATGCTGTTCTCGAGATAGTGAGTGAGTTCTCATGAAATCTGATAGTTTTATAAGTGTTTGACAGTTCCTTCTTGACATCTTTCTCTCTCACCTGCCTCCATGTAAGACGGTGCCTGCTACCCCCTTTGCAGGATTGTAAGTTTCCTGAGGCCTTCCCAGCTATGCAGAACTGTGAATCAAGTAAACCTCTTTCCTTTATAAGTACCCAGATTTAGGTATGTGTCTATGGCAGTGTAAAAACAGACTAATACAGAGATGCTGGAAAAGATTTCCCAAACTGTAAAATAATGTCATTTCTCACACTTAAATATTTATAAGTGACTACAAATTGTTTGCATTTTTATTAGGCACACACTTCAAAATGGTGACTTAAACTGTTGACAGCAACAATCATATAATAGCTGTCATTATGACGGTATGGAAATCAGTTTGAATTTTTTGTAAAATATGACATTCATATGCCATATTTTGCGATGAACCTCTGTTAAACACTTGTAAGTTTGCACTGTACTTTTATTCACACTATCTCCTTTAACACTGTTCTATGAGAGGGGGATTTGAGCCATCTCCAGACAGGAAGCAGATACTGAGGGGGTCATTGGACTTTCCCAAGTACACACACAATGTCAGTGGTAGAGCCAGAGTGAGTGGTAGACCCTATTTAGGCCAGCTACCTTCCAGGCAAGGCTCTCAGAAAGCATCTTTGGGTGGGAGGATGAAAGAGACTAGAGATCATATGGATATCAACTCAATGCTTAATTCCAACACCTGACAGGTGATTTTGCAAGCTTTGATACAAGGGTTGTAAAGCTTTTTAAAAGTTCTTTGCTGTAGAGTTTTTGTGAGGCTAAAATGAGCTAATGTTTATGAAATTACTTTGTTAGTATTAAAATTATATCAAAATATTCAGAGCTGTGATGCGTTTGCTAAAGGGAAAGTGTTCTGATGTTTGGAATGGCCTTATGGATATGTTTTCAATGGGGAAGAAATTGCCTATGAAACAGTCCCAATCATGAATGCAAAGCCTGCTGGCTAATGTGGCAGAGCCTGGAAAGGACACATTCAGATATTGTCTCTTTATCTCGCTAATGTCTCTGTGGCTAAAGGAGTGTAGTAGCTGCTGGTATTACTATCACTGCCATAAATATTATTTCTAAGTTATTGATGGGAAAACGAAGAAGATAATGTGAGTGTGAGTATGTGTGTGTGTGTGGTATGTTTGATATATGTTTTTGTGTTTGTATAAGTTTTTGTTTGATGACTGGCACATAGGAAACACTCATTAAACCATTTTATTATTGCTGCTACTATTTTTTATGCTACTTTAGTCAAAGAAAGTAAATTTTAGCATCTATTATTCCAAGATAATCTCTGGGTCTGAATAGATTCTTTTGATATCAAGGGGTCATATGAAAGATAAGTCTTTGATTTAATTTGGCAATGAGATTCATTGAGTAGGTAGAATTAACCAAGAGTAAGGTGATAATGGGACAGTAACAGTATTTTTAAACGTTGAATGTGATTTTTGATGCTGGAAAATTTAGTTGATGAT
Organism: Homo sapiens; assembly: GCF_000001405.40. NCBI lineage: Eukaryota > Metazoa > Chordata > Mammalia > Primates > Hominidae > Homo > Homo sapiens. The sequence continues at coordinate 28,048,753 of NC_000014.9, read as the reverse complement.
GAAAACTAGAGGTTTTCAAAGGAGCAATGATTATAATAATTAATATTAGCTGAGGTCTTACTTTGTGTGCCAGGCATTATTGATGTTCTTTGTGCATATTATCTCATGGTAATCTAAAAAATCCCACAAAGTTCGTATCACATGCATTAATGGATGACAAAACCAGGCATATAGCTGGCAAGTGGTTGAGTCTGGTTATGAGTCCAGGTAACTTCATTCCAAGCTGACATGCTTGAAACACCATGCTATTTTCCCTCTCAAAATACTATTGAAGTGTAAATTGAATTAATATGACTGTAATGTACAAGGAAGGAGAATGAATGGGTCCTCTTTTATACTTTGCTTATCAAAATGCTCACTAGATGCTAGAGCAAACAATAAAAGTTATAAATAAATATTGCCTTAGGACAACCAGGATGATGAGGCTGCTTAAGTCCATGTTATCTGAGAGCATTTGAAATAATACTTGTGCAATCCATCAATACGAATGCTTCATCTTCAAATTTAAAAAAATGTATTACATATATACTATGGAATACTATGCAGCCATAAAAAGGAATAAGATCATGTCCTTTGCAGCAAGATGGATGGAGCTGAAGGCCATGATTCTAGGTGAACTAATGCAGCAACAGAAAACTACATATTGCATGTTTGCACTTAGAATTTGGAGCTAAACATTGAGTACACATGGACACAAAGAAGGGACAATAGACACCAGGGCCTATACAAGGATGGAGGGTGAGAGGGGGTAGAGGACTGAAAAACTACCTATCAGGTACTATGTTTATTAACTAGGTAATGAAATAATCTGTACACCAAATCATTGTGACATACTATTTACCTATATGACAAACCTGCACATGTACCACTGAATCTAAAATAGAAGTTAAGAAGAAAATAAAAAAAAGAACTTCAAGATGGCAACAGCAGGACATTTAAAGAATTGATGCAACAAATTAAATTTTTATTCAACTCAATATGATTAGACAATTTAATATAATCATAGCATAGCATTTTGACAAAGGAGATATTTGCTATTCATTATACTTAGAATGCCTTGGGGCCATTATGGTATATTTTGGTAGCCATATTTTAAGAATTTAAAAAGTGCAACAAAAATAGGTAATCAGGAAGGGTGGCGGTCAGAATACTTGTGCAATGTAGAGCACAGCTGAAGAAACTGAGGATTTCCATTATGGATGGATGTATCTGTACATCCATCTATCTATCTATCTATCTATCTATCTATCTATCTATCTATCTACCTATCTATTAGTCTGGGAAAGGTGTTTTAGGCTTAACTTAATAAGGAGTTGAATATATACATTGGTCCAAAAAACAAAAGGAATTTTCTTGGGGGTAACTAAATTAACCATCCCTTCCTGGTTTCAAATAAAAGCTGAAATCAACACACTGAATTAATTATTCTTGCAATGGATAGGGGGTTGGAACGTGTGACATCTATGATGCTCCCAGTGATTAGTAGAATTGGTATATTTTGAATGGGTTATTAGTAAATGTATAAATGACTCTGAAATGGATAAATGTGGTGGCTGTATATTTAATGAACCAAGGAAATATGACCCGCTCATGCTTAGAAGGGTCAGATGTGACCATTCAGGCAGAAATTGGTGGCGTCTGTTGCCAGTTTGGAATCTCACAAGTGCTGAATATTATCATTTATGTGGCACATTAAATGAATGTGCAATGCTTACTGGTCAAAGTGATGAGAACTGTTCTATATCAAATTTCTCCCTCTGTTAAGCCATAAGATATAGTCAATGTTCAGTTGATCATTAGGATTCTCTTCATGTGGCACTAAAATTTTACTTTCATAGACTGAGACCAGCACTGTATAGTTGATTTGTTAATTATTTTACATATATGAAGGATGAACAAGACTTATGTGTAATAATAATTTGTGGTAGAAAAATCTGTGTTTCAATCTGATTAAAAGCAGGTAATTTTAAACTTTTACTTCTCAGAAACTGAAAAATATACAAAAGTTCTCTAGTTATGACTTGAACAACAATCTTGTTTGTTGTACTTTATCATGCTTCTGGAGCACATAAAAATCTATGATGGTAGGATTCAGTAACACCAAGGAATGATTAAGAAAATTTGGATTCAAACAGATTATAAGCAGAATAATTGCTGCGGAGTACGAGGTAGGCATAATTTGGGATCTTACATTGTTTTCTAAAATGTTGAGTAGAGGAATAATTATATTTTAAAATAATATTGAAAATAGCTCTTTAATAAGAATGGTGATTCTCTTTCAATGGCAGAATTATTGGGTTTTGCCACATTCTCTTCTCAGAAATAGTCATCAAAGAAGACGAAAAAACAAACAAACGAACAAACAAAAAAACAGATAAAAACCCACCTTTGAGGAAACTACATCTGTTGTCTCAAACCAATATATTTATAAGCTGCCAAATACAGAGAAAATCAAATGAGTGTGGGAAGATGCCAAGAAAGTATGATTGCAGCTGATTTCAGCTACAGATGGCAGAGCACAATCCCCCAAAGTAAGCAATACATCCTGAGGGTCAAAACAATCACAGTGTGTATGGCTGGAGGTGGTTGCTTCCCTGGACCCTGTTGAGCATGACTGAGTAATAGGGAAGGTGGTGCTGAATGAGTAAACACAAGGCTACATTTTTCTAGGATGCAGCACATCAGTAAGGCCATACCGAGTTGATAGGCTGAACTGTAAACAGCCCTACAAATCTGATTATTTAGGTGGCAAAAAAAAAAAAGGATTAAAATGACTCCTTTCCTACACACACATACACACACATACACAATTTTTTCTTCTTTATCATAGGGAAAGTAGTGTAGTGGTGTGCAGTGTGAACTAGCATGAATTTTTGGCAGCTGTATTAATAAAAATTCTCTTCATTCAAAGATGATATAAGATAAACTGAGCAAAGAATTAGGAAAAAGAAAAAACAGACACAGGACACTAATCAGAAGAAAACACCATCGCTGAGCAAATAGAAAGCATATACAAGCATGTCACCATAAACAAGGTGATCAACGAAACCACCAAAAATTTTAAAACAACGAGGGTAGAATTAATGAAGATATGGGCTTAAGAAACATACAAAAACATAACGTGAGCTAGCTGAATCAGGAAGGACGTAGAAAAGAAAACAGAAATAAAGCCACATTGGAAGCAACACAACGGACATATGAAAAAAGAAAATTAAGTAAAACAAACTATTAAAACAATAACCGAGAGAATATTATAAAACAAATGGAAAACATTTCTGAAAAACAAATTAAGAACTATTGAAAAATAATCTTTCCTGAAGAAGGGAATGAGAAAATAAACAGTAACACACAAATTCAAAATATTTCTCAAGAAAAACTTCCAGTTATTAAAGAAATTGGAATCTACTGATTGAAAGCTGACAGAGTATTTTACTCTGAGACAAAATACTCTAAATACTCTTAGACCAATTCTGGACTTCACCAGACTTGGCAAAAAAATGGCCAAGTCATCTATTTAAGCAGAACATTAGGTTGGCAGCATTCATAATGTGAGATTGTAAAACTATCATTATAAAGTCCTCAGGCTTTGAAATTGTGCCTCGAAAAATTTATATCCAGCCAACCTCTTATCCAGAAATAAAGTCAAAATTATTGAAAGACAAACATTAGAAAACAAAAATATAGATCAAAATGATAGTAAAAGATTAGCAGCAATCATTGATACTACTTTAATTATAAAACTAAAGCAAATATAAGAATTATGATTACAGATCATAGTGTAAATGTTCTAAATTATGCTAAAGCAGAGATACTATAATAAATAAAAAGTCTAGTGTTAAAACAACTGGATATGTTTGGAGGAAAAAGTAAACCCTGATCATTGCTTCATATTACACACACATAGTAGATTTGTATGACACTTGCTTAGAAATATCTGTGAAAAAAATCACAAGTAGACCCAAATAAATGGAAAAATTCAATATATAAAAAAAGCGTTGCATTTTTTAAGGAAAATATGGACTATTTAATCAATAGTATAAGAAAATAGGCCAACAGATAGATTATAGATTACATAGAGATAGATAGATAGATAGATAGATAGATAGATAGATAGACAGATAGATAGATGATAGATGATAGATAGACAATAGATAGACAGATGATAGACGATAGATAGATATAGATAGATAGATAGATAGATAGATAGATAGATAGATAGATAAAGGTGTGTACTCCTTTAATCAAACCAGTTCCCAAACAGCGAAGCTTTTCACCTAAGTAATGATATAAAATTCTAGCACATAAAAACTGAGAATTAAAAGAAAATTGTATTTGGGAGTAGCTGGGATATCTGGGATGCAAAACCCAAAACAGTCTCCAGACATTGATGAATTTATTTAAATAAAATAAAAAGAAATATTCGGCTAAAAAGAAAACAACATAATTCAAATGAAAATAGAAAAAACCTTTCAAAATATTAATATACAGAGGTTTATGAATAGACAATAAAAGGAAAATTACTTAACCAGCATTCAAGATATTAATGCATAAAATTAGTGCAGAAAAAGGTAAATGAAAATGACAAAATTTACAAAGTGTCATTTGTAGTAAGAGATATGCATATTAAAAACTGATGAGCTATTATATTTCATTTATTATACTGGAAAGTATCATACAACTTATACAATATAATTTATTGGTAAAGATGTAGGTTAAGAAACATTCTAGTACATTTTTGCCCTATGCATAAACAGGCATGACATATAACACATTTAAAACATCTTGGTCATATTCATCAAAATTACAATTGCACATTACTTCTAACAAAGAAATTGCAATTTCAGGGTTTTTTTAATTACAAATTTACTAGCCTGAAAAATATTTATTTTTAACAAATTTTAAATTGTGGTAAAATACACACAGTACAAAATTTACCATCTTAGTTATTTTTAAGTCTATAGTTTAGTGGTATTAAGTACATTTGCTTGTTGTGCAACCATCAACCATCACCATCATCCATCTCCAAGAAAACATCCAGCTGTTTTCTTGCATAGCTAAAACTCTGTATCCATTATAGAATGACTCTTCATTCCCCTTTCACCAAGTACCTGGCAAACACCATTCTACTTTCTCAGTGAATTTGACTACTCTAAGAACATCATATAAGTGGAATAATACAGTATTTGTCTTTTTGTGAATATCTTATTTCACTTAATATAATGTTTTAAAATTTCATCCATGTTGTAACACACAGCAAACCTTTCTATTTAAGTCTGAATAATATTGCACTGTATGTATATGTCACATTTGTTTACCCATTCATCTGTCAATGAACATTTGGGGTGCTTCCACCTTTTGTCCATAGTGAATAATGCTACCATGAATATGGATGTAAAAATATCTCCTCAAGATATATTCTTTTGGGCACATACCCAGAAGTGAAATTGTTAGACCATAATTACTTTGTTGAGGAACGTCTTTTGTGGTTTCCATAGTGACTGTGCCATTTTACAATCCTAACAACAGTTTATGTGTTCCAACATTTTCACAACCTCTTCAACACTTGTTATTTTCTGTTGTTTTTTGTTTTGTTTTATATTGCTTTGTTGTTTGATGGTAATCACGCCAATGGATGTGAGGTGGTTGTCGCACTGTGGTTTGGGTTTGCATTTATCCGGTGATTAGTGATGTTGAAAACCTTTCCATGTGCTTATTGACCATTTGTATATCTTTGGAGAAATGTATGGTTAAGCTGTTTTGTCAATTGTTTATCAAGTTTTTGTTGCTATTGTTGAGTTGTAAGAGTTCTTTATATATTCCGGATATGAAGCCTTTATCAGATATATGATTTGTAAATATTTTCTTCCATTTCTTGGATTGCCTTTCACTTTGTTGATTGTGTCTCCAGATGCCCAAAAGTTTTTAATTTTCATACAGTCCTATTTATTCATTTTTTTTCTTTTGGTGGCTATGCTTTTTGGGTCCTTTCCAAAAAATAATCGCCAAATCCAATGTCATAAGCTTTTTCTCACTTGTGTTCTAAGAATTTTATAATTTTAGCTCACATTTAGTTCTTTGATCCATTTTGAGTTAATTTCTGTGTATGGTAAAATGTACACCTTCTTATCCTGCTTCACCAATACCATTTTTTGAAAAGACTCTTTCTCCATTGAACTTTTGTCGAAAATCATTTGATCATATATGTGAGAATTTATTTCTGAGATCTCTATTCTAGTCCATTGGTCTATCCCTTTGTCCTTATACTAGTATCATACTGTTTCTATTACTGTAGCTTTGTTGTAAGTTCTGAAATCATGAAGTGTGAGACCTTCAACTATGTCCTTTTTTTTTTTAATTATGCTTTAAGTTCTGGGATACATGTGCAGAATGTGCAGGTTTGTTACATAGGTATACATGTGCCATGGTGGTTTGCTGCACACATCATCTACATTAGGTATTTCTCCTAATGCTATTCCTCCCCTAGCCCCCCACACCCCAACAGGCCCCAGTGTGTGATTGTTCCCCTCCCTGTGTCCATGTGTTCTCATTGTTCAACTCCCACTTGTGATTGAGAACATGTGGTGTCTGGTTTTCTGTTCCTGTGTCAGTTTGCTGAGAATGATGGTTTCCAGCTTCATGCATGTCCCTGCAAAGAACATGAACTCAACCATTTTTATGGCTGCTTAGTATTCCAGGGTGTATATGTGCCACATTTACTTTATCCAGTCTGTCACTGATGGGCATTTTGGTTGGTTCCAAGTCTCTGCTCCTGTGAATAGTGCTGCAATAAACATGCGTGTGCATGTGTCTTTATAGTAGAATGATTTATAATCCTTTGGGTATATACCCAGTAATGGGATTGCTGTGTCAAATGGTACTTCTGGTTCTAGATCCTGGAGGAATCACCACACTGTCTTCCACAATGGTTGAATTGATTTACACTCCCACCAACAGTGTACAAGCATTCCTATTTCTCCACATCCTCTCCAGCATCTGCTGTTTCTGACTATTTAATGATTGCCATTCTAACTGGTGTGAGATGGTACCTCATTGTGGTTTTGATTTGCATTTCTCTAATGATAAGCGATGATGAGCTTTTTTGCATATGTTTCTCGGCCACATAAATGTCTTCTTTTGAGAAGTGTCTGTTCATATGCTTTGCCCACTTTTTGATGGGGTTGTTTGGTTTTTTTTCTTGTAAATTTGTTTAAGTTCCTTGTGGATTCTGGATATTAGCCCTTTGTCAGATGGATAGATTGCAAAAATTTTCTCCCATTCTATAAGTTGCCTGTTCACTCTGATGATAGTTTATTTTGCTATGCAGAATCTCTTTAGTTTAATTAGATCCCATTGATCAATTTTGGCTTTTGTTGCCATTGCTTTTGGTGTTTTATTCATGAAAAGCCAAATCATGAGTGAATTCCTATTCACAATTGCTACAAAGAGAATAAAATACTTAGGAATACAACTTAAAAGGGATGTGAAGGACCTCTTCAAGGAGAACTACTGACAACTGCTCAAGGAAATAAGAGAGGACACAAACAAATGGAAAAACATTCCATGCTCATAGATAGGAAGAATCAATATTGTGAAAATGACCATACTACCCAAAGTAATTTATAGATTCAATGCTATCCTCATCAAGCTACCATTGACTTTCTTCACAGAATTGGAAACAGCTACTTTAAATTTCATATAGAACCAAAAAAGAGCCCATATAGCCAAGACAATCCTAAAGAAAAAGAACATAGCTGGAGGCATCACTCTACCTGACTTCAAAGTATACTACAAGTCTATAGTAACCAAAACAGCATGATACTGGTAACAAAACAGATGTATAGACCAATGGAGCAGAACAGAGGCCTCAGGAATAACACCACACATCTACAACCATCTGATCTTTGACAAACCTGACAAAAACAAGCAGTGGAAAAAGGATTCCCTGTTTAATAAGTGGTGTTGGGAAAACTTTGTTCTTTTTTAAGATAATTTTAGCTACTTGAGATTCCTTGAGATTCTTGCAAATTTCAGGATGAATTTTTCTATTTCTGCAAAAAAAGTTGGTGTATTGAAAAAGTTTTCATCGGATAATATCAACAATTTAACAATATTAAAACAATTTAACAATATTAAAGCTTCCAATCCATGTGCATGATTCCATTTATTCATCTTCTTTAATTCCTTTCAGTAATGTTTTCTGGTTTTCATGGTACAAATATTTGACTCTTCGGTTTAGTGTATTCTTAAGTATTATATTATTTTTAACACGATTTAAATGGATTTGTCTTCTAATTTTATCGTCAAAATTGTCCACAGTTAGTGTACAGAAACATGATTTATTTCTATTGATTTCTTATCTTACAGTTTTGCTGAATTCATTCTAACTTTTTGGTGAAATCTTTAGAGTTTTCTACATATAAGAAGATCATGTCTTCTTCTAACAGAGATAATTTTACTTCTTCCTTTCCTATTTGTATTTTTTTTTTAATTTCACCTAGTGTTCTGTCTAGGACTTCCAGTACTATGTTGAATAGAAGTGTCAAAAGTGGGCTGTCCCTGATCTTAGAGAAAAAGTTTTCAATCTCTGAAATAATACTTTTTTAAATACTGTAGTCTTTAGTGAAATATAATCATCTGAGTCTATGATAATAAACAAACTGAATTAGGATAGTAGTTAGCACACAGATGAAGTCATTAGCCCCATGGGACCAAGGTCTCTCAAAGCTCAAGGACTGCAGTAAAGCAAATTTCAGATAGCTGTTATATAAGCATCTAGCATCATGCCTTAGAATACATTTTCTAAATGCCTATCTTCATAGTTTATTTGGCATTATACAAGTTATTTAGAGGATATACTTGTTTTTCCCTCAAATTAGAAATAGTTCTCAGTGTAAAAGACACACTTCAGTAAAACATAGCATCCCAGCCTCACAGTGTACACATATTGCACTTGCTGAGCCGTCCTTGGGCACACCGAAATTCATCTTAGTTCCTAAGGACAGATTTATACTTTAGAGGAAAGCATTTTTCACCTTTGTTAAAATCTCTGTGAATCTGGATAGATAATACACCAACTGGAGGGTAACCATAATGTAATACTATGGAAACCCACACCTAATCACTGTTATCAACATGATTTCTTAGTTTCATATTTTCACAAACTTTAGTTTGTGTGTGTACAAACTAAACACACACCTCATAATACCTGTGTGAGTACTCATAATCCCTCAGCATCACCATCACTGACAACTCTCAGGATAAATCAAGCAATTTAGAATGGTAATTATTTTTAAAAATGTTCTTTGAGGAATGATAATAGTTAAAATGTAAATATGATGTAATTAAATGTTTATATTTGAATGACAAGGAAGTTCTTTGAGTTAGCAAGTGATGTTAAATAATAATCTGTCTTAGCATATTATAAGTACCAGCTGACCTTATTAACACACTTGAAAACAGTACTTTATTATTCTCAGAAGGACGCCTGTCTTGCAATAATGTTTCACCAGGTGAAGACTATTTCAAAGTATTAGAATTTTGCTCCGTTGGAATACTTTATGAGAGGCCCCTTGTTCACATCATGTGGTTATCTGAAGAAAAAAAGTATATCATGTTTCTTCTTATTTATAGAGTCTTTGAATGCGCAAAATAATTCATTTTAGATACTATTTTCTCAGCTGACTTAGACAATTAAGTATCTTGCTTAAAGACTTATAAAATTTACCTATGGAGTCAGTTTACCCTAAAGAGAAAGTAACAGAAAAGCTCTTGTTGAAATATCCAAAATCTTACCATGAAAGATAATGCTACTATTTGTTTAAACTGAATTCAACACATATTTGTTAAGCACCAACAATATTTTAGCCACTGGACACACTGACACAGAAATAATAACATTAATTAGGTAATAAGTGCCCTCAGAATCAATAGTAGAGAAATTACATAATGCACACACACAAAAAAAAATGTTTCTGTGAGCAAATTAACATTGTGAGAGAGGAGCAAAAGTGCCCTTTTACCAAAACGTCATGAGACAGACCAACTGCTTAGGAATTTACATGAGGTAAAATTGAACTATCAGAGAAGACATTGGGCTTTGTGGTCAATACTGTACCCACCTGCTGGTTACAACAGGGGCAAGCACATAGATAAAATATTTGTCAATGGTAAATCATTTACAAAGGTGGTCTCACGATCATGGTTATTATTATGATACTCATATTAATGAATACATGTCATACTTTTCTGAAACACAGCAAGGAAATAAAAGCCAACCTTTCTCAATTTCTTGAACGCAGCGCCTAGACCACTCGGCCATCCTGACTGCTTAACTTTTCTCAATTTCTTAATGACCCATGGGATATTATTTTTTAAATAAAAGATAGTAATAATCTGGAATTTTATTTTCCTATGTTCAAAATGTAGGACAATGATATTTGTTCAATTACAAAGAAAGAAACATCATGAGAGATGTTACATCAGTCTTCTGTCAACACTCTCACTTCTAAAATAATTTTTTAATTTCCTTTTTTTCTATTTTGATTTCTCAAGATAAGTTCCTCAGTACTGTGGATTCTGTAATAAGGCAGGTTAAAAAGGGTCTTGGTGAAAAATTATAAAATAATGTAAACTGTTATTCATGGCATACAACAGTTGTAAGAAACAATCTATTAAGTGCAAAAACTATGCTGATCAAGGAAAAATCAACTATGAGAATAAGGCCTAGTACAGGCTTGCAGATTGAAGAGACATGATGTATCAAAATGCCATTGAAGTATCCTATTGTGAGAAAGAACTTGGTCTCACAAATTGATGAAAATGTACACATGATCATACATAACTAGTCCAGCATAAAGCACTGAGTCTATACCTCTATTTTACGTTAATATGCTAAATGTTTGAGATGTGTATTTTTTTGTCTTATCCACATTCTCAGATCTCTATGAGGCTATTCTTTTACAACATATGTTGTTCTTTATTTGCATGCTTTTACCATCTCTTATAGAGGTCAAAATATCTTTTCACTTTTTCTCCTCCCTTCTCTGAAGTATTGATTTTATGCCTTTTTTTCCTTCGTAGGCTATGATCACAGCCATATCACATGCAGTCCATGCTAAACTAGTGTTCACAAGTACTAAAAACAAATGCAAAAATATAAGGTTATGAAACAGATATACTCATTTCATCCTGAAAATTTCTATTGTCTATAGCCACTTACTGAAATTTGTAGAGAAAATAACAATAATTAACAACAAATAAATTGAGAATTCAATTAAATAGATGTTTATGTTCTTAATCTTCACAGATATTATTGCCATGGTGTAGAACAAGATGCCAAGTGTTATTTTTATTTTCAAAATGAGGTTAAACACATTTAAAAAGCCACAAAGATTGACTTTTATAGCCCGGAGAGCAAAACCTCTGAAGTTGCCATTTACATAGGATTTTGCCCTGTAAAAGTTTTCATCCTGATCTTACTCATATAGATTTTATGAAATCATAATTTCGTATGAGTTCCTTTGTGTCTTACACAGATTCAGTTGATTTTGATCACATGAATTAGACCTTGAGATGCATGTTCTATATATTATGGTTGACACCTTGAATTTCAGTTCAATAGAAACAAATCTCCATACTATCTTTTACAACATAGACAGCCATTTTTTTCCAAAGAGGTACATTACCTCAAACAAACTTCTCTGTACCACAAAATTTTGCACTGGGAAATATATGTGAACCACATGGGAAATATATGGGAAACATATATGCGAGCCAGTAATTTTTTCTCCATTTCTCCATTTGACAATTGCTGCTACACTTTAGGATATATAGCCTCAAATAATATGATCACATAATCACAACTATGTAAAAACCTTGAATTTAAAAAAATTTTTTTTCCTTTAACTTTTAAATTCTGGGGTAATTGTGCAGGATGTGCAGGTTTGTTATATAGGTAAACATGTGCCACAATGGTTTGCTGCACAAATCCACCCATTACCTAGGTATTAAACCCAGCATCAATTAGCTATTCTTCCTGATGCTCTTCCTCCCACCCGCTCCCACTGAGATAGGCCCTAGTCAGTGTTGTTCCCCCCAGTGTTCCCATGTGGTCCCATCGATCAGCTTCCACTTATAAGTGAGAATATGCAGTGCTTTGTTTTCTGTTCTTGTGTTAGTTTGCTGAAAATAATGGCTTCCAGCTATAACCGTGTCCCAACAAAGGACATAATCTTGTTCCTTTTTATGGCTGCATAGGTGTATATGTACCACATTTTCTTTATTCAGTCTATCATTGATGGGTATTTGGGTTGATTCCATAATTTTTTGCTATTGTGAATAGTGCTGCAATGAACACACATGTGCAAGTATCTTTATAATAGAATGATTTATATTCCTTTGGACATATACTCAATTCCACACAACTTGGATTGTTGTGTGGAATGGTATTACTGTCTTTAGCTCTTTGATCCTCCACAATGGTTGAACTAATTTACCCTCCCACCAACAGTGTAAAATGTTTCTTTTTCTCTGCAACCTTGCCAGTATCTGTTATTTTTTGACCTTTTAATAATTACCATTCTGACTGGTGTGAGATGGTATCTCACTGCGGTTTTGATTTGCATTTCTCTAATGATCAGTGATGTTGAGCTTTTTTTCATTTGTTTGTTGGCTGCATGAACGACTTGTTTTGAGAAGTGTCTGTTCATGTCTTTTGCCCACTTTTTAAAGGTTTTATTTTTCTTTTAAGTTTTTTTAAGTTTCTTATAGATTCTGAATATTAGACCTTTGTCAGATGGATAGATTGCAAAAATTTTCTCCCATTCCACAGATTGTCTGTTCACTCTGATGGCAGTTTCTTTTTTGGTGTGCAGAAGCTCTTTAGTTTAATTAGTTCTAATTTGTCAATTTTTGCATTTGTTGCTATTGTTTTTGGCATTTTTGTCATGAAATCTTTGCTCGTGCCTATGTCCTGAATGATATTGCCTAGATTTTTTCTGGGATTTTTATAGTTTTGGGTTTTACATTTAAGTCTTTAATCCATCTTTAGTGGATTTTTGTCTAAGATATAAGAAAGGGGTCCAGTTTCAATTTTCTGCATATGGCTAGCCAGTTTTCCCAGCACCATTTATTAAATAGGGAATCCTTTCCCCATTGCTTGTTTTTGTCAAGTTTGTTGAATATCAAATGGTTGTAGGTTTGCAGTCTTATTTCTAAGTTCTCTATTCTATTCCATTTGTCTATGTGTCTGTTTTTGAACCAGTATCATGCTGTTTTGGTTATTGTAACCTTGTAGTATAGTTTGAAGTCAGGTAGGATGATGGCTCCAGCTTTGTTCTTTTTGCTTAGGATTGTCTTGGCTATTCAAACTCTTTTTGGTTACACATGGATTTTAAAACAGTTTCTTCTAATTCTGTAAAGAATGTCAATGGTAGTTTAGTGGGAATAGCATTGAACCCATAAATTACTTTGGGCAGAATGGCCATTTTCATGATATTGATTCTCCCTATTCATGAGCATGGGATGTTTGTCCATTTGTTTGTGCCCTCTCTAATTTCTTGGAGCAGTGGTTTGTAGTTCTCCTTGAAGAGGTCCTTCACTTGCCTTGTTAGCTGTATTCCTAGGTATTTTATTCTCTCTGTAAAAATTGTGAATTGGAGTTCATTTGTGATGTGGTTCTCTGCTTGCCTGTTTTTGGTGTATAAAAATGCTAGCACTTTTTGCACATTGATTTTGCATCCTGACACTTTGCTGAAGTTGCTTATCAGCTTAAGAAGGTTCTGGGCTGAGACGATGGGGTTTTCTAGATATGGGATCATATAATCTGCAAACAAATTTGACTTCCTCTCTTCCTATTTGAATACCTTTATTTTCTTCTGTTGCCGGATTGCCCTGGCCAGAACATCCAATACTGTGTTGAATAAGAATGGTGAAAGAGGGCATCCCTGTCTTGTGCTGGTTTTCGAGGGGAATGTTTCCAGCTTTTGCCCATTCAGTGTGATATTGGCTGTGGGTTTGTTATACATGGCTCTTATTATTTTGAGGTATGTTTCATTAATACCTAGTACCTAGTTTATTGAGAGTTTTTAACATAAAGAGATGTTGAATTTTATCAAATGCATTTTGTCTGTCTATTGAGATAATAATGTGATTTTTTTTCTTTAGTTCTGTTTATGTGATGAATTTACATTTACTGATTTGCATATGTTGAATAAATTGAGCTCTGGCTCAAGCGGACCTGATAGATACAGAAGTCTCCACCCAAAAATATAATATACATTCTTCTCATCACCACATGGTACTTACTCTAAAACGGATCACATAATTGGAAGCAAAACACTCCTCAGCAAATGCAAAAGAACTGAAATCACAACAGTCTCTCAGACGACAGCACAGTCAAATTAGAACTGAAGATTTAAAAACTCACTCAAAACCACACCAGTACTTGGAAATTGAACAACCTGCTCCTGACCGACTCCTGGGTAAATAATAAAATTAAGACAGAAACAAAGACGTTATTTGAAACTAACTCAAACAAAGAGACAATGTATCAGAATCTCTGGGACACAGCTAAAGTAGTGTTAAGAGGGAAATTTATAGCATCAAATGCTCACATCAAAAAGCTAGAAAGATTTCAAATCAATAGCCTGACATCACGGCTAAAAGATTACTAGAGAACCAAAAGCAAACAAACCCCAAAGCTAGCAGAAGGCAAGAAATAACCAAGATCAGAGTGCACCTAAAGGAGATAGATAAATGAAAAAAACAAAAAATCAATGAATCAAGGAGCTGGTTTTTTGAAAAAAAAATTACTAAATTACATAGACCACTAGCTAGACTAGTAAAGAAAAAAAGAGAGAAGAACCAAATAGACACAATCAGAAAAGATAAGGGGAGTATAACGACTGACTCCACAGAAATACAAACAACCTTCAGAGAATATATTAACAGGTCTATATACATAAACTAGGAAATCTAGAATAAATGTGTAAATTCCTGGGTACATTTATCCTCTGAAGAATGAACTGAGAAGAAATTCAATCCCTGAATAGACCAATAACAAGTTCTGAAATTTAGGCAGTAATATATAGCCTACCAACCAAAAAAAGCCCAGGACCAGATGGATTTACAACTAAATTTTACCAGAAGTAAAAGAGGAACCAGTACCATTTCTTCTGAAACTATTCCAAGCAATTGAAAAGGAGGGAGCCCTTCCTAACTCATTTTACTAAGTCAGCATCATCCTGATACAAAAACCTGGCAGAGATACAACAAAAGAAGAAAACTTCAGGCCAATATCCCTGATAAACATCAATGCAAAAATCCTCAATAAAATACTGGCAAACTGAATCCAGTAGCACATCAAAAAGTTGATCCACCACGATCAAGTTGGCTTCATCCCCAGGATACAATGTTAGTTAGTTCAACGTGCAAAATTTTATATTTTTTAACCATTAGGAATAATTATCACTTTTGATATTTGATGGAAAATCTTAAGAAGCGTTTATTTTAGTAAATTTTGGTTTCAGCTTTACAAATAATTACAAGCTATTAGGTAATTTTTGAAGCACTACCAGCAAGAAATCTCAAAGGCTTCTTTATTTTTTAGTTTTTTTTTTTTTTGAGATGAGGTCTTGTTCTTTGGAGGGTTCTAATGAACCCTTTGGGTTTTCTTTAAGAAATTCACCATTTGAAAATGCTGAGTATTCATGATTAAAATATTTACTTCAGAAAAGCATAACTTGACATCATGGATACGCAGACTTAACTAATTCCTTGTTTTATTTAATCTTCCCCAAGTATGGCAGACTTAAGCATTCCAGTGTTTCTTCTTTCTTCTTGAAACTCAAAGCCCATTTAAACACTTGCATTAAAGTGGAGTACATTGGTACAATTAGGGCTCATTGCAGCCTAGAGCTCTTGGGCTCAAAGGATCCTCCTACCTTAGTATCCCAAGTAAGTAGAATGACATGCATGCAACACCACGCCTGGCTAATCAAAGGTATCTTTAGACAATAGTTTGTAACTTCTTGTGCTTTTCCAAAATAATTGTCTTTATCCTTCCACAGTGGCTGAATAACTGAAACCCTAGTTGCTAAGTTATTTCTTTATCATTTTCCATGAGTGTTAAGATCCTGATGCAATCTTATAATTCATTAACATTTGGTTTATTTGGTTTCACTTAGATAACTAAAGAATTTTCCCACGACTTAAGCTGAGGAGAACAAAAAACACTTGTCAGTTTAGATTTGGTTGGTAGCATAGAGTACCAGATCAGTGGGAGCTCTTGAGACCAACCAGATTCATTGGAGCATGGCTAGACTTGCTAGGCACCATGTAACCAGACGTTGCAGTGTGTGTGCTGTGGCAGAGCACAACTGATAATATAAATTCACTCCAAAATGGCAGGAATTCAGAGGTTAGACTCCATCTTTGGAAGGAGTCAGATCATCATCTGGCTGTTGGACGAAAAGAGAGATGAGATGGTATGGCCTTTTTAATTTGACTTTCTTTTTAAAAAATCATTTAGTATCTAGGGAACGAACATAATTTTGTGTTGAAAACTATTCAGAAATAGATTGGGATAATATTTGCATGTATGTTGGGAAAACAGCCAACTGATTGCTTTATATGTCTGTCAGTCCTTGAAAATACGAGCATGTATCTAAAATATTGAGCTATTGTTCTTTACAATTAATTGAGCGAAATGTTATTTAGACATTGTATCAAAATTATGTCATATTAACAATTCCAAGCCAGTAATTGTTCGTATACAAATTATCTTAAATCCTTAAAGATGTTAATTTAATCATGTATGTTGAGAATGCAACACTTAAAAATAAGAAATTCTTGGAAAGACGGATTGAGTGATATTAATTTTTAGTATTTTGTAAAATAGAAAATTTGCCTCAATTTTATTTAAAGAGATCTAGATTCATGAAAGTAAATGAGTATTTCTGAAGAATAATTAATTTAGCCACTGATGCGTAATTGATAAGTAAACTATTATTATTGCAGTTTATAGTGTTATATAAAATTAAAATATAATCTAAATATAGTGGAATTCTCTGCTCTGTAATTGGGCTTAATAAAATATTTTCGTATAAAATAGGCTTAACATTGACCAGAAAATAAAAGGAAATTAAAATGCTCTTTGAATTCTACTTTTGTGTTACATAAACTTGAGCAAGCTGTTTAGCAGAACTCACCCCTACAATAGTTCCAATCATTTAACACTGCTGTCCATGGAGAATTCTACCAAAATTGGCTGAGAGATGCTTCCGTGATAGGGATATCAACTGGTTATTAATTAACTAATGGAGGAAGGAGGATGAAATTTTGCTGACATCCTATTAGTGTTTTGTACTGCATTGGGTGGCCAACAGATTTAGATTGCTGTCATGGGAGTTTCTGTTTTGTTGCTGTTGTTGTTTTAAGAGGGTACTATCTCTTTCCAAATTTGGGGTACTTGTGTTATATGCATGTAACTATACTATTCCTTTCCATTTTAAAATAGGTAGTTTTTGGGAACCTTGGGTGAAGTTAGCTGTTCAGCATTGGTACACTAAGGTTCTGTTTTTGTTTTTGTTTTTTAACAAATGAACCCTTTGGATTCTCTTTAAGAAATTCACCATTTGCAAATGCTGAGTATTCAGGATTAAAATATTTACTTAAGAAAAACATAATTTGACTTCATGGATATTCAGACTTAGCTGATGCCCTGTTTTATTTCATGTTCCCCAGCATGGCAGGCATACACATTCCAGTGTTGCTTCTTTGCTTTTAAAATTCAAAGCCCATTTAAACACTTGTGTTAAAAATGTCAAGCAAGACAAGTCACTGAATAGATTAAATTTTTGTTTCTGTTAAACAATAAAAAGGTCTTGGTTTTTGCTGTAGTGGGTAAATACTTTCAAAGATATTAAAATTAAATGCATTCACTTTTCCAGATATTCAAGAGAAGACTATTATAGTCGTCTCTCATGGGATATATATACATATTTTTTTCAATGAAGATTGTGCTATACTGGACTGCTCCTAGTTCATCACTCTCTTCATTCTCAGAAATATTTCTTCACTATTTTATTCAGTGAATTGAGATCAGTAAGCATGAACTTCCTGGTTTTTGCCTCTTGAAGCATTTTGCCTTCTCTCTCATACTTACCTTCAATGTGTCACAGCTTTAGAGTATGACAAGCTTCTATATCTGTTCAAGACCAACCCTGGAACTAAATTTCTTGCTTGTTTTCCCTTCACCCCTCTGGAACTCCTTAGCTCTCAGTTCCCCTCTTTTCCTATCTGAGACCTCTTCTGTACTGGTTCTCTAAAAAAGGACATGACCCACCATTTTAAAACTAATAGACAAACAAAATCCAACAAAACCCACACTCTCAAACCCTCTATTCCCTATCACTTTGTGGTTGTTATTCAAGTACCTTCAAAATTATTTATGCATACAAGTCTTTGAGGGGAAAAAGCAAATAGAATGTTTATTTACATTTCTTTTTGTCTTTAGCCTTGAAGAATCCACGCAAAACAAATGTGTTCCAAAGTTAATCAGTTCAGCTCTATTCTCCCACACAGCTTCTTCATTATGGTTCTTAATTCATTTGTAATACAAGTAGATTGTTTTGTCCTAATCCACATTCTCTCTTGCATTCCCCTAACATCCTTGCTGATTTTTAAAAATCTCAATACCATAAAACTCATGGTATTCAATTCTCAGAGATTTGACATATGTTAGAGTCATGTATAGGCCACCACAGTAATATACAAAACAGTTCCAGAAATCCAAAGTTTTCCCCATGCTAACTCCTTGTAGAAAACCCCTCCTCCACTCTATACCCCTGCAACACAACCTTTGATTTGATTTCCATTCTTATATTTTTGCTTTTCCAGAATGCCACACAGGTGGAATCACATAATACATACCCTTTATGCTTGAGTCATTTCACTCAGCAAAATGCATTTAAGAGTCATTTATGTTGTCATATTAAACAATAGTCTGTTCTTTTTTATTAATAAGTGGTATTCCATTGCATGGACATAACATGGTTTGTTTATCCATTTACCCACCCCCCACCCCCACCATGAATGAAATCTAGGTTGTTTCTGTTTGTTGGCAATAATCAATAAAGTGGTCACACAAATGTGTACAACTTTTTATGTGAATATATGTATTGACTTTACTGTGTAAATGTCTTTAAGTAAAATTCTTAGATACTATGGTAAATGTGTGTTTAAAGAAACAGACAAGCTGTGTTTTAGAGGGGCCGTCCCATTTTGCATTCTCATGAGCAATGTATAACAACTCTAGTTGGACCACATCTTCTCTAGCACTTGGAATTGTTTATTTCCTATTCATTCCAATAAGTGTGGCTTTTCATTCCATGTACACAATGTCTAATGATATGTAGTTCTTCATAGGTGTATATGTCATCAGTATATCTTCTTTTGTAGAATGTGTTTGCTAAATATAGTTCTAGGCTGGGTGCAATGGCTCATGCCTATAATCCCAGCACTTTGGGAGACCGAGGTGGGTGGAACACCTGAGATCTGTAGTTTGAGACCAGCCTGACCAACATGGTAAAACCCTGTCTCTACTAAAAATGCAAAATAAGCCAGGCGTGGTGGTGCACGCCTGTAATCTCAGCTATTTCTGAGGCTGAGGCAGGAGAATCCCTTCAGCCCAGGAGGCAGAGGTTGTGGTGAACTGAGATTGCGCCACTGCACTACAGCTTGGGCAGCAGAGCAAGACTCTGTCTCAAGAAAAACAAAACAAAACAAAACAAAACAGAAAAGATAATTCTATGGTAATTCTTTGTTTCTTCAATGTAGTGTGTCTTATTTATTTATTTATTTATTTATTTATTTTTTAATCTTGAGTGCCTTTAAGGTTTTTTTGTGTGTGGTGGTGTTTTTTTTTGTTTGTTTTTTGTTTGTTTGTTTGTTTGTTTCCTGTTCTTTTTTTTTTTTAATTTTGGTTTGAGTATAGTATTCCGAGATAAGTTTAAATCCTTTTTTGGCTTTCTGTGTTTTGGGAATTATGTTTGCATAACGACACATCTATATTTGGATTTGTCATTATTTTTGGAAAATTCTCATCGTTTCTTCAAGTATTTAATCTTCCCTATTTTTTCCCTCATCAAATGAGACATCATTTGATATTGTCCCAGAAGCTTTGGATCTACTTCCTCCACCTCTCTTTTTCTCTCTCTCTCAATATGTTTCTGTTCATATAATTTCTACAGACTTAATTTCATTGACTTTCCTCTGCTGAGTCAAATGATGTCTTCAAATGTATCCTTCAACTCTGATCTCTGTTATTATGATTTTCATTTATTGTCTTATCATTTATTTTTACTAGTTTGCTTCTGTCTGCTGAAATTGCCTATATGATCTTTCATGTTGTCCACATTCCCTTTAAAACCTTCAACATATTAATCATAGTTATTTAAAATTCCCTATAAATTAGTTCTAATATGTTTGCCATATCTGAGTCTAGTTTTGATAATTGTTTCATCTCTTGAGATTGTTTTTGAGTGCTTTGCCATTTTTTTGTTGAAAGATGAGCATCTTGTATAGCATGGCAGAGACTGAGGCAAACAATTTTTATCACTGGAAATGGGCACACTTTATCTTCTGCTAGGCCTTTAGTGTGAGAGGTTAGAGTTAATCTAATTGGGAGTTGAAGTTGTTAACTATGTTTACCGTCATTATACGACATGTTTTAAATTCATTTAGCTATACCAGGTATGGTAGGATCTGATTTGTCTAATTTTTTTTCCCCAAGTGTCTGCTATACTGTTAGCTTGAGATCTTTCTTTGTGCTACATACCAGAGAGATCTCTGGCAAGGTATTTTGTGCTAGGTGATTTTCAGCTTGAAGATGAGTGTGGGTTTCGACAGTGTATTCTCTGTTGTTTTTATCATGTCCCTGTTGTAAGCAGGAACCATATTCCCTGGTTTTGAGGGTTGGCATTCTCAATACTCCTGCCACACCCCTGCCATAGTTCTTAGCCCACAATGGAACACAAATTTTGGTTTTTGTACCTTCTCATCAGCTGCAATGGGATTTCATTCATGTCCTAAAAGGTAAAAGTATTTGTGGCCCTTACCTCCATAGATTAAGGCTTTTGTTCCACAAGAGAGAGTGGAGATAGTGGTGACTAATCCCAAATGAAGCTTCTTGACACTCTCCCTAGTCCCTTCACAGAAGCTGTTCCCCTCATCAAACACTGCGTTTGAAAAGAGACTTTCTCAGTATGCTCTTGTCTTCATAGACTCATACATATAACATAATATATTAATAATATGTTGATAATGTATAATCATATAATATTTAATTCATGTATTTATTTATTTTGTTAGCTTATATGTGGATATTACTGTTGTTATTATTTGTGGTAGGGTTCATGGAAGCTGGAAGAGGCCATGGAAAAGAAATCCCATCACCCATATTTGCCATCACCAGGATCTCCTCCATCTCTTTCATTTCACAGTTGGTTGCCCTCCACCGATTTGCTAATCACTTTACCTGAGCTCCTGTCACTGGTTTCTGGCTGTGTCTTTCATAGGTAACTCAGTGCTTATGTCTAGTTTCTCCCTGTAGGATCTTGTATCTCCTTAGATTTGGGGCTAGTTAATTATTTTATGACCCCAGAACTCTGTGATGGGTTTGAGAAAGTTGTGCACTAGGAGTTTGTCTTCCTTCTACTCTTCTTCCTCCTCCTTTTCCCTCCTCTTCTCTCTCCTCCTTCCTTCTCTCTTCTGTTTTCCTTCTTTTATTATTATTAGGCTGCAAGCCAAACTCTTTACAGTTTTCTTCCTCTCCAAGCTGAAGGCAACTTCTTGATTTTAAGACTGTTTTTGTTTCTCTATTTGAGGATGCTGTCATAGAACTGGTCCCTCCTTGGCCGGGCACAGTGGCTCACGCCTGTAATCCCAGCATTTTGGGAGGCTGAGGTGGGCAGATCACGAGGTCAAGAGATCGAGACCATCCTGGCTAACACGGTGAAACCCCGTCTCTACTAAAAAACACAAAAAAATTAGCCGGGCGTGGTGGCAGGCGCCTGTAGTCCCAGCTACTCAGGAGGCTGAGGCAGGAGAATGGGGTGAACCCGGGAGGCGGCGAGATCCCGGGAGTGGCCGAGATCGCAGCACTGCACTCCGGCCTGGGCGACAGAGCAAGACTCTGTCTCAAAAAATATATAAATAAATAAAATAAAAAATAAAAAAGAAAGAAAGAAAGAACTGGTCCCTCCTTATCACAATGACTTCACATCCAGTTTGCCTTGGTTTCTAACAAGTCTCCACTATTTACCAACTGCGACCATAGTCAGGTCACCGAATGTCACTGGGTCTTAGTTTCCTGAAGTGCAAAGATGGTATTAGAATAGTTCTTCTGACATAGAAATGTTATGAGCATTAAATAAATGTAAGTGAGGCACTTTGAGTAGTAAAGGCTGTATAAATGTTAGCTATTATTAGTTACTATATTTTAATATCATTGCCTATTTATATATGTTAGGTAGAATGCATATTTTTTAACTTTTATTTTATTGCCTTCCTTTCACATGAATGCATACTTTTTAAGAACAGATATTTTATTTGTATTGCCAGTGCCTAGCACAATAACAAGATTATAGGAGGTGATTGATAAATATTTCATTAACATATTCATATTATATTATCTCAAACTGTTATTCCATTGATGTGGTATATTCAGATTATAAAAGCTGAAATTGGCTGTCCACATTTCTGTCTTGGCTCTATTCCTTCCCACTATGTGACCTTGGGAAAGTTTTATAACTTCTTTGCAACTCAATTTTTCATCATTAAAATGAAGATAATTATAGTGCCTATCACACAGGATTGGTTGAAGGTTAGATGCGTAATACATGTAAAATACGTTGTAGCATAGTCCTGGTACATAAGTGGTCCATTAATATAATAAAATATAATAATCATTGTTATTAATATGTAGTATTAATATAGGTATATTTGTTATATTATGTTAATTATATATTTACAGTAATTTCACCAATAATAATCATCATCCTTCTTCATTTTGGTTCTAATGTTCCCCTCCCTGCAGCATCAAAGTTAGCTGAAATATATTACTTTTCCCTCTTGATACATCAAGTTAGTGTTATTTCCTCTCCTTTCTCCCAAGACAAAATTAATTACATCTGGACTTCCAAAAACTCTATCTAATTTTCAAAAATCCATTTATCACATTCATTAGCTACAAGTTTTCTCTTCCATTATGCTGCACAGTCCTGGGAGATGGGCTGGCCATTCAATGATGTCTATTGTATTATATAGAATATTGGGATACACAATTATTTTTCTGTTTTGTTTTGTTTTGTTTTGTTTTTGAGACAGGGTCTTGCCCTGTTGCCCAGGCTGGAGTGCAGTGGCATGATCTCGGCTCACTGCAACTTCTGCCTCCTGGGTTCAAGTGATTCTCTTGCCTCAGCCTCCCAAGTAGCTGGGATTACAGGCATGTGGCACCACGCCCAGCTAATTTTTGTATTTTTGGTAGAGCCAGGGTTTTGCCATGTTGGCCAGACTGGTCTTGAACTCCTGACCTTAGGTGATCCACCTACCTCGGCCTCCCAAAGAGCTAGGATTACAGGCATGAGCCACCACTGTGCCCAGCCCATATTTTTTCTTTTACTAGTTAATTAACAAACTGCCTTAGATTAGTGTCTTTCAACAATTTTTAAATAGAATACGATTTGGTATTGTTTGCATCCTCTTTTCGTATAGAGCTGCCAGAGTTTAGCTGAGGCTGATGGCTCATATCCCCACCTAATCATCACTGGACCCTGCAGCAGTACTTGTACTTCTGCAGAACCCGGGAAGCTCTGTACAACTATGCAATAGGAAAAAGTTTTTCTCTAAGACACAATTCTCCATATTTAGAAGATCAAAATTTATTTTACTATGCATAGAAAGTTTTCCCTGGCTTTTTTAAACTTGGTGAGGAAATGAACAAAACAACAAACCACATCAAAATCAAACATTTGTCATTTTGTACTGCTTCATCATACAGAACTACAATTGCAAACCATCTATTTTACCACTGTTTGTTGCAGATGTTTATATCTTTATGACTGTTTGTTAAAATATCTTCCATTTCTTTAAAATTGTGGAAAACTTTATATTCTACCTCATTCAAAAAATGACTTGTGGTAACTTGTATCTCTTTTTGCCAGTCTCTTTAGCCACACACACTCATTTTAATATTCATGATAAGTTGCTTAGATAAGTACTATTATCCTCTAGACATGTTTCCTTGGATAAATGTCTCTGAAAAGAGAATAATAATCTTATACAAATGCAGAATTATTCCATAGGCTCGCACTATTGATAATTACAACACAATTATATTAACTATTATGCACTAAAATGCCACTGAATGATCATTTTTTGCATCCTACTATCTCATTAGATCATAAATGTCCTATAACTATGGAGTTTCAGAAGGAGTGGTCCAGAATTACACTTTTTAGTACCCTAGATTCAAAACTATTACTCCTGGCCTGTTACTTTAGAGTTAAATTTTGTGAGATAAAAATGGAGTTATAGAAAAACAAAATGAAGAGTTTTTATAGACAAGAATTATGAACATTTCCCAGGAATAACATTAAACATTATCCCACACTGTCAAATGTCACCATTTTGACAGCATGGGAAAAAGCATTAAGCATTTTCCACCCCATCAAAATTTTGACATTTTTCAAAAGACGTATTCACTAAGAACACTAGCTTTGCCCATGGAAAGAAACTGTGTACACTATATACTAAGGTAGGTTTTAGTCAGAAAGACTGAAAATAAGAGAAAGAGATGACACCTGATATCATCACAGAGAGTTACAGAGTACAAGTAGTACACAGAATGTGACAATTTAGAGATTGTGTGACAATGTTATGTTAGTTATTTATACGAGATGTATAATCAGCTCTCAATCAACTGTGGTAATAAAAAGTGAAAACAGAAAAAAATGACTTCAAAATTAAATCCTATTTTCTTACTTTTATAAAGAGTTTTAATTGTATCAGTTACTATATACAAAAAAAGAGCCAATACTAATTTTGAGGGTTCCTTTTTTCATTTTTGTGTATCCTAGTAACTTTAACACAAAAGATAAATAAGTGGTAAGGAGAATATGAATAACAATAATCAGCCTTCACATCATCAAGTGTTATGCCTCTTTTTTTTTCTTCATTTTGAACCAAATTAAATCTATAATACTAAAATAATATTTTTAAGACAATGCTAATATTCAATCTTTCTTTACTGGTAAATATTCAGTGGCTTTCTAGCAAACTAATAGTACAAAATAACTGAATAAAACTTTTCAAAAATTGTGGTTATGAGTGTTTATGCTCAGAAAAATCATGAAAGTAAATAGTTTTCTAATACAGAGCTATTTACAGTGCCTAAAACTATTTTCAGATTTGCAAAGAAAGCTAAATTAAAACTGTCATTTTAGGTTCCAAATGACTCATCACAATAGTTTGTTACAGACAAAGTATGTTTTATTCAACCTCTGTAATACAGAGCAAGAATATACAAATATAGATATTAAAGTAAATATATCTAAATTTCAACTTTAATTTTAATTAAACATCTAACTGATGCCTTCCTCTTGTACACAGTCTTATTTGTTCCTATATTATTTTAATACAACATGGCAATGTTTTATAATAAATTAATATTCTCTTCTGCATATAAAATACTTCGAGACATATTTATTTGTACATTCACCAAAGCAAACATATTTCATATCCATTAGCTTTGAATTATAATTAACATTCAAGTAAATTATTCAAACTTAAACAACTACTTTGAGTTGCAGAGGAAATTGAACATGAGAATTAACAAGTAAAATTTCATTCAAAAGAGGTATTAAATAGCTTTGATTATAAAGAAACAAAAGATCATATTTTAACTCATGTTATTCTTTGTACAGGGGGGAAATGCTTTCCCTATTTTTGCACTTTAAAATAGATTTTTTAAAATGGAATAGTTTAAATGAGAGAAAACCTTAAGAGTAGAGAACGCATTATTTCAAATCCAGAGCAAAATAAAATGGAAAGATACTTAAGAAATCTCTATAGACAGTGAATTTAATTTAATTATAGGAGAAAACTTTCTAATAAACTCCTGAGAGAAACTGTAAAATATCCTTCTTTAGAATCCCTTAAAATGTTAATTTAATTTGCAAGGTTGAGATTGTCCACAGGTAAGAGATTTGGATAAAAGACATCTTCTTGTTCCACCTGTACTGACGTTGTCTGGTTTGCAGGTGAATATAATAGTAAATATAGCATTAGACACTTAGTGTAGGTGCTTTTATTCTTATCTCAACACATATTGCTAATGATCCAAATAATGCTCGTGCCACACAACTGCTAAGACTCTTTCTGCTGTTATCTAAATCCTTGCTCAGACACACGCCAGACACGTCTATCTGTTGCTTCCTGAAATCAAGTAACATAGTTTCCTGAAATTTCTTCACACTTACATCAATTTACATATGGCCTAAGGAAAAAAAAAAGGGAAAAGGAAAGAAACAAATATTAAAAAGCTCTATCAGGTAGAAAAGAGTTGTCAAAGCTGAAAACAAAGAAAATGGACTGTGAAAGATGAAATCCTTTCTCATTTTAGATATACAAAATTTTCATGTTATAAATGATATAATTATCAACATCAACAACAAAATATGCCACATTCCCTTTGTAGGTTTTAAAAGAAAAGAGAATCAGTAGAAGGATTTTCAGATAAGGATAACTGTAGAAATGGATTAGATTCATTCTTCCTGGTTTTTTATTACTCTTGAGTTTCCCTAATAGTGATCATCATGATGCTTGGTAAAAATAAATGTTTTGTTTATTAATTTTTCATTGAAATTATGTACTGCTTATGGCAATAAAACTGGAAATGTTTTTCAGAGATTAATTGGTAAGTTAGGTCACAAGACTTTTAATGTGCATGTCACTTAACCTTGCAATTTTATTTTTAGAAATTCACCCTAATAAAATTATCTGAGGTCTATGAAAATAATGAACTATAATTATGCACATTATACTATTTATAATAGCAAAGTTAATCAGAAAAATATAAATGTTCTAAATAGATGGCTATACATGCCATATGGATATAATAGAAAACTATGCAACCTTGAAAATTATGGTCTAAGTCACGAAACACTTCTGACAAACAGGAGAGAGAATTACAGTCATGATCATTCTGAAATATTGGCATTATGGGAATTAATTTTAAAAGTACATTTAAATTTCTTTTATTATGTCTCTTTTCACTTGCATCAATAAAATTTTATTTTGAATTGTTCCACTCTCTTTGCTGTTAGACACGTGGGTGATTGTCATTCGCTTTGTTTTAAAAAAATAAATATATGTAAATAAATACATAAACTAACTTAACGACTTCTTTATAGTTTCTTTTTCTTTTCTTTTCTTTTTTTTTGAGATTGAGTCTCAATCTGTCACCCAGGCGGGAGCGGGAGTGCAATGGCACAATCTCGGTTCACTGCAACCTCCGCCTCCCGGGTTCAAGTAATTCTCCTGCTTCAGCCTCCCAAGTAACTGGGATTACAGGCGCACGCTGCTACGCCCAGCTATTTTTTTATATTTTAGTAGAGACGGGGTTTCATCAATTTGCCCAGGCTGGTCTGCAAACTCCTGAGCTCAGGGAATCCACCTGCCTTGGCCTCCCAAAGTGCTAGAATTACAGGTGTGAGCCACTGCACCCTACCAACTATTGATTTAAAGAAAGGTTTTGTTAGTTCTCAGAATTATAGATACAAACTATCATTTTTGAAATAAACTTGTTCAGCTATTAATAAGTACTAAGAAATCAGCAAAGAAAAATTTAAAATTATAGAAACAATTGAATTTATGAAATAAAATTATTATATAAAAAATGGAAATAGAGAAAATTAGAAATCGGGAAATTGTCAGAGAGACTGTTGGAGCTCTAATTCTGATGAGAAGAGGAAAATAATAATTTTTTCTGGGTTATAAATAGGAAGATATAGAAGTACAGAAAAAAAAGAGGGTCACTGATGTAAAATGAGTTGCATTTCTAATGTCTTTGGAGAAATCAGAGACTTTGAGTACATGGAAGTAGCAATCATTAACTGGCATATGCATTCTATGAAGATGGAAATAGAACACAGTCCAATACAGTTAGGATATAGAAACAGAGGCATCGTTGAGAGGAGTTGATGACAACTTTTTGAGAAGAGGGCTGTGTATGTTTTTCTCGCTGATGAATGCTTGTCAGGGCTAAAAGGAGGGAAGGAAAAGCTACAGAGACAACTGAAGCTACCTTGAGGACAGCTTGAAGATGGATGATGAGCTGTATATGAAAATGATGGCTAGGACAAGCTGCAAGTATATGACTCAGACAGGAAAGGCAGTGCAGCACAAGCTTCACATGTGCTCCAAGGAAGTGATCAAATCTTTGCTATAAGTGAGAGTGAGGGGCATGATATTATGACTATTGATGATATTTACAAATTCACAGTTCTATGGGCTTGTATGATAATAATGTTTGATATATGTTGCCTATTGTTTTAGGTTATCTAGAATTTCCAAACTATTGAAAGTTAATTATTTGATGTGCTTCACTTAAAAGAAATGATATCTATCAACCATACAAAGTTTGGGAACTTTGTAAATTAAATACAATCATTATCATACCACCCTTTCCTCAGAAATTTCAGAATGATCATGAATGCTTCATTATTTCACCATGGTCTGAAAAATCTATAAAGCCTTGTTGTCACTTTGTCCTTTCAGCACACTTGCCTGGCAAAACCCTAGAGTGCTGGATGAATCCAATTAACTGCCTTCTCTGAGCTTGCACCTGGATAGTTAAACCCAGCTGCCACTATAAATTTATGGTTCAACATCAACCACTTTTCCAAAACTTTCTGGCAATGCTGTCTCTTCTAGTTAGTTGCTTCTCACATTCTTTAAAATAAATATTTCAAAACTCTCCTACATTCTTCAACCCTCCACCTCCTCTCCTATTCGAATAACGACATTACTTCTCACTTCAAAGAGAAAAAAGAAGCCAAAAAGTATGCTGAGGACTCATAGCCTCTCATACCCATATTTGCAAGTCAGCCTACTTCTGCCCTCATCCTATCCTCTTGTATCTTTCTCTTGCCATGCCCACATCTGGGTTGTCCCTTGACCTTCTGACTGGCCATCCTTAACATTTACACGTACTTAATTCTCTCAACTCAGAAATAATACATACATACATTTTCCTCAAGTTCACACCTTTTCCTTCTACTCTTTTCTTGCATTTACAGTCAAATGTATTGAAACGTGCCTTTACCCCAAATTTCCATTGTTTACTTCTCTGCACTCCTCCAGAGACACATCATAACACAATATAAATCACCACCATTCAACAAAAAATCTCTCCTGCTAAGATGTCACTAATTCTAAGGTACACTTTTGTATCTACGGTCTTCCATTAATTTTTGACATATGGAAAGCCTTTGGCATGCTGGATCACTTTTCAACTCACTTTTTTTTTTTTTTGATTCTGTGGAAGTCCATCGTCCTGGTTTTCTTCCACTCCATGAAGTCTCTCTCAATTTATTTTGTTACCCTAATCAATTTTTCATTGTTGGTATTTCTTGAGGCTCCTTCTGAAGCTCTCTTCTCATGCATGGCATGCAACATTGTTTAAGGCATGTATATATATAAATGTTTAACATTTTCTTTTTCATTTCAATTCCAAATATCTGTCTGTCCAATCGTTTACAGGTAGATGTCTCTCAGACACTTAAACTCAATTACTGAGAAGAAGTCCATGTTCTTTACCCATCAAATCTATTTTCCATCCAGCTCTGGCCCCCATCTAAATCCACAGCATTAAAGTTCACTCAAATGTTTGGGTAGAAAATATGAAAACCTTTCCTGATACTCCATCTCTTTTTCTCCTAAAATCCAATCAATCTTCATACTTTGGGGGTGCTTTTTCTATCTCTTCAATCATCAAGTTATATTTGTTTCCACTACTCTTTTCATCTACTGCAAGTCACTTTATCATTTCTCTGAACACCTGCAATAGCAACCTTTCCAAAAGCATGTGATGCATGCCTAAAGCTTTTTGATATCTTTTTTATTTCTCTTAAAGGTAAAGACAAGTCCTAAACAGGGTATACAAGCCCTTGAAGATGAAGCTTCAGTCTGCTTTGTGGCAGACCCACAACTCATTCCAAAATAATTTTTCTTTTTTGGAAAATCTACTCATTTTATTAGCCTCTCTTGCAGCTGGAAAGCTTTTCAATATATACATTTGCTTACACATATAGGTTGTGAGGTGAAACAACGTATCAAAGTAGCTTATACTCTTTGTAGGGGTGGATTTTTAAAAATGTATTTTTCTCTGAATAAAAAGTTGTCACTCCCTTCTTTTTGCCTTGAATGTGAAAATAATAGTTGGTGCTACAGTGGCCATCCTGAGACTATAAGTGTCAAAAGGAAACCAAAAGTCAAACATTAAGAACAGCCACATCAGAAAGACACAAAGTCTGGGTACCCCATTACATAGTTAAACAGATGAACGAATCAGAGTAATTTCTTTTCATGTGAAAAAAGAGCTTTTTTAAAAGAAATATATCAACTTTCATTTTAAGTTCTGGGGTACATGTGTAGGATTTGCAGTTTTGTTACATAGGTAAATGTGTGCCATGGTGGTTTGCTGCGCAGATGAACCCCTCACTTAGTCCTTCTGTTATAAAGATACATACACATATATGTTCATTGCAGCATTACTCACAATCGCAAAGACACGGAATCAACTCAAGTGCCCATCAATGACAGATTTGATAAAGAAAATGTAGTACATATACTCTATGGAATACTATGCAGCCATAAAAAGGAATGAGATCATGTCCTTTGCAGGGACATGGATGGAGCTGGAAGAGCCTCTTTTAATAAAAGATTTTAAATGTTATTTGCTATAAAAACATTCCCAACAGTATGTTGTTAAACCTCATTTTATGGCACTTTCTCCTGGCCTTTCAGCTTCAGATATATAATCTTTATTTTAAAAATATGAACTTGTAAATTTGATTTTATTTAATTTTTTAAAATTCTAAAATGCAGTATTTTCTCTTGCCTATGGGTCTTCATGCATGAACTTATTCCTGACTAGGACACTCTCCCAACCTCATTACTCTCACTTTCATTAACTCCTCCATGTTTTGATTTAGACAAATCACTACAAAAAGACCTTATTGACCCCAAAATGAGGCTAGGCTTACCTAAATGCATTATTAGTGGACCTCATACTTTCTCTTCCTACATCATTCTCACACTTATAACCCTCAGTCTCACTGTAGTATCCTGATGATGCGATTTCTGATCCAGAAACTAGTTTCTCTTGTTCCACATTTGATGCTCATCATCTATTATGACATCTAGTATACCACAGGCCCTCAGTACCTACTGGTTAAATACATTACTCAATTTAGTGCTTTAATTGATAATATTGTTATATGGTCATGATCTTATTTTCCCCTAGATAACTGATAACTTTGATATAGCATTACACTTTTTCAGATTTTTTTTTATCCAGTTGAGGCAAAATTTACATAGGGTAACAGGCACAAACACTACATACACTATTTGGCCTGTGACCCCTAGTCACTTTGGTCTGCTCAGATTTCCAACTATACCCTCAACTGAGGGACACTCTTCAGCTCTACCTGGGTTCCCGGTAATTTCACTGTATAAAATTTATAAACATTTTTATGTATTTCATATATATATATAAATTTTATATATTTTGTCTATTTTTAGTTGTTTCCCCTATGAAAGTACATCCAGTTCCTGTGGCTGCGTATTGCCCAGAAATGGAGGTCCCATTTAACACAATAAGACTACCATCTTTCTATTTGATTCCTAATTGTCTTATTAGTTTTTTATTTCCTCCCTTAGCACGATAGGGATAGTGAGTTTCCCTGATCTTAGGTTGGGCAATTGGCAGATATTTTATTTTATTATGTTTTGTTTTATTTTATTTTGTTTCCTTTTTTGACACAGAGTCCTGCTCTGTCACCCAGGCTAGAGTGCAGTAGTGTGATCTGGGCTCACTGCGACCTCCCCATCTCGGGTTCAAGCGATTCTCCTGCCTCATCCTCCTGAGTAGCTGGGATTACAGGCTCCCGCCACCACGCCCAGCTATTTTTTTTGTATTTTTAGTAGACACAGGGTTTTACCATGTTGGCCAGGCTGTTTTCAGACTCCTGACCTCAGATGATCTGCCAGCCTTGGCCTCCCAAAGTGCTAGGATTACAGGCTTGAGCCACCATGCCCGGCCTGGCAGACATTTATACAGTAAAATAATAAGCTACTACTAGGTGTGTCTTGGGGCTGTGCCTCCTGTGACCGGAACACCCTTGCATATTGCAGATAAGAGAATATAAAGTCTGTTGACTATTTTCTTCTCGCCTAAATAAAGGTATCATGAGATTGATAAACTCAAATACTCACTGGCTCACGTGTATGAGGAGGAAATAATGGAATAATTTTAACTTTGTCAAAAAACATGTTTTCTTTTGTGGTATAAGATTTGACACAAATTCATGAGAAACAAATCATCATGTATTAGGCCAGATTTCCTTATAAACTCTAGTTAATGTATAATAACCAAACTGTCAGCTGATGGTCACTTGGCCATCGGATTAGCCAAAATATTGTGGATTAGCTAAAATTTTCAGTGAAATCTGATTGATCCCCACTCATCAACTATTGCTATTCTCATAATTTTGGAATAATGTGTACCTTTGTAAAGTTAAAATCAAATCTAATGCATGCAAGGGGGTCTGAGTTAACATTATGGGGCATGTTAACCTAAAAATGCTGGACTTTAGTAGACACAAATGTTCAGTTATGCCCAGAGAGAGTGAACACTGGAAACTTAGATTAAGTGGGTACAGCCCCAATGAGGTGTTAAGAAACAAAACAGAAAGTCAGTGTGATCCTACAAGATTTTCAATTTTGTTTTCCACTCAGAATTGTCAAAAATGAAAATCATAGGCAACTGAGTTTTACAGGAGGTATAATGTAAAATAAATAAATATATAAAAATCAGCCCTGGTAAATAGGCTACTTCTGTTAACATAAATAATTCCTGGGAAAGGAATTCTGATCTGAATGGCCCTTGCTTTAGTTCATCTTGAAGCCTAGCTTCATCCCTACCCTTTCAAAATCTTGTTTATTTTTGTAATTTTCTATGAGATACTCCAGCATCAGCAGTTAAATTCACTTGTTTTCCTTTAAAAATGTTGAAGACAGATTTTATTCTTCTTCTGCTAAAGAAGCCTTAATGTACTCTATTTATAATGTTTATTTGAGTGTTTTCTTTATTAAATGTATATTCACTAGAATTTTGCCGACTATATTAGATTTCCTTAAAGTGGCTCTCCGACTTATCAATTCTAATTCTTCCCTTTATTTTTGTCCTGTACTGTAGTTTAAAAAATATACTTGTGTTTTATTTTTCTCTATACATTTGTTCTTTTCTAATTACTAAAGCTTAAAGTTTAGTCTCCTTTTTAAAAAAAAACTAGAGCATGTATGATTGTGATATTATTTCTCAGTGCAACTTAGGTTGTGAAACTTAATTTTGATATAATTGCTTCTTTTCAAAATATCTTTCATTGCATACCTGATTGCTTGATATGTTCAGAAAGGCATTTTTTAATTTATAAGCTTGACATTTTTTAAGTTTGTACAATTATTTTCATACTATGTTTTCAAAATATGTGAATTGTATGCATTTGTTTTTATATGTAATTGATTTTAATCTAAGAACATGCACATGTTCAAAATAAAGCTATGACTTCTTGAAAAGAGCTCTATTCTTAATCCATGGAATAATTTATTTAATATATAATCAATCCCTTCTATAAATTATGTTTTTTTATGGCCACTATTTCCCTTTTGTAAGTTTGTCTACTTAAGATTCCATAGACTAATACCGGTATGCTGATATTTTTTCCAATGATTTATTTCCTGTCAGTTCATTTCGAATTTTGTTTCAGTTGTCTTTCATGTAAGTGACATCCTGTAGCAAAATAATCTCCCTTCTGTTCTGATGTCTCTTACATAAGGCTTTAGAGTTGATATTTTAGGTCATAATTCATAATATTACTTGACATCACCTAATCTTATTTTATGAGTATACATATGGTTCTTTGTTAGTTCTTTTTCATTCTTTTGAAGTGTGGATTTTTTTTTCTTTCCATTGAATGGACTAAACCTGGACTTCTATAGTTTTGATGTTTTATATTTCAAACTTCATTATGAGTACCTCTTTTCTTTTTTTCTAAGACTTCATAATTTTCTCTGTTATATTGTTGAAAACTAAAAAAATTATACTTTAATAGGGTTTGTTTTCATTCTAATAGAAATTAATGTTTTTCTTCCATCATTATAGTAACATGCCTCTTTATGTTGTAGAGCCATATTTAGTAAAGCCATGTATTCCTTTTTTTCCCCTCAGTTTTTACTCAGCCTTGATTGAAAAGCGATGTTTCTAGACCTTGTTTTTGGCAGCAATCAAATACAGAGATTGTATTATTTTCTCCTCATTGCCTTACTTCCTAATGATAGACTCTTTTTTTCAGATGTTGATTATGTGGCTAAGGGGATATGCACAACCCAAACCAAATTTTTGGTTCAACTGGCAGTGACAGATCCAGGCTTTCTGGAGCCTGAAGTTTATATAATTCTAGGGGTTCTGTTTAAGAAAAAGAGTATGGAATTGGGAATATAGAATTAGCAACAAAATTGATATACAGAGTATTTAGAATGAAAAAGTAAATCCATACAAATGACTTGCATCTTAGAAATCTGAGTCTCTTTCTCTATAATTCCTTTACCAGAAATATTACATAGAAGTACTTTCTGATTACAATTTGGTATCTCTCCCGCTCCCATTCGTTTACCACTAACCCCCTAAAACCTCCCTGCTACTCAAAGTAGGGTCCATGGATCAAAAGCATGGGAAGTTGTTAAAAATGCAAAATCTTAGGTCCCAGCTATGACCTACTAAATCCAAATCTGCAAATTTTGACAAGGTCCTCAGGTGATTTATGTGCACATGAAAGGTTGGTGAACACTGCATAGCTCCACCTACTTACAGCACCTAAATAGACTCTGCAAGTGAGGGGCCTGAAATCTAATGAAGCAGGCTTTTTTTGAAATCAGCTTTGCAGTAAGGATAAAATAACTTGGCTCACTTAGTAATGAACAACATTTAGATGTTCTGCACTGGTTCTATGCAATACAGGAAAGCATTCACACATATTCATACGCTTCATTGAGGGTCCTTCTAGACTCTGTCTTAATAGTTGCTTATTTCACATCCAGGATGCGGTGATAATGACACAAAACTGTTTTCTTAGCAGCAGATTCCCCCTAGACAGCTAGAGTAGTTCATTAAATGAATGATTAGATAAGGCTATACTAAATTGGGCCTGCAGGGCCTGTGAGTCCTCAAACAGGTCTAGTCAGAAGGAGGAAAGCTGGGAGGGTAATTTCTTGTGGGAAAGACTCTGGAAAGAAAGACAGGGGCTAATGGCCACTAGCAAAAGAGGAATGTGGGGAAAAATAATGTGAGACTCTGCGTTAGGTTGTTTACTTTCTACTGTGACATAAATCCTCTTTGCTGTGTCCCCACAGAATCTTCTGTAAAATCTACTTTTCTCCCCAGTGCTTTTTTGGAGTGGATTTTCTTTTTCAGGAGAAAAAGTGCTGGGCTCTGCTGTGAGGTTGGCAAAAAGCAAAACCACAGGCTGCCCACTGGAGGGCAGCTGCCTGTGGGCTACTTCATGCCCTGTGAACTCTGCTTTTCACCCCGCCTTTGTGAGATGACTGAGTGGCACATTGCAGTTGAATGCACAAAGAGGTTGGGTGGGTGGAGCTCTCACCCCGTTAAAAGGCTCTCTTTCTCAGTGGAAGGAGGTAGAGACACTGAAGTTTTTATTTGTGTTTCAGTGGTGGAAACCTCTTCCTTTTAGTCTTATTTGCCCTGGATTTAGTGTTTCCGGGATTAAAACGATAGCGTGAACCCAGAAAATCTGAGACAGGTCTCAGTTAATTTAGAAAGTTTATTTTGCCAAGGTTGAGGACGCGCCTGTGACACAGCCTCTGGAAGTCCTGACAACATGTGCCCAGGGTGGTCAGGGCAAAGCTTTATTTTATACATTTAGGGACACATGAGACATCAATCGGTACATTAGTTCGGTCTGGAAAGGTGGGACAACTTGAAGCAAAGGCAGGAAGACTCGAAGCTGGGAGGGAGCTTCCAGAAGCTGGACTAAGCATTCTTTGTGTTCCTGTTCATCTTTGTATCTCGGAGGCCTCTGTGGTTATTCCAATGAATAATTGGGATAGGATAATCAGACACTATTAATTAGACTATTTTCATTAAGCTTTTTGACACAATTATATGTCAGAAAAACTTACCTGGTATTACACACATTTTCTAGAATTTTTGTAATGATAAATAGGTTAACATAATATTTTCTGAAACTAGGGCAATTTCATATAGAAAAATTAGTTCTGATAGAAGTGGCAAAAAAAAAAATTTTTTTTTAAGGGGAATAAAGCCGGGTGCGGTGGTCACGCATGTAATCCCAGCACTTTGGGAGGCCGAGGAGGGCCAATCACGAGGTCAGTAGATCGAGACCAATCCTGGCAAACACGGTGAAACCTCGTCTCTACTAAAAATACAAAAAGTTAACCGGGCATGGTGGCGGGCGCCTGTAGTCCCAGCTACTCGGGAGGCTGAGGCAGGAGAATGGCATGAACCCGGGAGGCAGAGCCTGCATTGAGCCGAGATCACACCACTGCACTCCAGCCTGGGAGACAGAGCAAGACTCCGTCTCCAAAAAAAAAAAAAAAGAGTAACAAATTTTACTTGTTTCAATCGTGCATTGGGCTACAAATGGCATATTCTCATCTATCTGAAAAATCTACCTGGTTCATTCGTTCTTTTTATTTGATGGATTATTTCTTATACCTTCCTTCTTGCCTCTTTCTCTTCTCTTGCTGTTCTAGCAGTGCCAACTTTCTAAAAAAAAAAAAGGATGGCAAACAAGATAGATGGCCATTCTCTAGCTCTCTCACACTTTCCAATGGTTCGCTCAACACAGACGGCGTCATGGTACAGAAAACCTCTGCCTCATATCGGGAAAGTTTATAATGCTCTCTTCATCAGGTGATAGCAGAAGAACGTCTTATAAATTCACTGATTAGACAGAGAAAACAAGTCATAGAAATACATCTTTTTGAAGTTGTTTCCTAGAAAAAGTTTTATTTTAGCACAATTGCTGGGTCTGTTTTTTCTCCTGGACCTGAAAACCTAATTTTTTTAAAAGATAAGTGTAAATCCATTTTTAATATTGAATATATTCCTTTACATGTGAAGTTTACTTTTTCTTGCCTACATTGTTTCAGATGGAGTTATATTTGCTACCAAAAAAACATAATAATGTTTAGTTGTTATTTTATATATACTTTTTATTAAAACATAAAAAATAAATATTGTATCTGTGTTAACACTAATGGGGAGAAAACAGCTCTCCAATTGTTATGTCTTTTCTCCATAGTGCATAATAAATAGAACAAAATTGCATTTTATAATCAAGACAAGAGTTCTGAGTGAGATCTTTTGAATGCTATTTGTATAAAGTCTGGATAGTATCTTTTCAAAATTTATTTTCATATAGCACATAGCAGTGATTCTATATAGCATGGCATGGGTTTTAGCAGCAGATTACAAAATAATGTCCATTTAAATAAACAATATTTTTAACACTATGAGAAAATGTTTCCTTATTCTTTGAGTGCAGATGCTTACCCCTCCCTCAGGTCTGTTAGTTTATATTTATTTTGAAAATTTTATCCTGAAAAATTTTTAAATATCCAAAAAATGAGAGAAAACAGTATAATGAAACCCAATGTACTCATAACGTGGTTCCAATAAATATAACATTTTGCCAATTTTATTTTATCAATATTTTCTATATCAGTGTTATAGCTTGATGTTTTAAAACAAATCTAATACAACCATTCTTTTACCTTTCATTCTTAAGTATTTTTATAGCAACTTTAAAAAATACATCCCAGGTGCTATTATTACACATCACAATTAATTTCTTAATGCCTAGACTCCATTCAGATTTTCAAGACTGACTTCTAAATGCCTCTTTATGGTTGATTTGTTTAAATTAGCATCAGACAAGGTACATACATAATGTCTTACTTGTAGTTTTGTAAATCTTTATTCCTTAACAACCCTCCATGGTTCATGCCATGTCTTTCTTCAAGGTGTGTTTTTAAACAACTCAATTTAAATATCATTTGGACTTAATGTTCATATTCTGAATTTGACCG
Source organism: Homo sapiens (assembly GCF_000001405.40). Classification (NCBI taxonomy): domain Eukaryota; kingdom Metazoa; phylum Chordata; class Mammalia; order Primates; family Hominidae; genus Homo; species Homo sapiens. The sequence continues at coordinate 28,010,284 of NC_000014.9, read as the reverse complement.
AATGGTTGCTTCTCGTGTTGTCTAAATTGTCCATTTATCCCCCATGCACTCTATCATTGAAGGGGTGGTGAGGATGAAGTTCTTTTTTCTGCTTTATTCTTTAAACTAAGACTACTACACAGACATTGCTATGTACTTTCTATTCCACCATGTCACAAGGCAGGTTATGTCTAGCCATCCCATTGATTGATAATTAGGTTTGGGTGTTGTCAGCCTCCTCTCCCTTTTATCTTTCATATTGGCTTTTACAAAATACTATCATAGCAACCAGAACATTAAATTGCATTTGGTTGTATGTGTGCGTCTCATAAACTGACTACAAAGTTCTTAAAGTCAAGAATAGCAACAAATTAAAAGAACAAAAAACTATTGCTAAGTTCTATTTATTATAAACAGGAAAGAATAATTCAATATTTAAAAACTATTAATATAGAATGCATACCAAGTTTTTAAAAATGACTAGATCTTCTTTTGTTAGATGCAAAAAAGACATTTGATAAAATTTACTGCTTACCTACTTAAAAGTATCTTCAAGAACAAAATGAATGGCTTATGATTTAACATGATGAGAAAATATAGGATATCTGAAATCCCAGTATTTTAAATTCTTAGTAAATTCATTTTCAATAAGAATGTTGGATGATTTAGAATGGGATTTTTTCTACTTATTTATATAATATACCTGTATTACTTTCAAAAACAAATGCAAATTGAAATCCCTATTTTGAAATTAGTGCCATAGCATAATCAATAAAGATTCACATGTTCTAATATAAGTAAATGTATGATTCATCGACCAGCAGAAAGAAGCCATAAACCCTTATTAAAACTAGCTTTTAGTTTCTCTAAATGTTATTTCCATAGCTTAGTAAACATTAAGAGTTTTTTTTGTATAAATAATGTACTCTCCACTCAAAAGGAGGCAACTTGTCTAAAGTGTATTTATTTTTAACATGGCATATAATTTCTTCTTATTAAGATATAGTACATTCTCTCATAGACTTACTGAAACATGAAGTTCAACATAAAAGGTTTCCTTGTTTATATTTTGTTTTTATTGATACATAATAAATGTGGATATTTTGGAGGGGTGCATGTAATATTTTGATATGTTTGTATAATGTGCAATAATCAAATGATGATAATTTAAATATTCATCACCTTAAATGTTTATCTTTCCTTTATGCTACAAACATTGAAATTAATCTCTACTAGCTATTTTAAAATATTCAATAAATTATTGTTTACTGTAGTCATACTACTGATTTACCAAACATAAAAATGAAAATTTAAGGGCTCTTCCCTGGCTTTCCAAGTATAAATATTATTAATAATATGATTCTATACATGCAAGCAAATGGTTTAGAAATTTATATTTAGTACAGGAAATAATGCAAAATTACCTATTTTGAATGCAAGGAAATTGCTTAATATGCCCACTAAAGATCAAAGGCAACTTTATGCTTTATCCAAACAATATTGCTTGTGTTTTGTGGAGTTGATGATATTAGACTCTGCTTTTGTCCTTGTTTTAAATCTGGCGGAGGCTTCTTGTCTTTGGCCAAAACATGCAAATTAGATCATTGAATAAAATCATGTGAATTTCCAGAATTTGAAATTGGTCATAATTAATAGCAAATTATTTACTTTGTTCCAAAGTAAAAATGGCAGAAATACATTTGCAGATATAGAAAGAGTATTTCCAGATGATTTTCTGTCTCAGAAGCATTCTAATTAGTAAGTCTATCATGAATAAGGAATAGTTTGCTCCTATAAAACTTAAGACAGAATTTGTCAAGCCACTTTAAATCATTTTGAATGGTCCAATTATCCAAACTGTGTTTTGAATGTAATCATGCAAAATGCATGAGATTTCTATCCAGCTTCTGGTAAGACTGATCATTAAGCTCATAGAATTGTGTTTTAAAAATGAAAAATATTCTTTCCCTTATCTAAATAAATTTAGTAGTTTATGACTTTAACAGGAGATATGGATTTTTTTTAATACAGAGGAAATTAGTGCAGATTCTAAGACATTTAGATTGTTTTCTTAACAAGATTCATCTGCCTCTACCAATATTACTGAAAAATAGCAATGGATTTGTGAATATTTATTGTCCCTAATCTACTCCTCTTCAATGTTCATCATTTCTCATTTTGAATGTAATTTGCTCCATTGTCTCCTTTTCTTAAGTTTGGAATGAGAAATCTGACTTCACTGTGATGCTTATTTCTTTGCAGGGTTTCATATTTTTCTCTCCAGGCATTTCTGTTAATTTTCTGAAATTTCACCACAATGGCATAGGTGTATTTTTTCTGTTACTTTCTTATTCATTTTGCTTTGCATTCAGTGAGTCATCTTAGTCTAAATGTTTATATCTTCCATAAGTCAATTAAAATGATTTCCCAATTGTTTTTTTATAAATACTTTCTGCCTTCTACTTGCTGTGTTTTCTCCCTCTGGAATGCCTATTCCTAAAAGAGAATAATCAGAAATTCTAAATCATACTTCTTACCGTGGTGGGTTTTTTTTTCTTAATTTCCTCCATTTATAGGTTTGTGATCCATTCTAAAATATTTTCAGCTCTATCTTTCTGCTTGCTAATCCCCTCTTCAGCTATGTCTATACTGCACTGCAATTCTTCCCATCTGCTAAATGTATCATTTTGAAAAGTCTGCATATATGGTCAGGTACCCACACACACATACAATTTCTAGAATTTCTTCTTGATAATCATTTCATAATAATCTCTTCCTCCTTCACATCTGAATGCTTTTAAAGGTGATATCTCCATTTTTCTGAACATATTGATATAATTACTTCTGAATCCTGTTTGTTCTAAAGGATTTAATTCTTCTGGTGCAAGTTCTTTACTTTTTCTACTTTCACTTTTTCTTCTAGTGCATAACTTCTTAGATATTTTGTATTCTCTACTGGGTGCTTATCATAATAGGTGAGATTAATTGTCAGATGTCCCGTGCTTCTTTTTGTACTGGGGTGGGAAGGAAAATTATCACAGGGCTTGATATGTTTTTTTTTAATTTCATGTGATCTCTTTCTCCCTTCCTCTCTTCCTTCCTTTCTTTTTGGTGAGAAAAGGAGAAGCATGGGTCAATCTACTAGACAGGGTACCTCAGCAACTGGTGTTCTGGGGTGGACCGGTGTCCACCCTTACTTGGTGTTCTCCATGACTCCTAGCATTTCCCAAGTTCCTACATTCTGGAACATGAATCGTGGCCTGCCCAGAATGTAGGACATGGAACACGAGAATCTCGTTTCGGATACAAGGCACATATGAGGTGACAGATGGACAAAGGTCAACTCGCTGTCTTCTCCCACTGCAGAATCAACTCACTTTGTTCATTACCCTAAAGTCCGCTCCAGATTCTGGAATCCTACTCCCATATATTTCTGTTTTGCAAAACACTTAGAAATGAGGATGAGTTAATATGTTATGTATAATATATTATAACCTCGCTCAAAGAAGCATGCTTTTATCCTTTCAAATTATCTTTAGTAATATATTACTTCAAATATACAGGAATAGAAACATAATGAACAACAGTTACTCCTAAACAAATTTTAACAAATCATAGAATTTTACCATATTTGCATAATGTACTTATATTTAAAAAAATATGGATATATTTGAGGATGCTGAATAATCCTACTTAATGCCATTTTTCTTCTCCCTAAGGTGATTATACAAAATTTGCCTGAATCGTTTTTTACACATCTCATACAATATACATGTTTCTGTAGGTAATATATCTGAAAGTGAAATTGCTATGTTTTAAGATATATATTTCAACCTAACTATATTTTCCAAATTGCTTTTCAATGGAAGAATTTCATTCTAAAATGTTATCAAATATATATTCAAGAGAGAAGAGCCTAGATGGCTGAATACATGAGGACAGAAAGAACTTCTCCCACCATGAGACCACATCATCAAGAGAACCAGCACACTCGAAACATGTCTTTGGAAAGATGGAATTGAAAGTGGACAGAGGGAAGGTGCAGACCCCAGGCTGAAAGGAGAGGAAGCTGGGAACCCTGTATGGGGTTGCTGAGCACCAGAATGTATTCCTGGCCCTGAGCACATCCTAGGGAAGGGGTGAGTAAAGGAGGTATAGAGTGGTCCACTCTTGCCACAGACCTCTGGAATCATAGCTGCAGGAGACCTCATGATCCCCACAGACATTTGAGCAGGTAGGGAGAACTTCCCAGAGAGTTTTCAGACAGAACGCCAGCCTGCATGGAGCCCACAGAGTTGGGTGTAGGAGTGGCTGCAGTGGAGCATGGCCATGGGAGTCCATTCTTGAAGGCTCACAATTCTCTAGGTGGCTTTAGCATTTGTTGGCTGCTGGACATGGACAGAGCCAGGCTTTCTTGCCTGTAGAACAGGGCCAGTCTGATCTGAACACCCCACCATGTCCTTGCCTGTCCCAGGCTCCCTTCCTAGCCACACCTGCTTGGAGCACAGCCTTGGCTGACCAGCCAACGTCTTTGCCAATGGCCACTGCCATAGCCCTTTCACCAGAAGACCCTGCCTAAAAGTCAAAGAGCTTCTGCAGGTAGGCCTTTGCTGGCATGCACCCACTAGCAGGCTCCCCCAACACCCAGGCCACAGCTTCACTGGTATGCATGTGTATGCTCACCCCATCACCACCCTGTCACTGGTGCACACATATGTGAACACAGGACACATCTCTGCCCTGATGTCAGTACGCACATGTGTGGGAGGGAACCCCAGTCATCCTGCTACTGCCCTGCTGAAGCACATGTGTGGGTACCCAATATCAGACATATCAGAATGCTGTTACCAGTGGACTGGGAACACCTCAGCCCCTCCAGTACAACAGGTGCTTAAGCTCAAAGAACCAGAAAACAAAGCCACATGCCTGGTTCCAGCCCCATAGGGTAATGGCATGCAGCCCGGGAGTGCTGAGCTAAGCCTTGGCCTCCTGAATCATCCAGAAACAAAGCCAATTGACCAAACCCAACTTATACCACAGTCAAGTCCTCAAGGGCATCAAAAAGTATAAAAGCAAAAAGCCTCATCCAAAGGACAGCAACTTCAAACATTAAAGGAGCATTAGCTCACACAGATGAGAAAGAACCAGCACAAGAACTCTGGCAACTCTAAAAGCTAGAATGGCTGCTTACCTCCAAATGATCACACTAGCTCCCCGAAAATGGTTTTAAACCAGACTGAAATAGGTGAAACGACAGATACTGAATTCATAATCTGGATGGAAATGAGGATCACTGAGATTCAAAAGAAAGTAGAAACACAATCCATGGAACCCAAGGAATCCTATAAAATACATAAGAACTAAAAGATGAAATAGCCATTTTAGGAAAGAACCAAAATGATTTCTAGAGCTGAAAAACTCACTACAAGAATACCAAAATACAATCAGAAGTATCAACACGAGAAGAGTCTAAGCTGAGAAGAGAATCTTACAGCTCAAAGACCAGTTCTTCATAGTAACTTAGTAAGACAAAAATTTAAAGAGGAGAATTTTAACAAATGAACAAATCTTCTGAGAAATATGGAATTATGTAAAGAGACCAAGCCTAAAACACATTGGCATCCCAGAAAGAGAGGGAGAGAGAACAAGCAAGATACATAGGCATCAGATTTTCCAAGGGCAACAAAAAAGAAAAAATAGTAATGGTAGCTAGAGAGAATGGGCAGGTCTCATACCAAGAGAACTTCATCAGGCAAACAGTGGACCTACTAGCAGAAATTTTAGAAGCTAGAAGAGATTGAGGACCTATATTCAGCATCCTTAAAGAAAAGAAATCCCAACCAAGAATTTCATATTCAGCCAAATCGATCTTCATAACAAAGGGAGAAATAAAATACTTTTTTCATAAGCAAACACTGGGGGAATTATCATGAGACCTGCCTTATAAGAAGTCCTTAAGGGAGTGCTAAACGTTGAAATGAAAAACCATTACCTACCACCACAAAAACACACTTAAGTGCATAGCCCACTGTCACTGTAAAGCATAATCTAGTCTACATAACCAAGTAACAACATGATAACAGGATCAAAAGCTTGCATATCAATAAATAACCTTAAAGGTAAATGGGCTAAATGCCTTGCTTAAAAGACACAGTGGCGAGTTGGATAAAGAAGCAAGACCCAACTGTAATGCTGTCTTTGACAGATCCATCTCACATGAAAGGGTACCTACAGGCTCATAGTAAAAGGATAGAGAAAGATCTATCAAGCAAATGGAAAACAAAAAAGAACAGTGGTTGCTATTCTTATTTCAGAAAAAAAGATACTTTAAAACAACAATGACCAAAAAGGACAAAGAAGGGCATTACATAATGACAGAAGGTTTAATGCAACAAGAAAACTTAACTATTGTAAATATATATGCACCCAACACTGGAGCACCAAAGTTCTTAAACAAGTTCTTAGAGACTCATGAAGAGACATATATAACCACACAATAATAGTGGAAGATTTCAACACTACACTGACAATTTTAGACAGATCATCAAGGCAGAAAACTAACAAAGATATTCAGTACCTAAACTTGACACTTGTCCAAATGGACCTAATAGACTTTTACAGAACACTACACTCAACAATAGAACATACATTCTTCTCATCTGCACATACCACATACTCTAAGATCAACCTCATGCTTGGCCCTAAAGCAATTCTCAAAAAATAATAATAATAATAAAAACAGAACCACATCAATCACACTCATAGCGCAATAACGATAGAACTCAATTCTAAGATTTCTCAAAACCATACAATTATATGGAAATTACACAACCTGATCCTGAATGACTTTTGGGTAAAGAATGAAATTAAGGCAGAAATCATGAAATTTTTTAAACTAATGAAAACAGAGACACAACATTCCTGAATCTCTGAGACACAGCTAAAGCAGTGTTAAGAGGAAAGTTTACAGTGCTAAATGCCTACATCAAAAAATTAGAAAAAATAAGCAACCTAACATCACACTGACAAGAACTGGAGAAAGAAGAGCAAACTAACTCCTAAGCTAGAAGACAAAAGATAACACAAAACCAGAGCTGAACTGAATGAACTTGAGATGTGAAAATCTATACAAAACATCAGCAAAAATAACATTTGGTTCTTTAAAAGAACAAATACAATTTATAGACCACTAGCTAGACAAATAAGGAAAAAATGAGAGAAGGTCCAAATAAACACAATCAGAAATGACAAAGGTGACATTACTGCCAATCCCACAGGGAAAACAAAACAAAACAAAACAAAACACCTCAGAGATGATTACAAACTCCTCTGTGTACACAAACTAGAAAACTTAGAAGAAATAAATAAGTTCCTGGAAACATAACCTCCCAAAATTGAACCAGGAAGGCATTGAATGCATGAACAGATCAATAATAAGTTCCAAAATTGAATCAGTAATAAAAAGCCTACCAAACACAAAAAGTCCTGGACCAGACAGATTCATTACTGAATTCTACCAGACAAATAAAGGAGAGCTGGTACCAACATACTAAAAAATATTTCAAAAAGTCAAGAAGGAGGGACTCTTCCTAACTCATTGTATGAGGCCAGTATCATTCTGATACCAAAATCTGGCAGAGACACAACTTCAGGCTAATATCACTGATGAACATAAAGGTAACAATCAATCCTCAACAAAATGCTAGCTATTAATAAAGCAAACAGGCAACCTACAGAATGGGAAAAAATATTTGTGAACTGTGCAAGGTTTAATATCCACAATCTATAATGTACTTAAATCAACAGGCAAAAACAAACAACCTTATTAAAAAATGGGCAAAGCCATCAATGAAAGACTGGGTAAAGAAAATGTGGCACATATGCACCATGAAATACTATGCAGCCATAAAAAGAATGAGTTCATGTCCTTTGCAGGTACATGGATGAAGCTGGAAACCACCATCCTCAGCAAACTAACACAGTAACAAAAAACCAAACACTGCATGTTCTTACTCATAAGTGGGAGCTGAACAATGAAAACACATGGACACATGAGGGGAACATCACAAACCGGGGCCTGACAGGGAGTTGGGGGAAAGGGGAGAGCATTAGGACAAATACCTAATGCATGTGGAGCTTAAAACCTAGATGATGGGTTGATAGGTGCAAAAAACCACCATGGCACAAGTATACCTACGTAACAAACCTGCAGGTTCAGCACATGTATCCCAGATCTTAAAGTAAAATTTTAAAAAAATTTTAAAAATGGGCAAAGGACGTGAACAGGCACTTCTCAAACGAAGATACGCACTCAAACCACAAGATACACCTTCCCACTCTTTCCTCCCCTTTCCACAGGCAGAGGACCCTAGCCCCATGGCCACCACCACCACCACAGGCCCTTAGGGAGTAACACCAGTCTATCATGGCCATTGATTTAAGGCCCAAGTGCTCTTCAGTCAGTTTGTGGTAAATGCTACCTGGCCTGGAACTCACCCTTCAGGGCAGCGGGTTCCCCTCTGCCCAGGGCAGGTCCAGAAATGCTGTCCAAGGGCCAACACCTAGAACTGGGCAAGCCAAGAGCCCACTTTGTGCTCTACCTGCACTTAAGGTATAAGCAAAGTCCCCTTTACTTTGTGCCCCACTTTTCTCAAGCAGAGGGAGTCTCTCACCATAGCCACCACAGCTGGAAATATGCTAAGTCTTGTCTGAAGCCAGAGCATCTCTGAATCTAACACAAGGTCCACAGCGTATTTCCTGGATATTGCTGCTGATTATACAGGACCCAAGGGCCCTTAATTCAGCAGGTAATGGGTCCTGTCGCAACTGGGTCTTTCCCTTCAATGTGGCCATCTCTTTCCTGAACCAGGTGTGTCTACAAATGTCATCTGGCAGCTAAAGCCTGCAGCGGGGAACCTTACAAGCCTACCTACTGCCCTATCTTACTGTCGCTGAGCTATTATCCAAGATGCAAAAGGAATTACTCTTTACTTTTTCCTCTTCTCTCCTCACGTGGAATGGAAGAAGTCTCTTTTGAAGCCAAGAGCTGTACTGCTTGGGGTTTGCAGACAGGTGGCATAGGCAGTCCCTTAGCCACCCAGACTGCTGTCTCAATAAGTCAGGTGCCCCCAGGTGCACTGACTGTGAGCCCAGCTCAACACTAGGGCTTGTCTAGGAGTTGCAGTCCTCGTGACCTAAACGGCCTTTCAAGTTTATTTAGAACCCCAAGAGCCTTTAGCCATGGTGGCAAGGTTTGTTAGAACTCAAGTTCCAACCACTGGCATGTGCAATTCTCCTCTGGTTAGGGCTGGTCTAAACGTTCTCTCCACAGGCAGGCATCAGTTGAGTTAGCCCAGTTTTGCTTTCTACTGCGACAGGGCAGCACTGAGTTTAATGCAAAGTCTCACAGTCACCATGCTCTCCCCCTCCCAAGAGCACAGATTTTCTGTGTCATATGGCTGCTGTTGTGGCTTGGAGGAGGGGTGGCATCGGCAGTTCAAGTCTCTTTCCTACCTTCTCTGGTGCCTATTCAGTGAAGTGAAGTTAAAACCAGGTGCTGTGAGTGCTCATCTGATTTTTGGTCTTATGAATGTGCTTATTGTGTGTGTAGATAGTTGTTAAATTTGGTGTTCCAGAAAAAAGTTAGAGATAAGACTTTCTGTTCAAGCACACATAGATCATTTATTTTTTAAAAGTCCATATATAAAACAAACGAAATGAGACAGTAATATTTTAATAGCTTTAAAACAGAAACCTACAAAGAAATAGGACAAAATAGAAAGTTTTTACTTTACAAACTGCATACTATTATTTCCATCTCCCCAACAAAAAAGGAGTAAACACACACAGACACACACATACACACGCAGGCACACCCCTACCCTATACCTTTTGAAACAATTCTAAATAACAACTGGCCAAAGAAAAATTATGTAGAAATTAGCAAATACATATTACTAAATGGCAAATATACACAATGTATCAAACTAGTGGTTTGCAGTTTAAGTGATTTAGATAAATGTATAGACTTGTGTACATGTGGACATGTATTAGAATTATCTAAATAAGGAAGTTAGGGGCCAGGCGCAGTGGCTCACGCCTGTAATCCCAGCACTTTGGCAGGCCGAGGCGAGTGGATCACCTGAGGTCAGGAGTTCGCGACCAGCCTGAACAACATGGTGAAACCCCGTCTCTACTAAAAATACAAAAAATTAGCCGGACGTGGTGGCAGGCGCCTGTGATCTCAGCTACTTGGGAGGCTGAGGCAGGAGAATCGCTTGTACCCAGGAGGGGGATGTTGCAGAGAGCCGAGATCGCGCCATTGCACTCCAGCCTGGGCAACAAGAGCGAAACTCTATCTCAAAAAAATAAAAAAAAGAAGTTAGGACAATTACAATTGAATAAACCTAATAACACATAAGGAAATAAGCAACATAAAAGCTTAAAAAAATGGGAAGTGAGGAAACAATAGTGCTGATCAAATAAGTAGACCCTTAACAATATTTATCATAAAAAATAAAGAAGAAACTTAAGGCTATAGTAATTACAATATAGAACTGTACCTCTAGTTACAACAGGCTTTTGAAATGTCACTTCATTTTTTTGGTAAACATACAGCTTAAATTTCTAAGACATCTATGAAAATATAAGTTATGAAAAATGAATATAACCAAACATAACTTAAAACCTAAAAAGACAGACAGAAATCGGGAACAGGATGGCCAAATAGAAGGCTCTGCTGATTGTTACGGCCAAAGGAACACCACTTAATATTTCCAGACTACAGGTAAGTGAAACTGCAGAAAGTAAAACCATGGATAAGGGGGGATTACTGTGCTTTCTAATAGATGTACTTAGATTAAACTTATCAAGGACTTACTAATCCTTATCAAGGATTAATCTTATGAAGGACTCTTTTCATCTCAAACTAAGCATATAAACTAGTCTATTTTCAGTAATCATATTGATTATCTCCAAGTTTTTTCTCATTATATTTTCCTAACATATTTTTTCTATCCATTTATGATCAACTCTTCTGTGTTAATATGTTTGAGATATATTAACTGTAAGCATATTGGCCTTGTATTTTTTTCTTGTCAGTTAATCTTGATATTTGAAATTATGATGTTAATTCATTTACAGTTAATGGAATTATGGAACTGATTGTGTTTATTTCTACAATTTTTTTGTTTTTCTCATTTATAAATTACTTTTTTATTTATTTTGTTTTTCTATGTTGTTTTCTGAACTTCAACTGAATTTATTACATTTTCTTAACCTTACATCCCAATGACTCATTTGAAAGGTTTACATTATTAGCTTTTTTCCTTTTATCAAATGAAACTAAACTTAAAACTTCCAAGTATATAAAGATAAAATCCTCATGCTGATGATTCTAAATGCTTTTAAAATTTCTCTCTCCCAAATCATAATGACATTTTACATCATTATAATTCTTCCTATATTTTTACCCTCAAATTTTATTGCAAATATTTATATTTAGTGCCTATTTTAATTTACTCCATGTAAGTAACAATTAATTTGCTCATTATTGATTCTTTTATCTCAATTCTTCCCTCTGGACTTATCATCTTTCTTACAAAAGCATAACATTGGGTAATTATTTCAGCCATAGTCTATGAATGGTAAACTTATTTTATTGATTTACTCTTCAGCTCTGGTAATACTGTCTTCAAAATGCCCCTGAACTTCTCAAAGCTTATTGTTTCCATTTCCATCGTAACCTTTCTTTTTGCATTCCTAGATTTATCTCTGCCATGTTCCTGATAACTTTCTGCCCCTAGTGACAGAAATTATCTTAGTCTTTCTGACTTCTTTTATATATCTTCTGTGTTAAAACAAATTATCTTACTGTAAACAAGACTAAAAGTAAAGGTTATGCTGCACCACTTATCTTACCTATTAGACATTGTATCTAATCATTTTCACCATATAAATATTTCAGCACACTGTCATTTTATGTAATTAAGAATCTGGTATATCAAATCCATATTTCACATCAATATGAATTTTGCTGTTGGTTTCAGCTTCTTTTTTAACCCAGCACTTCTACTAATGAACATAAAGATAGGCTGATTTTGTCTCCTCTCCTTTTTTTTTTTTTTTTTTTTTTTTTTTTTTATCTTCTTGAAGGAATCAAATGACTTTTAAACTCCCTAAGGTTGGGATGAGAGTTAGAATCTGGGTAATCCGCAAACTGGATAATCTTTTGCCCAACCTCTCACTCCTCAAATGACAGAGCGTTGCTAACTTGAAGCCAGTCATTTATTCTCACTAGATACTTGATAAGCAGCATCAAATCCCCCCATAACAGATTTGTGGTTCCTAGGAGGCCTCATCAGCGATCATGAGTGTTCCTTCCCGCATCTGCCTGACTTTGCCTTAGGACTCCTGCTGCTGACTGGGAAGATTAGTCAAGGCACTATGAGTGCCAGGGTGGAGAGGAGAAATTCTTTAACATCACCGGAGCAAGTTTTAAACAACAGAACAAAGAAGTAACTCATTCCACATATTTTTAAAAAGAATGATGCAAACTTCTATTCTAATTACTGGTTACTAAGATATGCTAAGTGGGACAGTTATGCTGTGTATTTTTTTTCTATTATCCAAGTTCCTTTTCCGACCTCCCTTTTAGCATCAGCATGATTTTGCTTTGAAATAGGTATATCCTTATGTCCCTGTTTTGCATGCTTTTCCCAGTGTACTAACATGACTGAAAATATACATAAAATTATGTTATGAAAATAGTGAATTATAAAAAGGGTGACTATAGGTTAATTTAAAATATTAAATGGTACAGTGAACAGAAAATTTCTTGAGAAGCTGCTACAATATTAGAGACCGGATGTATTTAAATGAGAGGTGTTTTCTGATTTATCAGTTGGATCAGGCACTTTTATTAATGAACATTGTAGAAATAAAAGGCAGAAACTAGAGAAGGTATAGCCACTTACATCATTTTTATATCTTACATGTAGGCAGAACTCTTAAAATGACTGTTGCTAGTTTTCTAGACCTGTCTCTTCTTGGGGTTTTCATTACTACCATTATCTTGATAGTAAAACATATAGGAGGGAAAAACCTCATTTCCTATCATGTAATCCCTAAATTCAATTATTGATATATCTTGAAAAGCATATGTTCCAAGCAAAGAACTCACTGTGGCAGAAAGATAAAATCATTTGAAACTGTTCTGCACCACCCAATAGCTATATGGCTGGAGCTAGCTAACACCTCTGAGCCTTAGTTAACACAAATGAAAAGTAGAAGGAATCACATCTGCCTTTTGAATATGTGGATTAAACAGATAAACCAGCTATCATAGGGCCTGGCTAATAGTACATCTTAAAACAAAGCAACCATTCCCTTTTATTTTCCCTTCTGCTTTACTCTGGAATATTTTGAGCAGCTGATGAAGATATGGTGTGTGACGCTGCTTTGCTAACCACCAGTTCTGTTTGAACTTTGAAAGAGTGGCACTTCAGTGGAGAGGAAGCCTGAAACTGAGAAGGTAATCAGTCAATAAAAATTCACATCTCTCCAATCACTACGACTTTGTCTTCAGAGCTCAATTTGGCCAAAATATAAATAATTAGTCAATGATGTTTGTGATTAAAAATCGAACCAACCAAACAGTATTTATCATGATTTAACTTTTTCCAGAAACAAACAAAAATGACAGTTAACAAATTTGTACTTATTTATCTATCTCCAATTTCTTATTTGGGTATTTCCACAACCATGTACTTTTTGACAGTTTTATTTCTATATAGCATACTCTTTCTTTTTGTACATTATCTGCACTCTCTCTTCCTTATATATAAAGAGTGTCAATGAAAGGAGAAATAGGAATTTAATGTAGTTTGGAGTTACTCATTTAGAAATTAATCTCATGAGTTATTTTAATAATTTTCCTTCATATCATTACTCAGGTTAAATCAGAACCCAAATACAAAAACTTGGCATGATATGCTTCAGATTTTTCATGAAAAAACGTTTAGAAAGAAAGCATTTGCTTTCACAATTTCTTTTTTGTTGTTGTGTTTTTTTTTTTTTTTACATCTTTACCCATAAATGAGCCTTAGTAGGGTGAATGTAGAAAGGACTTGGCTGAATTGGGACTCAAATTCTATTTCTGAGACCTTCTCCACTGTTTTAAAAAAAAGGCATTGCTAAAAATGAATAAAACAGCTTTGGTTTAGATTGCTTGGAAATCCTCCCCTCTGCTGCAATTACCGGATGAAATAGACATTAAGCTCAGAGGAGTTCTTCACTCAGTCTCTTTTGCTTCTTGCCTCTGTGAGGGACTGTTTTTCTGATGCCATTATTGGCAGATCGCCACATTGCACCTGCTGATCCACCTGCCTCTCACTGGCGTGCAGTATTTAAAATGTTACGCAATTAAAGTAAATGAGTTTAAAGGACTGGATTTGCACTACACCTCCTGGGGAGCTGTTGTTCATCCTTAGAAGTGCCTGATGACGGTTTGGGAAGCACTGCTGTTGGCCTGGCCCTGGGGTGCTGAATTGCTCCCCTTTGAAGAACTCTGTGGTGAATCTCCTCATAAGGATGCTAAATGGTGAGGAAGCATAAAGAGAGACATTTTGTACCCCAGGTATTTGGTCTTTATAGATTGAGACTAGGCAGCAAATGAAAGACTGCAAAGTAACTGGAACCATCTAACTGTTTCTTGATAAAATATAACTCTGTATCCATCCATTTTAATTTGTATTTATGAATTTCATTTTGATTATTTTCGGCAAACTTGTGTGCAAAATGCTAAGTAAAGACATCTCAAAATGGAAAAGTTATTTGCTTATCAGGACACATTTAATTGTCTCATCATTTTTGTGGTAGTCATTAATTATTCTTTATTACCTATCTTACTATTAGGCATGATGTGAAGTAAATTAAAATGAGATTTTTTTTTATAGTGCATTCTGTGCTTTTACACAGAAAGTCTGAGCATATCTAGGGACATTGAGTGAGTCCACAAAGCTATGCTTTTGAAAGTAAGTCGAATTCTTTATTCACTGAGAATATCTTTATCTACTAGGCACTTCCATGTTAAGGATACAAAAAATGCTCCTATCTCAAGGAATTTAACATGAATTTAGTGATTAGCAGCCACAGATAACTTATTTTTTCATCCTATGTACATTTTATGATTTTATGGTCCTTCAAAGGTAACAATGCCAAGTGTTACAAACAGTTATAAGAGAAGCACATAAAAGGATACATACAGAATTCTGGCTACTGGCCTGGCATGTAAAGAGTTTGGAAGTCATCATTCCCATCCTCACAATGAGAAAAAAGCTAAATTGAAAATCAACAACTCATCTTTGACCCAATAGAAAATTAAGGTCACAGGCCAAACTGCCGCCCCCAAAATTAGAGAGATAGAAAGGCAGATACAGCGACATACAATTACTGAAGCAGATACCTCTCCAGGGTCAAGCACCGGGATAGAAAAACATAAATGGTAATTAACAGATGACTGGAGACTTTATGTGGACAAGTTTGAGGTTAAACATTCTGGAAGGGCTCAGGAGGACTCAATATATTGGAAACAGCAAAGGAAAAAAATCAGTGAATCTGAAGAAATGTCAGTAGAAACTCCCAAAAATGTAAATGCAAAATAATAATAACAATAATAATAAAACAAGAAAGACAGAACAGAATTTCCAAAAAACAAGATAATAAAGGTGTAACAAACGTAATTGGAATACCAGGAAGGAGAAGAGAAAAAGGAACAAAATAAATATTTGAAGCCATAATCACTGAAAATTTTCCAAAATTAATGACACCAAGCAACTGACTCAGAAATCTCAGAGAACACCAAGCGGAGTAAACACCAAAAAAAATTTATCTGTGGGCATATCTCATTCAAACTTAAGAAAGTTAAAGAAAAATCTTAAAGAAGCTAGGGTGGTGTTGGGGGACCCTTACCTAAAGAGGATTGAGGTTCAGAATTATATTTAACTTCTGTTAGAAACTATATAAGCAAGAATATGAAGTGAAATATTAAACGTGTTGAAAGAAAAAAGTCCCATCAAACTAGAATTCTGTATTCAGCCAAATTAAGCTTCAAAAGTCAAGGAGAAATAAAGATTTTCTCAGACAAACAAAAATTGCAGAAATTTGTCACCAGTAGATCTGTGTGGCAAGAAATGTTAAAAGAAATTCTTCAGAATAAAAAAAAAATGATATGGATCAGAAACTCAGATCTACTTAAAGAAAGGAAGAACATTAGAGAAGGAATGAATTCAAGTACAATGAAATATTTTGTTTTCTTAACATACCATTTTATTCATAGAAATAATAATAGCAACAATATATTTGGTAATTACAACTTTTGAATAAGTGAAATATGTGACAATAATGATATAAGTAATGAATGAAAGAGATTAGGAATATTCTGTTGTAAGTTACTCACACTACTTGTGAAGCATATAGTATAACTTGAAAGAGGACTTGAATTATTTGTAAATGTGTATTGTGAACTCAATAGCAACTGCTAAAAAATGTAAAAGAAGAATCATATATGCTGAGAGGAGAGACACTGATGGAATCATTTAAAATGCCTACTTAAAACCAGAGAAGGCAGAAAAAGAATGTAAGACACACAAGAAAAGCAATAGAGAACAGTACATAAATATGGTAGGTATTAATCCAACTATAGTAATGATCATTTTAAATATCAAAGTTTTAAAATAATTAATTAAAAGAGAAGATCCAACCATATTCTGTCTATAAGAAATCTACTTTAACTATAAAGACACAAATAGATTAAAAGTAAGGGGCCAGAAAATAATATACCATGCTAACTTCTTTAAAGAAAAAAAAAACTGAAGTGGCTATATTAACTTCAAACAAAGTAGAATTCAGAGTAAAGAAAGTCATCAGAGATAAAGTGGGGCATTTTAAAATGATAAAAGGGTCAGTTCTACAAAAGAATAAGCAATCCTTAATGTGTATGCACCCGACAACAGAGCATAAAAATATGTGGTGAAAAACTGATGAAACTATAAGGAAAAATAGATTAATCAATCAGTTTAGTTGCAGACTTCAATACCTTCTATCATAAGAGATCTGGCAATAGAAAGTCAGTAAGACAAGGTAGAGTTCAACTAGACAACACATCAATCAACTGAATCCAAACATCTATAAAATAATTCCTCTGAAAACAGCAGAATAGACATTCTTTTCAAGCTCGCACTAGACATTCACCAATATGGTCTACAGTCTGAGCCAAAGATACACTTTAAGGTATTTTTAAAAATAGAAATAATACAAAGTATGCTTAGAGACCACAATGGAATTAAATTAGGAGTAATAGACAGATAGCTAGGTAACTCTAAAAATACTTGAAGATTAAACAAAACAACAGTGTGAAAATTCAGAGAAAATTTTCAAGAGACGTTTAAAAATATTTTAAAGTAAATTAAAATAATACAGCTTATCAAAATTTGTGGAAAAAATTGTAGAAAACCAATGCTTACAGGAAAATAAACAACCACAGATACATCTATCTACTAGGAAAGTTGAAAGATATAAAAATCATGTAAGCTTTCACCTTAGGAAACTGTAAGAAAAGGCAAATAAATCCAAAATAGGCAGAATAAGGAAAAGTGGAACACAAATAAATAAAATTGAAAATAAAAAGTAAAACAGAGAAAAATCAATAAAACCAAAAGCTGGCACTTAGGAAAAAAATCAATAAAATTGGTAATAATCTAGCTAGGTTATCTATGAAAAGAGAGAAGACACAAATTACTAACTTCAGAAATGAAGATGAGCCATTACTTCTAATACCATAGACGTTAAAAAGATAATAAAGGAATAGAGTAAACAACTCTATCTCTACAATTTTGATATCCTAGATGAAATAGACCAAGCTATTGAAAGATACGATCTAACAAAACTCACACAACAATTACAAAATCTGAATAGGCCTCTCTTCTAAAGCAAATGAGTAAATAATGATCTTTTGAAAGGTTATTTGTAAGCCGGGCACAGTGGCTCATGCCTGTAATCCCAGCACTTGGGAGGCCGAGGCGGGTGGATCACCTCAGGTCAGGAGTTTGAGACCAGCCTGGCCAATGTGGTGAAACTCGGTCTCTACTAAATATTCAAAAATTACTCGGACATGGTGGTGGGAGACTTTAATCCCAGCTACTCGGGAGGCTGAGGGAGGAGAATCACTTGAACCTGGGAGGTGGAGGTTGCAGTGAGCTGAGATTGTGCCACTGCACTCCAGCTTGGGCAACAAGAGTGAAACTCCATCAAAAAAAAATTATTTGTAAAGACTTTATTAAGAAAGATACTGTTAAGAGACTGAAGAAACAAGCCACAAACTGGAAGAAAAATATTTACAAGCACATATCTTATAAAAGACAGGTATCCAAAATACATGGAGAACACTTAAAACTTGTCAATAAGAAAACAAACCAATTAAAAAATGAACAAAGTATATGAATGAATAACTCATGCAAGAAGGTACGCAGATGGCAAACAAGCATATGAGAATATGCTCAAGATCATATGTCATTAGGGAATTGAGAATTGAAGGATCAATGAGGTGACAACTACATACATATTAGAATGGCTAAAATCCAAATCCCTGACAACACCAAATGTCGGTGAGGATGTGAAACAACAGAAACTCTCATTTATTTTTGGTAGAAATGCAAAATGGTACAGCCACTTTGGAAGACAATTTGGCAATTTTTTACAAAACTAAACATAATCTTAGCATATGGTCCAACATTACATTCCTTGGAATTTACCCAAATTAGTTGGAAACTTATATCTGCACAAAAACCTTTGCAGAAATATTTATTACAGCATTATTCATAATTACCAAAACTTGGAAGCAATCAAAATGTCTTTCAACAGATGAATGGATAAACAAACGGTGAGATATTCATACAATAGTATATTATTCAGCACTAAAAATAAATGAGCTATCAAACCTCGAAAAGGCATGAAAAAAGCCTAAATATACATTGTTAAATGAAAAAAGCCAATATAAAAAAGGTACCTACTACATGATTCCAAATGCATGACATTCTGGAAAAAACAAAACTATGGACACAGTGGAAAGGTAAGTGGTTGCCAGATGTTTATAGAGAGGGAGGTAAAGTGAATTCATAGAGCATAGGTGATTTTTAGAGCAGTGATATTATTCTGCATAATACTGTGGATACATATCATTATACATTTGTCAAAACCCACAGAATGTACAAAGAGTGAGCCCTAGTGTAAATTATGGTCTTTTAAAAATTAAAAATATATTAATATTGGCTCATCAATTGTAAAAAATGTGCCTTACCAATGTAAGATATTAATAACAGGAGAATCTGGGAAGGGGGAATGAGGCGGTAGATGGGAACTCTGTACTTTTTACCCAACTCTTTTGGTAAACCTAAAACTGTTAAAATAGAGTCTATTAACTAAGTAAAAATAATGCATGCACTATATTTTGACTAGTGGAATGTTAGTAACATATACTGGACATCATGGGAGCAGAGGAGAAAGCAAACACAGATGTGACATTAGCAAATGTCTCCAGAGGAGATGGTACCTGAATTTATTCACAACAATAAAATGAGTTTATCCATGGAAAGGACATTCCAGATAGGGTGAACCGTATGAGCAAGGATAGATAGATAAAATTATTCCAATGACTAGTTTTACTGTAGTGTGGCATGAAGCAGAGTGGTGAGAACTATGCTTGGATACGTTGACAGAGACCACTATCTGAAGAACTTACTTGCCTTGGAGAAGCCTAAGCTCCTGTAGATAGATACTGGAGGCTATGGCTGAGTTTGTTCAGGGAGGTGGCATGGTATATTGAAGGCCTGGAGTTAATGTCAGCCCATACCAGGATTGCTGAAGAATTCTTAGGTTAATATTTTTTAAATGCGATCACAGGTATAAGGAAGACAGTAATGAGGTAAGGAATTTCTAGGGATCTGCACTACCAAATATAAAGTACAGAATCTTTTGAGGGCTACATACTGGATTTTTGTTGAATGCATTTCTGCATTGCTTTTGTTCTGTAGCATTCTAAAGTAGTATAGAATATGATACTATGAAAAGGCTTGAATTTTCATAAATTAAAATTTGTAATAGAAATAATAGATAATCAGAGAAAGACATTTCCTAATACTCATGAATAGTAGCATAAATATCAATGTGGATTTTGTCATTACATTCAATGGCAAAAACCGCAATTACTTTTTCACCAAACAAATATGTTTACAAACATATGACTATAAATATTATGTATACATCTACACAGAAAAAATATTTCTCCATATGGCAATTAGAACTTACCCCCTCCTGAATTTTGTTTCTGTAAGCTAGTTGTACAGTATATAACGCACAATTTGTTTCACAGCTTGCAGAAAAACAGAACAAATATCAATTAGCATTTTACTCTTTACTCTTTCAGGAAAAATAATATAGACTAATTAAAGTTTCCTCCTGGGTTTGTCTATGTGCATTCTAATGAACTGGCACACACAAAACATTGAACTGATATTAGAAAAATGTACACTTTATACGTAAATTATTACCCTTGAGTGTGAAAATAAAGATAATTTTAGCTAATTATAAAGAAATATGTCAAATGAAGGGTCTACATAGTTTCTAATTTTAACACTTTATTTTAATGCCAATTTTAAAGCTGATTTGTATTTTAAGCTTTAATATATCTCACTAGAAAAGGCCTCATTAAGAAAAACTCTATATTTTATCTGCTTTCTAAATTATGTATATTTAGTAAAATCTTATTAAATGATCTTTTATATAGTAGTGGATAAATAGAAATTTCAGTGACTTGAAATTGATTTTAACTCAGGAAGCTGAGAAAAAAAAGTTTATATATTTTTATGATAAACACAATTATTGTTAAGTTGTGTATTTACTTTGGGGTATCACTTACATGAAAACTATTTTCATCAAGGTCTTAGAAATAATTTAAAATAATTCAAAAACTTTTCCAAATAATGCTATATACTAATTTAATATCCTTCCCAATTTATTTAACACAATTTGGGGGTAGAGTTTATAGCATTATTTTTATTATTATTTTGAGTATCGTATGAAAATTAAAGCAGCTTCACTTTAAGAAGTATTAATTTCTGTAGACTTTTATTAATTCAGATCAATTTTCGCTCAAGTCAAACTAGAGATATTAATAATTATAATTACTACATTTTTAAGCATATATACAACCATATTGCAAAAGTGTACATTTTTCTTTCTAGCAACAATTTTAGTATTTTGTAAAAAATTTCTCTTCAAGCTCACTGAAGTGTTATTTGCCAATTTATCAATTATATATATATATATAGTGTTAATTGCCTTTAGAAATTGTCTCCACAAATCCTCAATTTACTATTGGAGAGTAAATCTCACCTGCCAATCTTGAATCTTTCACAGAGTTGCTCAAGTTGTGTGATTTCTTTCCACTAACACAAAGAAAGACTAAATTTATCATTCGGTTCAGAAACTAAATCTGTCTAGTGCTTGATGAGGTGTATCTTCTTATTTATCCTCTTTTAAGATTAAGGAAACAGACAGTTAGCTGAAGGGGAATGACTTTCCAAAGGTTAAACTTGCTGAATGACTGTAGGTAAATCATAAGTCCTCTGAGTGAATGATAGAAAATAAAGTATTGATAATTTTCCTGAAATTCTCACTGAGATACACCTCTAAGAGCTATGCTTTCTACAGTATTTCCATTTCCATCCACAATCTTGATCCAGGTCCATATTCCCAAATGTTTTTGCTGTAACAAGTTTCTTTTTAAAGTTTTTCTGAATATTTACTCTCTTCCTTCAATATCTTGTATACTACCTTTGGTAACATCTTCTTTGGTATGTACTTTTAATTTCTTTTCAAAGATATAGAGTTGTTCAAAATAATTTACCATAATGTATCTTCCCCATTTGCAGTAAATGTTAACACTGAATTAAAAGACCTGCAAATTGCTCTTGATGATTTAATTTTTTACATCCTACATCCATATCATTGGGCACTGTTGATTTACCTATAAGATCTATCATCAGTCTATCTAGTTTTTCTTAGACATTGCCGGGGCTTGTGACCAGCTCATTTGCATGGTTTCCCAGGAATATAGCACTGCCCTTCAAGCTGACACCATTTCCACTCTTTCCTACATTTCCCACATTTATTCAGTAGCTAAAGTAAATTTTTTGAAATGTAAATAAGATCATGTGAATGATCTTCAAACTTGCTTAATACTCTCCAATACCTTTCTATTGCACTTAAAATGGCACCTCAAATCTTATCATACCTATAATTCTGCTTGATTTCTCCCTTGATTTTCTCTCCAAAACTTTCTTCTGCTCCCAATTTTTCCTCCTCATTCTTCTCTGGTTATATTACTATGTGATGTCACGAATCACTCCCAAGCCCTTTTTCTTTAGTTTGATTTATAGATCAGCTTCGATTCATTCTTCAAAGTGACTCATTCAGGACTCCCATGTAACATTTAAGGTTTTCATTAATAGGGTGAAATTTTCAAGGTGAATAAATGAACCAAGATATTTTACTCCAAGTAAACAAAAGGGTGATTATGTTTGTTTCCTAGTTCCTTATGCCAGCTTGTATGGCAGCAACCTCAATGAGATGTGACTTCTCATTTGCTTTTCTGTGTGCCACACTCATTCAGACCCCTATGCTTTCTTCAGCTCTTACATTTGGTTCCACTTGCATTTCACTTTTACTTGTCTAAATTTTCCTGTTGGACCTGATTTTGTTTTCTTTATCTTAAGGCTCTTTCTGAATATCAATAATCTTTCTGTAAATTCTATTTCCTCTTCTAGTAAATTCTACTCAATGTAGCACTTAATTATTTTCAGTGGATTTCCATAAATTAGTTTACTTTCCCCCAAAAAAGTGCTTTGATAGCAATTATTTATTTTCATCTCTACACAATCCAAAGAATATATTCATTCTGTCATTCTCCAAATCTTAAATATTTATCTGGTCTTAATACAGATATACATTTCCAATATGCTTAAACAGTCCCTCTACATTATTTTCGTGATTTAATAGAATTATATTGTTATAATTTCTCCTGTTATGTTTGCATCCATTACATTATGCTTTCTTAATATTTAATACATTATTCTCAAACTAAGTTTTTATCTTTCTTAAAAGTAATGCAGACCTTAAAAGTACTACTTAAAAGTAATGCAGAGTTATTACTTTTTACGATATTAAATGTGCTTATTATGTAAAATTGAAAAATATAGTATTTTAAAAATTACCAAGTATGCTTTTATCATCTAAGGAAAAAGCATTTGACTCTCATGTGCATATTACCATGTCATATATCTAATTGTATAAGGCTTCTCAGAATAATCATCCTTAGTACAAATCTGAAAATATCACACCCACTCCTAAAGCCATTAATGCACTTCTTTTCCAAAGAAATTAAACATAAACTATGTGGCTTGCAATCAAGGCTGCCGTGATTTGGCCGAGCAGTATTCTCCTTGTCCTAAGGCCCACTGCAGTATTTTATGCAACATTCACAATAGTCAAGTTTCCCTAAGTATACCCTTAAGATAACAAAACAAAGCAAAAACTGCTGTGGTCAAATTAGTCCTTGGATGTTCACAGTCTTAACCATTTTCAGATGTAATTTAGTAAAGCAACCTGTTTAGTGAATAACCCAGCATTTCTGAAGCTTATTTATTTTCTTGACACTTTTGACCCTTCTTTGTGTTACATCCAAGAAACAAATTTTGCAAAACCACATGCATTTTCTGTTTTTCCATATCTTTGGCGTAAAAATATAGAAGAAAAAAACATCGTACTAAGGATCCTTCTATCCAGCTCAGATATCTCAGTCATATCAATTTTTTAAAATTAAAGTTTGTAAGATCATATTCAAATGGGAGCCACAGTCAAGAAGGGAGCTAGCAAGGCAATCATTATGTAGTGAACCTACCATTTACAGTGTTGACCCTTAAGATTGATCAGAAACCTGAAGTCGTATGTAGACCAACAGGAAGGTATTTCCCAATGGCATATATCCTTTGGTCTTGCTAATAAGAGTAATTTATAAAAACATAATTAAATTTATTAATTGGAACGAATTTATTAATTTTCTATGATAGCTCTCTTGTGTTCCAGAATATGTGTGAATGTGTGTGATACCATAGCCAGCATATCTCCTTTCTTAGGTAAAATCACTAAAAAAGTCAATAGAGATGCAGAATGCCAGTTTAATAATTTACAAAGATAATGCTGAATATATTTGTAAAAAATATAAATGACCAATCTTAACATACATCTATAAGAAAATCCAAATCATAATAGGAGGAGGGAATGGATTAGTACAAAAGAAACAAGACAAATTAAAATATCTAATACATATTAAGTTGGTGAATTCTTCCTAAAAATGGTAATGATATATTATTCAAAAGTCTTTCTGTTGCAAATTAAAAGTCTCAAACTAGCTTCAGTGTTTTTTGTTGTTGTTTTTAAAGAATGTATTGCCTCATGAAAATTAGAAAACTAAGCGATGGAACTAGCTTCAAGAATAGCTTGATCTGGAAATTCTAACAATTTTATCATGCTGAGAGAGATCACAGAACTCAGTCAATTTAACACAACCAGTCAGCAGGAAAGATGAAAGGCCTCTCCAAGTCATTAGATTTCTTGCTTTATTCTCTATTTTCAGTACGTCCTTTATTTTATTTTTATTTTTGAGGGATTCCATATTAATAAAAACATATTTACATATGCAATTTTATTAGGACTATAATATGCAGACCACCAAAATACTAATTGTAGTATTTTTATAATCGTATCTGATATTTATATAACATCAGACACCGGAAAGCTATTTTGTCCATCTTTTCTGTGGCAGAAATAACAGTACATTTGAATAGACATTATTTTAAGATGATGGAGTTGATATTTTTTCCACCAAAAATTTTAACTTATTATATCTCTAAACTGTCATAAAACAAAAAAAAATGGTCCCGTCCTATTTCAAGGGTCATAAAGTATTGAATAATGAGCACAAAAAGCATTGCCAAAATAAAGGTATGAAAGTCTCAAAAAAAATCAAAGCCAGTTAATGTACAAATTGTGGATTTGTTTTCCCTATTACCAATATGAAGATACACAAAATATAGATTGCTCTGTTTCTATACAGTACATACTGAGTCTTTCTTGAGCATTATCTTTTCTTTCAAGGGATGAATGCATAATGATTTTGGTGGGGTGGAGGAATAGGATCACAGTCAGTATTCTTTTTTTTTTTTTTTTTTTTTTTTTTTTTGAGACAGTCTCGCTCTGTCGCCCAGGCCGGACTGCGGACTGCAGTGGCGCAATCTCGGCTCACTGCAAGCTCCGCTTCCCGGGTTCACGCCATTCTCCTGCCTCAGCCTCCCGAGTAGCTGGGACTACAGGCGCCCGCCACCGCGCCCGGCTAATTTTTTGTATTTTTAGTAGAGACGGGGTTTCACCTTGTAAGCCAGGATGGTCTCTATCTCCCGACCTCATGATCCACCCGCCTCGGCCTCCCAAAGTGCTGGGATTACAGGCGTGAGCCACCGCGCCCGGCCCACAGTCAGTATTCTTAAAATTGAGTTTAGCCTGTCAAATTCATTGTGATCTGTATGATATCTTGTGTCCAGTGGGATCAAACAAAGTATAGCAAGGTAATATTCATTAAAAGAATTCCGACCTCCACATTCACAACCCTTTATAGAAAAGGTAATTGTCATTTATAGTTTATTCTATTTTTTGAGTAAATAATACATAAATTACAATCGGAGCTACAAAGAGAACTATCTCAGTGCTGATTTGAAATTCAGCAAACACGCCAGCTTATGCTTTCAGGTGGCAAAAGCTCCAAGGTTCCCTGGCTTCTTTTGTGTTCCTAGGCTTGTAGAGTGCTAGGAGCTGACAGATGCTTATCAAACATTCATGTAAACACTGCTATCAAAGCTGTACTCTCCAGCTCTGTCTTCACACAAGAGGGTCAACATGGAACATCATTAACATTGGGCTAGAGAGAGAAATGTCATGCCACAAGGTTTGTAATGCGAGAGAATGCCCACGCTGCTGTTCTAAGATATAGCACCCACATTGTTAACTTTGCTGACATGAAAGATGAGTGCAGAGGCAGTGTTTAAAACATTGAGTGTTTATTTGAGCATGAATTCTGTTAGGCATTTTCGTTTTTCCTTTCTCAAGTTAAAATAGAGTTTGGGCTTCTTTAGTTTTTAACTGAGAGGATGAGGTTCAAATCTGAGAATTAATTAATAATGCCTTCATGAACAAAGGAAATATCTCTGTGCCTTTACTACTTTGGCAGCAATAATAATACAGGAGGCAAAAAGTTGAATTCTCCAGGTCTGGGATCACTGAGAACATCTTGAAGAACTCCTTTTGTTCTTCACTTTCTCCAAGTCTATAGGCCTATAGAATTCTTAATGTGCAGGGATCACACTACTTTTTAGGATGACTCCTCACTAAGCAATAGGCTCTAAAGTTATAGTCGGCAAAGTAACCTTACCTTTCCACCACCAATATTTAGGATATGGTTTTCCTTCCTTCTGAATTAATGCCCTAATTTTCACCTGAGAAGATTGTAACTTAGCTCACTTACTTACCAGCTTCACATACTTAACAGCTTCCCTACGGCCTGTATCAGATATTCTCCCAGTTGCCTATACAGTTGACCCTTGAACAATGCAAGGATTAGGAAAGCTGACTGCTTCAACAGTCAAAAATACATGAAAAACTTTTGACTCTTTAAAAAGTTTACTACTAATAAATAGCCTACTGTTGACCAGAAGCCTTACCCATAACATAAACAGTTGATTAATGTATATTCTGTGTTATATAGTGTATCATTATAATAAAGTAAGCTAGATAAAGAAAATCATAAGGGGGAAATATATACTTACTATTCATTAGGTGGAAGTGGGTCATCATAAAGGTCTTTATCCTCTTTGTCTTCCTGTTGAGTAGGCTGTGGAGAAAGAACAAGAGGAGGGGTTGGTCTTGCTGTCTCAGGGGTGGCAGAGTTGGAAGAGGTAAAGGAGATAGAAGGGGAGGCAGGAGAGGCAGGCACACTTGGAGTAACTTTTGTTGAAAAAAATCCATATATAAGTGAACCCGTGAAGTTCAAATCTGTGTTGTTCAAGGGTCAGCTGTACAGTAGGTCCCCTCTTATCCACGGGATATGTATTTTAAGACCACTAGTGGATGCCTGAAACCATGGAGCCCTTCATATGTTATGCCCTAAATATATTATGTTTTTTTCCTATACATACATACATACCTATAATAAAGTTTAATTTATAAATTAGGCATAGTAAGATTAACAACTAATAATACAATGTAACAACTATAACAATGTACTATAATAAAACTTATGTGAATGTGGTCTCTTTCAAAATTTCTTATTGTACTGTACTCATCCTTCTTCTTGTGATAATGTGGGATAATAACCCAGATGGCTACTAAGTGACTAACAAGCAGGTAGCATACAAAGTGTGGATATGATAGACAGAGCAATGATTGAAGTCCTGCATATAATAAAGCAGTATGGTGCAAAGCTTCATCATGCTACTCAGAATGGAACACGATTTAAAATTATAAATTGTTTATTTACAATTGTGTTCCTTTTAATATTTCTGACTGCAGTTGACCATGGCTATTGGAAACTATGGAAAGCAAAACCACAGATTAGGGGCAACTACTGTAATAGCACAGGGATGGGAGTTCTTACAGAAATAGCTTGAGCATCACCTGGGTACTTAGAAATACAAGAAGCCATTTCCTGGGACACAGAAGGTTGGGAGTAATTTGGGAAACAAAAGGTATTTCTTAACCATTACTGTTTTCCAGGAGCCCAAGATCTCACCAAAGTTCAACATTTTCTAATCCTACTTTAGGCTTACTGAATTAGAAACTCTGGGGTAAAAATACAGCAAGTGTGGTTTAATAAGCCATACAGGGGATTCTCATGTACGCTAAAGTTTGAGAACGATAGCATTAGGCTTTGCCTTCCAGTCCTGCCCATTCATTTGGCTGTCTGGTATGTTTCAACATTTTGCAGATGATTTCTTCCCCCCTGCTCCTTTACCCTCTCCTTGCAGTTCTCCTTTCTCTATAAATGGGTTCTAGTCTCCTGTAACTATTATGTAGTTTCTAAGACCTCATCATGTTTGGCTGAAGAACCTTTATTCTGACACTGCTAATACTTTTGAATTATATTTCTCCTACTCCTCAGTTACCATCGTTGTCAGACAACCATCAGGTAATGATATTTTCCCATCCATCTCTATGTCCAAATCAGATTCATAAGCAAATTTTTTTCTGGAGAATTAGGTAATTGAGATACTGCCTGTGACTTCAGATACTGGTACGTAGAATGTTTACAACTGAATGCTTCAACTGTGTTCCTAGATTATTGTTCCAGCTTATGGATATTTTGAGCTTATCCAAATAAATTAATATATGTATTATATACTATATATAATATATATTATTATTAGCTTTTGTTTTATGAGCATACTAGAAAATAGAGATTTCAGCCTTGAAGATCTGTTTTGGGTTGTTGGCTAAAAATAAAGTGAATAGAATATTAGGAATAATTATATTCCATGCTTTTAGCCTCTTTTTTCTTTCTCTTTGTCTAATCTTTTTTTTTTTTTTTTGGCAGAGGATGGTGTGCTATTTCCAATTATGAGATACCATACTTCTATTTATTTGATTTGATTTTCTTAAAATGTATTCATTGCCTCTTGGGCTCTCAGTCTATGGACAAAATACACATTCAATATTTTAAGCACAAACATCTTATTTGTTGGTAATGGAAAAAGTCAGCCCTCAGCTCTCCTCTCAGGATGGTGCAACCAGAGAATGGGCATTTCTAAAATATTTGTGTTGGTTTGTAAACCTATGGTTTATTGTGATTCTTAAGCCTATTATGGTAGGTAGTTAGGCAGATATAAGCAGGGCAGTAGAGGGACTTCTCTTTACCAGGAATGTTAGGGGACCATCAGGTGATAATCATGTGCTTGCTAACTATCTCTCTAAAATAGTAATCAGTCACAGCCTGCACCAAGGAAAGGCAGACTCTCAATAGATGGAAGCACCTAAAGCTGATGATCAGCGGCTTCCTGATAAGATCTTAAGAGTTGGGCAAGTGTGGGCGCAAGCACATGCACTAAATGGCAAAATGGTGGAGTTTAACTCGTGCATGACTTTATAGGAATACTTGGCTGGTAAGGGAAGAACACCTCAAGTGGGCATGAGTCCAACTCCAATAAACACTGTGCATGTGGAGGGCCCACCCGAAGTAAAGAATCAGGGGAAAATTAACACAACCCTGGAAGCATGCCAATGCCTTAATGGGGTCTTATGACCCCAAATTAAAGGTCAAACTGTGCACTTGATCTCTCAAGTCACCAACTTGGCCCTGTTGCAAGTGTACTTTTTTTATTCCTGCTCTAAAACTTTTTAATAAATTTTCACACCTGCTCTAAAACTTGGCTCAGTCTCTCACTCTGCCTTATGTCCACGAGTTGAATTCTTTCTTGTACAGAAGCAAGAATTGAGGTTGCTGCAGATCCATATGGATTCACTGCTAATAACAAGCCTAAATTTAGATAGTTTTGCTCAATTGAAAGAGTCTACTTCTACTGACCAAACTGATAGGAGAAAGTAGTGTTTAGGATTTATTTGGTCCCACACACACACACACACAAATATATTTACTTTCTTTTTATTCAGAAAGCAGAAATATGAAACACTGATACAAGTTCAAAAGTGAAAATCTTCTTTATATTTTCCAATTAGGTCACATTATGTAGGCTTGTATCATGGCTTCAGTGTGGGCTGGTCCAGGCCTGACTATAGGGTCTATAGCACAAAAAGTGAGTTAAAACTAAATATGAAAAAAAAGTCATATATAAGCCAGTTATTGATTAGGAAGTTTAGGAGTCAAAATATTAGAAAAATATCTCAATGACTTGAAATAGTGGCTTGGCTATTACTTCCTAAATATGTTGCTGTTTTAATGCAAGTGAAAATGTTTTGTTTTTGAGTTTGTATTCCTACTCTTGGAGTCAAACACTTTATTTTAGTTGTTTTCTCTAGTACAGTATTTGCCTCCCTAATTCTACATAATGGCAATAGAATTCTTTTTCTTGATTAAATTTTCTATTGAATTCCTTTTACTATGTTTGAGGTTCCTATTCTTACACCATTACCTCCCTTACTTCCATCTTCCCAGTGTAACTATACCTGTTGGCTATGAGATAGTCACTGTTATATTATGCTTTATATCTAAATATTGTTACAACTGAAACAAGAATTATAATTTGTTTTTTCTTTTCTATATTTTTCCCTCACAGTTAATAATTGTTTCATTTGATTTACTTTTTCTCACTTCTTCCTGATGCTCTCCACTTCAACAGATCTGTAAAGAAACTATCAATATATTTTCAAAATATTATGTTGTATTATTACTTTACCTACTTTTGCCCAAACAATTAACATCCTATATAGCTCTTGATTCTTCTACCATCTTGACAAGAGCTCTGTAATCTTATTTTATAAATGATACCTCGCTCTTCTCTTCACCTCTCTCTTGGGTTAGGCTTTGCTTTTCCATCTTAGTGTTTGTCCTCACCGTGTGACATATATCCTCTACCTTCTTCCTAAGGAAGAATGCACATAGGTAAAGCTTATAAGCTTACATATTGTTTCATAGATACAAAGATTCTCTTGATTACAGGACACAATACAATTACACTTGAATAAAGGAAAAGGAAGACACGTTGTTATTTACAGCTCTGAAAAGGTGAAGGCTACCATGCAGAGGCCACACACAGGGGTTGCATCTAGAGATAGAATACCAGTGAGCTGGGGCTGTAGGGGGCAGTTTATATGTGCAAGAGGTGGTTAGCTAAATTTTACTTAGCTAACCATCCAACTCCCTGTGGACTGGCTAATTTGAATAATTTCCCAGGCTCTGGGGAATAGGAGCTCTCTCTAGTTATCTGGTACCTGGCTCTGGATGATGAAGGCAGGTGCATAGTGGCCTCATAGTGTAGGAGCCAGATAAGGTAAATGGTTTGAGTGTGAAGTTAATCATCTGCTCAAGAATTGGAACTGACATTCTCCTAGCCAGAAAACCACAGAAAGCAAATGCATCTTATTAAATTATTATATGTTTAATACCCTTCATGTGCTTATCCTCAATGTCAGCTTCTTTCTCTGCCGACCCCCACTGCCAAAGTATCCACTATCTTCACTATTTTAGTAATTATTTCCTTTTTTTATGGTTTTATTATACAAATGTGCATTCTAGGACACTGTAGTTTAGTTTTGCTCAATCTAAACTCAATATGTATTGCAGGTTTCTTATAATCTACAGTTTTCCCCTTTATTCCTTTATTTTCCTCAGAATGTATGTGTTGAAAAACTGGGCTATTCGACCTGTAGAGTTTTCCACAGTCTAACTTTTGCTGATTTCATACCAGCAGTAGAGTTTTACATAATTTCATCTTCTCTCTTTCACCTGAAAATAATCAGCTAGATCCAGAGCCTTTTATCATACTATGGTTTAATTATTTTGGCAAGATTATGGACGATATTGCATCCTATCATCAGGAGGTACATTATAGTTAATTTTTCCTATATTGAGTTATTTTGGTTCTCTTCTGAGATCACTTTCTCTATCCTACAGCATCTCACACCTTTTTTCTTTCATTGTTATTTCGATCATGCCTAATTCTAGACCCCTTTCTTTAATAATTGTGCAAAATTCTTAGGTTGACTCAAGATAAAAACTTATTGAACTTTCTTTATCCCATTCTGACCTACCCAAACAAAGCAGTTGTACTTCTTGGAAATGTTCTTGATAAAAATATCATTAAATCTTCTTCATTATTCCATTATTCCAGATGCTTTCCACTGGCATCCTTTGGAAGTTAACAAGATTTCAAAGTTCAAATTTCTATTATAGTGTATTGTGATTAGCTAAAATTTACAGATATTTTATAGATTCCTCTCAAATATGTGCCATTTATGCTTTCCAATTCATATCGTTGCCAACCTGTTCATTATATTTTAATTAAAAAGTAAAAACAAAAGAAATAATAAAAGGGAAAGACTTTTGAGGTGATTTTATTTTTCATTTATGCATGCCTTGTCTCTCAAATAAACAAAAATATGTGAAGGAAATAACCACCCTTTATACTGTGAAAGAAACTGCATTAGAGACAGTAGATACTTGAGGAAGTATGTTTTAAGAGAAAAAAGGAGGAATTATATTTTCAGTCATGATGTAGTAACTGGATCCAAACTTACTCTCTCAAAATAAGTAACACAGAAAATTATACCAAATATACAACAATGATTTTCAGGCATAATAAAACAAGCAGAACAGAACTGAAATCTCCTGAGGAAAAAAAGAATGTAATGAGCTGAGTCCTACAATCACTCTCCCTTTCTGCTTGGTGGCACCTGCAAGGCTATGAGGCAAGAAAAAGAATCCCAAAGTGTGACCAGCAGATTTAGTGAATTTAAGAGAAAGAATATGGAGTTTAGAGAGAAGTTGGGAAATGAATCCACGGAGAAGATTATGGAAGAGAAGAAAGCTATGAAGAGTAGGAAATCCCCACAGTAAGCCTAATCTATCCCTCTCTAACAAAGTTAAGATAAGCAAAAAGCAGTGGAGCAGATCATCAAGTAACTTAACTGCAAATCAAAACAAAATTCCTTTAAGGAGGAAAAAACAAAATACAGATTATATCATTCAAAGACACAAAATGTGTAATACCCAAAATATATCAAAAATTGTATAACATGCACAAAATCAAGAAAATTCAAACCATACAGAAAGAAAAATTTGTAGGTATCAATGAATCCAAACAGAACAAATGTGATAGAATTTAATTAAAAACTATATTTCCAGAGACCCAAATACCTAGAGAAACAAGCAGAAGAATCACGAAGAAAACCATCCAGAGCACATCATAATCAAGTTGCTTAAACCAGTGATAAAGAGAAAATCTCAAACACATCCAGAGGAAAAGGCACATAATTAAGCAAGTGACCTTGAGAAACCAACAATATAAGCTTCATATTTCTCTTACAGGTAAAATGCAAAAAACTAATATCTACCTCATATAGTATTGTTAGGATTAAACATGTTGTAAAATATGGTAATGACAAAGACAAATTAAGCAATCTCTTGTTAGGATGATTTAAAATTGCATATATTTATAAAAAATGAGAGTTACTTAAAAATATGGTTTTCCCCAAAATGTAACCTAAACAAGAGTAAAATTCATCATTAACTAGAGGAAGCATTACTTTTTTGGGACAAACTAAATCATGTCTTCTCCACAAAAACATAAGAACGAAATGTACGCAATTAATTACTTATTACTGAGACCTAGACCAAATTTTTTTCTAGTACATTTACAATTCTTGATGTATTTTCTGAATGCACTGATCCTATGACAAGTAAAGCCAAATGTTTTACCAGAACCATCATAAAAATTCCTTGAGGAAGAGAAGATAATTACATGGCTTTGGGTTGGGGTAGACAAAAAAGGACAGAAAATGCATGCATACAGTCACTCATTCATTCATCCAATGCTTAATAAGCTGCCACATTGTTCCAGAAATTTTTCTAGGGGTATAGAATAAGTGACTGAACAAAACAGAGATTTCTTCCCTTGTGGGACTTATATTATGATTGGGAGAAGAGATGAATTAAACCATAGATATCAATAATTAAATTATATAAGATGTAAAAATTTGAGAGCTCTACAGAAAAACAAAGTAGAGCAGTATAGAAGTTCCTAGGTGGGAGACATAGTCTGTAATTGTAAGTGGAGGTAGTCATTTTGACCTCAGTAAGTAGGTGACATTTGAGCAAAGATTCTCAAACACGGAATACTAAATGATGAGTTCACGTCCTTTGTAGGGACATGGATGAAGCTGGAAACCATCATTCTCAGCAAACTACCGCAAGGACAAAAAAACAAACACCACATGTTCTCACTCACAGGTGGGAATTGAACAATGAGAACACATGGACACAGGAAGGGGAACATCACACCCCAGGGCCTGTTGTAGGGTGGGGGGAGGGGGGAGGGATAGCATTAGGAGATATACCTAATGTTAAATGACGAGTTACTGGGTGCAGCACACCAACATGGCACATGTATACATATGTAACAAACCTGCACGTTGTGCACATGTACCCTAGAACTTAAAGTATAATAAAAATAAATAAATAAATAAATAAATAAATAATAAAAATAAAATCACAAAATCATTCCACAAAAAAAAGAAGGTGTCACCGTTAGAGAAATCAAGAGAAACATCAATTCAGAGGGAGAAAATAACCAGTACGTAGTTCTGAGCATGAGAGCCTGCCTGAGAAGTACTTCAGTACAACTTGAGTCAGTGAAATAATTTCTATGACATAATAATTAAGTCACTAAATGTACCATATAATCAAAGATTGGGTTTCTAAAAGGGCCATAAATCTTGAATTATATCCTTGGATATGGAAACCAAATTTAAAAATGCAGTTTGAGATGAAGAACTTTGTGTCGGATACCAAGAAAGTTCCAGTAGCTGAATAAAATCCTTCATTAACTCATCTAATTTTCATTTAACACTTTCTCTGAAGTAGATACTGTATTAGCACTAGAATTTAAAAAGAGAACATGCTTTGCTTTTTTCTTTCCGAAAGTTTCAGCCTTTGCAGAAAAAATAACATATTAATATATGACAAGTGGTATAATGAAAGTATATATGAGATGCCATGGATTAAAGATGAAATAGAAAATTGACTGGGCGCAGTGCCTCACTCCTGTAATCTCAGCACTTTGGGAGGCTGAGGCGGGTGGATCACTTGAGGTCAGGAGTTTGAAACCAGCCTGGCCAACGTGGTGAAACCCTGTCTCTACTAAAAATATAAAAATTAGGCAGGCATGTTGGCACACTGTACCTGTAGTCTCAGCTACTCAGGAGGCTGAGGCAGGAGAATCACCTGAACTTGGGAAACAGAGATTGCAGTGAGCCAAGATAGTGCCACTGCACTGCAGCCTGGGCTACAGAGTGAGACTGCATCTCAAAAAAATAAAAGTAAAATAAAAATGAAAATGAAATAAAAAATTGTTTTTCAAGAGTCAGAGATTCATAAAAATGGTACTATTTGATTTGAAAGTTGGGCAATGAAAAAGAAAACAAAGGAGAAAAGGAGAGGTTTCAAGCAACAGAAACAGTATGGGCAATGATACAGAAGTAGAAGAAAAGATGGCAAGAAGACAGTAGAATTCGAGTGCATAAACATGGGAGATTGAAGATGATATTGGACATGTATAGGACCATTTAATAAATCTTTTTTATGTCATGCAATGAAGTAGTGCTTTCAAATGTCTACTGCACACCACTATAAAGAAAGAATAAAATTTCCATGAGGTAATATATCACTGCTTAAAAGCTGAGCTTCCTTGGCCCTAATGCCTGTATTACAATCCTGAATCCATAGTTTATTGAAAGTATGTCCTTGAGGGATTTTATTTTTCCATGCCTTGTTTATTACATGAGTAAAATAGTAGCAGCTAAAATATGGAAGTTCTTTAATGAATAATAAGGATATGGAAATCCATCATATACATTGTAAGTCAAGTGTAAATTACAGGTTTATAATCACCTTTAAATAAATCCCAATTTTATATTGTATTTTACATTAATTGGTATAATTTCAAAACCTACCAATGTTTTTCCCCACAGATATTAAAAAGCAAACAACAAAACCCCTGGACACTCAATATCCATGTACCATGTGTATCTTTCCTTTGGTTTCAAGGGCCTACTGGTCTATTTTAAGGTATACAATACCCCAGTTTGAGAAACAATGAAAGGGAGGAATTATGTTTCAAGAAGAACGTAAATCTGATAACAAGAATGCATTAAATTACCAAATTTTTAAGTGTGTGGAAGACATGGGCAGGAAGAGAAAGCTATTAGATTAATTCATAACACAGTAACAGTTGGGCTAGTGATGAAAGAATAGAAAGATGTCTTTGAGGAATCAACATCAGGTAGTCAGGAAAGTGATAAATCCAAGTATAGAAAAAGTTCCAAGATGTCTTTAGTGAGCATATTTTTAGAGACATAGCCAAAGAAATGGGCAAACATGTGAATTCATTTTAAAGTTTAAACATAAATTAAAAGAAGATACCTAGGAAGAGGAAAGATGTTTTCCAAATATTTATTGACTATACAGTTTCGCTAACCCCTGCTGTAAAATTTGGTAGATAAACAACTATCCTGCTTATATTAAATTCATGCAATTAATCCTGTAGTTCTCCAGAGTTATGTCTTGGTGGCATATGCTTCTTTAGCCTTTTGAGTCCAAATTTACATGTTGAAAAACTCACTGCAGGTGATATAAATTAGAAATGCTTGAAAAATTCAGTGGTGAAGAAATGACTTAAATTTGGCTAACCCCTTCACTTTCCATTCCTCCAAAAATGTATTTAATCTGCTGCATTTACAACACAGTAAAGAGCTGAATATGAAAGGAGAGTTTATTGCATACATTTACTCCAAAAAGAAATAAAAAGTAATGATATGTGCTAACTTGCTAAACTTCAAATATTCTGAGAATCTTAAAGACTAGTGTAATTGCAAAGATACTTGCAAAAAAGGAAGTGTATATGCTTGCTGACATTTGTAAATTACTTCAACTAAGATCTATTCTTAGCACCATCATGTATGGTGTATGATGAGATAGATAATAGAATAATAAGACAATATTTCTATAAAAGATCTCAGTGTCTTCCCCATTTTAAAGAAGAGTGGATTGTTCCCTTTAACTACCCTGACTTGTCCATAGGGATTCTTTTTTCCTCTTACAAGTATAATTGCATCGGGAACTGATATGGTCTGGTTCTGTGTCCCCACCCAAATCTCACTTTGAATTGTAATCCCCATGTGTCAAGGGTGGGACCAGATGGAGGTAATTGAATCATGGCGGCACTTTCCTCCATGATGTTCTCATGATAATGAGTGAGTTTTATGAGATCTGATGCATTTCCCCTGCTTGCACTCTCATTCTGCTCTTTTCTACTCCCATGTGAAGAAGTATGTGTTTGCTTCTCCTTCTGCCATGATTGCAAGCTTACTGAGGCCCGCCTAGCTCTGTGAAACTGTGAGTCAATTAAAACTTTTTTTAAAATAAATTACCCAGTCTCAGGCATGTCTTAGCATGAGAACAGACTTAATACAGGAACTAATAAAACAAGGCCATTAATAAAATGCACAGTAAGGCTTATGCAACAGGGGAAACTATTATTCTTTCAGGCATACCAAGTTTCACACTTTCCATTTGCAAACTTTTCTTCTGAAAATGAAAATTATTTATAATTTCATAGGTTAGGAAGAATCATACTCATTTGCCATCAAGACTCTATAGCTTATCAATCAGCTACTTTTTAAGGTTACCTCTACCCTGAAGGACAGGGCTATTTTGTCTGCTAGGTAACTCCATGTCTTAAAAATAAAGTTTGTAGTTTAAAAGAAATGCAAAAGGCATCTTATAT
This sequence comes from Homo sapiens, assembly GCF_000001405.40. NCBI lineage: Eukaryota > Metazoa > Chordata > Mammalia > Primates > Hominidae > Homo > Homo sapiens. The sequence continues at coordinate 27,972,632 of NC_000014.9, read as the reverse complement.
TGTCAACAAATGCTTAGTTATAATTTCTAAAAAACAGACTTTTTAAAGAAAAAATACAACAAAAGCAATAATTATAAAAACGTCAATAATGTAAAATATCATGGTTTGTACTACACTACACAAATCTAGAGATTTTCCTATTAAAACTGAAGCAATACACTTAATTGGCAGTGACAAGAATAATACTACATTATTCTTATGAGGCCCTGGAAAGAAGGCAAGGTTTTTATAGGAACAAAGACATCTAACACTATACAATGCAAGAAGCGCTGATTTGAGAAACATGATTTCAATCCTGCCTTTAAACTTACATTTGAGGATGGGAGCTTGGAAATAAAAAGAGATATATACTCTTTCCCTCAGTTAAAAAAAAAAAATTCATACTAGTTCCTCTCAAGAAAAGAGGCATTTTGGGAAAGGGTTTAATATATTTATTATTTTTTCTTTCAGTTTTATCCTCAAATGCAAGTTTTATAGACAGTGTTGGCTTAGCAAAATATGTTTCAGTTTCAAAAGAGAGAATTCAAAGTGTCATTTAGTTAAATTGTTAAAAAGAGACATTCTTAAATCCAGCATTTGTCAGTTTTCAGAAAATTGAAAAAAAGAGCATAAACAATTTATGTCACAAAAATAAAATTAATTATATTAAATAACAGGCTAAAATGGAAATTAAAAAGATATAGAAAAAAACCAAAATGCTATTTCTTCATTTATTCACGTATTCAACAAGTACATGAATGTATGTACAAGTTGGGCATTGTTGTGCATAGGCCATATGTGAGAAGACAGATATAACAAGAAATATGATCCCCACCTTCAAGGAGACTATGGTGTTGTGACAGAGACAGAAAACAGAGACAAACATAAAAATAAGCTTACAGGAATTTTTTAAAAAATATGTATTAACTATATTTTCTTAAATCTTGAGGCTCTGATATCTGGTGCCTTGCTGACCCAGGAGGGATTGTGCCTCCTAAAATTAGCTGATTCCTAGTATATAAAATTACTTGCCTGTGAGCACAATTTTTATACATAAGCTAATCAGTCCAGAGCTTGTACCCCCAACCACCTCCTTTTAAGACACTTTCATATGTTAGAACCCTAGTCCCTTGCCCTAAGCCCTTATACCAAAACCAGAAAAAGACATATCAAAGAAAGAACGCTATAGACCAATATCCCTGATGAATATTGATGCAAAAATCTTCTACAAAATACCAAACTGAATCCAACAACACATTACAAAGATCATTTGTTATGACCAAGTGGGATTTGTCCCAGGAATGCAATGATGATTCAACATAGGCAGATCAAACAGTGTGAACATCATATCAACAGCATGAAGGAAACAAACCACATGATCATTTCAACTGCTGCTGAAAAGCATTTGATAAAACGCAACATCCCTCCATGATTAAAAAAAAACCCTCAAAGAACTGGGTATAGAGGAAATTTACCTCAACACAATAAAAGTCATATACAACAGTCCCACAGCTAGTATGATACTGAATGGGAAAAACTGAAAATACTTCCTCTAAGATTAGGAACACAACAAGGATGGCCACTTTCTCCACTGTTATTCGGCACAGTACTGGAAGTCCTAGCTAGAACAATCATATCAGAGAAAGAAATACAGGGCAATTAAACCGAAAAGGAAGAAGTCAAATTATTCTTGTTTGCAGATGACATAATCTTGTATTTGTAAAAACCTACAGACCACCAAAAGTCTATCGAAACTCAAAAACAAAGTGTAGCATAGTGGCAGTAAATAAAATCAACATACAAAAATTATTAGCATTTCTATATGTCAACTGTGAACAATCTGAAAAAGAAATCAAGAAAGTAATCTCATTTAAAATAGCTACAAATAAAACGAATTACCTCTGGTTGAATTCAGCTGTGAATTTGTCTGGTCCTGGGCTTTTTTTGGTTGGTAGGCTATTAATTACTGCCTCAATTTCAGAACTTGTTATTGGTCTCTTCAGGGATTCAACTTCTTCCTGGTTTAGTCTTGGGAGGATGTATGTGTCCAGGAATTTATCCATTTCTTCTAGATTTTCTAGTTTATTTGTGTAGAGGTGTTCACAGTATTCTCTGGTGGTAGTTTGTATTTCTGTGGGATCAATGATGATATCCCCTTTATCATTTTTTATTGTGTCTGTTTTTTTCTTCTCTTTTCTTTTTTATTATTTGGCTAGCAGTCTATTTATTTTGTTAATCTTTTCAAAAAAACAGCTCCTGGATTCATAATTTTTTGAAGTATTTTGCGTGTCTCTATCTCCTTCAGTTCTGCTCTGATTTTACTTATTTCTTGTCTTCTGCTAGCTTTTGAATTTGTTTGCTCTTGCTTCTCTGGTTCTTTTAATTGTGATGTTAGGGTGTTGATTTTTAGATCTTTCTCGCTTTCTCCTGTGGGCATTTAGTGTATAAATTTCCCTCTACACATTGCTTTAGCTGTGTCCCAGAGATTCTGGTATGTTGTGTCTTTGTTCACATTGGTTTCAAAGACCTTATTTCCTTCTGCCTTAATTTCATTATTTACCCAGTAGTCATTCAGGAGCAGGTTGTTCAGTTTCCATGTAGTTGTGCAGTTTTGAGTGAGTTTCTTAATCCTGAGTTCTAATTGGATTGCACTATCATCTAAGACACTGTTTGTTATGATTTCCGTTATTTTGCATTTGCTGAGGAGTGTTTTACTTCCAATTATGTGGTCAATTTTAGAATAAGTGTGATGTGGTGCTGAGAAGAATGTATATTCTGTTGAATTGGGGTGGAGAGCTCCGTAGATGTCTATTAGGTCTACTTGGTCCAGAGCTGTGTTCAAGTCCTGACTATCCTTGTTAATTTTCTCTCTCGTTGATCTGTCTAATATTGACAGTAGAGTGTTAAAGTCTCCCACTATTATTGTGTGAGAATCTAAGTCTCTTTGTAGTTCTCTAAGAACTTACTTTATGAACCGGGGTGCTCCTGTAATAATTGCATATATATTTAGGATAGTTAGCTCTTCTTGTTGCATTGATCTCTTTACCATTATGTAATGCCTTTCTTTTTTGTTCTTTTATCTTTGTTGGTTTAAAGTCTGTCTTATCAGAGACTAGGATTGCAACCCCTGCTTTGTTTTGTTTTCCATTTGCTTGGTAAATATTCCTTCATCCATTTATTTTGAACCTATGTGTGTCTTTGCACATGAGATGGGTCTCCTGAATACAGCACACTGATGGGTCTTGATTCTTTATCCAATTTTCCAATCTGTGCCTTTTAATTTGGGCATTTCGCTGATTTACATTTAAGGTTAATATTGTTATGTGTCAATTTGATGCTGTTATTATTATGCTAGCTGGCTATTTTGCCTGTTACTTGATGCAGTTTCTTTATATTCTTGATGATCTTTACAATTTATGTTTTTGTAGTGGCTGGCACTGGTTTTTCCTTTCCATATTTAGTGCTTCCTTCAAAAACTCTTGTAAGGCAGACCTGTGGTGGCAAAAACTCTCAGCATTTGCTTGTCTGTAAAGGATTTTATTTCTCCTTCGCTTATGAAGCTTAGTTTGGCTGGATGTGAAATTCTGGGTTGAAAACTATTTTCTTTAAGAATGTAGAATATTGGCCCCCATTCTCTTCAGTCTTCTAAGGTTTCTGCAGAGAGATGAGAGATCCACTGTTAGCCTGATGGGCTTCCCTTTGTGGGTAACCCGACCTTTCTCTCTGGCTGCCCTTAACATTTTGTCCTTCATTACAACTTCGGTGAATCTGGCAATTATGTGTCTTAGGGTTGCTCTTCTTGAGGAGTATCTTTGTGGTGTTCTCTGTATTTCCTGTATTTGAATGTTGGCCTGCCTTGCTAGGTTGGGGAAGTTCTCCTGCATAATATCCTGAAGAATATTTTCCAATTTGGATCCATTCTGACTGTCACTTTCAGGCACCAATCAAAGTAGTTTTCGTGTTTTCACAGAGTCCCATATTTCCTGGAGGCTTTGTTTGTTCCTTTTCATTCTTTTTTCTACCAGAAGTACAAAGAGGTGTTGGTATCATTTCTTATGAAACTATTCCAAACAGTTGAAAAAGAGAGACTCCTCTCTAATTCATTTTATGAGGCCAGCATCATCCTGATACAAAAACCTGGCAGAGACACAACAAAAAAAGAAAATTTCAGGCCAATATCCCTGATGAATATTGATGCAAAACTCCTCAATAAAATATTGGCTGGCTGAATCCAGCAGCACATCACAAAGCTTATCCACCATGATCAAGACAGCATAATACCTGGGATGCAAGGCTCGTTCAACATACACAAATTAATAAACATAATGTGTCACATAAACAGAACCAAAAACAAAAACCTCATGACTATATCAATAGATGCAGAAAAGGACTTCAATAAAATTCAACACCACTTCATGCTAAAAACTCTCAATAAACTCAGTATTGATGGAACATATCTCAAAATAATAAGAGCTATTTATGACAAACCCACAGCCAATATCATACTGAATGGGCAAAAGCTGGAAGCATTCTCTTTAAATACCTGCACAAGACAAGGGTGCCCTCTGTCACTATTCCTATTCAACATAGAACTGGAAGTTCTTGCCTGGGCAATCAGGCAAGAGAAAGAAATAAAGCATGTTCAAATAGGAAGAGAGGAAGTCAAATTGTCTCTGTTTGAAGATGACATGATTTTATATTTAGAAAACCCCACTGTCTCAGCCCTAAATCTCCTTAAGCTGATAAGCAACTTCAGCAAAGTCTCAGGATACAAAATCAATGTGCAAAAATCACAAGCATTCCTATACACAAATAACAGAAAAACAGAGAGCCAAATTATGAGTGAACTCCCATTCACAATTGCTACAAAGAGAATAAAATACCTAGGAATACAACTTACAAGGGATGCGAAGGACCTCTTCAAGGAGAACTACAAACCACTGCTCAACGAAATAAGAAAGGACACAAACAAATGGAAAAACATTCCATGCTCGTGAATAGGAAGAATCAATATTGTGAAAGTGTCCAGGCTGTCCAAAGTAATTTATACATTCAATGCTATCCCCATCAAGCTATCAGTGACTTTCTTACAGAATTTTAAAAATAAAAACTACTTTAAATTTCACATGGAACCAAAAAAGAGCCCATATAGCCAAGACAATCCTAAGCAAAAAGAACAAAGCTGGAGCCATCATGCTACCTGACTTCAAACTATAGTACAAGGCTACAATAACCAAAACAGCATGGTGCTGGTACCAAAACAGATATATAGACAAATGGAACAGAACAGAAGCCTCAGAAATAATGTCACACCTCTACAAGCATCTGATATTTGACCAACCTGATAAAAACAAGCAATGAGGAAATGATTCCCTATTTAATAAATGGTGTTGGGAAAACTGACTAGCCATATGCAGCAAAACTGAAACTGGACCCCTTCCTTACACCTTATCAAAAATTAACTCAAGATGAATTAAAGACTTAAACATAAGACCTAAAACCATAAAAACCCTAGAAGAAAACTTAGGCAATGCCATTCAGGACATAGCCATGGGCAAAGACTTCATAAACAAAACACCAAAAGCAATGGCAGCAAAAACCAAAATTGACAAATGGGGTCTAATTCAAATAAAGAGCTCTGAACAGCAAAAGAAACTATCATCAGAGTGAACCAGCAACCTACAGAATGGGAGAAAATTTTTGCAATCTATTCATCTGACAAAGGGCTAATATCCAGAATCTACAAAGAATTTAAACAAATTTACAAGAAAAAAACAAACAACCCCATCAAAAAGTGGGCAAAGGATATGAACAGACACTTCTCAAAAGAAGACATTTATGTAGCCAAAAACATATGGAAAAAAAGCTCATCATCACTGATCATTAGTGAAATGCAAATCAAAACCACAATGAGATACCATCTCACACCAGTTATAATGGCAATCATTAAAAAGTCAAGAAACAACAGATGCTGGAGAGGATGTGGAGAAATAGGAATGCTTTTACACATTGGTGGGAGTGCAAATTAGTTCAACCATTGTGGAAGACACTGTGGCTATTCCTCAAGGATCTGGAACCAGAAATACCATTTGACCCAGCAATCCCATTACTGGGTATATATCAATACCCAAAGGATTATAAATCATTCTACTATAAAGACACATGCACACATATGTTTATTGCAGCAGTGTTCATAATAGCAAAGACTTGGAACCAACCCAAATGCCCATCAATGATAGACTGGATAAACAATATGTGGCACATATATGCCATGGAATACTATGCAGCCATAAAAAGGATGAGTTCATGTCCTTTGCAGGTACATGGATGAAACTGGAAACAATCATTCTCAGCAAACTAACACAGGAACAGAAAACCAAACACCACACATTCTCACTCATAAGTGGGAGCTGAACAGTGAGAACACATGGATACACGGAGAGGAACATCACACACTGGGTATGTCAGTGGGTGGGGGGCTAGGGGAGGGAGAGCATTAGAAGAAATACCTAATGTAGATGACAGGTTGATGCGTGCAGCAAACCATCATGGCATGTGTTTACCTGTGTAACGAACTTGCACGTTCTGTATATGTATCCCAGAACTTAAAGTATAATAATAATAATTTAAAAAAAAAAACTACCTAGGAATAAACTTAACCAAAGCAGTGAAAGATCTCTACAATGAAAGCTATAAAATACTGATGAAAGAAATTTAAGGGGACACTAATAAATGGGAAGGTATTCCATGTTCATTGATTAGAATAATTAATATCTTAAAAATGTCCATATTCTCTAAAAACCCACAGATTCAATGCAATTTCTATCAAAATACCATTTAATTTTTCTTTACAGAAATAGAAAAATCAGTACTAAAACTTACCTGGAACCATAAAAGCCCCAGAATAGCCAAAGCCATACAGAGCAAAATGAAAAAAACAAACAAATAAAAACAACAACAACAAAATAACTGGAGGAATCACATTACCTAACTTCAAATGATATTACAAAGCTGTAATAACCAAAACAGCATGCATGGTGGTGGCATAAAAACAGACAGATAAACCAAGGAATATGATAGAGAACCCAGAAACAAACTCATGCATCCATAGTAGACTCTTTTTCAACAAAGGTGCTAAGAACAAACATTGAGGAAAGGAGAGTCTGTTTAATAAATGGTACTGGGAAAACTGGATATCCATATGCAGAAAAATGAAACTAGAATCCTATATCTCACCATGTGCAAAAATAAAATCAAAATAGATTAAAGACTTAAATCTAAGACCTCATACTATAAAACTACTTCAAGGAAACATTAAACAAAATCTTCAGGACATTGGTCTCAGCAAAGATTTTTAAAGTAATATCCTACAGCCACTGGCAACCTAAGAAAAATGGACAAATGTAATCACCTCAAGTTAAAATTTTTCTGCAAATCAAAGAAAACAATCAACAAAGTGAAGAGACTACCTACAGAATAGAAAATATTTGCAAACTATCCAGCTGACAAGGGATTAATAACCAGAATACATAAGGAGCTCAAACCACTCTACAGGAAAAATTTAATAATCCGGTTTAAAAATGAGCAAAAGATCTGAATAGATATTTCTCAAAAGGAGACATATAAATAGCAAATAGGTACATGAAAAAGTTTTCAACATCATACTACAATAAAATATTATCTCACTACTGTTAAAATGGCTTTTATCCGAAAGACAGGGAATAACAAATCCTGGTGAGGATGTAGAGTAAAGGAAACCCTCACACATTGTTGGTATGAATGTAAATTAGTATAACCAGTATGGAAAACAGTTTAGGGGTTCCCCCCATATAGAACTACCATATAATCCAGCAATTCCACTGGTAAGTATATACAGAAAAGAAAAGAAATCAGTATGTGGAAGAGATCGCTTCTCTCCCATATTTATTGCAACATTAATCACAATAGCCAAGATTTGAAAGCAATGTAAGTGTCCATCAATAGATGAATGGATGAAAAACAAATGCGGTACATATACACAATGGAGTACTATTCAGCCATGAAGCAGAATAAGATTCTGTCATTTGCCACATCATGGATGGAACTGGAGTTCATTATGTTAAGTGGAATGAGCCAGGTACAGAAAGACCAACTTCCCATGTTCTCATTTATTTATGGAAGCTAAAAATTAAATCATAACTTTTGGAAGTAGAGAATAGAATGATGGTTACTAGAGGCTGGGAATGGTGGGAGGTGGTGGAAGGGGAAAGTGGGGATGGTTAATGTGTGCAAAAATATAGCTAGATGTAATGTATATGTTCAAGTATTTGGCACCACAACTGGGTGACAACAGTCAACAATAATTTATTGTACATTTAAAAATAACTAAAAGAGTATAATTGCATTGTTTGTAATATAAAGAAAGAAAAATTGCTTGAGGTGATGAATACTCCATTTAACTTGATGTGATTATTACTCTTTGTATGTCTATATTAAAATATCTCATATACCTTATAAGTATATACACCATGTACCCACGAAAATTAAAAATTAAACTTGGAAAAAAACATTAACTAGGTCATATTTTACTCATCTTACAATAAAGTTTAAAATATTTTTTAAACATTTTCTCCAAGTTGTCATTCAGAGAGTAGGTATTTTTATGGCAGATGAGTTTATTTGATAATTTTGTTTCTTGACTAACTAGTGTGTATGTGTCTTATTTAAAAAAGCTTTGCCTACCCCAAAATGTCTAACATATTGTCTTATAATTTTGGGAAGAAATAATAGCTGTGACTTTTACTATTAGATCTATGGCTCATGTCAAATTAATTCTACGTGTATGTTATGAAGTAGGGATCACATTTTGTTTTTCTCTCTCATAATTCTTGTTTTTCCAGCAGCAGTTACTGAAAATTCCCTATTGAATTACCAGAGTACCTTTGATGAAAATGAATTGATCATGTATGTGAGGTCTGCTTTTAGACTTTATTTTGTTCCATTGACCAATTTGTCTAATACAATGTTATGTTCATTTCAGTATCTTTATATAAATCTGAGTTCATAAAAATGTATATTTAACAATATATATTCTTCAAAATTGTACTTTTAACACAAGAATTTCCATTTTAAATGTTTCAGTTTCTTTATTAAAATTCTTACATCATGGAAACATTGACATTATACTTTCTTTCAACTTTTTAAACATTATGTTCTTTAGCCCTTTGAATATGTATATAAAACATATGCTTTACAATCTTTGTCTGCTAAATCCAGCATTAGTGCCCATAAAAAAAAGAGAGAGCTTTTATTAACTTACCCTGAGATGTGCTATGCTTTCCTCTTTCTTTGCATATCTGATGCTTTTTTCTTGTTGCTGAAAACTGGTCACAGATAATATATTTTAGCAACTTTGGATTCTGATTTCCCTCCATGAGATGTGCCATTGTTGTCTTTGTTTATTGCTTAGTGATTTTCCTGTAATAAATCTGTAAAATCTGTCTCTATAGCAGTGTGTAAATATTCACGTTTGTGGTCAGTTTTATTTACCTATTCTTTTCATTTTTAAATCTTGAATCTTAGAGGTCACCTTTTTGTCGCGTTGCTTAGTGGTCGGGCAACAACTGGTTAGAGACTGTGCAGAAGCACGCTGGAGTGTGCCTTCAAACATCCGGCAGTTTTCAGATGTACCGGGCTTGTCTCTGGGCCTCTTTGCATCTCGTCTGCATAAGCGATCAGTCTCCTAGTCACCTGGCCATCCAGGAATATGTGTTTATCTTGGAATCCCACTGGTCTCCGGCACATGCATGCAGAAGGTGGCCAGTGATGTATGGAGACCTTATATAAAGCTATTACAACTCTGGCTAGTTAGCTGATCCCTCGCCTTCTCTAACCAGAACTGCAACCTCAGGCAATCAGAGCTGCTGATCTTCTCCATTCACTTGCTACTGATATTGCTACTTTTACTGACAGTGTGGATATAGGTTTTTCTGCCTTCCACTCCAAGTTAAGAGAATCACCTCTGACGGTGAAGCCAATGGTTTCTGGGTTTTTCTTCATCCTCGGGGAACTACAGCACTGCAAGTCTGGGTGGATGAGAATGGCCCCAGGGGATTATGCCACAGACTTCCATTGTTTTTGCTCAAAGTTCCATGATTTCCCAAGAATGCATTTCTTCCTATTTGGTCAATTTCGATAACTCTGATACATATGTTTTTGACAAGTATTTTGTTGAGTATTTGTAGTTGGTTTTAGGGAAAAGAATGGCAGCCCACTCACATCACTATATCGGGGATTTTGCCTCTTACATTTTAAAATCAGATCCAACAACTTAAGAGATGTCCATATAAATGCTCTAAACATTTAAAAGATGACATTCATATAAATTGTACTTTTTAAAAACAGAATTAAAAGAGCCCTATGATGTATTTTCACTTATTTTATATTTAAAAAACATGTCTAAAGGTAACATAAAGACCTGACTAAGAGTTGGGCCAGAATTAGATACATAAATCCATTTCTCTTTTTTCAAAGTCATTCTTTATCCAACAAAATATCCAGTGTTATAGAATAGATGTAGAATTCTTAGTCCACTGACCTGATTTTAAGCATCAAGCTATTGTGCTTATATTTGGACTATCATAGTAGGCCTGGATGTTCAATCATTTACTTAGTAGCCAGTGCAGTCTTGCTGTATTTCCCAGAAAAAGCAGAAGAAAATCTTGAAGTGTAGCCCTTGAGTTTCATGCTTAGTTTTGAGATGTCATCAAGATTAATTTCTATTTACCCTATTGACAAGAAACTCGATTCAATAGCCAGGAAATGTGAATTTTCCCAGGTCAAAGTATACATTATTTGATCCTATTTACATTGATTCAAGCACAATTTAAGATGTAATTTCTGTTGTACATGATCTAAAATTCAATGGTACTTTTAATATTTGAGAGCATAATTTCAGAATACTTCCCATATACCTACTAATGACATATTTCTGTTTGTGGTAGATTACTCTTAGTTATTCTTTGCATTTTATAAAGTACAATATAGATATAACGAATGGTGATTTCAAAAATCCAAGTTGAAATTGTATTTTAACTAAATGAGTTTATGTGTCACAAAATGTACAGAAGTTATAATCTAATCTCTCTGGACCAACTAAATTAAAATTTTGTTTAGTTAGAGGTTTAGAGCCAAAACTTCATTTTTACAGCATATTTACACAAACATTTCTTTTACAATTTCCATGATTAAGGAGATCAAACTAGTTTGGGTCATTTAACCTAAACTTTACATGTTTCATCAGCAAATCATCAAATTTAGGCAAAAAAGAGAAGCCACATTTGGATAGCATTTAATTAGGAGTATTAATAGATTATTAAAAATGTAAACTAAATACATATAACAAGACGTAACATGACATATTTTTTAATCTACCTGTAATTACATATGAAAATATTATGCTGTTATGGCTTTCGCAAAATGTATTAACATTTTAGGAGTATATAAAAATTTGCTCAGATGGTTAAACAACAAATCTGCTCATTTTTATACTAATATCTACCAAAAGTCTTTTTACTTTCTGTCATATACATACATTTCAAAATAAAACATGATAAATAAATACAGTCATGCTTTTTATACTAATGGCAACTGGGCTGAAATAAATTTCCAAATCCCAGCAAATCAATAAAATTATTATTCATCACTTGATAACAATTCTTGTAATCAGAGGAAATGTACTTTTATCTATGAAATCAGTTAAATAATGGGGCAAGTCAAATAACTGTGATAGAATTTTAAATCTGCTGTAGGAGTAGCAGTTCCTTTTTCTAGTTTTTAAAATGAGAAAATGCATGGCAATGGCAACTTTCCAAAACCTGGCCTTAATAGAAATCCATTAGTCATATGCAAAAACTGACATTTTATAAGAATGAATTCATTGCTTAAAATAATAACAATAAAATGTATTTTTCTATATATCAGGCACACTGTTAGTGCCTTACTTCTATTAACTCATTTAAGCTCTTATTAATTCTGTAACTGGTACAATAGAGTTATTTTTATTCATATTATAATGATGACAAAATGGAGGTGAAAGGGGTCACACAGCCAGCAACTGACAAAAACAGGATCAAACCCAAGCAGTTTGCCTCTAATTCTATGCTTCACTACAGTATATAATATTTATATACATTTATATATATTTTACTATTCCTTCAAATAATAAGATGGATTATGTTATCAAGGAAAATTATATTCATAGTGCACAATTTCTTCCGATTTCTCTTGGGATTGATACCAGAGCAGCCCATTTCACAGTTGAAGCTCCTAGGGAAATACATACAGAGAAGGGAGATCTGAAAAATATTAATTAATTTTTGATTCCATGGAATTAAATGATAAATCCTTACGTAGAATTCTTGTTGCTGTGAGGGAGAGGGGCAAGACAAAGATGAAACTAATTAAAGGTTTTTTTAATGGCAGGTAAATTGGCTTCTCTCTTCTATCTTATATCAAATAATTAAGTCTTGCGTATATAAAAAAAAGTAAGACTAAGATTCATAAAGAAAGACCAGAAGGGAAAAAATCCATAATTTTTTATTCAAATATACATTGGATAGTGTCTTTTTCAATAAAGAAATGTGTCTTGATGTTTGACATGTAAGGCAATTCCCTGGTTTGAAAATCAATCATCTTTTTTCATTAGAATGTGATAAAGACAAAAAATGTTTAATTATAATTGCAAGAAATCCTTTGTGGATTTTTGGAATGAATTAATCATGATCTTCTTTGAAGCAGAACATTGGAGAAAATGAACATCATCATACATTGCAAGAAATATTCCAAACCTTTTATTTTTGACCATTTTCAAAATAGAAGTTATAAATCTTCTATTTTAAAACATGTATTTTAGAATGTCAATACTTAATTATACACTCTTCTCTAGAAAGCTGTAAAATTGATGTGTATAAACATCTTTTAAGAAAAATCAATGGATCTAATGTCAAAGGGAATGAAATTTCAATGCATGAAACCTTTCGTCTTTTCAATAGAATTGGCCCTAAAGATGTCTACTTAACTACACAAAAAAGCTTTGATTAGTGAAAAATATTTTCAATGCCATATAATCTTCAATTAAATATAATAAAAATATTAAAATCAGAATGAAAATAGTTATAGATTTACAAATAAAGGTAGATTAGAGATGTTATTTATTATACTGACCTGTTGTCTATTCATGGTTTATACTTTTGATGTTTCTAAGGAATGATTACTGTTAATCTTACCACAGTTATTTCTGTTTGCTACGTTTTGTTTTCTCTGAATTTTGAAGCCAACTTTAGATGTGTCTCCCTTCCTTCCTTTTTCCCCCCTTCCATTCTTCCTTCCTTCTGTTCTGTATCTGATCTGTACCTATTTATATATCTAGTTATCTGTAACATGACCTGGTTAATTCTGTGTGTTAACCAGGTCATGGAGTTCTCAGATGTTTGGTCAAATAGTATTCTGGGTGCTTCCCTGGGAGTGTTTTTGAATGACTAGCATTTTTAAATACTGAGTAAGGCACTTCCTAATTTGTATTCCTCATTTAGTCAACTGAAGGCCTGAATAGAACAAAAGACTGATTCTTCCCAAAATACGATAAAATTTCTTCTGCCTAATCACCTTCAATTTGGGCCATAGGTTTTTTTCTGCTTTCAGACTCAAACTGAAACATCAGCACTTTCTGAGTCTTGAGCCTGTTCACCTTCAGACTGGACCCACACCTTTGGATCTCCTGGTTCTCTCAGGCTTTCAGACTCAGACTAGACCTACACAATCAACCCCTCTGGGTCTCCAGCTTGCTGACTGCAGATTTTGGGATTTGACCTCTGTCTTACCCATGCGGACTGCTACAACAAAAATACCATAAACCAAGTGGTTTATAAACAACAGACATTTATTTCTCATAATTCTGCAGGCTGGGAAGTCAAAGATCAAAACGCTAGTATGTTCAATATCTAGCAAAGTTTCATTCTTCATAGATGACACCTTTCTCTGTCCTCACATGCTGGGAGAGACTAGGCAGCTCTTTAAGACCTCGTTTTTAAGAGCACTAATAACCAGTCATGATGGCCCCTCATGAAGGTCCAAAGCCCTCTCCCCTGCAATACCATCACTTTTGGGTTTAGAATTTGAACATATTAATTTGGGGAGGTGAAACAAAGCAGCCTCCATAATCAGGTGAGCCAACTTTTTATTAAAAAAAAAACCTATTATCTATTATCTATCTATCTATCTATCTATCTATCTATCTATCTATCTATCATCTATCTATCTCTTTCATTATCTGTGTCCTAGTTACACTTACATTCCAGAAACTGTCCTCTCTCTCTCTGTCTCTCTCCCAATAGAGTCTCTCTCTCTCTCTCTCTCCCTCTCTCTCTCTCAAGAGAATATATATGTATAGGTATAGAGAGAATATATATATATGTGTGTGTATGTATGTGTGTGTGTATATATACTTTTTTTTTGTTCTGTTTATCTAGAGGTCCCTGAAAAATAAATATTTTCATGCTAAGAGTGGTTTTAAAGGAAGATAATTTTAAAAGTAAGATTTATGAATCGGTTTTAGGGTTTCTGGAATTTGCACTCTGATCTGATTAGATTTAAAGATAGTAATGGCCCTAACTCCAGTAGTAAAGAGAGCGCTGACTGTCCATGGCATTATCTGGTGATAGGGATATGCAAAATATCACTGTCAGATACTTCTATTAGGTTGGTGAAAAAATAATTGCGGTTTTTGCAATTAAAAGAAAAACAAATCTAAAAAACTGCAATTATTTTTGCACCAATCTAATAATTAGCCATTTGTAAGAAACCAGGATCTAGGTGGTAATGCATGATACTTTTGAACATTTTTGTCAAGCTAATAAATATAATGAGACTTACTAGTTACTCGTAGTATTGTTGGACAACTTAGGGGGCAAAACGATGAACTCAGGGATTCAAATTCCCAAATCAAGTGCGGATAAATAATGTGAAATCTTCTAAGTTACTCCCCAATGAATTCCTTATCTCCCGTAGCGCCACAGCTGTGATTTCTGAAAATTCAAAGACAGATCCTCATCCTGTGACTGGCTGAATTACAATGCAAGTTGAACTGACAGCCTTGAAGAATGTCTACTGTTAAAGTGAGGACATTAATTGGGAAGGAATGGAATCCTGAGGTTGGAATATGGATGTGTGGGAGGACCCTGACGAAGCTGGTAACACTGAGCTCCTAAATTCTGATATGACTTCTTTGCCAGTGGAAGAGACTTATTCACCTACAATAGAAGCAATTCCTCCATCCCCATCAGAGGGGATTAACTCTGCAATGTCTGAGAAAAAACTCTAATGGCAAGGGAGTGGCCATGCAGGACAATGTTGGGTCTCTTCAGGACACATCCACATCACTCCTCTTTTCTTCTAGGCCTGTGACTAGGCTTAAGTACTAGCAAGCTCCCAAAAGTAAGCTACAAAGTACAAACCATGAGGAGGCGTGCCACAGCCCAAAAGAGCTATTTGAGTTTTCTACTTTATACAGACGGAAATCTGGGGAACATGTGTGTGATTAGCTATTAAGGATGTGACATAATGCTGGAAGGAAAATAAAGTTGAATCATGTCACATTTATTAATAGGCTCACTAAGCAGAGATTATTTATTTACTGATGTGTCTCAGGGCATTTGAAAAGACTCTACCGGTTAATTTGATTAGTTGGCTAAAACATGGACCAAAAGGTATCCTAGAGTGAGTGAGCTGAAAATGTCAGATCTGTTTTGGTTTAATGCAGAGGAAGGGATTCGGGTCTTAGGGATATTGGCATTAGAGAATAGATTTGTTATTTAAGACCTACTCACAAAAACCTATGGCATTGACTAGTTGATCATGGTATTCCTAGAAGTGAAATAAATAGATATTTTTACTTCATCTGTATACGCAAAACATTTCTAGGGCAAATGAACAGAAGTCTATCCTGAATCATAACTGGAAATTGAGAGGGCAGGATTGCCCATTCCCAGTTTGCAGACCCAGAACCCCTTGAATGAATGAGAGTCCTTTAATGCCTAAATTAAACAGATGTATTTCACAGGTAGCAGAATTTCCAAATTGGTTCTTCAACCTGTGGAGTGAGGGCATTATGGTGGGGGATGCTACAGTGGACTCTATGGAGGAAAATAGTAATCCAAAAACACTACTACATTCCTGGAGGGATTGGAGAGATTAGTGCCACCATTAAGGAATGGAAAGATACAGTAGTGGTGATTCTCATCACATTCCCATTCAACTCAGCTATTTGGCCTGTGGAGAAGAAAAATGGATGTTAGAGAATGACAATTGATTCTTGAAAGATTAACTAGATGGTGACTCCAATTGCAGCTTTTGTATTAGCTTTGGTTTCAATGTTTAGCAACTGAACACATCTCTTGATACCTGATATTCAGCTATCAATCTCACAAATGCTCTATTTTTGTACCTGTCAATAAGAACCACAAGAAGCAATTTGCTTTCAGCTGGCAAGGCCAGCAATATACCTTCACCTTTGTACCTCAGTGATATATGAACTCTCCAGCCCTGTTATAGTTTTGCTTACAGTGATCTTGATTCTTCCACAAGATAGCATGATGTTCTATCATATTGCTTAAAATATGCCAATAGGACCTAGTGAACAAGAAGTAATAAATTCTCCAGACTTAATAGTAAGATATTTGCATGTCCTCACATCTGACCCATTTACCAAGAGGTCTGAAAAGCTGTTACTTTTGAGTGGGGCTCAAAACAGGAGAAGGCTCTGCAACAGATCTAGGTTGCTGTGCAAGCTGCTCTGCCTCTTGGACCATATGATCCAGCAGATCCGATGAAGTTTGAAGTGTCAGTAGCAGATAAGGATTCTGGAAGGTCCCTATAGGTGAATCACAGTTCAAACCCTTAGGATTTTGGAGCAAAAATCTGCTACTTTATGCAGATAACTACTCATCCTCATGAGAAACAGTTCTTGGCTGGATGCTGGGCCTTAGTAGAGACTGCATAATTAACTAAGGGCCACCAAGTAACCATGGGACCTAAACTGCCCATGATGAATTGGGTGTTATCTGACCCACTAAACCATAAAGTAGGGTATGCACAACAGCACTCCATTATCAAATGAAAATGGTATGTACATGACTAGTCCTGAGCAGGCTCTGGAAAACACAAGTAAGGTACATGAAGAAGTAGCCCAAATGCCCATGATCCCAACTCCCGTGACACTACCTTCTCTTAACCAGCCTGCATCTAGTCTCATGGGAATCTTCTACAATCAGTTGACAGAAGTAAATCCTGACACTTGATGTATAGATGATTTTTATATATATATATATGTAGGCACTGCCTGGAAGTGGACAGCTGTAGCACAACAGCCTCTTTTTGTGACTTCCCTGAAGAACAGTGGTAAAGGAAAATCCTCTCAGTGGGCAGAACTTCCAGTGATTATTCATTTTACTTGCTAGGAGAAATGGCCAATAGCTATACTTTTAATTGTACTCTGACTCATGGGCCGTAGTCAATATTTTGGCTGGAAGGTCAGGAAAGAACATGATTGGAAATCTGGGGGAAAAATATGTAGACAGACCTCTAAGAATGGATCAAAATGTGAAAATATTGGTATCCAAGGTGAATACTAACCACAGGGTGGTCTTAGCAGAGGATTTTAATAATCAAGTGGATAATTTAATTCATTCTGTGGATACTAGTCAGCTTCTATTCCCATACGTGTTTGTCATTGCCCAAGCGGCTCATAAACAAAGTAGCCATGGTGATAGAAATGGAGATTATACATGGGTTCGATAACATGGACTTCCACTCACTAAGGCTGACCTGGCTATGGCCACTGCTGAGTACCCAATCTTTCAGTAGCATAGATTCACATAGGGCACCTTTCTCTGGTGTGATCACCCAGTTTGATTGTTGATTCCATTGGATCACCATCATGGAAGGGGCAGCATATTTTTCTTAGTCGAATAGACACTTACTGCAGATATGGATTTGTCATTCCTGCATGCACTGCTCCTGCCAAAACTACCATCCATAGATGTACAGAATGTACAGAATGCCTTATACACTGTTACCTCATTCCATGCAGCATTGCTTCTGATTAAAGAACTCACTTCACAGCCATTGAAGTATGGCAATGGGCTCATGCTCATGGAATTGACTGATCTTACCACTTTTCTCACCATCCTGATGCAAATGACTTAATACAACAGGGGGATGGCCTTTTGAAGACTCACAGTGTCAACTAGGTGACAATACCTTGCAAAGCTGGGGCAGGCTTCTACAGGAGGCTGTGGATGCTCTGTACTAGCATTCACTATATGGTGTTTTTCTCCCATAGCCAGGATTCATGAGTCCTGGAATCAGTAGAAATGGAAGTGGCACCATTCACTATAAACCCCAGTGACTCACTAGCAAATTTTTTGCTTCCTGTTTCTACAGTCTTATGCTTTGCTGGTCTAGGGGTCTCAGCTCCCAAAGGAGAAATGCTTTCACTAGCAGACCCTACAGTAATACCATTGAACTGGAAGTTAAAGCTAATGTTGGGCCACTTTAGACTCCACATGCCTCTGAATTAAAGGCAAGGAAGGGAGTTACTGTGTTGACTGCAATTTGATCCTGACTACCAAGGGGAAATTACACTACATCTTCACAACTGAGGTAAGGAAGAGTATGTTGGAGTATAGAAGATCCTTTAGAGTGTCTATTAGTATTGCCATGATTATTAAGGTCAATTAAAAACTGCAACTCAATTCAGGCAGGACTACTAAGGGTCCAGATGTTTTAGAAATAAAGGTTTGGGTCACGTATCATTAGGTAAATGACAGCCAGAAAAGTTTTTTGCTGAAGTCAAAGGTAATACAGAATGGATAGTGGAAGAATGTACTTATAAATATCAGCTATGATAACATAACCACTTATAGAAATGAGGACTGTAATTCTCATGAGTATTTCCTTCTTATTTTGTTAAAAATTATATTTGTGTTTGTACATCAAATGTCTTCATTTTCTTCCTTCTCCTCATTTCCTTATAATGTACCATAAGATGTATTAACTCTACATCATAGAATTTAACAGTGGTTAATTTTATGTCATAGTTATATCAATGAAAAGAGTAAATATCTCAAGGATTGTACCTCCCTTTCTGGGAATGGAATTAATGTCTGTTCAGTTGTATGCAGGATAATTGTATCATGTTAGGTGGAATTATGACCTTGTGTATTATCTTCATTTGGAGATTAAGTATGATTTAAGGAGATGCTTATGTATGGCAAATTAACAAGAGATGCGCTTGTGCTGGTGAATTTTATGTGTTAATTTAAGCAGGATAAAAGGGACTCAGATATTTGGTCAACCAATATTCTGTTTGTTTCTGTGAGAGTGATTTTGGGTGAGTTTAATATTAAATCAATTGAATATGGGAGATTGCTCTCCCCTTATTTGACTAAGCCTCATCCAATCAATTAAAGGCCTGAATAGAAACAACATGCTGACCTTCCTAAAATTAAGAGATATTTTTTCTTGCCAGTCTTTGAGCTACGTTGGGTTTTTGCCCCTGCCTCAGAACACAAACTGAAACACCAGCTTTTACTAGGTCTCCAGCCTGCTAGCCTTTGAACTAGAGCTATATGATTGACAACCCTGCATCTCCAACTTACAACTGCAGATCTTGGGATTTTTCTGCCTCTATAATTGACACAGCTATAGCTATAGCTATAGCTATAGTTCTCCAGTTAGTCTATTTTTCCATTGATTACTCTGGAGAACTCTAATGCTTATTACCTACTTATCCATCTATTCATTTTTATATATATGTATGCATATATGTGTGACTATTTGTGTGAGTGTGTATGTGTGTGTGTATTGCTAAATTAAGAATAACCATATATGTAAACCACTACTTACACTAACTTTTCTTGGCCTTTACAAATATAATGAAAAGACGAGTTTGAGGACATTCAAGAAAAATACCATTCACTAAGTAATGATTTCCATTTTGTCCATTATAGATTGGCTAATTTTTATTCAAACCTTTTTTCCCCCCTCTTTCTGTAGATTTCGACTTAAACTATTTTGGTTAAGAACATTAGCTCTGCAGTCTGACAAACCCGGCTTTCAAATCAGCTTCCAATTAGGATCCTGAAATTTAGGTCCTAACACTTATTATCTGTACAATTACAGGTAAATTATTCATCCCCACTAAGACTCATCTATCTAAGCTTCCTCATCTATGAAATTTTAACAGAAAATACAGTTTTAAGTTTTGGGATATAATGCCTTGCACATAATCAAGAATCAAGAAATGGTATTTTTAGTTAGCAATTATCTCTATCATTTTATGCATATCTGGTTATTTTGTGTAACTGGTCCACAAAAAACATAATCAATTGCTCTGTAAGAAATTGTATCCAGTGAATTAAGTCAGTAAGTGGATTTTTATGCTTCTGATTTTCTATTATACTTGTGTTAAAATCATTTTCAATAGTATTGTTTTAAGCTACCATGACAATTTTTAAAAATAATTTAACATAGATATAAATGACAACAAACAACAAGCATACCAATGTGTTGGGAAAGGGGGTGTACATTCTTTCTCCGTGTTTAAAATCAACACATGATTTGGGAAATAGACACTAATTTTTCCTTAGATAAGACACCTTTCTTGGATACCTCCAAATTCTTCTTCCCAGTTTCACTGACAAGAACCAAGAGAGGTTAGTCTCTTTAAATGGTGCTATATCCCTAAAGTTCAAGATACATGAGGTGAAGTTGTAGTGGGTCATTGTTGTTGGTTGTTGTCCAAGAGACCTAGATAACTCTGACAAATCAATTGGTGGTATTCATTGGTCCAGAGTGTAAGGCTATCAAATGTCCTGTCCTTTCCAAGCATTCCATCCCATCATACAATAATCTGTGAAGAAAGGTTTGTCTAATTTTTAATTAGCTTCATAGATTGATGTGTTTGATCTTGTTTTGTTTATTTTTTTAATTTGGTTTGTCTTGATTGATGTTTTTCCAGAGAGGCACACAGCCAACTGATTATAGTCTATTCGTATGATATGATATAAAAAACAATTCTTTATTTAAAAAATAAGGCAACTTTAAAAATTGTTATTACGTACTATTTTACTCTTTGTTTTTTCACAAGAAAAAGTCATGCTATAAATAAAGGACACCGTTCCTTAGCACATTTCATGGACTCTCAGGCATTGCACTATGATGTTGAAGGTACTAATGGGACACAAAGGCAAAGTATTCCATATGTCAACTTTACCTTTTTATCTTTTGGAGACCTGGGGGGATATACTTTACTAAACTCAAATGTCAGAGTTCTATTCTGCATCCCAGCATGACAGCTCAGCTGTGTGCAATTGCACACTTAAGCAGAAATGCCTGCCTGGCCAAGTGTCTGAATGAGATTAATGGTATTCGTTTATTTTAAATAAATCTATCTTGAGGCAATGTCTCAAGTTGTTTGCCTAGTTAATTCACAAAGCTCCTCGAGGGGCCCTAGAATAAGCATATAAGGAATAAAGGATTTTTTCGAGGTAACTATCTCTAGTCAATAATAATTAGTCAATGAGTAGATTGATTGGACAAATGTCGTGAACTCTTTCTGAAACCAGAAAAAGTTAAAATTAGATTACTTGTCACTCATTTTTGCAGCTTATATGCTTCGGAGATGCTTAACTATATACAGATATGGCATGTTTTGACAAACAATGGTCTTTCCTTCTAGCTAGTAATTATAGACAATAAGAAGAAAGAGCTCTGTGGATCCTTATTTAACTCTTTCGTGCCTCTTTGAGTATATCTTTAAGAATACTAAACCAAGTTCACTTCTGCCATTTCCTGATGAACTGAGAGATGTTAGTTCAGCTCCTTTTTGAAAGAATAGCACTCTGTTCTGAGATGATAAGTATTAGCTTTTTGGTTTTCTTATTTTTCTTCTTTACAGGTTTGAATCAGTTGAACATCTCATCTATAAACTTTCTGCGTATTGAGTTTTTCAGATATGCTGGGTATTCTTCATCTTGGTCTTTGATTGAGGGAGAAAGTACTATTAAAAAAGGAAAAGTAACTAGAACTGAGTACCTTTTGTATGCAAAATGACTTGCATATATAATCCTGTTTAATCTTTATGCGAACTCTATGCTTTAGAAGGTATATTAGTTTGTTAGGGTTGCCCTAACAAAGTACCACAGGCTGTGATTTAAACAACAATGTATTTCCTCACAGTTTTGGAGGTTAATGGTTCAAAGTGTTGACAAGGTTGGTTTCTTCTAAGAGTCTCTCTCCTTGGCTATCTTCTCCCATTGTTTTTGCATGATCTTCTGTGTGTTTGTATCCTAATTTCCTCTTCTTACATGGACGGACAGCAGTCTTATTAAATCATGACTCACTTATGATCAGTTCATTTTACCTTAATTATCTTTTTAAAAGCCCTATCTTCAAATACAGCCACATTCTGGGATAGTAGGGGTTAGGACTTCAACATATAAATATTACATGGGAGACAATTCAACCCATAACAGGAGGGTTTTATATACCAGGCAACTGAGGTTCTGTGAGTTTAAAGGTGAGTTATATGCATAAAATTAGGTGGCTGCTTCAGAAATTTTCTGTGTAGGAAGTCATTAACATTGCCTACTCCATTCAGCCTTTCACCTGAGTTCTATTCTTGTGTTGGTCACTAATTTTTGAAGGGCTTTGAGAAAGTTTCGAAACTTTTTGTTTTGTTTTGTTTTGCTCCTACTGATTGTGCAGTATGAGGAAGACAGATTCTATTGTATTTAAGGAATCTTGCAGATTTCACATTCTTTGGTAAAATCATATGTTCTCCCCAGCACTGCCCCCCACCCCTGCTAAATCTCTATTCCCCAATTACATTGTAGACTCCTTAGGGAGTAAAACCAAATCTCACTTTTTCATTCCATATATATATATATTTCTATATATATAAATATATATATAGATATATATACTTATATATCTATATATAGAAATATATATAAATATATATAGAAATATATATATTCTATATTCTATATATTCTATATAGAATATATATTATATATAATATCTATATAGAAATATATATATAAATTTATATATATTTCTATATATAGATTTATATATAGAATTTATATATAGATTCTATATATAGAAATATATAAATTTATATATATATTTCTATATAAAACACAACACTCAGTTTCTAATTAATAAATCAAATTATGACTTTTTAGATCTCATTACCACAAGCAATGAAAGTTTTCCACTTCAAAATGTATATTGTATGTTGACTTTGTAAACACATCTAAAGATTTTTGTCTAAATTAGCAATAAGTAGCAACTGTAAAGGTAGAAAATAGGAATAAAAATGTTGTGAACTGAAGAACTGACATGAGATTACATTCATTTAAATAATTTCAAGTCTTCACTGGGTCTGAAAACAACTCAATTTTTCTATTTTTTAATGATTTCACACATTAATTAGCAGACACCAAACAGCAAGTCTGGGATAAGAAGCCTATTACTGATTTATTTCACAAATTCAGTTTTCAAGTTATGGGATATAATTATTCAACTAGCACAAGGTTTAGTCTAAATTTCAGTGTCATGTCATCTGTGAATTCTTGAACTTTCAAAAGTTTGACCTTACTGTTGTAATGCTATACATATGTTATGCCTGGGTAAGTATTGGCTTCTTGAATTGCATTTATTTTTAAATAACAAAATGGTATTTTTCAAGCTATTTCATTAAAGGTTTACTTTTACATTGAATCATGAGTATATTCAAATATTCTTCCCTTTTTGTTTTAAAATTAGTATATATATTGATACTAGATATAACATAAAATTAGTCACCTTTGTATGATCTATTGCCTTTACTAATTACAAAACTTAAAATTGCATTATCCCTCTAATGGAAATCACAAATGTATTCTGAAACAAAAATGTATTAGATTAATTCAGATCTGCTGGCGAGTCTAAAGAATAGTTTTGCATTCATTACTGTGCATATAACTGGTCAAGAGAAACAGCCTTTTTATCAACGGTACATAAGCCGGATAGACTTTATTTATTGCCTGGGTATTAGACTTTTTAAGACTGACTCCACAACTCTTTTGTGAATGTGTAAAGGAATAGATTATCCTCTACCTTGACCCATAGTATAGAGATCTTTCATATAGCAAAGGTATAATTCCTTTGTAAGGAACTTCTCAATGATGTATGTCCAGAAACCATCATGCACTCTTATTTAAAAAGTAAGTATAAAATTAACTCTGTTATGTGAGAACACAACAGTGTGAGTGTGACTCTGCTTATTATAATACATATTTTTTACTTTTATAAAAGATGAATCTTTTTCTTTCTTCTAAGACAATAGTATGTCTTTAATATTTGGATTACTTTTCATTGTTTAAGGTATATTCTATATAAAATTCATTATTGTTTTCCTGATATTCTATATTAAAATACATATTTGAGAAGAAATGTTTGTGTCAACTTTAAAACATATTTACAAGTGTTAAAACATTGATCTCTGATTTTCACATATACCCTCATACCAAAGTGAACAAAAACTATTGCCAATAATTTTACTTGCTTAAAATCTGATTCATTTTTGTTTTAGCCTGATTCTTTCCTTTCTTTCTTTCTTTCTTTCTTTCTTTCTTTCTTTCTTTCTTTCTTTCTTTCTTTCTTTCTTTCTTTCTTTCTTTCTTTCTTTCTTTCTTTCTTTCTTTCTTTTTGAGATGGAGTCTTGCTCTATCGCCCAGGCTGGAATGCAGTGGCGCAATCTCAGCTCACCACAACCTCCGCCTCCTGGGTTCAAGCTATTCTCCTATCTCAGCTACCTGAGTAGCTGAGATTACAGGCACGTGCCACCATGCCTGGCTAATTTTTGTATTTTTTAGTAGAGATGGGATTTTGCCATGTTGTTCAGGCTGGTCTTGAACTCCTGACCTCAGGTGATCCGCCTGCTTTGGCCTCCCAAAGTGTTGGCATTACAGTTGTGAGCCACCGCGCCCAGCCCCCTACCCTGATTGTTTCTATTTGAAAACATGATAACCATGCTTCTTACCTAGATGAAATAATAATTGTACATAAAACTACTTCAATAAAGTAATTTTTTGGATATCATACTGAAATTGTCTGAAATTCAAAATTAACTCCCTTTTCAAAATGCTGCTATATATTCTGCTTGACCTATAATTTCCTTCTTTGAGTATATGATGAAATACAATCTCTAACCATCTCAGGCATAACAAACCTCTCATACAATAAGAATATTTTAATAACATCAACAAGACAGTGCTTAATACATTCTTTGTTAGTTATTTATAGATGGAATTTTCTACAGTATTTCTCTGATTAATTGTTTTATTGTTATTGCTATTATTGTCTTTTGTTTTTGCTCTGAAAGATGTCATACAATTCTTCCTTACATTAGACTGAAATCTCTCCTATTGTTTCAACACTTTTTCTCTCTTTGAATAAGAACTGGTATAATTCTCTTCAAAATATATCAAAATAGATGTTATTAAATTATGAAATTTGTTCTGAAGAATAATCATTTCCAGAATTTTCAATAATTCATTCCCTTATTCTCCCTAAAATATATTTGAATGGCTTTAGTTTAATACTAGTGTGGAATTTTTTATACTCTTTCCAATGTGGTTCTCAAAAATCACAAGTGTGCCACAGAAATATTTAAGATTAAGGGATAAATTTCCCTCTTTAAAAATCATTTGCTACTAGGAATTGAATCTTTTTAATAAAATAGTACCAGTATTTTGGTTTTTTATTTGTTTATTTTTAACTATAACTCCTGAAAGATTTTTCTTTCTGAGTTGATTCTTGGGGATTTGAATATAGAACTTTATTTATACTCCTCTTGGATTTTATATCTTGTAACTGAACTTACCTTTCTATCTTGTGAAAATCCTTTCATAACCTATAATTGTCATTCATTATCTCTTCGAGTTTCTTGCCAAGGAGGCAGTCATCAGGAATATTAGTAAGTATTTTAGTTCATATTTTTTTTCAGGCACATGACAAGATTGCACTTACCTGCATTGCAGAAATTAAGTACATTTTTGTGATTTGCTTTGTCCAATAAATTTAGGTAAATTAGACCATTTCTGCAAATAACCAATAAGAACTAGTTATTTTTCCCTCTGTCACTGTGACGGCAGCATCAAGTATGATAGCTGTTTCAACAGCTTGGTCCTGGAGTGAGAATGACCAAAACAGTGACCTTGTACAAACTTTAGATTGATGTGATGTGATATATAAAGAAATAATACTGTCTTACTTTAAGCCAGCAAGATTGTGTGTGTGTGCGTGTGTGTGTGTGTGTGTGTGTGTGTGTGTGTGTTTGTGATTTTGTTGTTGTGCATTAGGATAGTCAGGCTATAGTAACAAAATTTCAGTGACTTAATGTGACAAAACTTTATTTCTTGAGCATATTACCCATCCAAGGTGGGTTTGAAGGGTGACTCTGTTCATTATAATCACTCAGAGACCCAGGCTGATGAAGATTCATCTTGATACATGCTTCCATCATCTCCGTGTGTGGGAGAAACTTGCAACAACTCCTGGACTCTCATAATAATAGGTTGTTAGGAAGTGACACAGTACTTCTCATATTTCATTGGCCAGAAGAAATTATACAACTACATCTAACCTCAAATTAGTACGATGGCTGAATTATCTGTTAGCAATTCAGTATTATCACCATACACTTTTAAAATTTCCTTTACATAACAGTGGAGAAGCTTGGAACTATATTTCCTAAAATCTTCTCTTAGAAAGCAAGAAAGAAACAGAGGTCATTATTACCTGGAAGTGATTACTAGCAGACATGTGAGCAGATGTGGGATTTACAGCTGCCTGTTGGTGAGAATCGAAAGCACCGCTATGATGCTGCCTACCGAGATAAGTGTAGGAAACTTGTTTAGAATTTCCTTTTAAAAGTCAATGATTTCTTGGTAGCTTTTGACAAACACATTCTTCAATATGTCATGCCAAGGTGGTCACTGTTTCTCTAACCTTATGGTGGCAGCTTCCTGCCTTTTCAAAAGGCCTTCCCTGTGCTTTGCTTCCCCATTTCCTTCACATTCATGTAAATCTCAATTCCTATATTAATTTATATTCAGAATACTTAGATGACTGTTTTCCTGGCAAGATATGCACCAATACAGCAGAAACATGCAAACTTACCATTTTCTCAGAAAAAGGATATTCAGAGTAATTATAATCAGCTCTAATGTTTATATACTTATAAACAGAAAAACAAAATGAAAGCAATGTAAAATGAAAACACGAGTGGTCTCCTCCCCTCTCCTCCACAGCTACATACAATAATGAGATAGAGAAAAGAAAAACATGAGGCCTTTGCTCATTGTTCTCCATGATCTATGGTTTTCCTCTAGACACCATCTCAACTTACTGACTATATGACCATATGATTTCCATTGACAATAAAATGTCATAATTTATTATTGGCAGACATTGTAAGGGCAAAAAAGTAAATAATCATGCTCTCTTTACTTTGTCATGGTGACCAATAATGCTCCAAACTGTGTACTCTCTATCATTCTAGATCCTGGAGAAAGAAAGTAAGATATAGACATGTCATGGACACACACCTTTTTATTGTAAGCCATTAGTGTTTGAGATGGGAGTGGTATTTATTACTGCAGCAAAACAAAGATTATCTTGGCACACACAATTTTTAAAAAATTATTTTTATGCATTTGTTTATGATAGCTTATCTATTCTAGAATTTATTGACATAAATAACTAAATATCTCAGACATTGATGAGGAAATTATATATAATTCAGACATGTTATTATATTTGTTTTTAAGCATAACATATTAAAATACATTTATTTTAAGACATCCTTTAAAGATTAAGTGTCCATTTTACTGACGGTATTTAGTAATTACTCTTTGTCACTGGTTTTTCTAGGGTGTGTCATAGGTGTGGTTTATGTTGCATGTACCTTGTATGTAACTTGCTTATAGAGGAAGTTCTAGAATTTAACTTCAATTAAGCTTTAAGATGTCAGTAGGAATCAGAAGAACTCTTAGAATCTGTGGCTTAATGTCTTCTGACACTGGGGAATAAACATGGTCAATATTTCTTTTGATATGGTTTCTGTAATTTCTCTCCCCCCTCTGTCCTCTATTTTCTCTCTGCCCAATATTCCAATTACATGTAGATTAGACTTTTTGACCTTGGATGAAATTAAGAATTCAATATGGAATTGAGTATGCTGATGCATTCTTGTAGTCCCAGCTACTCAGGAGGCTGAGGTGGCAGGATCACTTGAGCCCAGGAGTTTGAGTAAAACTTGGGCAACATAGTGAGACTTCATCTAAAAACAAACAAACAAACAAACATGCATTTACTTTGATAAATACATGATTTAGTTGTTTCTGGGATTTAGAATATATGTGGAAGTATATTTTATGATACGAGTACAAAAAGAAAGTGTGAGGGAAATTTTTAAACAATCTTAATGTTTTAAGCTGAACTTAAAATTCTATTTTTTATTATACTTTAAGTTCTAAGGTATAAGTGCAGGTTTGTTACATAGGTATACATGTGCCATGTTGGTTTGCTGCACCCATCAACTCATCATTTACATTAGGTATTTCTCCAAATGCTATCCCTTCCCGAGCCCCCCACCCCCCAACAGGACCTGGTGTGTGATGTTCCCCATCCTGTGTCCAAGTGTTCTCATTGTTCAGTTCCTACTTATGAGTGAGAATATGCAGTGTTTGGTTTTTTGTCCTAGTGACAGTTTGCTGAGAGTTATGGTTTCCAGCTTCATCCATGTCCCTGCAAACGGCATGAACTCATTCTTTTTTTTGGCTGCATAGCATTCCATGGTTTATATGTGCCATATTTTCTTTATTCAGTCCATCATTGATGGACATTTGGGTTGGTTCCAAGTCTTTGCTACTGTGAGTAGTGCCGCAATAAACATACATGTGCATGTGTCTTTATAGTAGCATGATTAATAATTCCTTAGGTATATACACAGTAATGGGATCGCTGGGTCAAATGGTATTTCCAGTTCTAGATCCTTGAGGAATTGCCACACTGTCTTCAACAATGGTTGAACTAATTTACACTCCCACCAACCGTGTAAAAGCGTTCCTATTCCTCCACATCCTCTCCAGCATCTGTTGTTTCCTGACTTTTTAATGATCACCATTCCAACTGGCCTGAGATGGTATCTCTTTGTGGTTTTGATTGGCATTTCTCTAATGACCAGTGATGATGAGCACTTTTTCACGTGTCTGTTGGCTGCATAAATGTCTTCTTTTGAGAAGTGTCTGTTCATATCCTTTGCCACCTTTTTGATGGGGTTGCTTTTTTTTTTTTTCTTGTAAATTTGTTTAAGTTCCTTGTAGATTCTGGATATTAGCCCTTTTTCAGATCAGTAGATTGCAGAAATTTTCTCCCATTCTGTAGGTTGCCTGTTCACCCTGATAGTAGTTTTTTGTTGTTGTTGTTGTTTGTTTTTTTTTTTGCTGTGCAGAAGCTCTTTAGTTTAATGAGATCCAATTTGTCTATTTTGGCTTTTGTTGCCTTTGCTTTTTGCTGTTTTAGTCATGAAGTCTTTGCCCATGCCTATGTCCTGAATGGTATTGCCTAGGTTTTCTTCTAGAATTTTTATGGTTTTAGGTATAACATTTAAATCTTTAATCTATCTTGAATTAATATTTGTATAAGGTGTAAGGAAAAGATCCAGTTTCAGCTTTCTACATATGGCTAGCCAGTTTTCCCAGCACCATTTATTAAATAGGGAATCCTTTCCCCATTGCTTGTTTTTATCAGGTTTGTCAAGATCAGATGGCTATAGATGTATGGTGTTGTTTCTGAGGCCTCTGTTCTGTTTCATTGGTCTATTTATCTGTTTTGGTACCAGTACCATGCTGTTTTGGTTACTGTAGCCTTATAGTATAGTTTGAAGTCAGGTAGCTTGATGTCTCCAGCTTTGCTCTTTTTGCTTAGGAATGTCTTGGCTATGCGGGCTCTTTTTTGGTTCCATATAAACTTTAAAGTAGTTTTTTCCAATTCTGTGAAGAAAGTCATAGGTAGCTTGATGGGGATGGCATTGAATCTATAAATTACCTTGGGCAGTATGGCCATTTTCATGATATTGATTCTTACTATCCATGAGCATGGAATGTTCTTCCATTTGTTTGTGTCCTCTTTTATTTTGTTGAGCAGTG
This sequence comes from Homo sapiens, assembly GCF_000001405.40. Lineage (NCBI taxonomy): Eukaryota > Metazoa > Chordata > Mammalia > Primates > Hominidae > Homo > Homo sapiens. The sequence goes on along the minus strand of NC_000014.9, from coordinate 27,942,354 downwards.
GTTTGTAGTTCTCCTTGAAGAGGTCCTTCACATCCCTTATAAGTTGTATTCCAAGGAATTTTATTCTCTTTGTAGCAATTGTGAATGGGAGTTCACTCATAATTTGGCTATTTGTCTATTATTGGTGTATAGGAATGCTTGTGATTTTTGCACATTGATTTTGTATCCTGAGACTTTGCTGAAGTTGCTTATCAGCTTAAGGAGATTTTGGGCTGAGATGATGGGGTTTTCTTTATATACAATCCTGTCATCTGCAAACAGGGACAATTTGACTTCCTCTTTTCCTAATTTAATACCATTTATTTCTTTCTCTTGCCTGATTGCCCTGGCGAGAATTTCCAACACTATGTTGAATAGGAGTGGTGAGATAGGGCATCCTTGTCTTGTGCAGGTTTTCAAAGGGAATTCTTCCAGTTTTTGCCCATTCAGTATGATATTGGCTGTGGGTTTGTCATAAATAGCTCTTATCATTTTGAGATACGTTCTGTCAATACGTAGTTTATTGAGAGTTTTTAGCATGAAGGGCTTTTGAATTTTGTCAAAGGCCTTTTCTGTACCTATTGAGATAATCATGTGGTTTTTGTCATTGGTTCTGTTTATGTGATGGATTACGTTTATCGATTTATTTATGTGGAACCAGCCTTGCATCCCAGGGATGAAGGCAATTTGGTCATGGTGGATAAGCTTTTTGATGTGCTGCTGGGTTCGGTTTGCCAGTATTTCATTGAGGATTTTCTCATTGATGTTCATCAGGGATATTGGTCTAAAATTCTCTTTTGTTGTTGTTGTTGTTGTTGTGTCTCTGCCACGCTTTGGTATCAGCATGATGCTGGCCTCACAAAATGAGTTAGGGACAATTTCCTCTTTTTCTACTGATTGGAATAGTTTCAGAAGGAATGGTACCAGCTCTTCTTTGTACCTCTGGCAGAATTTGGCTGTGAATCCATCTGGTCCTGGACTTTTTTTTGCTGGTAGGCTATTAATTATTGACTCAATTTCAGAGCCTCTTATTGGTCTATTCAGGGATTCAACTTCTTCCTGGTTTAGTCTTGGGAGGGTGTATGTGTCCAGGAATTTATCCATTTCTTCTAGATTTTCTAGTTTATTGTCGTAAAGGTGTTTATAGTATTCTACCTATAGAGAACTATAGGTAGTTTGTATTTCTGTGGGATCGGTGGTGATATCCCCTTTATCATTTGACTCTTTATCCAATTTGCCAGTCTCTGTCTTTTAATTGGCGCATTTAGCCTGTTTACATTTAAGGTTAATATCGTTATGTGTGAATTTGATCCTATCATTATGATGTTAGCTGGTTATTTTGCCATTAATTTATGCAGTTTCTTCATAGCATCAACAGTCTTTACAATTTGGCATGTTTTTGCAGTGGCTGGTACCGGTTGTTCCATTCCACGTTTACTGCTTCCTTCAGGAGCTCGTCTAAGGCAGACCTGGTGGTGACAAAATCTCTCAGCATTTGCTTGTCTGTGAAGGATTTTATTTCTCCTTCACTTATGAAGCTTAGTTTGGCTGGATATGAAATTCTGGGTTGAAAATTCTTTTCTTTAAGAATGTTGAATATTGGCCCTCATTCTCTTCGGGCTCTAGGGTTTCTGCTGAGAGATCTGCTGTTAGTCTGATGGGCTTCCCTTTGTGTATAACCCAACCTTTCTCTTTGGCTGTCTTTAACATTTTTTCCTTCATTTCAACCTTGGTGAATCTGACAATTATGTGTCTTCGGTTTGCTCTTTTCGAGGAGTATCTTTGTGGTGTTTCTGTATTTCATGAATTTGAATGTTGGCCTGCCTTGCTAGATTGGGGATGTTTCCCTGGATAACATCCTGAAGAGTGTTTTCCAACTTGGTTCCATTCTCCCCATCACTTTCAGGTACACCAATCAAATGTTCATTTGGTCTTTTCACATGGTCCCATATTTCTTGGAGGCTTTGTTCATTTCTTTTTACTCTTTTTTCTCTAATCTTGTCTTCTCACTTTATTTCATTAATTTGATCTTTGATCACTGATATCTTTTCTTCCACTTGATCTAATTGGCTATTGAAGCTTGTGCATGTGTCACAAAGTTCTTGTGCCATGGTTTTCAGCTCCATCAGGTCATTTACGGTCTTCTCTACACTGTTTATTCTAGTTAGCCATTCATTTAACCTTTGTTCAAGGCTTTGAGCTTCCTTGCGATGGGTTAGAACATGCTCCTTTAGCTTGGAGAAGTTTGTTATTACCAAACTTCTGAAGCCTACTTCTGTCAACTCGTCAAAGTCATTCTCTGTCCAGCTTTGTTTGGTTACTGGTGAGGAACTGCGACCTTTTGGAGCAGAAGAGGTGCTCTGGTTTTTAGAATTTTCAGCTTTTCTTCTCTGGTTTCTCCCCATCTTTGTGGTTTGATCTACCTTTGGTCTTTGATGTTGGTGACTGACAGATAGGGTTTTGGTGTGGATGTCCTTTTTGTTGATGTTGATGCTATGCCTTTCAGTGTGTTAGTTTTCCTTCTAACAGTCATGTCCCTCACCTGAAACTCTGTTCGTGTTTGCTCTAGGTCTACTCCAGACCCTCTTTGCCTGGGTATCAGCAGCAGAGGCTGCAGAACAGCAAATATTCCTGCCTGATCCTTCCTCTGGAAGCTTCATCCCAGAAGGGCACCTACCTGTATGAGGTGTCTGTCGGCCCCTACTGGGAGGTGTCTCCAAGTTAGGCTACATGGGTGTCAGGGACCCACTTGAGGAGGCAGTCTGTCCATTCTCAGAGCTCAAACACCACCCTGGGAGAACCACTGCTCTCTTCAGAACTGCAGACGTTTAAGTCTGCAGAAGTTTCTGCTGTATTTTGTTCTACTATGCCCTACCCACAAAGGTGGAGTCTACAGAGGTAGTAGGCCTTGCTGAGCTGTGCTGGGCTGTGCCCAGTTCAAACTTCCTGGCTGCTTTGTTTACCTACTCAAGCCTCAGCAATGGCAGACGCCCCTCTGCCTGCCAGGCTGCAGCCTTGCAGGTTGATCTCAGACTGCTGTGCTAGCAGTGAGCAAGTCTCCATGGGCATGGGATCTGCTGAGCCAGGCACAGGAGAGAATCTCCTGGCCTGCCGGTTGCTAAGACCTTGGGAAAAAGACAGTATTTGGGTGGGAGTGTCCCATTTTTCCAGGTACAGTCTGTCACGGCTTCCCTTGGTTAGGAAAGGGAAATCCCCAAATCCCTTGTGCTTCCTGTGTGAGGCGACGCCCTGCCCTGCTTCAGCTCACCTTTCATGGGCTGCACCCACTGTCCAACCAGTCCCAGTGAGATGAACCAGGTACCTCAGTTGGACATGCAGAAATCACCTGTCTTCTGTGTCGATCGTGCCGGGAGCTGCAGGTTGGAGCTGTTCCTATTTGGCCATCTTGGAGCTGCCTAAAGTTCTACTTAAAGTTAGATGCCAATTAATCAAAATGCAGGTTGTGCATTCTAGAGCAAGTATTAAAATGAATTTTTTTAAAAAAAATCATATTAAAGTAATAAATCCATGGGGAAATTACACTATGTTCATCAATTAGAAGTCTCTATATGGTTAAGATATTTCCTCCATAATGATCTATAGATATAATTCAATTCCAATAAAAAATCTCAGCAGATTTGAAATGAAATTTGACAAGCTGATTCCAAAATGAAGGCAAAAAAGGAAGAAAAGATCAAAGACTCATTTGAGGAAGAACAGTGTTGGAGGTCATACAGCACCAAATATTAAGAGATATTGGTGCAAGGAGATGCAAAAAAAAACTGATTCAGCAGAATAGGGAGACCAAAAATAGTCTGATGCATATGTAGTCACTAAATTCTGATAAAGATATTGCTAAAGTAACCGTGGAGAAAGGTAAAGTTTCTAGATCAAGTAGATACCAAGTTACCAAGGTAACTTTGACTCTATCTAATACCATACACAAAAAATAAATGCACACAGATTATAAAATTAATTTGAATTGTGAAACAAGTTTCTTGAGGATGAATGGAATATTTTCCTAATTTTGAACTAAGTCAGGTTTTTGTTGATACACTTGGAAAAAATTGAAACATAATTATAAAGAAATTGACTGATATATTATACTTTGCTAAAATTTATTTTCCTCAAAAGTCACCATTAAGAAAGCCAGGATGCAAGGCAACAAACGGGAGAAGATATTTACGATGTATATCTAAAACAAAGGACTCATATCTAGGACATATATAAAGAACTTTTATAAATTAATAAGAAATTTTCAACAACCTTTTTTTTTTTTTTTTTTTTGAGAGACAGGATATCCCTATGCTGTCCAGGCTAGATTCGAATTCCGGGGCTCAAGGGATCCTCCCACTTCAGCCTCCTAAGTAGCTAGGAGTATAGGCATACAACACCACCCTGGGCTACAACCTAACTTTTGACACTTAGCAGGGGAAAATAACTAAGTTGTCAATAATCATATGAAATGGTGCTCAATATGATTAGTCATCAGCAGATACAGAAGTGCTTTATAAAACCTAGGCTTTATATGTCTACTACTTAGTCACATAATCTGTCCATATGTAAAGTATGATCTAATGCTACATAATTCAGTAGAGATAGAAAGTATCTAAAATAAACTAATAAATTATATTTTATGTAACTATTTTACTACAATTTATATATTTAAAAATTTTGTGATTATATGTTTGAAATATTTCAAAAATTTTGAAATATGAAGTAGTCTTCTATAGTTATGATCTAACCATAATCAACCCATGTATTAGTTAAGAGCTAATTATTTAGGACATTTAGAACAGAGTATTTTTATGTAAAAAATTTGGCAAACATATTTTGTTTTCAGGTACCTTGTGAAAGTGTTTTGAATAATCACTTCATTTTTACAGCTCAAATAAAACAAATGGAGACAATCTTGGGATTTTACTTTATAAATATATATATATATGTATGAAGAAATGTTATTCCAAATATTAAAATTGCACTTATGTCTAGAATTACTTATTGTTATCATTATTATTATTTGGAGAAAATGTTTGGCTTTATTACCCAGGCTAGAATGCAGTAGCCCGATCTCAGTTCACTGCAGCCTCTACCTCCTTGGCTCAAGACATCCTCTCACCTCAGCTTCCCAAGTAGCTGGGACTACAGGCATGCACCACGACATCCGGCTAATTTTTGTATTTTTTTGTAGAGACAGGATTTCACCATGTTGTCCAGACTGGTCTTGAACTCGTGAGCTCTAGTGATCGCCTGCTTCTGCCTCCCCAAAGTGCTGGTATTACAAGCTTGAGCCATTGCACCTGGCCGCTTACTTATTTTTTAAGACAAGGAAAATGCACACAATATCAAAATAGCCAGGTCCACACAAGTTTTATTTAATCTTAACAATCATGCAATACAGGTGATGTGAAGAAAATACCAAGGATGTGTGCAAAAAGGGGTGTATTTTATGTTAAAAATCTTTAAAACAATGATAAAACCAACTAAAAGACAGTTTGCTTGTTGATTTTAAACAATGACATTGATGAAATACTGCATCTAGCAGACTGCTTCTGCTGCCCTTCTTTTAGATACCACTGATGGGTACAGTCCATTTTGCAGGAAAAAAATGGGATGATAAATATATGATAAATCAACATCAATTAAAGTATCAGACAGAAACTAAATTTTTTGACTTCTTTTTATAAAAAATAAAAATGGTTACTCCGTAAAAGCCTACAAGTTGAGTGTATTTTTCCTCAACAAAAATCATATGCACATAAATACAGAGTTTCCAACTGAAATCATCAAAATCCATGAGTGTAACAGCTGAGTAACTAAAAATTCAATTTAGAATTATTTCATAGTGGTTTGCTATCCTGTTTGTTTACTCTTCACTGGAGGCATTTTTAACTGAATGAGAAAACGTCATGTAAATGACTGTGCTGGATGCATGGTGTTAAGAATGAATTCATATTTATTTACGTTCACAATGTTGTTTAGCTTGAAGACCACCTGTCCCATTAGAAGAAAAAGTTAAACTTGAAAGGGCTGTTATGAAAGTATAATTCATCAATCATATATGCATATGTATTAATCTGACAAATTCATAATATTACTCAGCCTTCTGAAACTTTAATAATGAATGATTCTAAAACTTTTAATGCATGAATTGCAAATGTGTTTTCTTTGTGTGTTGTAAGAGATTATTTGAAGGCTTGATATTGCAAAGAATTGTAATGATCTATTGGAAATTTACTTTGTGATGTCTCAGTTGTTAATACATGTATTAAAATGTAAAACAAATTCTACTTATGTCACCTTAATACATGCTGCTAGGTTATTCATAATCCCTGTTAATGTTTTGCCTAATGGAAAAGTGTATTTTATATCAGGTCAGTATATAAATGCAAAAGGAATCCATATATCTGATTCACAAACTACTCACTAAGGCATCACTTTTTTAAAATGCTGTCTAGCTGCCAAGTAATATATTAAATTATAATATTATTGAAATATAAAGATAATTTATTAGACAATTTTCTAGAAGACTTTTTTCTTAACTTTATTTTATTAATATGAATTCTAGATTTCAATTTAATTGCAGACACATTATACTTGCCTTATGAGGGCAATAATAAGGTAAATGAATAATTTATTTGTAAGTATTGTGTTAAGACACATTCAAATTATTTTATATAGGCTTATTCCGTACCTCTAACATTGCCTTTTTATTGTTTGTTTTGTTCACTGAAGTAAATGTCAACAATGTATTACTTAAACTAATTAACATGGAAAGAATCATATCTTCTACCAGTGGAAATGCCAGCACTATCATGTCCTATAATTCATTTTCAAATGCTGAAAGATACAATTATACAGAAAAGGAACTGAGTATCTTGATGATATGAAAAGTTCTTCAGTTGAATTCACAGTAATGTTGACACTTAACATTGACAGTAGTTCAGATCCTGAAAATACTGGTTTAAAAAGGATCAACCTAGAAATTTCAGGTAGAAGACAGAAAGGCATTTAAAACCCAAGAGATGGCCAGGCACAGTGGCTCACACCTGTAATCCTAGCGCTTTGCAAGGCTGAGGCAGGCAGATCACCTAAGGTCAGGAGTTTGAGACCAGCCTGGCCAACACGGTGAAACCTCGTTTCTACTAAAAAACAAAAATTAGCCAGGGGACAGAGTGAGACTCTGTCTCAAAATAAATAAATAAGTAAATAAATAAATAAATAAAATAAAACCCAAGAGATCCGAAGAATCAACATTAAGAAACTAACTTCACAGGTTTCTGACACAAATTAAAAAGCATTTAAAGACAAATTAAAAACAAAAAACAAAGGTAAACCATGGCTATCAAATTCCAAGAATGAGAAATGTAAAGTCTATTGCTAGTTTAGTGTATTTCAGCAGATAGAGTAAGCTGATTTTTACACAAGAGATAGTGTTTTAACTAAGAGTAGATCAGTGTATTTATTACTGCAATGTCCTTCAAGGGATCATATTTAAACATAAAAATTGCAAGTTAACAAAAGGGTAAATAATATGAACTGCCTTATGATGAAGCCAAGGAGCCAACAGGGGAAGATAAAAAGGAGAATATTGACACCAAATCCACATCGTTTTCATTTATCTGCTGTTTATTTTTCTAAATTTGTTGTTTCTGTTTTAAACCTACTTTTTACATTTAATAATTAATTATTTTCAGATAAGTGTTGTTCTATTTTCTCTTTTCAATTTCTTTTAGGTAACTTCCATTTCTTTTCCTGCTATGATCAATGCCTCCCATTTTCCCAGAAGTTTTCTAACCACAATCAATTTCTATGAGAGACATTGTTGAAGAATTTCATGAGTCAGAGGAATAATTAGCTTCTCAGGTGCCCCAAACTCTAATATTATATAAAATACACATTATAGTTCATCTATGATACTGATTTCTTGGGGCTGAGCATTTTTTAGTAGAAATAGATGTAAGTGCTCACTTTAGGCAAAGTAAGTTGCTGAGAGTAGTAAAAACTAAAGGGTGGAGGATTATCGATGAGAAAGAAAATCATAATCTATTTGAAGATTTATTGTTAGTTTATTTTTTTAATTTACATTTTTAATTTTTGTGGGTACATATATTAATGAGGTATATGAGATGTTTTGATACAGGCATGCAATGTCAAACAATCACATCAAGAAGAATGGGGCATCCATCCCCTCAAGCATTTATCCTTTGTGTTTCAAATAATCCAGTTACACTCTTCTAGTTATTTTTAAATGTACAATTAAGTTATTGTGTATAATCACCTTGTTATCCTTAGCAAATACTAGGTCTTGTTCATTCTTTCTTTCTTTTTTTTTCTTCTGTATCCATGAACCATCTCCACTTCTTCCTCAGCCCCTCACTGCCCTTCTTAGCCCCTGGTAACCATACTTCTAGAATTTATATCCAAAATTTCAATTGTTTTAATTTTAGATCCCACAAATAACTAAGAACATGCAATGTTTGTCTTTCTATACCTGGCTTATTTCAGTAAAAATAATTATCTCCAGTTTTATTGATGCTGTTGAAAATGACTAGATCGCACTACTTTTTTATGACTGAATAGTACTCCATTGTGTACATGTACCGTATTTACTTTATCCATTAATCTATTGATGGAAACTTACGTTGCTTCAAAATCCTAGCTATTGCAAACAATGTCACAACAAACAAAATTGCAGTTATCTCTTCAATATACTGATATCTATTCTTTTGGGTATATACCCAGCAGTGGGATTGCTGGATCATATGGTAATTCTATTTTCAGTTTTTTGAGGAACCTCCAAACTGTTCTCCACAGTAATTATACTAATTTACATTCCCACCACAAGTGTACAGGGGTTTCCTTTTCAACACATTATCTCCAGCATTTGTTATTGCCTGTCTTTTGGACAAAAGCTATTTTAACAGGAGAGAGATGATATCTCATTGTAGTTTTGATTTGTATTTCTGTGATGATCAATGATGTTGAGCACTTTTTAACATGCTGGTTTGCCTTTTTTTTTCTTCTTTTGGGAAATGTGTATTCAAACATTATGCCCATCTTTTGATCAGATGATTATAATTTTTCCCATAGAATTGTTTGAGTTTCTTACATATTCTGGTTATTACTCCTTTTTCAGAGGGGTAGTTTGCAAATATTTTCTCTGATTCTGTGGGTTGTCTCTTCACTTTGTTGGTTTTTTCATTTGCTGTGCAGAAGCTTTTTAACTTGATGTGATCTCATTTGTCCAGTTTTGTTTTGGTTGCCTGTGCTTGTGGGATGTTGCTCAAGAAATTTTTGCAGAGACCAATGTTATGAAGGTTTTCCTTAGTGTTTTCTTGTAGTAGTTTCATAGTTTGAGGTCTTAGATTTAAGTCTCTAATCCATTTTTTATTTGATTTTTATATGTGGTGAGAGATAGGTATCTAGTTTCATTCTTTTGGAGGCGAATATCCAGTTTTCTCAGCACCATTTCTTGAAAAGGCTGTTTTTCCCCTGGTGTATGTTCTTGGCAAATTTGTCAAAAATGAGTTCACTGTAGATGAGTGGATTTGTTTCAGGGTTCCCTACTCTGTTCCATTAGTCTAGGTGTCTGATTTTATGCCAGTACCATATTTGAGGATTTAAATCTGGGCCAGATGGTGTAGCTCACACCTGTAATCCCAACACTTTGGTAGGCTAAGGCAGGAGGATCACCTGAGGCCAGGTGTTCAAGATTGGCCTGGACAACATAGTTAGACCTCCATCTCTGTAAAAATAAAACATAAAAATTAGTCAGGCAGGGTGGTGCACTCCTGCAGTCCCTGCTACTTGGAAGGCTGAGAAAGGAAGATCACTCGAGTCCAGGAGGTTTAGGCTGGAATGAGCCATGATCATGTCACTGAACTCTAGCCTGGGAGATACAGCAAGACTCTGCATATTTTTTAAAATGTGAATATTAGAAGTAATGTATTTACAGAATAACATCTTAAGAAGTATAAACTGATATTATATATTTGTAATGATCTGGTTTTCAGCAAGATGGGAGCAATTCCAGGTCTTCTATTTCATCGTCGAGTAAATTTACATTTCTCTGTGATGACTTGCTGGACAATAAGCAGCAATTTAAAATAATCAAAATACCATGACTCTTACAGTGGATAACTGAAGTCTAGGGCCAATAATCAAAATGCAAGTCAAAATTTATTTGTGGGTCAATTTAGTGACTTTTTATCAACAGTTAAAAAAATCATAGACCAGAATAAACCAAAACATTATAGAAAAGAATTGAGTTACATACAATAGGATAAGTCCTGGTTTGTAAAACATGTTTTGCACGTGTGTGTGTGTTTCAGTTACATATGTATGCATATACCATTGCAGTGTAAAAAAACATTTCTTGTGTCATAGTCACAACATTTTGAAAGCTACTGTCTTAGTATATGTATAATCACTTTGACAGTAATATATTTCAACAGATAACTAAATTTGATAATTATTTTAATAGCAATATTTGTAATGTAGTGAAATAGAACAAAATGGCATAGGAAAGCCAGTTAGGTAGATGTTGTAGTAATATAAAAGAAAACAGACAATAAATCAAAGAAAGTTTATTTTACGGAGAGAAAGAGGAGTGTTAAGAAAGACTGGAGGAAAGAAGGATAAAATTCAATAAAATGTTTTGTCAAATTCAGAAGAATTGGAAAAGTGATTATGGCATTAAAAATATAAGGATATCTTAGTGTTGATAATATAATGAAAAACAAATTCTCAAAATGTGATTTCATAGAGTTTAAAAGAATCACACGAGGCAGAACAATATAATGCAGAAGCTTAGGTCTCCTGCCCAGTGTTTACTATAAATCTCTAGAGTCGCAGCCCAGGAAACTATATATTTAATAGACATCTCAGATCATTCTTATGCGCTCCAATAAGAATAACTCCTGAATGTTCTAACCTAAAAAGATCTTCTTTTATTAACTCTGAAAATGTTCACTGAGAGAATGATTTAACTACACGTCAGCTCACAATTTTCTCACAAAGCTAACTATGTCTTTAGTGTTGTAAGAAAAAAAAATTGGCATGAAACGAATTCAGATGAAATTCTGATTATAATTAGAGTAGTATCATGCCAAATGTATCTAGTACTGGAATTTTTAGAAGTACATAGGATAAGTGTGATCCTGCAAGCCAATGCTCTAGAGTAAGAATAGAATGTGATAGAAAATTAATTTCAGCATTTTTCGATCTCATGCTTCTTCTAAAGTACATCCTTTGATATTTACTTATTGGGATGCAAGAACTATCGAAGCATTGAAAGCCACTTGGTATTTTGAAAGAGAATTAAACATCATCTAGTTAAAAGTTCCGGTTGAGGTTGATTATTTGTAGGCAAAGCACTGCAATTAGCATTTAAATAATTCAATGTTAGAAACCATTTTCTCTGAGATTAACAATGATTCATTCTCACATGCTGTGTTTTTAATCAAAGAGGTGAAAGATATAGAGCATGGGACAGGAACAAAGATGTCTAGTTACAAACTCACTCTTGCGATTTGCTAGTAATGTGCTTGCCTGCATGTTTAAAAGCAACTCAGAAGAATGTGATGCGTTGCCTATTCAATCCTTAATGAGAATGTAAATGAAGGATTATTGGTTCCACCAGCAGATGATATTTCTTTAGAAATATTGCCTGAACCTTTCTCTATTATTTTCCAACTTCCAAAAATCCTGTACAATAATGTATCTCATTAATGATATTGTCATTGTCATTTAGGAAACATGTGGAGCCCTCCAAAGTCATTATTAATTATAGACACATGCATCAAAGCAGAAAAACTCAAATTCATCACTGTATTTGTTAATTAGCTAAAAAAAATCAGTCCCATTTTATCACCATTTCCCTGAAAATAACCTCATTATTATTTTTTTATTAAGTATAAATTTTTTTTTTCCAAAGTGGCCACTGATTAAAAGAACCATAATACACTTTTCAACATAAACTACTCAATTTATTCTGGCACAAATTGTCTCAACCGAAAGAACACGGTAAATATCACAAAAGCAAAGAGTTTTTTTTTTCTTTTTTTTTTCCACTCTGCCTCCATTAAAATGGTCTGATTGCCCCTTGTCCATTTCTAAATGATAGATGATAACCTCTTCGCTTTTGCTTTTCTTGTCTATTATGTCCTTTATAGAAAACCTAAAATGAGGCATTTCCTGCAAGCCTGCAGAGACAGAGAAGACTGAATAGGAAGCTGAAAGGGAATATAGAGACCAGGATAAAAGGCAGTTATTAAATTTGTGAACTCTATCAGAAGACAAGAAAATAAACTGTACCACTGGCTGGAAGGGTAGTGAAGTATGACATTTCATTTTTATGCAGGTCTCAGCATGAAAGAAGTAACACATTGAAGAACACTGTAAAAAAGCAGTTAGTGCATTCATTGAATGCCAGCATGGCTCCTCTGCTGTTCTTTGGTTGATCCTTTTCTGTGTCTTTGTGGAACAGTGGTTTAGAGATTCATATATATGAGATCAGACCCACCATCACCCTTTGTGAATTTTCATGATGAGAGGCTGAAAACTCATTCTATGTAACTCCATGAGATTCAGGTCCAGGTGTGCTTTATATTCTTCCACACTTTTCTCTTCTTCAATGAATCATGCAGCCTCATGCAGTCTGTTGCTCTCTCACTCATAGACACACACAGAGTCTCATAGAGGTGTATACAATGTTTTCATAATGAAAATTTTTAGACATTTTGGTGGATATATGATTTTATATTTTGGCACATGAAAATAATATTAAAACTATTTTCTAGTTGTTTAAGTTCTTTTATATATTACATAAATAGATCTTAGACAGATAAATGTGATATCTTTCTCACTTACATATTTGTAACTTCCTATAAAAAATTTTAAATGAGCTGTTCTAAATAGACAGCAAACACAGCATAATTTATATTTTCCTTTCCTTTCACATATTTTCTTTCTTGTCTTCATATTCTCCAAACTTGAATGAAATCTTGTACAGGACCAATTGCTCTTCAGGTATTATTCAGTCACAAAAATAGTCTCAAGTTAATAAGCAAAAAGACTTACCTTGTTTAGGTCCATTGTTCAATGCTCCAAACACTTAAAAATCTTCAAGTTTACCTCCTTCTGTTATAGGAAAGGGGTCCCAATTCAGACTCCAAGAGAGGGTTCTTGGATCTCATGTAAGAAAGAATTCAGGGCTAGTCCACAATGCAAAGTAAAAGCAAGTTTATTAAGAAAGTAAAGTGGTGAAAGTACAGCTACTCCATAGACAGAGTAGAGCTTTCCCAAAAGTAAGAGGAGGAACATCCACCCTAGGTACAATGCTTGTATATATAGAATAAAAAAATGATCATGGGCAGATGTGCTTTGCTACAAGGTTTTGTGATAAATGATTACTTTTCTTAATTACTGTATTTTGCAAGATTCAATACTATTTTTAAACCAAAATTAGGAATTCTTTTGTTCTCAAGATATTGGGATATTAGGACACTCCAAAATCTCGTTCTATTTAGTAAACATTGTTAATTTGTTCCCTTAACCTTAAACATTTAGAAGCTAGGAATGCCTGACTTTCTGGGTATGCAGCCCAGTAACTCTCAGCCTCATTTTCCTAGCCCTCACTCAAGATGGAGTTGCACTCATTTGAACGCCTCTGACACTTCTGCAACTCAAACCTAACCTACGCTTGAAGGTCTAAGCTGGATAGGGGGGCTTTATAAACTGGATGCTATGCCTTCACTCCAAAACACTATAGCGGCCATAGATCTTAGTCTCTCTTGGATGAATTAGGAAAGAAGCAAGAGAAGTCTCCAACTCTGGGTGTTGGTGCCACTGGGTACAAGATGTTCAGTTGCTGAATTTTTGTCTCTGGGATTTTTTTTTCTTGTTGTTACAGCTCTTGACAAAACTCCTGAAACCTGCAATTATACGGCTTTCATACTTTCTCTAGCCAAATGCTCTTTAATACTTCCTTAGTCCTGGAAATTCGGCAGTTTACCATTTCACTGAGATCTCCTTGCCTTCTAAGTGAGACTTCTAAATAGAATTCCCCTTAATATCTCCCAGCAAGTTCACATCTGGTCCCTGGTAAACAGGAATGTCTTTGGTCCACTGGGACAGTACCAGCTCCTAGTAGTAGTGACTTTCTTTTCCTTTTTTTTTTTCTTTAAATTTTGGCCACCTCAAGTCATTGTAGCCATGGTCATTTGTATTTACACTTGTCCATGCACAATCTGAAAATAAATCTATATATCCCATAAACTTCAAACAACACCAGCCAATATCTCCTAATTTTCCATAAAGATTCCTTTAGTTGTTTTGAAAAGAAGTACACCTCTTTTCTACCCACTTTTAAGGAAAAGCACCACATACCCCATTAACTCTTTCTAAGGCTCTTACTCTAATTTTTCCTTACTACATAGAATTTTCAATTCTTTCAAAAAGCCCTAAAAATGATGAGTTAAGTGTAGTAAAATTGATTTTGGCTAAGTTACTTCATTGATACCAAAAAAACAAAAATAGCTTTCTTTGGAAGATATTACCTTATTAACAGCTTTGAGTGCCTAAAACTCACACAACAGGAAAAATCTCATTTACTATCCATAATCACAAGAAAGCTAAAGTGTGTCAAAACTGCTTACATCAACAGATATTTTAGAGTTGCTTGTGGTTATATTAACCTTGCCCACCTTGTATTTCCTTAGCAGTGGTCCTTCCCTTTGCCTGAACACTTAAATTACTGGAGGAACTCCTGAAACTCAGTTGGTTGTTGTGTTGTTTTGTTTGTGTGTTTGGTTTATAGTGTTCAATAGTGAGTTTGCTTATTTATTTTTAACTTGTCATTGTGGAAACATGCACACATGAGTAGAAAGAATAGTATAATAACACCAAGGACTACTGTCTAACAGCCATTAATACATCATCATATTATTTCATCCTTATCTCCTTCTTTCTCCAGCCATTACCCTCCCACAAATGGAGGTTAAAGCAAACCTTAGAAACGATGTCATTTCACCCATAAATAATTTAGTACATATTGATAAATTAAAATACATTTTAAAGCTACCATAATAATAGCGTAGCACCTAAGCTTTTAAGAACTTTTTAAAATATTCAAATATTCTATCAATGTCATTTATCCTTGAATTTTTTAGATATACATTTTAAAGTATATTTGTTCAAATCAGAAGTCAAACATGTTTCTTATATCGCATGCATTTTTTCTTTTACTTTATGAGAGACCCCTTTCTTTGTTTTTTCTTCTCATTTATTCACCTCAGAGAACATCTCTCACATTCTAATTTGGCTGATCTTATCTGTGTTGTGTCATTTAAGATTTTTTCCAACTGATGTCTCTACAGTGAATTATCTGGAAACTAGGTTAGATTTTATTTTCTGTTAACAATACTCCATAGATGATTTTGTGGCATTCATATGGCTAGTGGAAGCCAGTTCACATTGGTGTCTGTCTTCTGATGGCACAAAACCAGTAGTGATTAGTAGTTTCTTGGTTTCTAGTTTAATACAAATTTCCGATTTCATATTGTTCATATCCTACCATTTCTCTATAGAACCTTGTTTTTTGGATAAATAAATTGTAAATAGAGATTATAATTTGAACACTAAGGGGGTTCATTGCTAAAAGGGTAGTCACTGCTTCTAGGCCCTTATAGGAAACAAAAATAAAAAAAAATTGAAAGAGAACAATATTGCATGAATACATGTTAATATGTCAAAATCTAATTTAGGATTACAGTTGTGCTTATTTTAATTCAAATTTGAATTTTTACATTTAAAATCTTTGTTCTACAAAAAATTAGAATACTTACTTATATACTTTATATACAATGTATATATATACATGAATATCTCTACTACATATTATGCACAAATATGTATACATTAATAAACATAAAATTATAATATTATTAATAAATATAAAATTGGATACAGGCTATGATTATTTGCAGTTATTAATTTTCCTAGGATATATCTCACCAGGGCTGTTCAAGCAAATTACTGTACTTTAAAGATACAGAAAGTAATTCTTTCTGCGGTTAAATTACCAATCGAATACATAGAATCACAATGATGTTTTGATGTGTTTTTCTTTTTCTTTTTTTTGCATTTTGCCTTAATATTTTTTAATATTGACAATGTTTGTGTGATTTCAAGATCAATATTATACAAGATATATTCAGGAAGTCTAGCTTCCAATCTGTCTTACCCAAACTGTACTCACCACCTCCTCAATTAATTAATATTTATTAATGTTGAATTTATTTATCAATTTAATTATTTGAACTCATATACACATACTTGGATATATTTGCATTCCATCAATTTATTAGATTAAAATATATGATACTATTTGCATTTTTATAGCTATCAACCCATAGTAGTGTATTGATTGTGTTTTTGAAAACTGTTACCATGGTGTGCATGTACAGTACTTTCTCATAAATTCTGCTATTGATGAATATTTGTATTATTTCCAGTCTCTTGCTATTTTAAATGGCAGTGCAATAGGCATGAGGCATTTTGAATTTTTGAGGAATTAATTCCTAGAGGTAAGTTTACAGGATTAAAAGGTAAACAGAGGTGCAATTTTGTTAGATGTAGCCAAACTAACCTCCAGAGGTATAACATTTTGTGTTATCATTAAAGTAGAAGCATACTTGTTTTCTATTCATTCTTCCAGAGAGTTTGTTATTAAATGTCAAATGTCTCAATGGTGAGATGTAGCATTTTATGTAATATTAATGTGTATTTTTCCTAATTATAAATAATAATTTCTGTAAATTGTTTTTACCTCTTATCCATTTATTATGTGATTTTTTTCAAATAATGTTAGAAATGTTTAATATCTTCAGTGTATTAATTCTTTGTGTGGTATCAAATTTACCTTGATATTCCATTCGTTTTTTACTTTTATCATGGTATATTTCTACATGTGATTTTTTTTTGTTTCTATGTAGTCCTGTGTATTAATATTTTGTACTATACTACTGTATTTGAGCCTTATCTAAGAACATTTCCCTCTAGTCTTTTTAAAATTAAATTGCTCAAATTTTTCTAGCCATAACAAATTTTTACTTTTGTCTATAAATCTCTAATTCACTTATAAATTTCCTATTTTTTTATATATGACATCAGAACCTGATAAAATTTTAATTTTTCCATATTATTATCCAGTTACCCCAATACCTCTTCTCAAAACATTTATCACTTCCCACTGATTTATCTGGTACCTTGTCATACATAAAATATTTAAATATACTTGAATACATTTTTGGATTTTTATTTGTATTAAATGGCTCTGTTTATGAATAAATGCATAAAAAGGTGATAAAAAGACTATAAAGTATTTTAATATCTATTATATTTATCATTATTCAAGAAGAGAGTAAGATTTTTTACTTTTCCTGTCTACTTTTTTATCTTTCAGAAGTGTTTTATAGTTTTAATATAAACTTTGGATATTTGTTAAATTTGTTATACGTACATAATTTTAAATCCTCTCTGAGTGAGTCTGGTTACAGCTTACAATGAGACACACTCAAACATTAGTTTATCATATTTTTGTATTATATCAAAGTTTGTGCTTAATATCAAAATGTTCAATAACTATTGAAGCCCAGTATGAGTTATAAGTGTAAAAGTAGTTACACTTTAAAGTGCAAATTTGTTAAATTAGATTGTTAAAAGTGCTAATACAAAGAAGTATAGCATTTTAATAAAATGTAAAAATTTAGTAAATTGTCAAATGAGAAATTTACTTTGGCAATATGGTAAAATACAGTCTCAGAAAAGCAATGAATATACTTAACATATTCATATGCATATGACTTTGGCAACAAATTTCGGCTCAAAAAATTGAATATATTTAACGTATATTTATACATAAGCATATCTACACACAGACATATATACACAAACAAGAGGACAACAAAAAGTTTCTGGAAAATGGAATTAAAATCTAAAAATAAAAAATATAAACTTTATTTTTTAACATAAGCTATATACATAAAGTTCAACATTGTCTTGTAAATGATGATACCAGCCATTAAGTTTATTCAAGAACTGAGTGTCCTGGGAATTTAGTCATGTCAATGTAGTCTTTTTTACACTATCGCCTGAAGAAAAATGCATACCCTTTAGAGATTTGTTTTTTAATTGAAAAACAAACATAATCAGAGAGACCCAAATCAAACTGTTAATGTGGATGTCTAATAGTGTCCCATCAAAACTCTTGCAAAATTGCCTTTGTTGGATGAAAGGAATGAACAGGGGCATTGCTGTAGTGGAGAAGGACTCTCTGGTGGTTTTCTGAGTGTTTTTCTGCCTATGTTTCGACAAGCTCTCTCAAAACACTTTTATAATAAGAAAATGTTATCTTTATTTGGTCCTCCAGAAAGTCAACAAGCAAAATGCCTTGAGCACCACCCCCAAAAAACTGTTGCCGTGACCTTTGCTGTTGACCAGTACACTCCTTTGACTGGATCACTTCCATTTCTTGGTAGCCATTGCTTTGATTTTGCTTTATCTTCAGGATCATACTGGTAGAGCCAATTTCATCTTCTGTTACAATTCTTTGAAAAAATGCATTAGGTTCTTGATTGTACTTGTTTAAAATTTTCATCGAAAGCCCTGCTCTTGTCTGCAGCTGATTTGGGAGCAAAGGTTTTGACATCTGAGTCACAAGTCTGCTCAGCTTTATTCATTCAGAATTGTGCAAGCTGAACCAATTGTGATGTTTATGGTGTTGGCTATTGCTTGTACTGTCAATCATTGGTTCTTTTTAATAAGGACATGAACAAGGTTAACTTTTTCCTTGCAAATTGATCTGGATAGTCTGCCACTGCAGACTTCATCTTCAACATAGTCTCCTGTCTTCTTAAAATGGGTTAACCATTTGTAACTATTTGCTAATTTTTGGGGGGGATTGTCTCCATTAACTTTTTATAAAGCATCAATGATTTCACCATTCTCCCATGCAAGTTTCACAATAAATTTGATGTTTGTTCTTGACTCAATTTTAGAATAATTCATGCTGCTATGATAGGAGCTCTTTTCAAACTGATATCTTGTCCTTCTTAGCACCTCAAATTAGATCCTGTTGAGACATGTTATAACAAGTTAGCACCAGTTTATTTCTGATGCAAAAAATGTTTTAAAATTCATTCTTTTTTTATATATGCATTTTCCATGAAATTTTTAAGGACCATGGGTGTGTGTGTGTGTGTGTATGTGTCTATAATTCATTGATAGAACTGTGAAATACATATACTACAGGGAACAAAAAACCTAGAAACTGGAATGCCTAAATGGCAAAATTCTCAGCTGGGGAAAATAAAACATATTCCATTGGGGAAGACACTGGGTATGTAAACTTATCTTGAACTTGGTGAACAGCTATAGAGAATGTTTCTCCTGGAAATTCTTAACCCCTCATAAGCATTGGAATGTACATGTTTTAGCTATGATATGTGGCTCATAGAACTTTCTAGCTTTAAGGAAAACTAATATGATTCAAAGTGTTGGTATATATCCTTAGACACTAGACAGAGTCAAAAGAAACTCCCTTCTGGATAAATTTACTTCATATGAAAATTTCAGTATATTCTCCAAGATAATGTTCCAAAAACATTAGTGCTCACTCTCTCTCTCTCTTTCTTCTCTCTCTCTCTCCCTCTCTCTTATATCAAAACAGAAAAAAAACTGCAGTAATGAAATGTTCAGAAAAAAGAAGACACTAAAATTACAAGTGCAGGATACAACACAAGTTTATTTAACATGGTTACATAACTAAAGGAGAAGACTGAAAATATTTAAAACACATGAAAAGAAAGATTAGCCAGAAATTACAGGAGATTTCTCAATGTTAACAATGGAAGTCAGAAGACAGTGGAATGCCTTATTTATTTACTTATTTGTTTGTCTATTTATTTATTTTTAGATATAAAAAAACTCCCTCTGTTGCCCATACTGAATTGCAGTGGCACAATTATAGCTAATTGCAGCCTCAAATTCCCAGCCTTACATGATCCTCTCACCTCAGCCTCCCAAAGTGCTAAGAATATAGGTGTAAGCGATCATGCTCTGCTTTTTAAAAAATCCTGAAGAGGGAAACCAAAAGACTGTCAATTCCATTTTTTTTTTCTAAATGAGAAGGAAATGAGATATTTTTATAAAATAAAAAAGTAGAAAGTTTATTATGTATAATTCTTCTCCAAAGTAATATCTAAAGAAGATACAATATTATACCAGAAGGAAGAAATTTTTTTAAAAAATGGTAATTATGAGGTTAAATGTAAATAAATATTAATTCCAAAAAAATTTAATTAAGAATAAAATATAAGCAAAATATTGCTATGATTTGATGTATGAAATAATTTCTTGAGCCATAAAACATGTTAGTCATAAAGGAAATGTTTATACATTACATTCAAATTAAGACCCCATATCAGAAAATACCACAAAGAGAATAAAAAGAGAAGCCACAGTGACAAATATTTGCAGTGCATATGACTGACAAATAATTATTAGCCTAATTATATGGAAACATATCTACGCATTAACAAGGAATAAAGACCACTCACTAAAAAAAAGGCAAAAATTATGAACATATAGGTATTTGACATGGGAAAATGTTTATTAATACTACAGAAATATAAATTAATATCACAATTATGAAACAGTTCACAATCAAAATTCAAAGTTTGATCCGTACCTACTTTTGTCAGGGCCATAGAGCAGAGCTGTGTGATGAAACTGTAAGGTCCTCTGAGAAGGCTACATCATGATCAAGTCATTGTGACCCCTGTGAGCCACACGTACACGAACAGAAGGTCTCCTGGAGTCAGAAAGTCTGGTAGAATAGGAAAACCACAAAAGAAGAAAGACGTAAGGAAGGGATCCAGTTTCAGCTTTCTACATATGGCTAGCCAGTTTTCCCAGCAGCATTTATTAAATAGAGACTCCTTTCCCCATTTCTTGTTTTTGTCAGGTTTGTCAAAGATCAGATGGTTGTAGATGTGTGGTATTATTTCTGAGGGCTCTGTTCTGTTCCATTGGTCTATATCTCTCTTTTGGTACCAGTACCATGCTGTTTTGGTTACTGTAGCCTTGTAGTATAGTTTGAAGTCAGGTAGCATGATGTCTCCAGCTTTGTTCTTTGGCTTAGGATTGTCTTGGCAATGTGGGCTCTTTTTTGCTTCCATATGAACTTTAAAGTAGTTTTTTCCAATTCTGTGAAGAAAGTCATTGGTAGCTTGATGGGGATGGCATTGAATCTATAAATTACCTTGGGCAATATGGCCATTTTCACGATATTGATTCTTCCTATCCATGAGCATGGAATGTTCTTCCATTTGTTTGTGTCCTCTTTTATTTCATTGAGCAGTGGTTTGTAGTTCTCCTTGAAGAGGTCCTTCACATCCCTTGTAAGGTGGATTCCTAGGTATTTTATTCTCTTTGAAGCAATTGTGAATGGGAGTTCACTCATGATTTGGCTCTCTGTTTATCTGTTATTGGTGTATAAGAATGCTTGCAATTTTTGCACATTGATTTTGTATCCTGAGACTTTGCTGAAGTTGCTTATCAGCTTAAGGAGATTTTGGGCTGAGACAATGGGGTTTTCTAAATATACAATCATGTCATCTGCAAACAAGGACAAAGCTGAAACTGGATCCCTTCCTTACACCTTATACAAAAATTAATTCAAGATGGATTAAAGACTTACATGTTAGACCTAAAACCATAAAAACCCTAGGAGAAAACCTAGGCAATACCATTCATGACATAGGCATGGGCAAGGACTTCATGTCTAAAACACCAAAAGCAATGGCAACAAAAACCAAAATTGAAAAATGGGATCTAATTAAACTAAAGAGCTTCTGCACAGCAAAAGAAACTACCATCAGAGTGAACAGGCAACCTACAGAATGGGAGAAAATTTTTGCAATCTACTCATCTGACAAAGGGCTAACATCCAGAATCTACAAAGAATGCAAACAAATTTACAATAAATAAACAAACAACCCCATCAAAAAGTGGGCCAAGGGTATGAACAGACACTTCTCAAAAGAAGATATCTATGCAGCCAACAGACACATGAAAAAATGCTCATCATCACTGGCCATCAGAGAAATGCAAATCAAAACCACAATGAGATACCGTCTCACACCAGTTAGAATAGCAATCATTAAAAAGTCAGGAAAAAATAGGTGCTGGAGAGGATGTGGAGAAATAGGAACACTTACACACTGTTGGTGGGACTGTAAACTAGTTCAACCATTGCGGAAGACAGTGTGGCGATTCCTCAAGGATCTAGAACTGGAAATACCATTTGATCCAGCCATCCCTTTACTGGGTATATACCCAGAGGATTATAAATCATGCTGCTATAGAGACACATGCACAAGTATGTTTATTGCAGCACTATTCAGAATAGCAAAGACTTGGAACCAACCCAAATGTCCATCAATGATAGACTGGATTAAGAAAATGTGGCACACATACACCATGGAATACTATGCAGCCATAAAAAATGATGAGTTCATGTCCTTTGTAGGGACATGGATGAAGCTAGAAACCATCATTCTCAGCAAACTATCACAAGGACAAAAAAACCAAATACCACATGTTCTCACTCATAGGTGGGAATTGAACAATGAGAACACTTGGACACAGGAAGGGGAACATCACACACCGGGGCCTGTTTTAGGGTGGGGGGAGGGGGGAGGGATAGCCTTAGGAGATATACCTAATGTAAATGACGAGTTATGGGTGTAGCACACCAACATGGCGCATATATACATATGTAATAATCCTGCACATTGTGCACATGTACCCTAGAACTTAAAGTATAATAAAAAAAAAAAAGAAGAAAGACGTTGGTTCCTGCTTCAACTGATTAACAGACCTTGCAACATTCTACCATTGTGACATGTTCCTGTCTTACCCTAACTGATCAGTCAACCTTGTGACATTGTGCCCTGTGACCTCCCCCACCTTGTGATACTGCCCGCAATAAACGGCCCCTAACTATAACTTTCCACTGCTTACCCCTTACCTATAAAACTAGCTCCAATCCCACCACCCTCTGCTGACTCCCTTTTCAACTCAGCCCACTCGCACCTGAGTGAATAAACAGCCTTGTTGCTCACACTTAGTGTGTTTGGGTAGTCTCTTCAATTAGATGCGGGCATAACAGAAACTTTCTACAATGATACAAATGTTCTGTCTTATGTTGTACAACACCAGTTCCGTTCCCCAATTCTATGTGCGTTCATTGAATTCTTGCAATGTGACTAATAATACTGAGAAAATGAGGTTTTAATGTTACACCATTATAAAGATTAACTTTATAGCAATATCTAACTAGCAACCAACATATTTAACAGCACAGTTATGAAGTAAAGATCATTCCTATAGTTTGCTGGTAGAAGTTCAATTAACATAACAGTTCAGAAGACAATTTGTCATTTTCCAGTAATTTGCATGTTCTCTTGCTCTACAGCTCAGCATTTCAACTACTGGACATATTCCTTAAAAAAACTTGATGTGCATGTGCTTTGGAGCCCAAGTATAATAACTTCCATAGCAGATTTGCCTTAACACAAATATACTCAAATCAGGCTGTATATCCAAAAGTTATATAATACATCTATAGATCAGGGCATAATTATAAAATGTAATTTTATGCAGCAGTGACAATGAATAAACTACTATGTATTCCCACAGATAAATTTCAAATACTAATTTTGAACCAAAGAAGCAAATCAGAAAACACATACAATTTTTTTAAAATTTAAATTTTAAGTTTAAAAAATGTAAAATTAAACAACTTAGTTTAGGCATACATATGACATGGCTCCGATAAGTGGAGGAACACCAGCGTCCTTGGTCCTTGCGCCAGTTTGGATAAAATGACACGGGCACCCGTGGAGTGGTTTTAAGGAGCGAAAAGTTATTAGGCAAGAAAGAAGGAAGGAAGAAGAAAATAGATACCCTGTACAGAGACAGAATGGGTGGGGGGCTCCAAAGCTGAGAGAGGAAGCCCTTTGTGCAGCAGAAATGTGGCTGCTTATATGAGGAGGTTGAAGGAGGTGGTGTCTGTTTGCATAGGGCTCAGGGGATTGGTTTGACCAGGCATGTCAATCACGTGGCCTGTGAAAAAACTGGCCCTCCCACCCTAGCTTTTTAATAGACAAATGCAGGGTGCCATGATGTCCTACAAACATGGGGATATATGGGGGTTGCCATGTTGCCAGGCACCTGTGAGGGCAAGGAAGAAGAGGTCTGGAATCGCCATGTTTGGGTGGACCCAGTTTCTAATGGCCAGCGTTTGCATATCAAAGGTTGCTGGCCAGGCTCTAAGAGCTGAGACTTTCCTGCTAGACAAGAAACATTTCTGGAGCTGCTTTAAAACAGACAAAAACTTCCCAAGGACCCCTTTTCCTCTCTATGTGCCTAAAATAATTTCTTAATAACTCCTATAACACACACATTAGCTAATAAAGTATATTTTTTAAATCAAATGATATATCTCAGCTAGCATTTCAATCTGGAATAGCGGCTTAGAAAGAAAAAAAAGAGTAGAACATAAGTGGTATAATTATTGATAATGTTTTATTTTTGTTGATCATTCAATGGGTGTCATTTTATCATTATTAATTTAACTAGATGAGCATTTTTATATGTATGATGTTTTTCTTATTTTAAAAGAGTTAAAACATATGTCACTCATATGATTCTGTATTGATATCATGCCTGTCTGCATCAATTAGGTTATGAACACTGTGAAGGCAGATTTAGGTCTTACTCACTGGTAAATAATTGATACAAATAGGTACTCAATATATAAAAAATAGTCAGTTGTACAATGCGGGAAATATTGTGGCTATCTGACCACTAATCATTAAGAGAGAAGGAAAATTAATTGATCAAATTGAGGAGGAGGAGCCAACATTTTTGAGTGGATGACTATTAGAACAGTCTCAGATTCCTGTACCTATAAGTTCTGTGTTGATTAAACAAAAGGTCAAAATATAAAGCCCAAGCATCATGAAGATGATACAAAATATTTTTTATAAGCCAAAAGTGGTCCCATATATTTTATGAAATTAAAAAGATAGAAATAAAGAACTCGATTCTTCCCTATTTACTTTTGTGTATAATAAAATAACATCATATGGTGACATGTCTCTCCTAACCTCCTTTATCACTGTTATACCCCTCTATAATTAGGCTTAAATGCTATTCTAAGTAACAGAAAACTGAGTTTAATATAGCATTAATTTTAGCTAATAAGATTTTTCTTATTATCTTATAATACAGTATGAAGAAGCAATGTTTTGGCAAATAATTATTTTCCAACAGTTATGGTAAGCTCTGAGGGTCCAAAGATGAATAAATGAAAATCCCCTAAGAAGATCACATTCTAGTGTCAAGCCAGATTTGTTTTTAATAACATGAAACACTCATATCCTCCTAGACCCATAAGTTCACGAAAAGAAAAGCTGTCTTCATTAAAAATATCAATGTTTGCTTAATTCCTCATTAATGTTCTGCAAATAATGGAGAAAATTAATGGTGTGTTTTCCTGCATTTTTCAATTGTGTATGATAATCACACAAAACAAAGCAAACCAAAATAAACAAACAAAAGCAGTCAGTATAAAAAGTAGGAATGAAATCAATCCACAGTTTGATAGCACTAGTTTCCCTGCAGTCTTTCTGCGTGTACTATAATATATTTATGGTAAGTACTTGTGATAACGCCAGCAAAAATTTTCCATCTTGCTTGTTTTATGGCAGTGTACTGAAACACAGAGCGAAGGTCTGTTTAAACCATTTGTCTCTGTTTCTCTTTGCAGAATGCCAACAGATTTGTTTAAACCAAAACAAAATGCATAAACAATCACATCTTCTCTAAGCTAACTCTCTCTACAACTTACACTCCAGAATTTATTTTTGTAATATGCTGAAATTCAGTAACTGAAATTATGATTCTGGTGTTACAGAATTGCTTTTTCCTCAAGGTGAATAATGTTTACTCATTTATTATTCTTTAAATTATTTTCCTGCTTACTGTTTTGGTTTTATAGATTACATTATGCAAATATCCACATTATTGAAAGTAGGGGAATTTTAGGTCAATGGTAGGTTAAATATAGTGTTTTAACTAGTTTTTGGAATATCAGGCCTCAAATGTGCTTTCAGGTTCCTGCTATAATTTAAAATTTTGAGATCACCTTTAAATTTTTCCTGCATAGGTGGCTAACAAATTATTTACTACAGCATTTAGCTGAGTCTAATCGCTTTCACTAGTTATTTGAATACAAGCAGCATCAGCAGCATCTTGTAAGAAATGTGGAATCTCAGACCCTCCGTAATTACTAATCAGAAGCTGCATTTTAACAAGATTCTAAGGTGATTAACATGCACATGAAAGTGTGAGAACCATGGTCCTTTAATTAACAGCCAGGTGAAAGAAGTAGGTATTGTAAAAGGGAGGTTTATTTCTATATTACTCTTATTGGTAGTGCAGAAGAAAATGGCTGCCTAAGTGTTAGTTTTAAGAGGAAGAGTTTATAGAGTTATATTATTTGAGCTTAAACAGATCCTGGATATTACACAGAGAGTAATTTTTACATGAAGAAACCAAAGATATATTGTTTTATCACTTTGGTATTTTGGGAAAGCAGTTAAAGATGTGTATAGATTCATGTAAGAATTATAATTATATATATGTATATAACATTTATAACATTTGTATTTCTTAAATGATGCCACAATTTGTTCTAGGGAATTTATAAGTTTTAGGGGATTTACAATGGCACATAGGATATGAAATGATAAAAATTGAAATAAAATAACAAACAAGAAGGTAATATAATAGATCTAAGAAGAAAATACACGTAAGAAAAATGAATGTCAAATTTAGCTTTATCTTTTTAATATTGAAAATAACAAAGGGAACCTGGTTACTTAGACAAATTCACTGCAAAGATAAGATCAAAACAAACATTTGCTAATAAAAAATATATTATTCTTTGTACAAATTGCAGACAGAAATTTCTCTGCTGTGTAATAAACAATATTTTCAAATTATTCTTAAAAGAGACTCAGAAATGAGCTCCACGAGACTGTATTTTTTTTATAATGGCACTTAATATCAATTGGCAATATCATGTAGAATTACATTTTAGGTAAACAGTTCTGATAGTGGGCCAGTGAGATCTGAATAACCAGCTTTTGCATACTTTGACTGCAATCAATGAGTAAGTAAATTTCAGCTATAGAATATTTTATGGAAAACAATTTCTTTGAATATTGTTTTGATATTACTCTTTTTTGTTGTCTCAATTACAACTGGTACATATAAAAGTTTTCTTTGTATACATGCTCACTCAATTCTTGAGGGCTGCAGGAGAGGAGAGATTTTTCTTGGAAAAAAATCTTGCTACACGACCCAAAGGAGATAACAAGAACATAAGATAATTACTCTCTGCAGTGCCCTAAATTCATTCCTACTATTGCATAATTGCAAGATCATATTATTTGCCTATAAAGGCAGAATCTTCCTTGTCTGAGAATAATAGGTAGTGGGTCTCATTATATGTGCATTATTTTAAAATATTGATAAAATATTTGCAGGACACAATAAAAGTTGAAGTTGAATAGAATATATGTTTTCAGTTTTTGCAGTAGTATTAAAAATTTAAATCACTCACATAATCTAGTTGTTTTACAAAATAACTTTTATTTTTTGCTCATATTACATGAGAGCTGCTCATTGGCTGGAGTTCCTCTGAACTCAGCTGGAATCCATGACTTTCCAGCTGGGTCCAGAGAAACTTGTTCTGGGTACCATGCTGGAGGTAGAGGAGAGAAGCACAAGAGAGCCAGAAAGGATCACACAATCCTATTTAAAGCTTCTGCTATGATGGGGCAATGTTATTGTAGTCCCATCTCATTGGATAAAACATGACACATAACCAAGCCTAAAGTAAATGAGACAGACATTCACGCATCTCTTACAGATGAACTACAAGTTGGGAAAAAATAATTCTATCTAATATAATAAGGTAAAATATTTTCTGCTAAAAGAAACAATAACTTCCAAGGGAAGTACAGGTAGGCTGACTGAGGAGTCAGGGAGAATGGATTTGAATCCTAAATCAATGAATCTCTGTGTTAATTTGGGAAAGTTATTCAAGATATCTGAGGCTTAGATTTCCCCCTGAAAAACAAGAATAATATCCATGCTTATGAATATTTATGATGACAGTAAATTATAAATTTCCCTTCTTTGTTTCCCTTCTTATCTCTTCATTCAATAGTAATTAGAAGGTTTAAGTCTAAATTCATCTGATTCTTAAATTTGTCATAAATGAAAATGACATTTTTCTAGAGGGGGCCAAATTGTTAAGGGGCATTATTCTCCTGAGTACGTATGATGCTCTTTTTTTTTTTTTCGTTCGTGCTAACAATTACTGATTTTTGTAGTTACTGAAAGTTAGCTGTCATTATCTACTTCCCCAAGGTAAATCAGTGATATTTTTAAACTAATTAACAGGAGTTGAGTTTTTTTTAGCATTTTCTTTTGCTTGTTTACTTATTTATTTTAACATTTCAACTTATATTTTGGATACAGGAGGTACACATACAGGCTTGTTACGTGGGAATCTTACCTGATGGCGAGGTTTGGGGTACAGATCCTGTCACTTACATAGTGTGCATAGTACCCAATAGGTAGTTTTTCAACCCATCCCCCACCATCTAGTAGTCTGCAGTATCTATTGTTTCCATATTTATGTCCACATGTGTTCAATATTTAGCTCCCACTTATAAGTGAGAATAAGGAGTATTTACTTTTCTATTCCTGTGTTAATTTGCTTAGGGTAATGGCCTCCAGCTCCATCCATGTTGCTGCAAGTTCAGGATTTCATTATTTTTTATGGCTGCATAGTATTCCATGGTGTATATGTGCCACATTTTCTTTATCCAATCTACCATTGATGGGCACCAGGGTTGATTCCATGTCTTTGCTGTTATAAATAGCACATCAATGAACATACAAGTGCAAGTGTCTTTTTGTCTATTTTCCTTTAGGTGTATACCCAGTAATTGGATTGCTAGATCAAATGTTAGCTCCATTTTAAGTTCTTTAAGACATCTTCCAACTACTTTCCACAGTAGCTAGACTAATTTGCATTCCCACCAAGGGTGTATAAACATTTCCTTTTCTTCACAGCCTTGCCAGCATCTGTTATTTTTTGACTATTTAATAATAGCCATTCTGACTGGTGTGAGGTAGTATCTCATTATGGTTTTGATTTGCATATTCTCTCGTGATGAATGATGCTGAGAATTTTTTATGTTTCTTGGCCACTTGTATGTCTTCTTTTAAGTGTCTATTCATGCCTTTTGCCCAATTTTTTTTTGGTTAAAACCCTATTGGGCTTTGTTTTTTACTTGTTGATTCAAGTTTCCTATACATTCTGGATATTGCGGCTTTGTTGGATGCATAGTTTGCAAATATCTTCTCTCATTCTTTGGTTGTCTATTTTCCCTGTTGATAGTTTATTTTCTGTGCAGAAGCTCTTTAGTTAAGCTTAATTAGGTCCCACTTTCTATTTTTGTTTTTTATAATTAAAAAATAATTTGAAACGAATACAGAATCTACTTAATTGAAACTTTTTTAAAGATTAGAAAATATTTTTTATGTCTTTCAAATTTTCAATTTTAAATTTCCTGAAATGATAACCTCCTTATATTTCCTTGGCCAATGCTAACATATAATAATGACAATTTCCAAAATATTATATTCAAAATATGAGGGCTGTTTTTGACAAATGATTTCCAATCTCTCTTGTTAAGATGTCACATTTATATTGAAGAGCAGTTGCAAGATTTTTTTTTTTTAGTGTCATGTTGTGTTTTCATCATTATAATTGTAATCTTGGTTGACCAATAATTCTTTCTGGTTTGGCTTTTTCATTGTTTTCTTTTGCTTTCATTGTTAATAATTTTTTCATCCGCGTTTTTGTTTAGATATTTCTATGCTATTTTCTACTTGATAATATGTAGTTAAAAACTAGATAATATAATCCATGACTCTACTCAACATCCACATACATATTACAGTATGTCAGAAAACTCTGCAATCAAAATAAAAACTGGGAGTAGAGCTGCAATGTTCTCATCTTTGTAGAAATATCACTAATCTCTCACAATACCTGTAAGTTTTCTCAGATATAGACATAAGAAAGGTGCTATTCTAACTACATGTTAAATGTTATTAAATCTTAATTTTAAATTTTAATTAAACACATATAAAGATATGTTCTAAATTTATCGTCCTATTTTGTAGTATATTATACTCCTCTAGGAGCAAACCCCCCTGTAGAAGACAAATATTTAAAGTACAAATCCAAAGTGTTGTGAAAATGAAACAAAACAAAGCAAGAACTGTCAACATGGTAAGATGACCTGGAGACAGCTTCATGCATAAGCCTAGGTATGCTGCATAGTTTAGTTTGACCCAGCCTTTGGTTGTACAATAATTTGATGAATGTGTTGACTTTCAAATTGTCAGGTGGTTTCTTCATACTTATGTTAACTGTAAGGTAGGTAAGTGTCATAGTCTCTTCAGGCTGCTATAGCAAAATACCAAAAATTGAGTGGCTTATAAACAACAGTAACTTATTTCTCACAGCTCTGAAAGCTGGGAAGTCCAAGATAAAGGCACTGGCAGATTTGGTGTCCGGGGAGTGCACACTGGTTCACAGAGTCTTCTAGCTTTGTCCTCACATGGTAGAAGGGGCCAATGAGTTCCTGTATTATGCTATTCTCACATTGCCTTAAAAAATACCTGAAACTGGGTAAGTTATAAAGAGAAGAGGTTTAATCGGCTCATGGTTCTGCAGGTGGCACAGGAAGCATAGTACCATCTGCTTCTGAGGGGGCCTCAGGGAGCTTTTACTCACGGTGGAAGGCGAAGCAGAGGCAGGCTCCTCACGTGGTAAAAGTGGGAGCAAGAGAGCAAAAGGGGAGGTGCTGCAAACTTTTAAACAACCAGATCTCACAAGAACTCACTCACTATCATGAGGACAGTACTAAGGAGGATGGTGCTAAACCACTCACTAGAAACCTGCACCCATGATCCAATTACCTCCCACCATGACTCACCTCCAGCTTGAGGATTACATTTCAATATGAGATTTGGGTAGGGACACACATCCAAACTATATCAGCTCAGGTGTATTTTGTAAGGGTTCTGATCCCATATGACCTAATATGACTTAATCACTTCCCAAATGCCCCACCTCCTGATATCATCATCTTGGGGGCTTAGAATTTTAGCATATGAAGTTTGGAGGGACATGAACATTTAGATAAGAGCAGTCGGCATCTCTTAAAATTCCAATTTTTCAGTCACCTAACTCAACAACTAACATTTTGGAAGCCATTTTTTTCTATTATTTTAATTGAGATAAAATTCACATTCATAAAACACACCTCCTTAAAATGTACAATGCAGTGATTTTTAGTATATTCACAAAGATGTGTATCAATCAACACTATCTACTTTTAGACGATTTATCACCCAAAATCAAACCCAATACTCATTAGCGGTCACTCCACTTTCTCCACTTCACCAACCCCTTAATCTATCATTGTCTTAATCTATTATTTACATACTCTTGATTGATATCAATGAAATCATACTATATATGCCTTTTTGTGTGTCTGTCTTTATTCACTTAGCATAAAAGTTTTCAAGGTTAATTCATGTTATAGCATCTGTTATTACTGCACCCCTTCTCTAGCTGAGTAATATTTCATCATCTGGATAACTACATTTTGTTTATCTATTCAGTCCACGAAAATTTGAGATTTTTACACTTCCTTGATATAAATAATACTATTATGAACATTTGTGCACAAGTTCTTGTATGGGCATTTGTTTTTTGATCATATATATATGAGCACCCCTTTTGCGTTATATATTAATTCTATGTATAATGTTTTGAAAAACTGTTATACTCTTTTTCATAGTGGCTGCAACATTTTACTTTCTCACCAACTATTTTCAAGGGTAACAATTTGTCCCTATTCTTGGTAATACATGTTATTGTCTGACTTTTTGATTGTAGCAATCCTAATGAACTTGAATCTTGTCTCATTGTGGCTTTAATTCATATTTCCATAATGACTAATGATGTTGAACATCTTTTATGAGCTTACTGGTGTATTTTCCTTAGGAAATTTCTATTCAAATACTTTGCCCAACTTTTTAAAGTTCAGTTGCAAAATATTTTATACTGTCTGGATACAAGTCATTTATCAAATATATAATTAGTAAATATTGTGTTCCATTTTGTGAGTTGTCTTTTCATTTTCTTGGTGGTATCCTTTAAAGCACAAAGGTCTCTTAAAGTGTTGAAGTTCACTTTATCTATTTTTTTATCTTCTGTTTCTTTTGTTTTTGGTGTCATGTCTAAGAAAACATCACCTAATGCAACGTCTTGAAGGTTTACTTCTATGCTTTCTTCTCAGAGTTTCATAGTTTTAGATATCATATATGTTGAATCTAGGATCCATTTTAAGTTGTATTTTGTGTGAGATGCTAGGTAAGCATACACTTTCATTATTTAAATGTGGATATTCAGGTGTCAGCATGTTCAGAATCATTTGTTGAAGAGGCTTTTCTTTACCTTATTGATTACCTTGACTCCCTGTATAAAATCAGTTGGCTGTAAATAAAGGGTTTATTTCTAAAATCCCCATTCAATTTCTTTTTTTTTCTATTGTTTTTTTCTTTTACTTTAAGTTCTGGGATACATGTGCAGAACGTGCAGGTTTGTTACATAGGTATACATGGGCCATGGTGGTTTGCTACACCTATCAATCCATCATCTAAGTTTTAAGCCCCGCATGCATTAGGTATTTGTCCTAATACTCTCCCTCCCCCTTCCTCCCACCTACCAACAGGCCCCGGTGAGTGATGTTCCCCTCTTTCTGCCCATGTGTTCTCATTGTTCAGCTCCCACTTATGAGTGAGAACATGTGGTGTTTGGTTTTCTGTTCCTGTGTTAGTTTGCTGAGGATGATGTTTTCCAGCTTCATCCATGTCCCTGCAAAGGACATGAACTCATTTTTTATGGCTGCATAGTATTCCATGGTGTATATGTGCCAAATTTTCTTTATCCAGTCTATCATTTATGGGCATTCAGGTTAGTTCCAAGTCTTTGATATTGCAAATAGTGCTGCAATAAACATATGTGTGCACATGTCTTTATAGTAGAATGATTTATAATCCTTTGGGTATATACCCAGTAATGGGATTCCTGGGTCAAATGGTATTTCTGGTTCTAGATCCTTGAGGAATCGCCATACTGTTTTCGACAATGGTTGTACTAATTTACACTCCCAACAACCGTGTAAAAGCGTTCCTATTTCTCTGTATCCTCACCAGCATCTGTTGTTTCCAAACTGTTTAATGGTTGCCATTCTAACTGGCTTGAGATGGTATTCCATTGTAGTTTTGATTTGCATTTCTCTAGTGACCAGTGATGATGAGCTTTTTTGCATATGTATGTTGGCCACATAAATGTCTTCTTTTGAGAAGTGTGTGTTCATATCCTTCGCCCACTTTTTGATGAGGTTGCTTTTTTCTTGTAAATTTGTTTATGTTCCTAGTAGATTCTGGATATTAGCCCTTTGTCAGATGGATAAATTGCAAAAATTTTCTCCCATTCTGTAGGTTGCCTGTTCACTCTGATGATAGTTTGTTTTGCTGAGCAGAAGCTCTTTAATTTAATTAGATCCCATTTGTCAATTTTGGCTTTTGTTGCAATTGCTTTTGGTGTTTTATTCATGAAGTGTTTGCCTATGGCTACGTCCTGAATGGTATTTCCTGGGTTTTCTTCTAGGGTTTTTATAGTTTTAGGTTTTACGTTTAAGTCTTTAATCCATCTTGAGTCAAATTTTGTATAATTTATGTGTAAGGCAGGGGTCCAGTTTCTGTTTTCTGCATATGGCTAGCCAGTTTTCCCAGCACCATTTATTAAATAGGGAATCCTTTCCCTATTGCTTGTTTGTGTCAGTTTTGTCAAAGATCAGATTGTTATAGATGTGTGGTGTTATTTCTGAGGCCTCTGATCTGTTCCATTGGTCTATATATCTGTTTTGGCACAAGTACCATGCTGTTTTGGTTACTGTAGCCTTGTAGTATGATTTGAAGTCAGATAGTGTGATCCCTCCAGCTTCTCCATTCAATTTCATTGCTCTGTATATCTATCCTAAAGCCAGAATATCCCTGCCTTGATTACTGTAGCTCTGAAGTAAGGTTTGAAATAACAAAGTGTGAATCCTCCAACTTTATTCTAATATTCCAAAACCATTTTGGATATTTTTAGTTTCTTGGATTTTCATATTAATTTTTGAATCAGGTAGAAAATTTCTGCAAAAAAAATTAACATTGCAGCTATGATTTTCATTGAGCTTCTGTTGACTCTGTAGATCAACGTGGGGATTACTACCAACTTAATAATATTAAGTCTTCTAGTCCATGAGAAAAAGTGGTCATTTTTCCATTGTTAAGTCTTCTTAAACTTTTTTTTAACACTGGTAAAAATTGTCATAGGCAAGTCCTTATTCCTGTATTGATTTAGATCATGTAAAATTATATTCAAGGGCTTTGGCAATCACACTATTTAACTTTCAAGTGGGATATTATCCTTTGCAGCATTTATAGGCATTTAAAAAAATCTAATTTGGAAGATCACTTTGCCATCATGGTAAATGATTATATTTATATTTAATAACAATACACAAATACAAAAAAATTCAATTTTTTTATAGTTACATAAATAGCTTTGGTTGAAGATCCCCGAAACATAATACTGGAGAGTTGTTGTGACATAATATTTATGATTAACTTCATGGTGCTTCCAAAATAAGAGAATTATATAACAGTAAATCACATATGTGATATTTCAAATGAATATTTTACTTACATTTTACAAGATGTTTGCTCTCCAAATTCAACCTAGAAATATGTATTTATAGATAATTTTTGAATCACCGTACTAATTTCAGTAAATAAGGAAACACAACTTAGTTAATATAAAGTTCTCAATTAATAGCGGGAGGAGAAAGAGAAATTGACAATCAGAGTACTTTACTACCTACAATTTTATAGCTATTCTGCAATACTATCTTGCATTAATTGTTTCTAAAATCTGAACTATACTTAGGTTTGCCAGATTTAGCAAATATACATGCATAAAATCTAACATAATTAGAATTTCAAATAAACAAGGAATAATTTTTATTATAAGTATGTCCTAAATATTTTATGGGTTATACTTATACTAAACCATTTATTGTATATCTGAATTTCAAATATATTGGTTCTTCAACCGTATGTATAGTCTGTTAACATAAACTTGATTAGTAACAGGATAACAGATAAAGGAAAACTCTTTTGAATTCAATATATTTCTCTAATAGCTTAAGCAAAACTCCACTTATTAATTTGAAGTCACATAAAAAGAGTTTGTAAACTCCTGTAAGCCAAGATCCTATCTGCATAGTTTTCTTGGGAAAATGTTCTGCAAGAAAAACCATTTTCAATACAATTTTTAATGCTTTATATAACACCGTAACACCACATGGAGTCTTGCATTTTACAGAAAACAATTTGACATGTGATTTCTTAGGTGATTTTATTTAACATTTGCAATTTCACTTTGTCTTCACCTAATTGAAAGAAGTATAATTTTTCTCCACTGAATACTGGTGAGGAAACTGAAATTCAGATAAAATAATTGGTTAAGGTCTTACAGTTGGTGGCATAGGTACTACATGCAGTTAAAAGTTAATTTGTCTCATACTAAATTCTATATTCTTCTCCTACATACTTTTTATGTTTTAAAATTTTGTATATGGCTTCCAAATTTAGTAAATATTAGCTACCTACTTCACTGTATACATGCACACCTGTACTTAAGATATTATCTAAAACCAAAATGAACTGATTAGTAAGACTGAAGATGAAAAAAAAAAAGACTGAAGATGATATTATTTCTAATTGCAGAAAAAACTATAGATTTTTTTATGATTCACAAAGTGTTTATTCAGTTTTATTAAGTGGAAAGAATAGTGATGAATGAAATTGAATTATTATTTTAACCCTCCTAGAGATATTTAAAAGAAAAATTTTCACTAATCCCACTACATGCATTTATTCCTTGAAATGAAAACATTTTAAATTGACATTTAGATCACTAATTAAGAGTGAAACTTAATGTTCTATTGTAGTTAGAACTTTGTAAACTTGATGTTCCTCAATATTGTCCCATGGTAAAAGAAACGTTTATATTTAGAACACTTCATAGCTTCCTAGGTTTTTGGTATATAGAGAAGTGAAACCTTAGCACTGCTTGTCATTTATTGGGTGACAGTTAAGTTTCATTAAGGTGACAAAAACTGCTTTTTTAACATAATTTCTTTGCAGTGATTGAACCAACCACAAATATCAATACATTATAAATGGAATTTTGCTTTAGGCTGAATCCAGTTTAAACATATTTTTTTTCCTGGGAAATTCTTACTTTTAAGGTTCAAGACTATCTACTATGCATATATCATTGGAAAGCATCACCTACTAACCATGAGTCTATGATATCTTTTGAAACCATCAAAGTGAAAAATGAAGGCTTGTTTTATCACTTTAAGAAACTGGCAGGTAATCAACATGGTAAATATATTATATATTAAAAAACACAATAATCTACAACAATCTAGGCTTTTAGTAAGTAATATTTCAAAATTTTGGTACTTGCTCTTTTCTGCTAAACCTAACAGTTTCAGCCTCAGGTTTAGCCAAAGGCAAAGCTGTGAGTTGTTTGAAATTTGCCTTTACAGTTTCCAGCCTCCTTCTCTTGCCTTCTTCTCTCAGAGCAGAATATCTCTGTTCGGTTATCACATGTCCTAGGCAATTAAGCTCTTAAGCATCTTTACAAACTATTTTTCAGTTTTCATTCATAATTTGTGCTATTCCTTATAAAATTATTTATTATTTGACATCTACCTTTTCATTTTTTTAACATAAATTTAGTATATTCTGTGTAAGTTACTAATGCCAAATTCTAGGAAGCAAAGCTCCCTAAAGAGCTCATAGCCTGTTGGCTAGATAGAAGCAAAGAAAAAACAAGAAATAGGGATATCCTAAAGCAAAATAAATGAAATGGATTAAACCAGAAAGACTGAGAACAACAGCAAAAAGCCAAAATGTGAATATATGAGTTCCTGAGATTCATGTGGACTGCCACCAGAAGAAATATTCATAACACAAAAAATTTGAAACCAGAGATGTCTAAAATGTTTAAAGTTGTCTTATAAATCAACATGAAATCAATATAAAGGTAGACAAAAAGCATGTAGTATTTTCATATAAAAGACAATTGTCAATAGCCATGTGAAAAGATGTTCAAATTCATTAGTGATTGTGAAAATACATAAAAGACCACAATGCATTATGACTGCATGGATCATACTGGCAGAAAGTTGGCAAGTTTTGTATTACTAAGTTTTGGGTGAATATATAGCAATAGAGACACATATATTTCTGGGGAGATCACAAATTGGTTCAACAATTTTTAGAAAGTTATGGGATGTTATCCACTAAAATTAAATATGAACATACTCTATAGCTTAGTAGTTCAATTTCAAGGCTTAGCCTACTGAGAGATTCTTGGGCACTTTCACAAGTACAAACTCTTCATAGCTGCATTGTTTATAAAAGCTAGTGATTATGAACAACTTAAATATTTGATGTAAGATTCAATAAATAAAATATGTCATATAATTTATAGATGTGAAAACACATAAGCTATATTTATGTCATATAGATTACTAATATGAATGAAAATATTAGAAGATATTGCATGAATAAAAACAAGCAGCAGAAGAACACATAAAATTTAACAGTATTATTTATAAGGCTTCACAAATTTCCTCACGCATTTTATACATGTGACAAAATAAACAAAGAGAAATGATAATGAGACATTCAAAATCCAGAATAAACACAAATGTGTTGGAAGGCAACAGAGTCTCTTGGGAATAATTGAACAAGTAGATTTAATGTAATAATAATGACCTAATTCTCAAGTCATTTGATTTGTTCATGGGAGTTACTTTTATTACTGTATTTGAAGACTTGTGTGAGTGTGTAACATTTTATAAGACACCTAAAGTACTGAAAAATAAGCATATGTGAATTGGAAGAAAATTTTCAGTGTTAAGATGTATTCCAGATTAGAAATATATTAGGAGTATAACAATGGAAAAGAAGGTTACAATTATTACCATTTGCAATAGATATGATTATGTATCTGGCATAACCACAAAATTCAAGGAATAAAACTAAAGATGACTAAAGCAATAATAAAATGCAGTTAGTTACAGAAGTACAAAATTAATACACATACGTTACCACTGCTTATGTTTCAAACAGCTATTTAGAAACTATTTTAATGAAAGCAATGTTACAATTTAAAGAAGTAACAGGAAAGATAAAATTCCTAGGAATAAACTTAAAAAGAAATTTGAAAGAACTATATAAAGCAAATTTTAAAACACTACTGAAGGCACTAAATACATTTTGAATATATGGAAATAATTATCATGCTTTTAGATAGGAAAAGTCAATATTAAAAAGTCAATTCTTTGTAAGTTGATAAGGTCTAGAAAGAATACCGGGGCCTGTTGTGGGGTGGGGGGAGGGGTGAGGAATAGCATTAGGAGATATACTTAATGTTAAATGACGAGTTAATGGGTGCAGCACACCAACATGGCACATGTATACATATGTAACAAACCTGCATGTTGTGCACATGTACCCTAAAACTTAAAGTATAATAAAAAAAATACGCTGGTCAGAACCCACTAAATTCATCCATTACTGGGTTGGGATCACAGTTTACAAAATACAGGTCTCTGTCTATCTCCCGTGATAACAACAGATCTTGATGATTACTTCTGGAAAAGGGAACTCAGTGGTTGAGTCAGGGGACTCTTGCTTTTAATTGTCCCTCCTTTTGAAACTTTTATTTTTGTATTATTTGCATGTACGTATTCAATAAATAAATGCTATTTTGACTCAAAAAACAAATTTTGACAAGTT
Source organism: Homo sapiens (assembly GCF_000001405.40). NCBI lineage: Eukaryota > Metazoa > Chordata > Mammalia > Primates > Hominidae > Homo > Homo sapiens. The sequence goes on along the minus strand of NC_000014.9, from coordinate 27,903,147 downwards.
GATTTTAACATTTACTTTGAAAAAAGCAGACAAACAATGATAGCCAGAAAAAAAACAATAAAAACAAAAACAAAAATAAAAATTAAAAGAATAAGAGATACTAGTTTAATAGTTATTAAAATATATACATGAAATAATTAAATATATATCAAAATACTTCCTTAGTTATCTAAAATCAGTTTTTCTGGAAAGCAAACTCAGTTGGAGATTTGTGTGCAAGAAGCTTATTGAGGAATGGACTCAGGATAAACACATGAGAGGGAGGAAATGGAGAAAGATTGGATGAAGAAAAAAAGTTGATCTATGATGCAGGCAATTCCACAGAGTATTCTTAGAGATGTTCCACCTGAATAAATGAGGCTGGGGCTTTGAATCCTAGCATCAACCAGTGATTGAATGTGAGTTGTCTCCAAGGTGGGGATGTGGCCTTAGAAAATACCCTGGCTAAGGATAGTCTCATTCACACTCCCAACAGTGGTATAAGAGATTTGGTTGTTGTGTTTTGGTTTTGGGTTCTCTCTCCCAGGAGAGTGGGTATAAACTCCAAACATGCCATAATAGGGTTCCTGTGGAGGAACTGTGAATTTTACAGAGTGTTTTTCATGGGATACTTTTTATTGTGGCAGACAGCCTAACGCCTAATGCCCAGTGCCCAAGTGTGACCAGGAGTCCCTCTCACAGAAAAGTTAATCACACTGGCAGACAACCTAATAGCTCTTGTCTAACCTATTTCCAGTGTATTTGTACCAACTTAGCTACTCCCTAGGAGAGCCTTGACTGGGAAAGAGGTTAGATTTGGGTGTGTCAGTCAGGTAAGACACAGAGGAGGCAACCCAACAAAACACATGAAATAACAAAAACAGTTTATTATTTACAAATACAGAGAGAAGATGGAAGTACACCTTGAAGAGCCAAAAGGAAGGTGAGGGAGGTGTCCAGGACATGCTTGCCCAACCAGAAGATACAGAGCAAAAAAGAGAGAGCAAGGGACCTACAGGCACAGGCCTTTACCGGGGTCCATTGTGTTACCTAGGTAGATTTCCCCAGAGGAGTTCTAATTGGTAGATTTAGAGCAGTCATGAGTTCCATGGAGTCATGCTGTGACCAAGAGGTGGTTGCTGTGGTGTATCTGTGAAGTCCACGCAGGATTTGGGGGTCAGTGGGGTAAGACAGTCAGTTGTATCTAGCTATCGCATATGGAGGTAGTCACCAGAAGGTCGTTGTATGAGGTAGATGTTTGATCAATCACACTGAGAAATGGAAAGAAGTGGAGAACTGAAAATTGTGTCAGGGATGACTAAGCCATGCTCCTAGTATAGAAAGTTATTCCTGTTTTCAAATGGATGGTGAGGAGACATCAAATCATAAGAATTCACTACATTGGGCAGCGTATCACAGCATCCACTACTAGCTTGTAATGGACCTACTTGCACCACTCATTTCTACTTACCTAATATAAAAAGTTCTAGAAAATATTACTGCTCTGAAGCATTTGAAAGAAAAGTGGCAAACATGATAACCATGTACCCATAAATGATTTTATGTGTACTTCCTAAGAAGAAGGACATTGTGTCATATATTCACAATTACCAAAATTAGGGTGGTAGAATATTGTTTTATCTATTCACTGTTTCTCCTTCCTCATATGCCCCTTTCTGCTTTTCCTACTCCAATTGGTGTGTTGTTCTCAATAATCCACTAAAATCACTCTTGTAAATGTAGCCAATGCTTTGATGACATTGGCTATTGACTATTGAGTTAGTTCTCCATTCTCTTCTTTTTTTAATCTCTTGGTAGCGACTGTTCAACTGATCAGTCTTTATTATTATCGTTAATCATTACTTTATTTTTACTTAGCCCATAGTGTATCATACCCTCTTTGTTCTATTCCTACTTCTATAGCAATAGTTTCTCAGAGCCCATGCTGTTGCATCTCATCTTACAAACTTTAACATCTTGAGAGGTCAGGGCTCCATTATGAGCTTTTTCTAATTTCTATGTACACCCATTCCTGGGTGCCCTCATACTGCTCAATGAGTTTAAATAAATTGATGGCCTTCAGATTATTATCTCCTGCCATGACCTCCCCTGTGATTTCCAAACGTATCCAGTTGCCTACTTGACATATTCCCACTGATATTTAATAAACATCTTACATTTATCATGTAAAACAGAACTCTTAATTTCTCCTTAATCTCTTTAAACCCTGCCCTAGGCTTTTCAGTAAGAGGTATTTTCATAGCCTTACCCCAGGTGCTCAGGCCAATAATCAAGTATTCATCCTTTATTTTTCTCTTTGTCTACTTTTCAGGTATCTTTCTGCAAATACTATGTATTTCAATCATCAAACTATATTTTTAATTCAATCAGAAATCTTCTATTTCTGATTTTTTTCTAAGCTAAAATGATTTTTCCCCTGGACTACAGCAATAACCTCTATCTAACCTTACCTCTTTGATTCTACTCCTGGTGTCTCTGTGTCCCTACAGTTTATTCTTCACTTCTTAGGAGAGGAGATACTTTAAAATATAATATATTATGAGTTGCCTTCAACTCTCTAATGATTTTGGGTCATACTTGGAATAAAATTTGAAGTCAGTAACATTTCCAAAGTGTCGTATAACATCAGACTTCTGCCAAATTCTTTAACTTAATTTTCCATGACCTTCTAGCCTGCTTACTCCAATCCAGCCGTGCTGGACTTTTTGTCATACCTTGAACATATCAATCACATTTTTGTTTTAGAGCTTTTGCTGGCTTTGTTACTTCTCTTTAGAATATCCTCCATGGAGCTACGTGGCTTGCACACTCACAACATTTAAGTTATCTCTTCCTCAAAGATGTCTTACTGGACAAGCCTATCACTCATCTCTATTTCCTATTTGTAAAATATCTCAATCCCACATGACCATCTTTCATCTTTTACCATCTCCTTCAACCATCTCTTTTTTTTTTAATCTGGTTTTATTTCTCTTTAAAAAATATATTAATGGAATTATACTGTGTATTTATTTGATTATGGTATATTTTCCTGACAACAATATAGTCTCAATAAAGGCCAAAATGTGCATTCTATTAAATGCTGTTACCTCAAGGCCTAGAAAATAATTGATAATATAAATGACACCAATATTTATATAATAAATATGACATATTTAATGTTTTCTCTCTTCTTTATAGCATCCATCACAAAATAGAGTTTTGTGCTAATTGTTAATACCTTTCATCTCTCAATTTCTCTTTTTTAAACTCCTAACTGCATTAATCCTCATGTATACATTAAAACATCTGTTGTTTCCTTATAAGAGAATAGGAATTTTCAATAACTGCTGGTTATGAAGACAATTGGTAAAATATTTTTGGAGATCAGCTCCGTAATACCTGATAAAGTTTCAAGTACACATATGTGATAACTAAGAAATTTTTTATCTAATTATATGCCCTAGAAAAAAATATAAGGAGCCATGGGCAAAGATGTTAGATATAAGTGAAATGCCCATAATTAATAGAATAGTTAATGAACCTTGGTTTATTTGTATATTTATATTTAGCAGTTATAATCCATGAACCAGATCTGTATGAATCCCTGTACCTAGGAAATGTAATGTTGAGTGAAGAGAGCAAATATCACAATTTTTTATATTTACAGCAATTGAAAACACTCACTAAACAATATTATATTTGTGTAATGTGTATGAATGAATGTGTGTATAGTTAAAATATAAAGACATGAATTTGATAATAATTTTATGATTGAACCATTGATCCAGGAAAATGGCAAAATCCAAAGTCTCATTCTTTCTTTGTGCTTCCTTCTCTCTGCCCACCCTCTCTTTCTTCTTATCTGCAGCAATTCATAAGTCAACATCCAACTTTCCAGTCACTTTTTTAGGTTAATTCATTAACCTAAGAACTTGAATAACAATTTTCTAAATCTTCATATTTCATATTAAATGCTATCTTTAAAATGTATTTGTTCTCATGCTTCGCATTTTTGTATATAATCTCAGGGATCTCTACTCAGAATGTGTGAATGGCATAGTAATGTCCCATGTTGTGATATCTTTGTCAGGTTTTGATATAAAGATAATGTACGTCTCATAAAAAGTTTTAGATAAGATTCTCTTTGTTTCTATTCATTTTAAAAAACTCTGTTGAGAATTCCCTGTTGAAAAACATGTGGTTCCCAAAATTTCACTGGGGAACATTTTAAAATTAAGAGTCTAGTTACCAAATACTTACAGAATTAATTTAGTCTCATATTTATATAAGCCTCTATTGCTAAGTGTTGTATTTTTCTAAGACTATGACCATTCAAAGTTATTTGTAAATTTACCCTGCTTATAAAAGTATTCATAATCTGGATAATTTAAGTTGTTTTTAAATGACATAAGAGGTACATAAAATAATATGCATACATTTCAATGTATAGCCACGTGTTTCACTTAGACACATACCTAAATACTACCACAGAGACTAATACATTTAACATTTCTATCACACCCAAAATATTCTCCTGTGTCCCTTCTCAGTAACCATTATTACCCCTTCTAAAAATACAGATGAGTTTCCTGTTACTTCATATAAATGGAAATATAACCTAAAGTGTCTAGCTTATTTTGCTCAAAATAATTTTTTTACTCACCTTTATCACTAGTATATCTTTTGTTATTATATAGTATCCCATTAGATGAAAATACTACCATTTACTGATTTTCTGCTAGATGAGCATTTCTGTTGTTTCTAGTTGTTAGCTATTTTGAATGAAGCTGGTATTACCTTTTTAATGCATCCTTTTTCGGTAATATGCACTTCCTTCTCTTGGGTATATACCTACAACTGGAATTTCTATATGTTTAGCTTCAGGTATTTTTGAATTGTTCTCCAAAGTGAATACAGGCATTGCACTTTAGCAATTATGCATAAGATTTCTAATTGCTCTATCTAATACTGATCTTACCAACAATTACTATTGTCATTCTTTTTTATATCAACTATTATGTCTTTGTGGTTTAATTTGAGTTTTTCTTTATTCTAGTGATGTTAAGTGCCTTTGAATATTTTTCTAGATCATTTGGATATCTTATATTCAAGGTAACTCTATTTTCCTCGTATCTTTATCTCTGTCTTTATTATTGATTCGAAGCAGTTCATTTTCCTATATACATCGAAATCTTCCAACTCATTTATATGTAACAAACATTTTATACCAGTAGTTTGTTTGCCTTTTTATTTTATGAGTAATTTTCTTTGTTGAACAAATTTCTACATTTTAGTAAATTTCAATTAAACCAATATCTTCTTTTAAGGGTAACTTTCATTTCCTATTTGAAATGAATGTTTACTCCAGTTTCACAAGAGAAAGAAATGAATGGAATCCATTTGGTAAAGAGGAATTTAAACTGTCACTGTATGCTGATGATATGACAGTATAACTAGAAAACTCTAAAGACTCATCCAAAAAGCTCCTAGAACTGATAACTGAATTCAGCTATGTTTCAGGATTCAAAATTAATGCACACAAACCAGTAGCTCTGCTATATACCAACAGTGGCCAAGTGGAGAATTAAATCCAGAGCTCAACCCCTTTTACAATAGCTGTAAAAAAAGAAAGGAAGAAAAAACACTTATGAATATACCTAACCAAGGAGGTGAAATACCTCTACAAGAAAAACCATAAAACACTGCTGAAAGAAACCATAGACAACACATCTTATGTTCATGGGTGGGTAGAATCAATATCGTGAAAATGACCATACCGCCAAAACCAATCTACAAATCCAATGCAATTCTCATTAAAATACTACCATCATTCTTTACAGAGTTGGAAAAAACAATCCTAAAATTCATATAGAACGAAAAAAGAGCCCACATAGCCAAAGCAAGATTAAGCAAAAAGAACAAATCTGGAGACATCACATTACCTGACTTCACATTATACTATAAGGCCATAGTCACCAAAACAGCATGGTACTAGTATAAAAATAGGCACATGGACCAATGGAACAGAATAGAGAACCTAGAAATAAACCTAAATACTTACAGCCAACTGATCTTCAACAAAGCAAGCAAAACCATAAAGTGGGGAAGAACACCCTATTCAACAAATGTTGCTGAGATAATTGACAAGCTACATGTAGAAGAAGGAAATTGGATCTTTATCTCTCCTTTATATAAAAATCATCTCAACCTGGATTAAGGAAGTAAATCTAAGACATGAAACCATAAAAGTTCTGGAGGATAACATTGGAAAAACCCTTTTAGATAGATATTGGTTTAGGCAAAAACTTCATGACCAACAACCTAAAAGCAAATGCAACAAAGACAAAATAAATAGTTGCAATTTAATTAAACTAAAAAGCTTCTGAACAGCAGAAGAAAAAATCAGCAGGGTAAACAACCCACAAAGTAGGAGAAAATCTTTGTAATCTATATATCAAACATAGGACAAATATCCAGGAAAAATAAACAATCCCATCAAAAAGTGGCCCAAGAACATGAATAGACAATTCTCAAAAGAAGATTTACAAGTGGCCAAAGGCGTAGGAAAAAAAATGCTCAACATCACTAGCAATCAGGGAAATGCAAATCAAAACCACAATGGAATACCACCTCACTCGTACTGGAATGGCTATAATCAAAAAATTAAAAAATAATGGATGTTGGTGGGGATGTGGTGAAAAGGGAACACTTTTACACTGCTAGTGGGAATGTAAACTAGTACAACCACTATGGAAAACAGTGTGGATATTCCTTAAAGAAATAAAAGTAGCACTACCATTTGATCCAGCAATCCCACTACTGGGTATCTATCTACCCAGAGGAAAAGAAGTCATTATGTCTATACAAAAAGATATTTGCACATGCATATTTATAGCAGCACAATTCGCGATTGCAAAAATATGGAATCAGCCCAAATGCCCATCAATCAACGAGCTGATAAAGAAATTGTGGTATACATACACCATGAAATATTACTCCACCATAAAAAGGAATAAAATAATGGCGTTCACACGACCTGGATGGAATTGGAGGCATTATTCTAAGTGAAGTAACTCAGGAATGGAAAACTAAACATTGTATGTTCTCACTAATAAGTAGGTGCTAAGCTATGACGATGCAAAGGCATAATAATGATACAATGGACTTTGGGGATTCAGGGGAAAGTGTGGGGGGTAAAGGATAAGACTGCAAATTGGGTACCATGTATACTGCTCAGGTGATGGGTGCTCCAAAATCTCAGAAGCCACCACTAAGGAACTTATTCATGTAACTGAACACCACCTGTTCCCCCAAAACCTATGAAAATAAAAATAAAAATAATAAATAAATAAGTAAATATTACCTGTGGCATTTGATCACTTGGCTGAATAGAAATAAATATGTAAAAGTGAATATATTTGTCTTCATTAATACAAATATAGAAAATTAGTATTAATAGAAATATTACTTTTTCTTTCACACAACATAGCATTTAACTGCCAATCATTTTTGTTCCATTTTTCTCCCCAAATGCCGTGAGAATCATTCATTTTTCCTCTATTATTCACAATTAGAAATTCTGTAGCTTAGAACTCTTTTCAAAACTAGAATACCTGCACTCTTCAAGGAGTCAGGAAAATGAAAGAGGCTCCTATTTAACATGATCTAGTCAGCTTGAAGGGTAATTCTAACTGTAAATAATGTTTTCTTTTAAAATTAATGGAACAATACTGTGTGTCATGTGAAGTAATAACTGAAATCTGCACTCCTCAGACAGTGTCTGCAATATCACACCCCATACCTGGGGCACTATTTTAAATGACATACTGTGACAGAGAAGCATTATCAAAATAATTCAGAAATGGTTTTCTATAAGCATTGCTTTTAAGGAACTGAAATCAGTGAGAGAAAATAAAGGAAAAAAAAAAGGCTTCAAAGACATCGTAGAGAAAATTTTTCCATTGCTAGAATGTTAGATAAAATGAATAAGGGCCAAGCTAATTCTAAGATTTAAGCTTCTACATATCGGCCTTTTTTTGGTTGTTTTTCATGTCATTTATTAAATAATTTTAATAAACAGAGTAGATAATCCTCAGTTTGCCATCACTTCAAATTGTTGTAACTTTCAAATTAGTGCTAAATATCCATGGAGATTTATTTTATATTAAAAAGAAAGCTTTTCTTGACAGCAAACTACTCATCTATTGAGAAGGATTATATATCCTTTTAAGAAACCAGTGTACCAATTATCTAAGAAAATTCATTTTTCGTCCAAGATAAAACAATATATTTAATATATATTCAGATAATAACTTCTGTATGAATATGACACTGTGGAGAATTTTCTTAGGTTAAAGTGAATTCTCATAGTTCTATTTTTTATTTTTATTATTTATTTTATTTTATTTCAACAGTTTTTTGTGGAATAGGTGGTTTTTGATTACATGGATAAGTTCTTTGTTCTTTCGTGGTAATTTCTGAGATTTTGGTACATCCATCACCAAGTAGTGTACACTGTACCCAATGCGTAGTCTTTTATCCCTCAACCCCCTCTCACCCTTCCCTCTGATTCCCCAAGATCATTGATATCATAATTTTGCCTTTGTGTAATCATATGTTAACTCCCACTTGTAAATGAGAACATATGCTATTTGATTTTCCATTTTTGAATTACTTTACTTAGAATAATAGTCTCCAACTCCATTCAGGTTGCTGCAAATGCTATTATTTTATTCCTTTTTATTGCTGAGTAGTATCACAACTCAAGATGGACCAAAGACTTAAATGCAAGACCTGAAACAATAAAAAATCTAGAAATTAACATCCAAAAAACACTTCTGGACATTGCCTTAGGCAAAGACCTCATGACTAAAAACCCAAAAGCAAATGCAACAAAAATAGATGGGACCTAATTAAACTAAAAATCTTCTGCACAGCAAATAATAATAATAATACTCAGCAGAGTAAACAGATAACACAGAGAATGGGAAAACATATTTGCAAACTATGCATCAGACAAAGGACTAATGTCCAGAATCTACAAGGAACTGAAACAAATCAGCAAAATACAAAACAAACAATCCCATCAAAAAGTGGGCACGGTATATGAATTGGCAACTCTCAAAAGAAGATATACAAATGGCCAACAAACACAAAAACTCTCAAAAGAAGAGAAGTTGTCTCAATTGACAACTCTCAAAAGAAGATACACAAATGGCCAACAAACCTGCTCAACATCACTAATCATCAGGGAAATGCAAGTTAAAACCACAGCGGGATACCATGTTACTCCTGCAAGAATGGCCATAATTTAAACAATAATAATAACATGTTGGCATGGATGTGGTGAAAAGGGAACACTTTTACACTGCTGGTGGGAATGTAAATAGTACAGCCACTGTGGAAAACAGTGTGGAGATTCCTTAAAGAACTAAAAGTATAACTACCATTCAATCCAGCAATTCCACTACTGAGTATCTACCCAAAGGAGAAGTGGTGATTATATGTAAAAGACATATGCACATGCATGTTTATAGCAGCACAATTCACAATTGCAAAAATATGGAACCAGTCTAAATGCCCATCAAAGAACAAATGGATAAAGAAAATTTGATATATATTTTTTCAAATTCATTGACTAGTTAATGTTATTTTAAAATAAAGACTGATGTCACAATTCCTGTTTTTGTTACGATCTTTGTGCATTGGATCTGATTGTGTATGATCTTTCTAGTTCCCTTGACATTTATATTGGCATAAGTTTAGGCACCTGAAAATATTGCCCTCAGATACTCAATGCCTTTCATATTTGAATCCTGATGTTATTCCTAGAATTCTGATATTCTTTCATTCTGTTTGATAATGACAAAATTCAGTACTTCAATGTATTAAGTACACCTGTAAAGTAAAAAGGTGCTTATATATGCACAACTCAGCATGCATGCATGTATACATAAAAACACACAATGTATTTGAAACCCATTTTTCTCCACTGGAAGATATGTTCTTCTTTTTCTAAAAGGATAACTTTTTCCTGTTTCTGATTCAGCATTTTCCCATATGATTATCAACATTTTGGCCTTATAATTGTAAGTTGTTTATTCTTAACTACAGCTAACATGCCATCTTTTTCAGAACGATGTCATTTTTGAAAACATGTGGTCATAAGGATTTCACAAAAATTTAGATTCAGAACTATTGTCTGACTAGACATACATGTCCTCTATCCATGCCTACTTCCATTTACATTTGATTTGGTTTTCATAACGTATATAGATTTCTACACCTATCCATCTACAATAGATTCAAACAACAAATAAACAGAATTTCTCATAAATTCTATAGGTTTATGCATGTGCATATTAATGTGTTTATGTATATGTGTGGTGGTGTGACGCAGATTGGTTCTGTGTCCCCACCTAAATCTCACTTTGAATTGTAGTAATCCCCATGTGTCAAGTACAGAACCAGGTGGGGCAGGGCGTGGGGGAGGTTTTCCCTATGCTGTTCTCCTCATAATGAGTGAGTCTCATGAGATCTGATGATTTTATAAGCGTTTGACATTTCCCATGCTTGTGCTCATTTTCTCTACTGCTATCCTGTGACGATGTGCCTTCTGCCATAATTGTAAGTTTCCTGAGGCCTCCCAGCCATGCAGAACTGTGAGTCAATTAAACCTCTTTACTCTATAAATTACCCAGTCCTGGGTATTTCTTCATAGCAGCGTGAGAACTAACTAATACAGTGTGTAAAGGGGTTAATTTTAGAGGAAGAAAAGTCACTGTCTGTATAAACATGTTATAAAATTCTCTGATATTTCATTTCATTCTCTTTTCCCCATTCCTCTCCCTACTACTTTCCAAGAAAAGTTATACTAATTATTTCTTTTTCCTTAAGTTATTGGGGTACAAGTGGTATTTGGTTACATGAGTAAGTTATTTAGTAGTGATTTGTGAGATTTTTGTGCACCCATCACCCTAGCAGTATACACTGCACCATATTTGTAGTCTTTTATTCCTCGCCCCCACCTCCTAAACTTCCCCACAAATCCCCAAAGTCTATTGTATCAGTCTTATGCCTTTGCTTCCTCATAGCTTAGCTCCCACATATCAGTGAGAACATATGATGTTTGATTTTCAATTCCTGAGTTTCTTCACTGAGAATAATATTCTCCAATCTCATCCAGGTCGCTACAGCTAATTCATTCATTTTTATGACTGTTTAGTATTCCATTGTGTATATATATATATACCACAGTTTCTTTATCCACTCATTGGTTGATGAGCATTTGTGTTGGTTCCACAATTTTGCAATTGTGAATTGTGTTGCTATAAACATACATGTGCAAGTATCTTTTTCATATAATTACTTCTTTTCCTCTAGGTAGATACCCAGTAGGTGGATAGCTGGATCAAATGGCAGTTCTACTTTTAGTTCTTTAAGGAGTCTCCACACTGTCTTCCATAGTGACTGTACTAGTTTACATTCCCACCAGCAGCGTAGAAGTATTCCCTGGTCACCATATCCATGCCAATATCTACTGTTTTTTGATATTTTGATCATGGCCATTCTTGCAGAAGTAAGATGGTATCGTATTGTGGTTTTGATTTGCATTTCCCTGATCATTAGTGATGCTGAGCATTTTCTCATATGTTTATTGGCCATTTGTTCATTTTCTTTTGAGAATTGTCTATTCATGTCCTTAGTCCACTTTTTGATGGGATTGTTTTTTCTTACTGATTTGAATTCTTTGTAGATTCTGGATATTAGTCCTCTGTCAGATGTATAGATTGTGAAGATTTTCTCTCACTCTGTGGGTTGTCTCTTTACTCTACTGACTGTTCCTTTTGCCATGCAAAAGCTCTTTAGTTTAAGCCCCAACTATCTTTGTTTTTATTGCATTTGCTTTTGGGTTCTTGGTCATGAAATCCTTGCTTAAGCCAATATCTAGAAGTGTTTTTCCAATGTTATCTTATAGAATTTTTTTAGTTTCAGGTCTTAGATTTAAGTACTTAATCCATCTTGAGTTGATTTTTGTATAAGGTGAGAGATGAGGATCCAGTTTCATTCTCCTACATGTGGCTAGCCAATTATCCCAGCACCATTTGTTGAAAAGGGTGTATTTTCCCCATTTTCTGTTTTGTTTGCTATGTTGAAGATCAGTTGGCTGTAAGTATTTGGGTTTATTTTTGGGTTTTCTATTCTGTTCCTCTGGTCTATGTGCCTATTTTTATACCAGTACCATGCTGTTTTAGTGACTACGGCTTTATAGTAGAGTTTGAAATCAGGTAGTGTGATGCCTCCAGATTTGTTCTTTTTCCTTATTCTGTTCATATGTCTACTTATTAACTTTTCTGCCTTTTTCTACTAAATAACATTGAGACCAAGTTCAGCATATGGCTAGATGTTTTAAAATACCCATTATAACAATATTTGTGTTTCATACATATTTAACATACCCAGTTGAGTGGCTTTATATCCATGAACACTAGAATTCTTCTTTACTCTTCATATTAAATTCATGGAACAAAATTTCCTTGGTCTTCAAGTCAATTAGACGTTCTTTGGAAGTGTTTGCTGTAGAATGAAAAGTCAAGAAGATTCCATTTATGAAAAAGATTTCACGTGCCTCTGTAACACAGAGCCCATGTGCAAAGACCTGAAAGAAGCTTCTTGTGGTGAATGCGGTTTCTGATTGACAGAAAGTGAGGAAACCAGGACCCCAGTCTTATAAATGTAAAGTACTGAATTTAGCTAACAGCCTAAAAGAGTTGTTCTTTCTCAGAACCTCCAGTAAGAATTCAGCCCTGTGATAATCTTGAGTTTGGCCTAGTGAGATCTGTTTCATATTTCTGAGCTACAGAACTGTGAGGTTATATAAATGGATGCTATTTTAAGTCAATGAGCTTTTGTAATTTGTATGGCAACAGTAGGAAACTCATACAGGCAATTTCAGAAAAAGGCCTAAGGAGTGTTTTACAGTATTTCTAATTCTCTTAAGTGATTGGTCTGCTAGTGACTCCATTCTCAACCCAATTCAAATACCATTAACAGTTTCTCATTATCCATAGGGTAAACCTTACAGTCCTTGGCCACACACTTTAAGCAATAGTCCTGAACTGTTTTTCTAAATCTAATGAAAAAAATTTCTTTTGAGTGACTATTCATGACTTCTATTTGCAGTCAGATTAGACATTTTGTAGCCAATCTGGGGTTTTCTGATAAAATACAAAGCACACTAAAATGCATTTAACATATTAAATGCATTTACTTTTTTGTAGTATAAAGATGAATGAATTTTTACGTTTATTATTTAATGGAGTTTTTTACAGTAGTCTGCTTTACACCTTAAATTCTGCAGACAGTGACTTTATCACATATCTCTTATAAAGACTTCTTATTTTTTAGCAAATTTTTAGGATTCTGCCCAGAAATGTATCAGACTGACAGAAAACTCACCTGTCCATCTATTATTTTAAAACTTAACATAATAAACATACATAAAGCTTTTTGGTCATTTGTTGTTTTAGAAATAACCTCTATCACTTCAAAGGATAGTGACAAATTTGCAATATAATAAGATATATTCTATCTCACTTATTTATATAAGCTATCTATAATTTTTTCCATTACTACTTTAAAAATAATTTCCATTATCAAGGAAACAAAAATGACATACTAACTAGGAGAGAGAAAAGAAACTCACAGATTTGCAGTAATTGAATTTTGTGCCACCACTGGCCTTTTAGAAAGTCATTTACCACGTGAGAAAGTCATTTCTATTATGTGCTCTTATAATGCCTATGAGATTCATTTACATACAATCCCTTGACACTATTATTACCTCTTCATCTTGATAGTAGAAATTGTTCATTGTTATAAATAGTAGTGCAAAAATGAGTATTTATATCTGCAACCTTTACTGACTTGGTCTTTATATAAAATTAAACCATTTGTTAGAATTATATGGCCATAATTATAAGTGAATACATTTTTGTGTATTTGCTAATAAAGCTTTATCTGCTTTTGTTTTCAGTTCCAATTCTAGGAATTTCAAAATAGTGGGTGTAACTGGGGTTGCATTTTATGTAGCAGTAAGCCAGCTGCTGCCACTTAAATATTTAATCATATAGAATTCTATTGTTTGATATAATAAGAACACAGTTTACATTCTACACAGTAAGTTTACAACTCAGTCAGTATATTTAAAATATAATCTATTGTAAAATGAATACAATTATCTTAGATTTACCCTCATAGATACTAAATTTCTGCTCATTTTAGGCAAGTGTTTATTTCCACGAATCCCAACATGTTTCTATGTTTAGCCAATTATTTATAGAAAAGTTGGGCTTCTCAAACCTTAGTGCATTCATACAAACTGTTAAAATAATATTTGTATTGCCAGGTACAGTGGCTCACACCTCTAATCCCAGCACTGTGGGAGGCTGAGGCAGAAGAATCACTTGAGTCCAGGAGTTTGAGCCTAGACAGGGCAACACGGCCAGATCCCATCTCTCAAAAAAAAAAAAAAAAGAAAGGTGAAGATTTATGTTTTATGTCATGTTTCATGCTTTTCCAGAAAATGTGGCTGAAATGTGTTAATGCTTTTTAAATGCATAGCAGCAAATATTTTTTGGGAAGAGCACCCACTGTATTATTCATGGTTCTGACAAAGCCCCTCTCTTGACCAAACTTTATTTAGGTTCCTGTGAGTTCTTTTTTGGACTAGACTTTGACCTTGGCATTCTCTGTCTGTCCTTGCCAAGTCCAATTTTAGGAAGAATCCTGGTAAAATCAGTGTGTGGAGAACCTTCTCACCCTTGATATCTGATCACCCTTGATACCTGATCAAATTCTTCATCCTCAACCCTTGATTTCTGATCACCCTGTATTGCATTCAGCAAGAATCCTGTTAAGTAGGCTTAGCAAGAATCCCCCTACCTTTCATGTTTTCTATTAGTAATTTCTACCCACTCACCCCCACACCCTGATCCTTGGCTTTAAATCTACACTTAACGCTTGTTGTATTCAGAGATGAGCCCAATCTCTCGCCCATGTTTTAATACCTCTATTGCAATAGTCTTGAATAAAATCTTCATTATCATTTTAGTAAGTGTCAGAATTCTTTTTCTTTATCAGTTCTCCCAAAAAACTGAACCAATGGGATATAAATACATATGGAAAGAGATTTATTTTAAGAAATTAGCAAATGACATTGTGAGGACTGATAACTCTGAAATCTATGTGGATGGCCAGCAAATTAGAAAATCAGGCAGGATTGCTATGTTACAGTTTTGAGACAGAATTTCCTCTGCTGGAAACCTAAGGTTTAACTTTTGAGTCTTGATTGGATAATGCTCACTCACATTATTTAGAATAATCTCTTTTACTTAAAGTACAGTAATTATAAATGTTAATCACTCTACAAAAAGTCTTCACAGAAACATCTAGATTGGTATTTGGCCAAAGAACTTAGCACCATAGGCTAGCTAAACTGGCACATAAAAATTATCATCAAAAGTACCAAAAGTCAGTCTGTAGTGTTCCAAACAATTCAACATACAAAAAAGTGTTTGTATAAATAATTAAAAGGCACAGCACAACTCTATTTAAATATGGATTATTGGCACTCACTACCTTATCTTTATCAAAATTCTACTATTTGTTTTTTTTGTTGTTGTTGTTGTTTTGTTTGTTTGTTTTTTGAGACGGAGTCTTGCTCTGTCGCCCAGGCTGGAGTGCAGCAGTGTGATCTTGGTTCACTGCAAGCTCCACCTCCCAGGTTCACGCCACTCTCCTGCCTCAGCCTCCTGAGTAGCTGGAACCACAGGCGCCTGCCACCATGCCCAGCTAATTTTGTGTGTGTGTGTGTGTGTGTGTATTTTTAGTAGAGACGGGGTTTCACCTTGTTAGCCAGGATGGTCTCCATCTAGTGACCTTGTGATCCACCCGCCTCGGCCTCCCAAAGTGCTGGGATTACAGGCGTGAGCCATCGTGACTGGCTTACATTCCACTATTTGTATATCATTGACTAATTTCTAACTAAAAAGGAGCTTGAAATTTAAAGTATAGTCACATATTTCAAAAAGATCAGTAATATTGTACGAGATAGGAGGGTAGCAGATTCATAATCTTTCTAAAAATCTTGATGGACATGTAGCTGTCATGTTACTCACAAATTAGCTGTTTTTACAGATGTAACACTCAATTGAAGCATTCTCAGGTTTTAATAGTTGGAGTGCCCTAAATCCTATAAGAACTTCATTGGCACAACTTATGGCAGTATTTGTATCAGTCACCGAGGCCTTAGGGAAAAATCATAGATTTCAGCAGCCTTGTTGACTGAGCTTAGGGCTCTGATTAACGCTCCCTCATAGCTCTAAATTAAAATGAAAAATGATCATATAATCTGCACAATGACTAGAAATAATTCTATTTACTTAAATATTTATTCGTCTATAAGATGTATTTATATTGTGACAACTTGCCATCTAAAAATTAAAGAAATAATAGAAGTGAAATGACACCTGATTACTTAAACTTCTTTTATTGGATAAGAAATCAAAATTTTAGATCAAATAAATGATTATACTAGGAGTATGAAGGTCATAAAATTCCACTCAATCAAAGTCAGAGCAAAGGCAGACACAAAGTGGCAGCTAAGGAACTTGAGGGGTAAAACATGCAGAGAGAAAAAGAGAAACAGGGACTATGAAAGCTTTTCAGAAAGAGCAGATAGTTTCCATAGTAACGAAGCATAATGTTCTTTCAATGTAAAAGATCCTATTTTGAATGTGTTGTTGGTGATTCAGGCACACACAAAAAAATGTGCTTTAAGGAAGATGGCACATGAATTTACATACCACACATCTTAACTCAAGGAAGTGATGAGCTGTTAAGAATACACTTCTAATTCTGTTGTTAGATAGTGTGCCTATAAGATATCTATATTTGATTTCATTTCCTATGGTGTTCGAAACAATAGATATGTCAATTTGTTACATTATAGTGATCTTTTTACTATCTATCATCTATCTATTCTATCATCCATCTATCATCTATCTCCCATAACATCATGTTGTATACCTTAAATCTACAATAAATGTATTTAAAAATGAATAATATAAACTTTTTAAATAAAAAAGGTATCTACACAGTAGATTTCCTTAGCTATGGTTTCATTTTTCACAGTTTTAATTCCTGTCTTTCAACTACGGTCTGAAAATATTAAATAGAAAATTCCAAAAATAAACAATTCATGAGTTTTAAATTGTGTGCCATTCTCAGTAGTGTGATGAAATCTCACATCACACTCTGTTCCACCAGGGTGTGATTAGCTTTTTCTCTAGGATATCTTCACTGTCTATACCACCTTCCCATTAGCTACTCAGTGGTCCTCTTGATTATCAAATTGACTGTACTGATGTCACAATCCTTGTGATTAAGTAACTCTTATTTTACTTAGTAATGGCCCCAAAGCACAACAGTAGTGATGCTGGCATATTGTTATAATTGCTATACTTTATTATTAATAATTGTTTTTAACCTCTTACCGTGTCTAATTCATAAATTTTATCATAGGTATGTAGGTATGTATGTATAGGAAAGAAACATAGTATATTACACATAGGATTTGGCACTATCCATGGTTTTAGGTATCCACTAGGATCTTGGGACAAATCTCCTCCAGGTAAGGGGCAACTACTACCCTGAGTGGTGCAATGTATTCAATCCATGAGTATCTATCAGTAAGAAGTTAAAAGATCCTAAAATTTTTCACTCACTTTATTTGCCAAGCTTTGCGCACTAGAAAAATATCCACCATAGCACCAACAAGAAAAAAAACACTTTTTAAAATTTGTAAATGAGCTAGTTATAGCTTTGTGTGTGTCTAAGTGTGTGTATTTACTGAAGACACAGAAATAAGTAAAATTTTTATTAAAAAGTGTAAGTACCAATAAAGTACTAACTGGTTTCAGATTAGATAACTATTCAGAAATATTTATTTCGATTTTGACCCCACCTCTGTGAGCAGAGGGTACTTCTCTACCCTTGATCTTTGGGATTGGTCATGTGGTTTACTTTTGTCAGTAGAATATACTAGGTAGGAAGTGGCAAGAGGCTTTACAACACCTTCACTATTGATCTTGCTTTCTTGAAACTCTGTCACCACCCTAAGAAAAACGTGAAGGTCTAGTTGTTGGTATAAAAAAAATAAGAGAAATATAGAACATATGCCTTTTTGCTGATTCCATCTTAGATCTACTAACATCCAGCTGAACCCAGGAGTATTTTGTTATGCATCAATAGTCAACCATTACAAAACTTGGCAAAGATAAATGAAGTGTTGTTATATTAAAGTCCTCACATATGTGAGAGTGGCTTTGGAATTAGAAAGCAAGTAAAGACAGGAAAAAGCACGTAAGCTCAGAAAATAAAAATAAAAATAAAAGGGTAGTTTTTAAGCAGAATTTACAGAGAATTAAAATGAAACTGGTTCTTATTCCTGGATTCTTCAGTTAGTAACACACTCTCAAATTAAAATTCAGTATGGGAGTATAGTCAAAATTTAGTGCATCCACGGTAAAACATGGTCCCAGAGAAAAGACTAAATTAGGGGCCTAGCTTTAAAACATTTTATTAGGAACTTTGAAAAAATTAAAGTTCCTCTTAGGTAGAAGAAAGGTCTTTTAGGAATCTTAAGTGTATGCTCCAAGGCAGCTTGATGGGCTCAAAATATCATATATTAAATACAGAAAGAGATGTACGTCACAAGAGCTATTACAGGTATGTCTTTTGTCTCAGTGCATGAACACTAGAATCACTTACATAAATACCCACAAAGATTTTGATAGAGTTTTATGTCTATGTGCATTATTATTCAGAATTCAAAGTGACTGAGATTGCTCCAAATGTAAAATTTATTCTTGCACTTACATAGTTTACAGACAGGAAGCAGGCGGAAAATGCTGTTCAATAATATAAAAAAATGTACATTTTCTAATGTCTTCTCCAGAAGTTGCCCAAAGAGAATGATAGAAAAAAAGATTGTCCCATTAGATAAAGCCAAAAACTGGAGAAAAGCAGCAGACCAGGGAGTCATTCTCGGCCGGCAGAATCAGATCCTAATTATAAAATATCCTCCACCCACAGGACGTATGATAACAATACTTGACAATGACATTTGCCTGGCAGTATTTCAAAACTGCTGCAAACAAGTATGTGCTTCTCAGTCATTCCTTTTCCAAATAGGAGTTATTTTAGTTATCTTTTCCTAATTGCACCATTAGTGTGTTGTGTGTTAAAGGGGGATGGAAAAAATATGAAGATAACTAATAGTTTTTACTTCATAAGTTTCTAGATCAAAATCCTATCTAGGCTTGGTATACATCACAAGATCCTGGACTTTAAGCATAATGCTGTTATAGAAAGGACAATGTGCATATTTTAATTGTTGGAAGGAAAATATTCAACAAGAGGGCAGACTCTGAAAACTTACATTGTGTCTCAGAAATATTAAATGTCTTTCCTTACCCAATGCCTTCCACCCCCAACCAGTCTAATGGAAACGATTTCCTTACCTGACTTGAAATGTCCTTGCCTGACTTGGAAAGTGACTTGCTTTGACTAATAGGATGGTGCAAGGGTAGATGTGACCAAAGGCCTGCAAAATGCATACCTGATTGAAATTGCTCCTTTGAGCTTCTGCCAGAGAGACAGAAAAAAACTAGGATAGATTGTCATGAGATGGCAGATTAGGAAATTATGGAGAAGCAAGTTAACAACAATATATGGACCAGAATACCTCTGTGAGAACTCTAGAGACCATGTGAGAAGGTACAACAGCCAGGCCATTGTAAAACCAAGAAGAGGTTTCCAGAGAAAGGGGTAAAAAAATTATCACATTCTTTTGTGCCCCAACCCCTTCCCTTTATGGTATAGTGCAGAACAATTAGAAGGAAACCTTCCATACTGCGGCTCCCACATTTAGATGTAAATAAAAGGGTTCACTATATATCCAATGTTCTGGCTTATCTTAGGGCTACCAGGGAGACTGATTTCTTTCTCATCTGTCTGGAAACAATGAAAGAACAAGTGCCATAATCTGGAAGCCATTGAAAATAGAGGCAAGTAGCATATTAGAACTAAAATTCTCCAGGGAGAAACTATGGAGAGCAAAATATCGGAAAAGATTTACAAGGTCTTAGAATCCCCAGCTGGGCTGATTGGTGATGTCTTTTCCTGCACAAACTAGTGCGCAAGAACTGAAGGAAGTAGTAGTTTTCTTAAATTCCCATATCTCAGCAAAATATTATAAGGCACACCAACAAACAAAACAAAACAAAACCAAGAAAACATGGCCCCAGCAAATAAAGAAAGTAAAACTTCAGAAACTAACCCTAAAGAAATGAAGAGCTGGAAACTGTCTGACAAATATGTACAATAACTATAAATATGCTCAATTATCTAAAACAGAGCACAGATAATTACAAAATTCAGAAAATGATGTATGAATAAAATAAGAATATCAACAAAAAAGATTAAAACTATAAAAAATGAAACAAAAATGCTGAATCTGAAAAATACATTGCAGAAGTTCATAAACAACTTGATCAAGCAGAAGAAAGAATCCATAAACTTGAAGGCAGGTCATTTGAAATCCTTGAGTCAGAAGAGCAACTAAAAAGTAAGAAAATTAAAGAAAACATAAGAAACTTGTGGCATACTGTGAAGTTAATGAATATACACATCAACTCAGAAGAAAAAGAGAGGAAAAAAGTTCCTATATGTTAAAAACTTCCTATATCTGAGGGAAAAAAATTAACATATTGATTAAAGAAACTCAACATACTCCAAGTAGAAAAAATTCAAAGAGAACCAAATAAGACAAATAGTAATGAAACTGTCTAAAGTTAAAGACAAAATGATAGCCTTGAAAACAGCAAAAATGATTTTTTGCACACAAAAAAGTTTTCATAAGATTATCAGCTGGTTTATCAGCAAAACTTTGCAAATCAAAGGCAGTGGGATAATATATTAAAAGTGCTGAAAGAAATAACCTGTCAACCAAAAAAACTGTATCTGGAGGGAGGTGGAGCAAGATGACAGGATAGAAAGCTCCAGCAGTTGTTCCCCTCCACAGGAACACCAAATTAGCAACTATCTACACAGAAAAAACACCTTTATAAGAAGCAAAAATCTGGTGGAAAATCATAGTAGCTGGTTTTAACTTCATATTGCTGAAAGAGGCACTGAAGAGATAGAAAAAGTCCCGAGTCACCAATGGATGCCACCCCTCCCCCAACCCTAGAAGCAGCCACGTGGTTCAAAGAGCATCCCTGGATGCTGGAAGAGGGAGAACACAACAGTTGTGAGGCATTGAATTCCGTGCTGTTCTGTTAGAGCAAAAAGGAAAACCTGATCCGTCTCAGCTGACACCCACCCACTGAGGGAACATTTAACCCAGCCCTAGCAAGGGAAACAACAAAATGGCAGTAATAGATATATTACTTATCAATAATAATATTAATTGTAAATAAACTAAACTCTCCAATCAAAAGACATAGACAGGATGAATGGATTAAAAAAAAAGAAGAAACAGAGCCCATTAATCTGTTGCCTATAAGAAATTCATTTCACCTTTAAAGACACACATAGACTAAAAACAAAAAATGGAAAAAGATATTCCATGCCAATGGAAACTCCAAAAGAGCATGAGTCACTACACTAATATAAGACAAATGGTTTTCAAGAACAAAATTATAAGAGGAGACAAAGAAATCACTATATAATGATAAAGGGGTCAATTCAGCAAGAGGATATAACAACTTTAGATATATATGCACCCAACACTGGAACACCCAGATATATAAAGAGAATATTATTAGACCTAAAGAGAGAGATAGGCCTCAATACAATAATAAGTGGAGACATCAACACCCTACTTTCAGCATTGTACAGCTATTCCAGACAGAAAATCAACAAAGGAATACCATACTTAATCTGCATTGTAGATCAAATAGACCTAATAGATATTTACAGATCATTTCATCTAAGAGCTGCAAAATACACATTCTTTTCTTTGGTACATTGATTATTTTCAAGGATAGACCATGTATTAGATCACAAAACAAGTCTTAAAACATTCAGAAAAATTGAAATAATATCAAGCATCTTCTCTGACCACAATAGAATAAAACTAGAAATTAATAGCAGGAGGTATTTTGAAAACTATACAAATACATGGAAATTAAACAATATACTGATAAATGACCAGTGGGTCAGTGAGGGAATTGAGGAGACAATTGATAAATTTCTTGAAACAAATGATAATGAAAACACAATGTACCAAAACCTTTGGAATACAGGAAAAGCAGCAGTAAGAGTGAAGTTTACAGTCATAAGTGACTACATTAAAAAAAGAAGAAAGAGCTCAAACAAACAATATAAGGATGCATCTTAAAGAGCTAGAAAAGCAAGAGCAAACCAAACCCAAAATGAGAAGAAAAGAAATAATAAAGATCAGAGCAGAAATAAATAAAATTGAAATGAATAAAACATAGAAAAGATCAATGAAACAAAAAGTTGTTATTTGAAAAGTTAAAAAAAATGTGACAAACCTTTAGCCAGACTAATAATGAAAGAGAGAAGATCCAAATAAATAAAATCAGAAATGAAAAAGGAGACGTTACAACTGATACTTCAGAAATTCAAAGGATCATTAGTGGCTACTATGAGCAGCTGTATGCCAATAAATTGGAAAATGTAGAGTAAATGGACCAATTCCTGTACACATACAACTTCCAAGATTGAACCAGGAAGAAATCTAAAACATGAACAGACCAATAAGTAACAAGATCAAAGCTGTAATAAAAATTATTTCTGTAAAGAAAGGCCTAGGACCTAATAGCTTCACTGCTGAATTCTAACAAATATTTAAAGAAACACTGATACCAATCCTACTCAAACTATTCAAAAAAATAGAGGAGGAGAGCATACTTCCAAACACATTCTATGAGTCCAGTGTTACCCTGATACCAAAACTAGACAAAGACAAATTAAAAGAAGAAAACCACAGGCCAACATCTCTCATGAATATTAATGCAAAAATCCTCAACCTAATACTAACAAACCTAATGCAACAATACATTAGAAAGAACATTCATAATGACCAGGTGGGATTTATTGCAGGGATGCAAGGATAGTTGAACCTACACAAATCAACATGACACATTATATCAACAGAATGAAGGATACAAACCATTGAAACATTCAAATGATGCTGAAAAAGCATTTGATAAAATTCAACATTGTTTCATGATAAAACGCTCAAAAAACTGGTGATAGAAGAAATATACCTCAACATATAAAAAGCCATATATGACAGATCCACAGCTAGTATCATACTAAGTGGAGAAAGCCTTTCCTCTAAAATCCGGAACACAAGAAGGATGTCTACTCTCACCACTGTTATTCAATGTAGTACTGGAAGTCCATGCTAGAACAATCAGACAATAGAAAAACATAAAGAGCATCCTAATTAGAAAAGAAAAAATCAAATTATCCTTGTTTGCTGATGATATAATCTCATATTAGTAAAAGCTGAAGACTCCACAGGAAAACTATTAGAACTGATAAACAAAGTCAGTAAAGTTGTGGGATACAAAGTCAACATAAAAAAATCAGTAGCTCAACCATTGTGGAGACAGTGTGGCAATTCCTCAAGGATCTAGAACCAGAAATACCATTTGACTCAGCAATTCCAAAATTCTGTATATACCCAAAGGATTATAAATCTTTCTACTATAAAAACACATGCACACGTATGTTTATTGAAGCACTATTTACAATAGCAAAGACGTGGAACCAACCCAAATGCCCATCAATGATAGACTGGATAAAGAAAATTTGGCACATATACACCATGGAATACTATGCATCCATAAAAAAGAATGAGTTCATGTCCTTTGCAGGGACATGGATGAAGCTGGGAACCATCATTCTCTGCAAACTAACACAAGAACAGAAAACCAAACACCGCATGTTCTCACCCATAAGTGGGAGCTGAACAATGAGAACACATGGACACAGGAAGGAGAACATCACACACTCGGGCCTATCGTGGGGTGGGGGGCAATGGGAAGGAGAACATTTGGACAAATAATGCATGCAGGTCTTAAAACCTAGATAACAGGTTCATAGGTGCAGCAAACTACTATGGCACATGTATACCTATGTAACAAACCTGCACATTCTGCACATGTGTCCCAGAACTTAAAGTAAAATTTAAAAAAATTAGTAGATTTTTATACCCCAACAGTAAACAATGTAAAAAATAAATAAGTAATGCTATTTATTATAGCCACATATAATGTTAAAAACATGGTAATTAACCAAAAAGTGAAAGATTCTAAAATGAAAACTATAAAAAGCTGATGTAAAAATTTGAAGAAGACATAAAAAAGGAAAAAATATTGTATGTTCATGGATTTGAAGAAACTGGTGGAATCACATTACCTGACTTTAAATGACACCAATAGAGCTTTAGTAACCAAGACAGCATGGTGCTGGCATAAAAACAGACACATAAACCAAGGGAGCAGAATAGAGAATGCAGAAGCAAATCCACACACTTAGAGTGAACTCATTTTTGACAGAGGTGCCAAGAACACGCACTGGAGTAAAGACAGTCTCGTTAAAAAATGGTGCTGGGAAAACTGAATAACCATATGCAAAAGAATGAAACTAGACCCCCTATCGCTCACCATATATAAAATCAAATTAAAGTGGATAAAACACTTAAATCTAAGACCACAAGCTATGAAACTACTACAAGAAAACATTATGAGAAATCTTCAAGACATTGGTCTGGGCAAAGATTTCATGAGTAATAACCCCACAGGCACAGGCAACCAAATCAAAGATGGTTAAATGGGATCACATGAAGTTAAAAAACTTCTGCACAGCAAATGATACAGTCAACAAAGTGAGGAGACAGCCCACAAAATTAAAGACAATATTTGCAAACTACCACTCTGGCAAGGCATTAACAACCAGAATATATAAGGTGCTCAAACAATTCTACAGGAAAACAGCTAACAATTTGATCAAAAGATGAGCAATTATTTGAATGGACACTTCTCAAAAGAAGACATACAAATGGCACACAGGCATATGAAAAGCTGTTCAACATCATCGATTGTCAGAGAAATGCAAATAAAAACTACAATGAAAAATTTTGTCACCCAAGTTAAAATGGCTTATATCCAAAAGACAAGCAATAACAAATGCTGGTGAAGATGCAAAGCAAAGGAAAAAAAATACGCTGTTGGTAATGTAAATTAGTACAACCACTATGGAGAAGAGATTGGAGGTTCCTCGAGAAACTAAAAATTAAGTTTTTTGAAAACTCATATGACCATAAGATTCACTACTGGGTATATACCCAAAGAAAGGAAATTAGTATATTGAAGAGATATCTGCATTCCTATATTTGTTGCAGCACTATTTACAGTAGCTAAGATTTGGAAGCAACCTAAGTGTCCATCAACAGATGTATGGGTAAAGAAAATGTGGTATATATACACAATGGAGTACTATTCAACCCTAAAAAATGAGATCCTGTCATTTGCAACAACATGGATGGCACTGAAGGTCATTAGGTTAAGTGGAATATGCCCAGGCACAGAAAAACATTGCCTGTTCTCTTATTTGTGTGATCTAAAAATCAAATCAATTGAGCTCATGGACATGAGAGTAGAAGGATGGTTACCAGAGGCTGCCAAAGGTTGTGGGGAAGCTGCGGATGGGTAATGGCTCAAAAATAAAATAGAAAGAATGAATAATACCTACTATTTAATAGCACAAGAAAGTGACTATAGTCAATAATAACTTAATTGTATATTTTAAAAATCACTTAAAGAATGTAATTGGATTGTTGTAACTCAAAGGATAAATGCTTAAAGAGATGAATACCCAATTCTCAATGCTCTGCTTATTTCACACTGCAACCCTATATCAAAACATCTCATGTGCCCCAGAAATATATACAACTATCATGTTCCTGCAAATATATATACACATATAGATAAATATATATACTTTTTATGTTCCTGCAAAGATTAAAAAAATAAAATAATAAAAAACACAAAATATTATATCTGGCAAAACTGTCTTTCAAAAATGAAGTAGAAATTAAGACTTTTCCAGATAAACAAAATTGAGGGAGTTCATGACAATTAGACTGGCTCTAAAATAAACACTAAAGGGAGTTCTTCAAGTTGAAGTGAAAGGACAATAGACAACTTCATGAAGCTATTATTAAAAGATGGTTCTCCACTAAAGGAAAATACATGGACAAATATAACAAACTGTACTTTTGAAATTTTGACAGACAGTATTTAAATAAAAAAATTATAAAAAATAAAGTCTAAGTCTATGTAAATGGGTATGCAATACATACAGATATAATTTGTTACATTAATAAGATAATATGAGGGTGGAGATGTAAGGGAGTACAGCTTTTGGATGGAACTGAAGTTAAGTGGTTATCAGTGTAAAATACAATGTTGTATCATTGACAGATTTTATGTAACTGTGATGACAACCACAAGAAAATAGCTATAGAATACACTCAGAAGGAAATGATAAGGGAATCAAATCATATTACTATAAATAAATCAATGAAACTCAATAGAAGAAAGTGAGAGAATGAAGGAGGGATAATAAAAGATACAAGATATATAGAAACCAATTAGCAAATTGCAATAATAAGTTTTTTCTATCAGTAATTACTTTACATCTAAATTAAGCTCCTTTATAAAAAAATTATAAATTGGCTAAATGGATGAAAACACAGGGTACAACTATGGGCAGGAGATTCACTTTAGGTCTAAGGGCAAACATAGACTGAAAGAAAAAGGATGAAAAAGATGATCCATGCAAGTGGTAACCAAAAGATAGCAGTAGTACCTATACTAATCTCAGACGAAATAGACTTTAAAATCAAACCTGTTACAAGAAACAAATGAAGACATTATATAATAATGAGTGTTAACAATTATAATTACGTGTGAAACCTCAAAGCTTCTAAATATATGAAGTAAACTTTGATAAGATTGAAGAGAGAAATATAGCAGCACAATAATGATAGGTAACCTCAATATCCCATAAATAATGTGTAGAACAACCAGACAGAAGATAAATAAGGAAGTACAGGATTTGAACAACATTATAAACTAATTGGGACTAACAGACATACATAGAAGAGTCTACCCCAAAAGCAAAATATACATTATACTTAAGTGTACTTAAAGTGCACGTTCTGGAGAACACATATTCTTCAGAAATGCCTGCATGGTAGGCCACAAAACAAGTTTTAACAAATTCAAGAACATTGGAATCATAAAAAGTATCTTTTTAAACAAAAATTAAAACAAAACTAGAAATCAACAGTACAAAGAAAACTGGAAATTCATAAATGTTTGAAAATTAAATGACACACTATTAATGACCAATGGCTAAACTAAATCACATAAAAATTTAGAACATACCTTGAGAAAAATTAGAATGAAAACACAATGTACCAAAACTTATGGAATGCAACAAAAATAATGCTTACAGGAAAGTTTATAGCAGTAAATGGCACATTAATAAAGAAGTAAGATCTCAAGTTAGCTTAGCCTTAAACAAAAAGAATTATAAAAATTAACACATTAAACCCAAAGCAGACAGGAGAAGAAATAATACAGATTAGAACATAGAATAGACAAATGATAGAGAAAAAACAAAACCAAACAAAGAGTTGGTGCTTGGAAAACATTTTAAAAATCCTTTAGCAAGGGTAATCAAGAAAAAAACAGAGAACACACAAATAACTAAAATAAGAAATGGAAAAGAGAACATTACAACCAATGTCACAGGAATAAAAAGGATTATAAGGCAATATTATTAATATACCAAAAATCTGGATAACCTACAAGACATCAGTAAAATTCTAGAAACATATGACCTACCAAGACTGAAATGTGAATAAATAGAAAATATAAATAGATTAATAATGAGTAAAGAGATTGAATCAGTAATCAAAATCATCTTCAATTAAAAAATTCCCAGGACCCGATGGCTTCACTGGATAATTCTGCTAACCATTTAAAGAAGAGTTGACGATACTGAAACTCTTCCCAAAATTTAAAAAGAGAACACTACCAAGCTCATTATCCTGATACCAAAGCCATATAAAGATACTACAAGAAAACTGCAGGTCAATATTTCTGATAGATATTGATGCAAAAATCCTCAATAAAATATGAAGAAACGGAATTCAATAACGTATTTGAAGAAATATATACTGAAATAAGTGAGAGTTACTCTTATAATGCAAGAATGTTTCAACATGTAAAAATCAATCAATGTAATACACGGCATTAATAGAATGAAATACATAAAAATACCAAACAAGTATAAGTTTATCTCAGTTGATGAAGAAAAAGCATTTGGCAAGATTTAACATTCGTTCATGATATAAACACTCAACAAACTAAGAATGGAAAATACTACCTCAATATAATCAATGGTGAAAGACTGTAACCTTTTCTTGTAAGATCAGAACAAAGTAAGAATGTTGACTCTCACCACTCCCACTCAACGAAGTATTTTCCTGTTGTTAAGACTTAGAATTATTGTAAGTCTCAACCAAAGCAATTAGTCAGGAAAAAATAAATAAAAGGCTTTAAAATAGAAAAGGAAGAAATAAAATTGGCTCTGTTTACAGATTACATGATTTGATATGTAAAACACCCTAAATTTTCTTCCCCTAAAACTGTTATAACTAAAGCAGACCCAGCAAAGTTTCCGGATACAAAATTAACATTCAAAAATCAATTATGTTTTTGGACACTAACAATAAAAATATTTAAAAAATTGAGAAACTATTGCATTTAAAATAGCCAAAAACCCCCAAAATATTTAGGAATACACCTAACCAAGGAGACAAATGACTTGTACACTGAAAACTATGAACCATTGCTGAAGGAAATTAAAGATGAAAATAAATGTGAAGACATTTTATGTTTATGGATTTAAATACTTAATATTGTTAAGATGTCCATATTATTCAATAGCATGAACAAATTCGTGATGAGGGAAGAATCATGAGGTAATTCCAAAAGTGAAATAAGGCCGATGTAGTTAAAGAGGCATACAAATATATATGAAATTCTGACTTGTGGCCAGGAGTTAGCGACAAGCCTGGGCATCAAAGCGAGATCACATTACTAAAAAAATTTGAAAATTATGTGGGTGTGGTGGGTAGAGCCTGTAGTCCCAGCTCTTCTGGAGGTACAGGTGGGAGCAACCCTTGAGGCTGGGAGTTTGAGGTTGCAGTGAGCTATGATCCTGCCACTGACCTCCAGCCTGGGAGCTGAGAGAGACCCTGCCTCCAAAAAAAAAAAAAAAAAAAAAAAAAACGGGATCTGAAAGAGTAGTCTTGTTTATCAGCTTGACAGCTTAAGGAGCTTTTGGGCTGAGGTTACAGGATTTTCTAGACATAGAATCACGCTGTCTGCAAACAGGGATAGTTTGACCTCCTCTCTTCCTATTTGGATGCCCTGTATTTCTTTCTCTTGCCTGATTACTCTGGTCAGGATTTTTACACTATGTTGAATAGGAGTGGCAAGAGAGGGCTTCAGTGAAGTCAAAGGACACAAAATCAATGTACAAAATGTACTAGCATACCTATATACACCAACAGCAGTCAAGCTAAGAGCCAAATCAGGAACACAATCCCATTAACAATTGATGCAAAAAGAATAAAATACCAGGAAAACAGCTAACAAGGGAGGTGAAAAAACTCCTCAATAAGAACTACAGAACACTTCTCAAAGAAATTAGTGATGACACAAACAAATGGAAAGACATTCCATGCTTATTGATAGGAAGAATCAATATCATCAAAATGGCCTTAGGACCCAAAGCAATTTATAGATTCAATGCTATTCCTGTCAAAGTATCAATGACACTCTTTCCAGAACTAGAGAATAGTTTAAAAAAAAATCATGAGGAACCTGAAAAGAGCCTGAGTAGCCAATGTAATTCTAAGCACAAAGAACAAAACTGGAGGCATAATACTACCAGACTTCAAACTGTACTATAGGAATACAGTAACAAAAATGGCATATTACTGATACAAAAACAGCACATTACTGATACAAAAACAGACACATAGACCAATGGAACAGAATAAAGAGCCCAAAAATAAGGCTGCACATCACAACCATCTGATCTTCGACAAGGCTGAGAAAAACAAGCAGTGGGAAAAGGACTCCCTGTGTAATAAATGGTAAACCGGACTCCTTCATTACACCATATACAAACATCAACTCCAGATGGATTAAAGATTTAAAACCCAAAACTATAAAAACCCTGAAAGACAACCTAGGCAATACCATTCTGGACATAGGAACAGGCAAAGATATCATGACAAGTTGCCAAAAGCAATTGAACAAAAGCAAAAATTGATAAATAGGATCTAATTAACTTAAGGAGCTTCTGCACAGCAAAAGAAACTATCAAGAGAGTAAACAGACCACCTACCAAATGAGAAGAAACATTAGGAAACTATGCATCTGACAAAGGTATAACATCCAGCATCTATAAGGAGCTTACATTTACTAGAAAAAAAATCATTAAAAAGTGGGCAGTTTTCAAAAGATGTACATGCAGCCACAAAGCATAAAAAGAAAGCTCAAGATCACTGATCATTAGAAAAATGCAAATCGAAACCACAATGAGATACCATCTCACACCAGTCAGAATGACTATTATGAAAAAGTCAAAAAATAATAAATGCTGACAACGTTGCGAAGAAAAAAGAACACTAATACGCTGTTCGTGGGAGTATAAAATAGTTCAATCATTGTGGGAAACAGTGTGACAGTTTCTCAAAGACCTAAAAACAGAACAAGCATTTGATCCAATAATCCCTTTACTGGCTATGTATCCAGAAGAATATAAATCATTCTATCATAAAGGCATGTGAACACATATGTTCACTGTAGCACTATTCACAGTAGCAAAGACATAGAATCAACCTAAATGTCCATCAGCGATAGACTGGATAAAGAGAATATGATACTTATATGCCATGGAATACACCATGAAATAGATAGAATAAAAAAGAATGAGATTATGTCTTTTGCAGGAATATATTGAAACTGGAGGCCATTATCCTTAGCAAACTAATGCAGGGACAGAACACCAAATACCGCACCTTCTCATTTATAAGTGGGAACCAAATGATGAGAACACATGGACACAAAGAGGGGAACAACAGACACTGGGACCTACTAAAGGGCGGAGGTTTGGAGGAGGCAGAGGATCAGAAAAAATAACTGATGGGTAGTAGACTTTATATCTGGGTGATGAAATAATACATACAACAAACACACGACGCAAGCTTACCTATACAACAAACCTCCACATGTAGCCCTGAACTTAAAATAAATGTTTTAAAAAAAGAGTAGTCCTATGAGATAAGGCAGAAAACACTGAAAGTTTCTGTTCAGGTGTTTTTAAGCCATATTCACAATTTTGCTTCTTATATTGTACAAAATGAGAAGCCAATAAAGGATTTTCAATAAAATATTGATATTAATATTTGCATGGAAATGTTACTTTGTATGACATGTTTTTAGGTCAGCAGTTCTAACTCCAACTTAATGTCATGTCTTTACTGTATAAATGTAATAATTTAAAAATATTTAGCACAACTTTTTTATTAAATTCATTACATTAACCATTCTTATAGTGATTTTTAAAACTTCTGTTATATGTGTTCTATTTAAATTATTACATGTGATGGATTATATGTGATATAGTACAAAATTTTGATTATCTAGTTCCTAAAAATTTTATCCTTTCTGTAAACCTAGGATTATATAATATCAGAAATATGGCCGGGTGGGGTGGCTCATGCCTGTAATCTCAACACTTTGGGAGGCTGAGGCGGGCAGATCCTCTGAGGTAAGGAGTTCAAGACCAGCCTGGCCAATGTAGTGAAACCCCGTCTCTACTAAAAATACAAAAATTAGACGAGCGTGGTGGTGCGCACCTGTAATCCCAGCTATTTTGAGGCTGAGGCAGGAGAATCGCTTGAACCGAGGAGGCAGAGGTTGCAGTGAGCCGGGATCATGCCATTGCACTCCAGCCTGGGTGACAAGAGCAAAACTCCATCTCCGAGAAAAAAGAAAAGAAATATTTTCCTTTCACTTTGTGCTTGGAAATAACCACAATGAACTCTAAAAAAAGAGAAGAGCATTACAAATTTATTTTACTACTATTTTTTTAGGGAGGGGGCAGGAACACCACCTCAAAACACCTTTTCTGTCCACAAATAAGGAAAGGAAAACAGTATTATGCAAAGCAACAAGATCAACATAGTAATCCTTCTTCTCAGACTATAAAAGAGTTAAGGGCAAAAGTCACTTCTACCCACCAAGGCTTTCCACTCCACTCCAGGGTCCAGGTGCAGGACTAAACTAATGTCTGCAGAACAAAATGAATCACAAAATGCAACCTTGAAGGCCCATTCACCCATTTTCCTGGTGTTCTCTCTCCTCAAATGAGGCTATAGTCAGACAAACTGGATTGAGGCCATGTATTCCACAATTCACTCTCCAAAGTTAAAATATTTTCACAAACACAATTTACAAATGGAAAGCACAAAAAAAGAACTGGTTTGACCCTTTCAAAAATGGAATACCAAAGTAATTTGTTTTAATAGTAACAGAAAATGACTTTGATGAGTCTTGCAACAGCAGTTAAATGTCCTAATCTAAACGAGCCCAGATATTTTGTGAGCATTACCTATTGGTCAGAATTAGGTACATGTTTCTGCTGAACAACACAGGAGACTGTGAATCTGTAATCCTACCTTTTGCCCCTCAGAATTATGGTTTATTAAGGTCAAAAAGTACATCATCTTTACACATTCATGTATACTCACTTCTTATATCAAAACTGGCAGGAAATAGATACTTAACAAATTTGGGTTGGTTTAATAATGTATTAATGAATAACAGAAAATGGCAGCCTAGGTTTGACTCAGGTATTATGATCCAAATAAACCTGGAATGCCACTAGAGGCAAAATATTGTTTTTTCCCCCAGCTCTTACAGTGATTTATGAATATTTAAATTGATATGTTAAAATTTCCCTATACAATATATTAATAAGTTGTGTCACCAGGTAATAGAAAAGTCAGAGCATTCCAACGTGATACTGAAAAGAAATGCTGAATAATTGGGTTGGAGTTGAAATGGTGTTATACATAACTAGAGAAGTGACACATTAAGGAGCTCTTTCTTTCTTGGAAACTTAAGTGATCCCTTGGTCAGTAGAAACTGTAATAGCTTTTTAGAAACCTGCTGTGGCTGAGAATGAATTGGCCATCCATGAGTGGTTAGTAGTGGTCTTTGTCAAAAATACATTGTGAGACATTGGCTACACCCTATGGTGGTAGATTTTGCGAAGAGGTCATGAGTGGAGCACATTTGGTAATGGAAAAATCCTGCCACCTACAGAGCCCATCTCTATAGCGCATATTAATTGTTAGGCCGGCAATTCTTTTACAATACCATATTACACATCAAATTATATTCCTTGTTTCAATATTATTCTTCTCATACTCTTATTGCTCAAATTTCTGTTATAAAAAGGCCTATCAAGAAACAAAATAACTGTAACTGAATATCGCATTTCAGTTTTAATATCTAAACACAAAGCCTAAATCTTTTTTATAATCCATTTCCTAATGCAGTTTTATTTCATTTTCTTATTTTATGTTAGCAATGTGGCATGCATTAAATCAGCATGTTTATTTTCCCTGTAATTTGATTTCTTTTCTTACCCAATGTTGTTCAAAACATGAAAAATATTAATCCTAATTAGATCACACTCAGTCTCTAATTTTTTTACATTTTTCATTTTTCTTCTCCTCCAGTGTCAGGTAATGTTGTTATCTGTGATTGTAAGGAGAACATTTATTTTCTCATGGCTTTAGATCAATTGGTGCTTATGTCTAAAGTCTTTTAAAGACAACTGTTCTCAAAGGGTGTTTTCAGGAAGTGTAGTACCAGAATTACCTGAAGACTTGTTAGGAATGCAGATTATTGGCCCATACCTCAGATCGAAGGAATCAAAACCTCTGGGGGTGAAATCCAGAAATCTGTACTTTAAAACATTCTTAGGCACACTAAAATTTGAGAGCCATTGCTCAAGGGCAGTGTAATTTTAGTATATTCTTCTCCAGACAAAATGGAAAAAATGCTCTTTAAACTCAGATTCATTTTCCATTTTTTTGTGCTTTTAAGTGGTGTCACCCTTATAAAGAATCATATTAATGTTACAAATGATAAATTTGATTTTCAAGTTACATCTAACATTTATTTGATTCTTTTAGCATCCCTGCTTTTTTTTTTTAAAAAAAAAAAAAGAAAAAAGACCACCTAATTTTTTCAGATAAACCTAAAGTATTAGTTTGGGGAAAGAAATACAAAATTAGTTTAACAGTAAGTATAAAAGTACAGAAGCATAATATATATGCAAATTTTAAATAAAATTATTAAGTATACTTCTAAATTGCAAGGAATATGAAATAAATTTAGTCTCAAAAATGATATATTATAAATTCTGTCATATATAAATTATAATTTTCATAGTCTATTTAATTCAGCCAGTATTTATAATTTGTTTAATATCAACATAAGACTTAATGGAAATGTGCAGTCATAAATACTGTCTATTATATGACTAAGATAATGTGCTGCATAAATTAGAAACAATGACAGCAAAACCATGTTAACTGTAAATTTACCTAATGACATTATACATTGACAGAATGTATTCTTTTAATGACCAAGAACACTCAGTAGGGTCTCCAATAAACATCAATAAATTTGACTTTTCTCTGTTTTATGAAGCAAAAGTTTGAATTATACTAGATTTGTGCTTCTAAGGGAATTTATATTTCACATTATTTTCAAAGTTCTATGTTATGCATTGATTTATAACATTATGAAATATGAATTTAAATATGATACACTATTATGTCTTTCTTTTAGTAGAAAGCGTCCATTCAGTGGTGTACAATTTGCAATATCTTCCAACTGCCAGATACACATTTAAAATTAGCCTACACAAAACAGGTACTTTATTGGTTCATCTGACTTTATGTCCAAGGAGGCCTTGATAAGGTCTAAATTCAGAGATTCATATAATATGAGAAGTCAGCCTCTCTTTTTCAAGACTGCTCATCTCTGCTTGCGCTTGCCTGTTATACTCAGGCATGTTCTCTTTGTGTGGTTGCATGATGGCACCTGCTATCTTGGAGCTGTAGCTCAGAATACTGAAGGAAACAAAGGAAGCTCCTCGCATATCTCTGACTCAAATTGTTCTAATTTAGGTCAATAATCGCTCTCTCTGAGCTAATTATTGGCTGACAGGGTAAGTTCTCTGATTAGCTAAGCATATCTCAGCTATAAGCATCTAAGAATGGAGTAGGTGAGAGGACAGGCTCAGTCTAACTGGGTTGGTTTAGTAAGAAATGGGGAACAGGTATCTACCCAAAAGAAGATTGTGGGTCAGAAAATGGTATGTCCTATAGGATTATTGAGTGAGCCTATCCCACTATTACCATCAGAACCTAAAAGTGACTTTGTGGTTCTCTACCTCGATGTTTAGTAAATCGTATAAAATAATCATTTGATTCTTTAGGAAACATTGTCCAAAAGAAAGTGTTATTCAGGTGATGGAAGTGAATAGTTTTTCTTGGGAAGGAGTTGTTGTTTTAGTTTAGTAAGATTATAGTGATAATAATAAACATTTATATAAATTAAACAAATCTTTACATGAGGAAACATTTATCTTAAGTTTGATACACACACACACACACACTCAGATTCCTCACAATAGTCCTGTGAACAAGTAATATTGTTCCTATTTTTCAAATGGGGAAACAAAGACACAGAGAATAAATACATTTTCATACAGGTAATACATTAGTTTTATGTTGCTGTATTGCCAGTTACTAACATATTACAACTTAGTGTCTTCAAACAACACCTTTTTATAAACTCACACACAGTCCTGTACAGTTCTAAAATTCAGAAGCCCAGCATAGCACCACTGGATCATTGGCTTAGTGTATCACCAGTCTGGAATCAAGGTATTGGCCAGACCCAATACCTTGATTCCCAAACCCCTTTTCTGGGGCTTCCAGAAGAAGTCTATGAGCTTAACTAGTATGTTAAACTGCCCTGTTACAGTCACACAGTTGGATGTTTTATTAAGATTAGTACATATTCCTCATGAATATCAAGTTTGTGTTTGCTTTGTAAATTCTGATTTATATATATATGTGGCATATCTATATTAGCATTCTCTTTTATTCAAATCATTAACTTCTAATAGAAAAAGGGGGGTTGTGCTGTTTAATTCATGCACAGTAACTTCATTTCTGCATCAGTTCAACAAGTATTTACTAAATGCCAACTCTGCACAATACCCTGTGCTGGACAATAAGGTACAAAATAATCTTGTAGCTACAGTGGAACAGAGAACACAAACTTTATATTATTACACAAATAATCAACTGAAATATGCAGGGCTATGTTCTGACTTTAATGGGCTGTATGCACATTTATTTTTGTTGGCTGCCTCCTCTATTAAAAATACATCAAAAAGCATATTTTATGACTTTATTACTATAAAGCTAACTAGATTAATATCATATGTTAACACATTTGATTTGACCTGAAGTTCATTTTCTCTTTTCATTTTAACGAATTTAAATCATTTTTGTGGT
The DNA here is from genome assembly GCF_000001405.40 of Homo sapiens. NCBI lineage: Eukaryota > Metazoa > Chordata > Mammalia > Primates > Hominidae > Homo > Homo sapiens. The sequence goes on along the minus strand of NC_000014.9, from coordinate 27,866,303 downwards.
TCTGTAAGAGTACTGTGGTCCCTAGGCACTATGGCCACTGGGCCTAATGGGTCAGTTGGCCTCGACAAAATAATAATTGCTACACAGGAACAGTACCAGAAAGGAAGCCAGAGTGCTATGACCTGACATTAGGAACATGTTAAAATGGAAGGAACCCATCTAATTTTTCTGGGAAAATAGATATTTGGGAAGTCTTCAATTCTTTTAGGTTGGTAATCAATCTTTTTATCCCCTGCCACACAGAAGCAGCAACTTAACAGTGTCATAATTTTAGGGTGTACATTTTGCTTTGAGTTTTGTGATAGTTATGTAAATGTTTATATCTTCGGTTTTCATTGAGAGGCACTTTCCACAAATTTTGTTACAGTGCAATACCAACAGTATTTTCTCAAATTGGTTTGTCTTCTCCCCTAACATGAAAAATCCTTGCTGCTTTTCTTCTTTTCGCACCAGTGTTACAAAGATATTTTGAAGCTTATTTGGAGGTAGTGGCACAATTTATAATAAAACGTTCTCAAGAAGAAATGATTTTTAGCGTAATACCTACAGTGGCTTTATACACAATATCACTTAGTGAATTATATAATTCAGTACTTTACTAATCAAGACTATGGTTTTAAAATATTGTTGAAGAGATATCTCACAGTCAGGTAAAGATGTGATGTTTTTCAATGTGCACATCTTGGAAAAAAAAAATATATATATATAACGATTTGTCAATCAGACTCTTTAGGCTTGTGTTAAAACGGTTTTAAAAGTTTATTAGAATCTAATGAAAATTACTTGCTTTTAATTAGGCAGTTTAAAATCAGTAGGAATAATATTACATACCAGCTAGCAAGAAGAAACAGTGTTTTAATCATTAGCATTGAACTTCAAGAGTCTCCTAAAAATTTGTTGGGGTGTCTAAAATTGTGACATATGTAGGTCTCTACATTTGTCGAAACAAAATCCCTAATTGTGTATTCTAGCATGTCGGTTAATCGACCACCTTAAGAAGTATTTGTAACAGATAAATATATCCTTAACTAAATACAAATAAATATATTATATTTGGGATGATGTGAATGTTACAAGTACCAATGAGGCAATTGGAAATTTGACCTTCTATATTATATTTTTGTTAAGAGTAATATGCAATACAATCTGAGATTAAGTCAGATATTAAATCAGTCATACAAAGAAGAATATGTAGATTACAATTATTCATTTTCTTTTGTGCTTTAGGTATTTCTGTTGACCATTAAGGCATTCGTCTAGTGGGCAATCTTCAAATAATAGTTAATGATGGTGCCAAATTATGCCTTACCTTACCATAGGTAACTAAGACCATGAAATAATATTAATATTTTAGTAAAAGTAAAAGGTGTTCATTTGGAGACAACTCTATCCATAAATAAAATGGATGAATACACATAAGTGTAGTTTCCAAGTGTGGAGATGTAACCAGTTATAGCCAATATTTGAAAAGGAATTGGCAGTATTGTTAAGGTACCCTAAGGAACTGTTACAAGCATTTTTTTTTACCTCTAGACCTTAAACCAATTTTATTTTCATATAAAAAGATATAGAGCTCATAAAAAATTAAATCATTAATAATTTTACAGTAGCATACCTGACAGTTCTGACAGCCACATGTGGTAGCTTAGAACTATATTCCTTTGCCAGGTAAAATATTAATAGAACATTGACTAACTAGCTTTCCATGGTGTATAGGGCCCAGAAGTTATTATGAAATCCAGGTTTGCTTTCAGGGGATTTGGTTTAGTTATTATACCAGCAGGTAGTTTTTGTGTATTTGCTTTCTAAGGGGTGGATAATTTTTGAAGTGAAGGCAGAGAAGTCTTAATAAATCACATCTTTATGAAATATTTATTACATTTGTATACTCTTTAAAGGCCTCTATCAGCTAAATTAAAATAAAAAATTATGTAAAAATTAGTAGTAGGTTGACAAGTTACTTTATAAACCTAGAAGAGTTTTGGGTTATAATTGACAAAGTTTTCAAAAGAAGTTCTGCCCGATCTTATTATACAGGTAGAGAAAAAATGAAACCAAAAAACAAAGGAGCTCTAGAGATGGCTAAGTTGCTTTTTTTTAGAGGTAAATTTTCCCCTACTACTGACTTTTGACATTATCTTTTTTATCAGAGGACTCATAATGTTCAGTGCTTAGAACTGATGATTTGCTGAATGCAAAAGATTACTAAAAGTAAACGTCAGGCCCCAGAGAGCTTCAGTTCAGGCCTATAGAAGCAATGATATTATAACAATGATATATATCCATGTGTGGTGTTAAGAACAGATTCTGGAGCCGAACTGCCTGAGTCCAAATTTCAGCTCTGGAAAGTAACTTCACTTTTCGCTGCTTTAATTGTCCTCATGTTTCAAATGGGAATTTTATTAGATACCTAGCTCGTGTGGTTGTTTTGAATATTGAATGAATTAATATATGCTAAGTGCTAATAAAATAACATAAATTATTACAAATCTTAGTTTAGACAACTATTCTAAATGATAACTTTAGAAAAAAATATATACCCTATCCATGAATTCAGAAGAATGGTGACGAAGAGTATTTGTGGTTTTGGTTTTGTTTTGTGTATTTTGAATCTTATATTTAATCTCATGTATCTATAGCTAACACTTCTCATGGTTTTTGATTAGATAGAGAGAGATGAAATGCATTATACATGTACCATTGCCACCCCTTGCTCTAAGATCATCTTGAATGGCTAACCTATGGCCTAAAGTCCCTGACCGTGTGAAATAACACTGAATTTTTTTGCTGCATCGTGCTAATATGTCATTGTCCAGCTTTTAGCTGGCCCCTCTCAGAGGATTTGTACTCCCACGAATACAATTTTCACATTCTTAAGATTCATTTCCAGATAATTAATGACTGTCTTACTACCACTCTAGTTTAAATAGCTCATGTGCACCCTGCTGAGAAACTCTTTATTTGGGCATAGAAATTAATGACGCAGACCGTTTTATTTCTCCCAAGTGCAAGGGTCTATGAGAAATAAAAGAATGGTGCTGACAGACAAAGTAAGTTATAGTATTGCACTGCTATGGAATATTTCATAAAGCTTCCGTTGTCTTAGTAGCGCAGATGCCTCCAAGAGTTCGCTGTAATTGCTGTAGAAGAGTTAAGGGCAGAAAAGTGAGATTCACTCTAGATGTGAAAATTAAGAATATCTTGGTAGACATAGAATTTGGCAAGCATACAAAAGACATTTTAATCGCTTTAGAAAAGTAGAAAGGTAATGTTGATAAAAATAAGATCATATATTTCATGTTATTTCTCTAAAGCAGCACTTTGACTCAATGTTATTTGGAGTGGAGTCAAACAGATAGATTCTACAAAAAGAAAATTCTTCCTCCAGGCTCACGGTAAGCTCAAAACAGTGGCTAAAAAAATTGCACAATACCATGAGATTGGTTGTTACTTTGAGCTGTGAACAATATTTTATCAAAAGTCAAAGAAACTATGTCATCTTTGCTATTTCAGCTTTCTCTTTTGGCCTTCAATTAAGTTTAAAGTAAAAAGAATGAAGTAGAATTTTGATAGAAGTTATTATTCTAAGTTATAGGAGTACAAGATTGAGTGAAAAAAAAAAACATTAAAATGAGGAGATTACAGTTCCAAGCCATGATTCCAAATTCCCTGCATTGTATTGGGCACAGTTTTAAAGGTAGTTATTTTACCTGGAACATAGCAATTCTATAACTTATAATATTCTATGTCTATATTCTATTCTATTTCTATAATTATAATATTCAGTATTGTAATTCTATGATAATGAGTCAGTAACATTTATGTGGTTCTGTTGTATACTAGGTATTGTCTTTAGTCCTTTTTAGAGCTACAGTGAGGATTAAATAATTGATATGAGGATTAAATAATTGATATGACTAACCTTTGATAATCATAAAATCTATACATTTATTACCTGGCACCTATGACTACCATCTTCCTCCACATCATCAGATCTGGATATATTTGTTTTGAGCCTAATGAAAATAGATGCTAAATAAAGTATTTAAGTTTTGAAAAATCTGTGTTCTAGAATGGTGCTCATACCAATTTCCATATACAAATGTCTAACAACATTCCTAATGATACCATTAAACTATTCTCGTATAATCTGATGGCTTATTTGTTTAAGAGTTGCAATCTTACAAAATTAGCCTCATTTATTTTTTGACGTGATTTTTTTCTTACATTGTGGCTATTTTAATTTGCAGCAGAAAGTTACATGAGTAGAATTTTAATGTGAATGAGAGATCATTTAGTATTTTAAAATGTCATTTGACAATGTAAACAGGAAGCAAAGAATAGATTTTGACAAAAGGAGGTACAATTATAGTTCAGCTGTTAATAAATAGCTTTGTACCTTGTTCTTAAAAAATAAATACAAATTATAGGCCGGGCGTGGTGGCTCACGCCTATAATCCCCGCAGTTTGGGAGGCCGAGGCCGGCGGATCAGGAGGTCAGGAGACTGAGACCATCCTGGCTAACCTGGTGAAACCCCGTTTCTACTAAAAATACAAAAAATTAGCCGGGCGTGGTGGTGGGCGCCTGTAGTCCCAGCTACTCGGGAGGCTGAGGTACGTGAATGGCCTGAACCCGGGCGGTGGAGCTTGCAGTGAGCCAAGATGGCGCCACTGCACTTCAGCCTGGGCAACAGAGCGAGACTCTGTCTCAAAAATAAATAAATAAATAAAATAAATATAAATTTTAAATTCACAATAATTTCTATGATTTATGATGGTATAAATGACTTTCATTTTGCATCTCTGAATTAGAATGGAAAAATATCTATGTATACATATGTGTATACATATATTAAAATTATGCATGTAATTTTATTATTTAAAATATAAGCTTGCTAATTGGTATCTTATGGTGCAGATAAACCTATTGGTACTACTTGTTTTGGTGGACATAATGAGAAATTTTTCATTGGCTCTTTCTCCAAATATCAATTAACACGTTTTCAGAACACCCTGTTTTTGAAGTAATTTTATGGGTCTCAGTGCAGACCTCTAAAACTTTAGGCAGTTTCCAGAATTATATGGTTGTGTGATTGTGCTGAAGACATATATATATATATATATATATATATATATATATATATATATATATATATATATATATATATATATATATATATATATATATATACACACAAACACATACACACACACACACACACACACACAGATGATTGCTGACAATGAGTTTCTAAAGATCATATATATATATTTAGGTAAAATAGAATAACATTCTGCTTCTGGTCTTCATAATAAAAGAGAAATCAGGACTAGGAAATCAAGTGTTTATTATATAGAGTATTAATTTTTATTCTTTTATTTATTGATTTATCTTCTTTAGGCATGTGCAGAGATGAACTCACTAACTGTTCAAAATAAACAATTTGAATTCAAAGCAAAGTATATTTTTGGAATATCAATTATCACTTATTACAGATAAATGATAATATAAAATGCCAACTTTGGAATTTATTTGTTTTAATTCTGTGACTCTCAGCCTTCTTTCTAAAATATAGTGTATGTTTTAGGTAAGTCCAGACAGCAGCCAGCACTACATTTGGTTTAAAATCCAGCTTTATAAAGACTTCATCTTTCAACCAGCCAAAGGCTAGTTACCTTGTGTCTGCCATCATGCATATGCTCTCCTCAACTCCCGACTGAGAAAACATGCCTGCAAGCACTTCCCTGCCTGAGATTATATTAAAAATCCATACCTGTGCTAGCAGCATGAGTTCAAGTTGATTATTGCTCGAGATCTGTAACTTCCCATTCATCCTCCTAAAGATATAAATGGTTGCTTTTCAATAGACCACATACATAGGAATGATTATGAAGGCAAGATTTAGTAACAATAATATACATAGTACTCTAATGGGATTGAATAGGAATACCCACATTAAACTCTCTTAAAATATGTGGAGCAGAACACATGAGAGAAAGCAAAAGAACAAGTGCACACAGCAGAGCTGCGAGTTGCATACTCTGTGCATGCTAATACCATCGCATCAACATCACTAAGGCTTCTGGGTAACGTTTGCCACAGCATATTGTGATGTGCATTTGTTTTTATATTTTATTCTAAAAGGCAAAATAACTCTCCATGTGATGACAGAGGGAGCACACACACAAAAAACCCTCTCAGAAATAGTAAAAGTGGTTACAGGTAATTCAAATCGTGTACTGTTTTAAAAGGTACTTGCCTAACACTTTAAATTGGAAAAGCATCTTGGAAGTCTATAAAATCCATATTTACATTACTTGAATTGTGACCCTAGTTTGACATTTCCACGGTGGGAGACATATTTTATTTAGGAGGCAGCAGTCTATTTAGTTTTTGAGAGCTTAATCGATAGATGATTCAGGTTTTCTACTGAACCAAAATCTAAATGCCTACCCATTGGTTTTGGTAGCCAACCTCAATATCCAACTGCTCTTTCACACAACATGGCTTCAAAGGCTATGTAACTAACATATCCAACTGCTCTTTCACACAACATGGCTTCAAAGGCTATGTAACTAACATCATGTCACTGCACCTATGTCTTTTTAAAGCCAAGTACCTCTAGTGCCCCTCATTATAGCTCATATTTCAAGGTATCTTTCAGCAACAATGAATTGCATTAATCAAACTCACTTTTTTGCGTGTCCTTCACTTTATAGCACTTCACAAATAACACATTTTTCACAAATTGAAGGTTTGTGGCAATCTTGCATCAAGCAAGTCTATTCATTCTATTTTTCCAACAACATATGGTCACCTGGTGTCTCTATTTGACATTTTAGTAATTATCACAACATTTCACACTTTTTAATTATTATTATTATTTTAAATATTTTAACTTTTATTTTAGGTTCATGGGAACATGTGCAGGTTTGTTCTTTAGGTAAATTCGTGACTCAGGGGTTTGATGCACAGATTATTTTTTCACCTGAGTAGTAAGCATAGTACCCAACAATTTTTTTTCCCTGAACTGCACCCATCTCTCATCCTCCTCCCTCAAGCACACCCCAGTGTCTGTTGTGCTGCTCTTTCTGTCAATGTGTTCTCATTATTTAGTTCCCAGTGATAAGTGAAAATATGCAGTATTGGGTTTTCTGTTCCTGTGTTAGTTTGCTAAGGATAATGGCCTCTAAGCTCCATCCATGTTGCTGCAAAGGACAGATCTCATTCTTTTTTATGGCTGCATAGTAATTCATGGTGTATATGTACCATACTTTCTTTTTCCAGTCTACCACTGATGGGAATTTAGGTTGATTCCTGAGTATCTATTATCTAAATTACATATAAAAGCAGAAAAGAAAAATGACAAATAGAACATGAAAGTTAAACAGTATCCTTTCAGGTTCAATGACATAAATATTCTTATTATCTAAAGGTATAGAGTCCAATGTTTTATTTCCTATAGTGCTTTTATAGCAAAACACTTCAGAATTAGATAAACCAGATTGAGGCCCAGTCTTACTACCTATTAGCTAGATAAACTTGAGCTTTGGGATTTTCAGAGTCAGATCTCTCAGGCAAATAAGATTTCTTTGATATTACTTGAGGATGACAATCTCTATCTCGAAGATTATTATGGTAATGAGTTTATTTATGTGGACTGTTTTAGGGTATTTTAAAACTATGTACAGACCTAAAAAAATATCTTCACAATCTTTGCAGAACCGGGGAGGCATACAGACATAATACAACTATAAGAGTTACCGTTTCTCATGCTTTTGTTTTCTAATTGCTCTGGCCACTGTTTTAGAAGGAAGGGTGAATATATGTAAATATTCCTGAAAAAATAAAGTTTTAGAATATTAAATTATTACATATTTCATTCAGAATTTTTTAAAAGGTAAAACCAACGACTGAATGTAGTTCATGGGATGATCTGGTCCATATTCATCTACCATGATTTAACAAATTTTTTTCTCATCTATTGATGAGAAAAAATTAAGGGGAAATGTAGAAATGTAAGGTAAATAATCTGCAAAGAGATACACACTGGAGGCATGTGGGAATGTAACTGTGTAGGTCCGCAGGCAAACTAGGTGAAGGAGGAAGGTGAGGAAGAAAGGCATTTAAGACTTACTCTTTCTGTTTTCTTCTCAATTTTAAAGGCTGATGGAACATAATTTTCTCTACAGTAAAAGTTGAGTGAAAATCAGTTTTGTGTGTGTTAATAATGACTTCATCAAGAGCATTTGAAGCTCTGTCTTATCATATTTTGATGCTCAAAATAAAACATTGTTTTTATAGCTTAATAGTCTCATACGGTCAATTAATGCCTCCCCTCCAGACTGACACTTTGAACATTATTATTAACACTGCTGTCCTTAAACCATCATCAGGCTGCAGTGCAGACAATTTATTGATAGCTAATAAAGCATAGTGTTCAGGTGCTGCCTGAGGGCAGGATTCAGAATTGTCATATCAATGCATAACCACATTTGATTTTTTGGAACAAGTTCCATTACTTAAAAATTATGGTTTCATTTTCTTATTTTTATATCTAGATTTTAACATTTTATGCATGCCTATATAAGCATTAAATATGTTATTCAGTTATGAGTGAATGTAACTCAAATTTCTTGTAATGTGTATGTACAGTTTAATATAAGATAGATTATTGATTAGGAAATAGTTAACAATTAATAATAGACATTGGCCAACCTCAATTACTAAACCAGAAAAAAAGTTTATTTAAATGTATTGACTATTTTTTAGTCACTACACAAATCATCTAAAAGAAAATACCACAGATGAAACCTGCAGATCCACTAACTGGTTATCAGTTTATCAAGACTGATCGTGTCCACTCCCTTCAGAAATCACATAGATCTGTGCATTATGCAGATCTTTTCTGGTCTTCCCCATCTTTTCCCATCCTGAACTAGAAGTAGAAATCTTTTGCATTTTTCTCTGATACTTTCTTTTGCATTTAGTAGAAATACGTACACATACTACTCTAGGCTACTGTGCAGTACATTAAAATTTCCTTTTGCTTTCCAGTAATTTCAAATATCTCAACTAACTTTCTCAGTCAAAAAATCAAAGTTTTAATTCTTATCCATCTTTCAACATAAAAACTTTTAATATTGATTATAATTTGTTGCCTGCACTTTTGTTTGTTTTGTTTTGTTTTGAGACGGAGTGTCACTGTATTGCCCAGGCTGGAATGCAGTGGCCAGATCTCGGCTCACTGAAACGTCCCGGCTTTAAGCGATTCTCCTGCCTTAACCTCCTCAGTAGCTGGGATTACAGGCAAGCACCACCATGCCCTGCTAATTTTTGTATTTTTAGTAGAGATAGGGTTTCACCATGCTGGCCAGGCTGGTCTCAAACTCCTGACCTCAAGTGATCCTCCCGCCTTGGGCTTCCAAAGTGCTGGGGTTACAGGCATGAGCCACCCTGTCTGGCCCAGCACTCTTAATAGATATATAAATCTTACTCTATTAATTGAACTAAGAATATCTTTATAATCTTCCAAATATCATTTATAATTATTAAATATTAAAACATATTTATTCTGCTTACCAAACTTTGCATCTCCTCAGAATGCCTAAATATTTTGCCATACGAAGGTTCCAGTGGAAGTTTCAGACAATACATTTTGATGGCAAATGGTGAATTTTCCTATTGAGAAATATGTTGATTACAAGAAATAAGAGAGACAGTAGATTTTCAAAACCTTTTAAAACTTTATTTCAGATGAATAATCAGAATTATTTTACTTATAGATTGCACTCTTCTAAGGCACTTACATATTCTGACAACTATGTGTTTTTGAAGCAAATTTTGACTGAATTAATAAATGACAGCACAGATCAAAATTTAAAAATTTACAAAATTCTCAATAGATTTCACAATTGTGAAATCTATTGTGCAAAGTCCCATGCTTTCTTTTAATATTGTATACTTATTATATTTTTAAGGGTTACATTTTAACGGTTGATTTATTATCAAATAAACTTTCTATAATTTGACAGAACAACATAAACTCTTATTTTTCTCCTTTCTACCTAGAACATACATATGACGGTTGAGAAAGACACATATTCTGATCATGAAGAAATAAACACAAGTTAAATATGACTAAGCAGAAAGATGGAAGGACCAGGAAGAGTCGTGCTAACTTGGAGCCACTATGCAGGCTCTAAACTCCTCTACAATCATCCTCCCTTGTGAGAAAAATACATAAGTCGCTTTTAAAATAAATAGGAAACCTGAACACACTTCTTAGCTGGTTTAAGTATTTTAAAAACATTGATGAATTAAACACAAAAATATGGGGAAATCTCATTACTTACCTTAAATTTTGAAATTTTCTTTACGGATCATGAGTTACTTAATGCTCTTTCACTCCTGAGTTTACATTGTAAATTAAAGTTATGTTGGCTTTAAAAAATAACCAATTAAAAATAATGATCTAAATTTATACTTTAATTTTAACTAATAGTATGATCTCTTATTATTTACCTCTGATAAAGTCCAAATGTTTGTAGGCCTATAGCTCTGATGATATACAATGAAATATCTTTCTCATGAGTGTAGAATATCTAGATTATATTTAATGCATCTACTTTTTGAGGAAAAGGAAACCCTTAATAAAATAGCTTCAAACACTTGGTTTTAAAAAATGAGAAAACAAATACATTACAGGACTTTTGGATTTATCACCAACATGTGAAGGGCTCAGAAGTTGTCACTCCTGGCCTTACAATAATAATAATAAAAAAAGCTATACAAATTGAAAATCAATGACTTTTCTTAGGTCTATCAGAAAACTGTGAAAGCAGGGCAAACATCACCACAAAATTGAGAGAAACTGGCACACCAGAGAGCCATAGCCAAGATCTACTTCCTGAAGCAGAAGTGGCTAGAGCCGTAACTTGTATGAACACTTCAGTGGTAATTTTAACAATTTGTGGAGGCCGGGTATGGATTAGGGTGAGGGAAGAAGCTCATGGGGACGGTTTTTTTCATGCTTCAGACTTGCATGAATTTGGTATCCAGGAACCAACCGGGTTCTAATGGTAAAAAGCTGAGAAAAATATTTTTAAAATTGGCAGAGATAGAGGAAGAGTAATCATAGTGACCTATAAGAGCCTTCTTCAAAACAAAAACATACCATTTAGGGAAAAGGACATTACCAGAGCCTTATTACACCCAGAGGAAGGGCATTGATTCATTTAACCTTCTTTTTTTCCTCCCAGGGAGAAATTCTCCAATTCTTTATTTTATTTTATGTTAAGTTCAGGGGTACACATTCAGGATGTGCAGGTTTGTTACATAAGTAAATGTGTGCCATGGTGAATTTGCTGCACCTAACAAGCCATCACCTGTCCAGTAAGCCTAGCATGCATTAGCTAGTTTTCCTGATGCTCTCCCTCTCTCTGCCCCTGCCAACAGACCCCAGTGTGTGTTGTTCCTCTCCCTGTGTGTATGTGTTCTCATTGTTTAGCTAACACTTATAAATGTGAACATGCATGTTCTACTTATAAGTAGAACATGCAATGTTTGGTTTTCTGTTCCTGCATTAGTTTGCTGAGGATAATGGCTTTCAACTCCATCCATGTCCCTGCAAAGGACTTGATCTCATTTCCTTTTATGGCTACATAGTATTCCATGTGGTATATGTACTACATTTTATTTACCCAGTCTATCATTGATGGGCATTTGGGTTGATTTCATGTATTAGCTATTGTGAATAGTGTTGCAATGAACATACACATGCATGTATCTTTATAATAAAATGATTTATATTCCTTTGGGTACATACCCAGTAATGGGATTGCTGGGTCAAATGGTATTTCTGGTTCTAGGACTTCAAGGAATTGCCACAGTCTTCCACAATGGTTGAACTAATTTACATTCCTACCAACAGTGTAAAAGCATTCCTATTTCTCTGCAACCTCAACAGCATCAGTTGTTTCTTGACTTTTTAATAATCACCATTCTGACTAGTGTGAGATGGTATCTCATTGTGGTTTTGATTTGCATTTCTCTAATGACTAGCGATGTTGAACTTTTTTTTTGCATGTTTGTTGGCCACATAAATGTCTTCTTTTGAGAAGTGCCTGTTCATGTCCTTTGCCCACTTTTTAATAGGGTTGTTTGTTTTTTTCTTGTAAATTTGTTTAAGTTCCTTGTAAATTCTTGATATTAGACCTTTGTCAGATGGATAAATAGCAAATTTTTCTCCATTCTGTAGGTTGTCTGTTCACTGTGATGATAGTTTCTTTTGCTGAGCAGAAGCTCTTTAGTTTAATGAGACCCCATTTGTTAATTTTTCTTTTGTTGCTATTGTTTTTGGCATTTTTGTCATGAAATCTTTGCCTATGCCTATGTCCTGAATGGTATTGCCTAGATTTTCTTCTAGGGTTTTTATAGTTTTGGGTTTTACATTTAAGTCTTTAACGTGTCTTGAGCTAATTTTTGTATAAGGTGTAAGGAAGGGGGTCCAGTTTCAATTTTCTGCATATGGCTAACCAGTTCTTCCAGCACCATTAAATAGAAAATCCTTTCCCCATTGCTTGTTTTTGTCAGGTTTGTTGAAGATCAGATGGTTGTAGCTGTGTGGTCTTATTTCTGAGTTCTCGATTCTGTTCTATTGGTCTATGAGTCTGTTTTTGTACCATCACCATGCTGTTTTGTTTATATGCTGGTTTGGTAGCCTTGTAGTGTAGTTTGAAGTAAGGTAGCATGATCCCCCCCAGCTTTGTTATTTTTGCTTAATGTTTTCTTGGCTATACAGACTCTTCTTTGTCCATATGAATTTTAAAACAGATTATTCTAATTCTGTGAAAAATGTCAATGGTAGTATAAGGGGAAGAGCATTGAATCTATAAATTATTTTGGGTAGTATGGCCATTTTAATCATATTGGTTCTTTCTATCACTTCCCTTCTTAGCTGTATTCCTAGGTATTTTATTCTCTTTGTAACAACTGTGGAATTGGAGTTCATTCATGATTTGGCTCTCTGCTTGTCTGTTGTTAGTGTGTAGGAATCCTGGTGATTTTTGCACATTGATTTTGTATCCTGAGATTTTGCTGAAGTTGCTTATCAGCTTAAAAAGCTTTTGAGCTGAGACAATGGGGTTTTCTAGATAAAGGATCATGTCATCTGCAGAGACAATTTGGCTTCCTCTCTTCATATCTGAATACCACTTGTTTCTTTCTCTTGCTTGACTGGCCTGGCCAGAACTTCCAATACTATGTTGAATAGGAGTAGTGAGAAAGGGCATCCTTGTCATGTGCCTCTTTTCATTGAAAATGCTTACAGCTTTTTCCCATTCAGTATGATATGCATTGTTGGTTTGTCATAAATGGCTGTTAATATTTTGAGGTATGGTCCTTCAATACCTAGTTTATTGAGAGTTTTTAACATGAATGGATATTGAATTTTAACATGAAGAGTTGTTGAAAGGCCTTTTCTGCATCTATTGAGATAATTATGAGGTTTTTATCTTTAGTTCTGTTTATGTGATGGATTACGTTTATTGATTTGCATATGTTGAACCAGCCTTGTATCCTGGGGATGAAGCCAACTTGATTGTGGTGGATAAGCTTTTGGATGTGCTGCTGGATTTGGTTTGCCAGTATTTTATTGAGGATTTTTGCATCGATGTTCATCAGGGATATTGGCCTGAAGTTTTCTTGTATCTCTGCCAGGCTTTAGTATCAGGATGATGCTGGCCTCATAACATGAATTAGGGAGGAGTCTCTCCTCTTCAATCAATTGGAATAGTTTCAGAAGAAATAGCACTGGCTCCTTTTTGTACATCTGGTAGAATTCCACCATAATTCCATCTGGTCCTGGTCTTTCATTGGTTGGTAGGCTATATATTACTGCCTTAATTTCAGAACTTGTTATTGGTCTATTCAGGGATTCAACTTCTTCCTGGTTCAATCTTGGGAGGGTTTATGTGTCCAGGAGTTTATCCATTTCTTCTAGATTTTCTAGTTTATTTGCATGGAGGTGTTTATAGCATTCTCTGATGGTTGTTTGTATTTCTGTATACTCAGTGTTGATATCCCCTTTATCATTTTTATTGTGTCTATTTGATTGTCTCTCTTTTCTTATTAGTCTAGCTAAAATTATTTGTTAATTTTTTTCAAAAAAAAAAAAAAGTTCCTGGATTTGTTGATTTTTTGAAGGGTTTTTCCTGTCTTTATCTCCTCTAGTTTTGCTCTGATCTTACTTATTTCTTGCCTTCTGCTAGCTTTGGAGTTTGTTTGTTCTTGGTTCTCTAGTTCTTTAAGCTGTGATGTTAGTATGTCGATTTGAGATATTTCTAACTTTCTGATGTGGACATTTAGTGCTATACATTTCCCTCAATGCTGTTTTAGCTGTATCCCAGAGATTCTGGGACATTATCTCTTTGTTCTCATTAGTTTCAAATAACTTGATTTCTGCCTTAATTTCATTTTTTACCCAGTAGTCATTCAGAAGCAGGTTGCTACATTTCCATGTAGTTGTGCAGTTTTGAATGAGTTTCTTAATTTTGAGTTCTGATTGTACTGTGGTCTGAGAGACTATCATGATTTTAGTTATTTTGCATTTGCGGAGGAGTGTTTTACTTCCAATTATGTGATCGATTTTAGAGTAAGTGCCATGTACCTCCAAGATGAATGTATATTCTGTCATTTTTGAATGGAGAGTTCTGTAGATATTTATCAGGTCCACTTGATCTAGAGCTGAGTTTGAGTCCTGAATATCCTTGTTAACTTTCTGTCTTGATAATTTGTCTAATATTGACAGTGGGGTGTTAAAGTCCCCCACTATTATTATGTGAGAGTCTAAGTCTCTTTGTAGGTCTCTAAGAACTTGTTTTATGAATCTGGGTCCTCTAGAATTGGGTGCATGTGTATTTAGGATAGTTACTTCTTCTTGATGAATTGAATACTTCACCATTATGTAATTCCCTTCTCTTTTTTTATCTTTGTTGATTTAAAGCCTGTTTTCTCAGACACTAGAATTGCAACCCCTCCTTTGCCTGCTTTCCATTTGCTTGGTAAATTTTCCTCCATCTCTTTAGTTTGAGCCTATGTGTGTCTTTGCATATGAGATGGTTCGCTTGAATACAGCACACTGGTGGGTCTTGACTATCCAGTTTGCCAGTCTATGTCTTTTAATTGGGACATTCAGTCCATTTACATTTAAGGTTAATATTGTTATGTGTGAATTTGGTCCTGTCATTATGATGCTATCTGGTTATTTCACAGACTTGTTAATGTTGTTGCTTCATAGTATCATTGATCTGTGTACTTTACTGTGTTTTTGTAGTGGCTGGTAATGGTTTTTCCTTTCCATATTCAGTGCTTACTTTAGGAGCTCTTGCAAGCCAGGCTTGGTTGTGATGAATTCCCTCAGTATTTGCTTGTCTGAGAAGGATTTTATTTCTCCTTTGCTCATGAAGCTTAGTTTGGCCAGATATGAAATTCTGAGCTGGAAATTCTTTTCTTTAAGAGTGTTGAACATCAGCCACCAATTTCTTCTGGCTTATAGGGTTTCTGCTGAGGAGTCCACTGTTATTCTGATGGACTTCCCTTTGTAGGTGACCTGGCCCTTAACAATTTTCCTTCATTTTGACCTTGGAGATACTGACGATTATGTGTTTTGGGTTGATCTTCTCATGGATCTTACTGAAGTCCTCTGAATTTCCTGAATTTGAATGTTGGCCTGTCTTGCTGGGTTGGGGAAATCCTCCTGAATGATTTCCTGAAGTATGTTTTCCAACTTGGTTTCATTCTCCCCATTTCTTACAGGTACCCCAATCAGTTGTAGGTTTGGTCTTTTTACATAATTCCATAGTTCTCTGATTATTTTTCATTCCTTTTCAGTTTTTTCTCTAATCTTATCTGCCTTTCTTATTTCAGCAAGATAGTCTTTGAGCTCTGAGATTTTTTCCTCTGCTTGGTCTATTTGGTTATTTATGCTTGTGGTTGCATTGTGAAGTTCTCGTGTTGTGTTTTTCAGGTCCATCAGGTCATTTATGTTCCTCTATAAACTGGTTATTCTGGTTTACAGTTCCTATAATGTTTTCATGGTTATTAGCTTCTTTGAATTGTTTTAGAACATTCTTTAGCTCAGCAAAATTTATTACCCACCTTCTGAAGAATACTTCTGTCAGTTCATCCACCTCAAGCCTCCACCCAGTTCTGTGCCCTTGCTGGAGAGGTGTTGCAATCATTTGGAGGAGAAAAGGCACTCTGGCTTTTTGAGTTTTCAGCATTTTTACATTGATTCTTTCTCATCTCCATGAGCTTATCTTAGATCCTTGAGGCTGCTGATATTCGGAAGGGGTTTTTGTGGGGTCATTTTTGTGGATGTTTTTGTTGTTGTTGTTTTCTGTTGGCTTGTTTTTCTTTCAACAGTCAGACCCCTCTTCCTTATTAGGGCTGCCGCAGTTTGTTGGGGGTCCACTCCAGACCCTACTCACTTGGTTCCTCTCCCACCTGGAGGTGTCACCAGTGGAGGCTGCAGAACAGCAAGGATGGCTGCCTGCTCCTTCCTCTGTGAGCTCCATCCCAGAGGGGCACTGATGTGATGCCAGCAGGAACACTCCTGTATAACATGCTTGGAGACCCCTGTTGGTGGTCTCAGTCAGTTAGGGAGTATGTACAGGATCAGGGACCACTTAACAAAGCACTCTGGCTGCCCCTTGGCAGAGAGGGTGCACTGCACTGGAGGGAATCTCCCTTGTCCAGAATGTCCAGACCCTTCAGAGACAGCAGGCAGGAAAGACTAAGTCTGCTGAACCACAGAGACTGTGGCTGCCCCTCCCCACAGGAGTTCTGCCCAGGAAGATCAGAGTTCTGTCCATAAACCTATGGCTGGAGTTGCTGAAATTCCCACAAGGGGGCCCCACCCAATGACTAGGGATGGATCCAGGTTCCACCTAAAAAAGCAGTCTGGCCATGATCTGCCACAGCTGCTGTGCTCCTGATCTAAACCTCCCTGTCTCCCCAGCACCACCAGGGGAAAACAGCCAACTGGAGCCACAGTGATAGTAACCACCCCTTCCCCTGGGAACTCAGTCATCTTAGACAGTCTCCAGTCTGCTGTCACTGGCCACAGCCTGAGCGGTGATGATAGTCTGCACAACTCTGTGCTTGGCACGCAAGGCCCTGGTGGTGTGGGCTCATAAGGGGATCTCCTGATCTGTGAGTTGCACAGATCCATGGACAAAGCATGGTTTCTCAGGAAAGGTAGCACAATCACTCACTGCCTCCCTTGACTGGGGGTGGGAGTGCCCCTTGCCCTATGCAGCTCCCAAGTGAGGCATTGCTCCACCCTGCTTTTCCTTGCTCTCTGTGGGTCACGCCAATCACCTTGTCAGTCCCAATGAGAGAATCTGGATACCTCAGATGAAGGTGCAGAATTCACTCACCATTTTTGTTCTTCCACGTGGGAGTCACAGACCACAGCTGCTGCTAATTGGCCATCTTGGCACCTCCCCATTTAACTTTCTTTTCTCATCTAAAGGGGATGAAGGATGAAACTGTCCCAAAGAAAAGTTTATAAACCAATTAAGGGAGAAAATAAAATTCAACTAGGCTTGTAGAATAATCAGTGGCAATCATGAAATCCACTTTCCAATTTGGCCCACTTCTTTGTAGCTGGTTGCTGCTTACTCCCCCAAGATAGTGTAGCCCTTGTCACAAGACTGTGTTCCTTTTCTTTTCTATAGATAAAATCTAAGGCATGTGAGATGACATGCTTTCTGTTTGAGTTTCTCCTTTATGTTAGGCATACTGATAAAACTGTTGATGTCAGTTGATCTGAAGGTCCCAGCAAGGAGCCGACTCACGGAAGAATGCAGTTTTCACATCATGATGACTTAATCTTCCTTGACCTGACCAATCGACAACCCCAATTCTCCAGACCCTCACCCGCCACAATCCCCTTAAAAACCCTGGCTCAGAACCCCTCAAGCAGACAGATTTGAAGCTTGAGGATTTCTTCTATCTCTTTGCGCAATGACATTGTGATTATTAAACTCCCTTTCTGCTGCAAATTATGATGTCTCAGTGTATTGGTCTATTGCTGCTCAGTGGGCATATGAATCTAGAAGTCCTGTAATAGGGACAAAAGATAAACTACTGGCAAAACACTTGTAAAAGTCATAACCTAAGACATAGGCCCACTGAGAGACGGATATTCAATCGAGCACTATAGAACATATTTCTCTGCTCATACCATAAAATTTAAACCAACATGACTCCAATATACGGGGATAGACAAAAGAGCTACAAGAAACAGACACTGTTTGAAGATGAGTACTTAAGGAAACCCAAAGTTAAGGGAGGAGACAAAAACAAGGACACTAGAGGAATTTGAAACCTTCAGAAACTTGAGCTATAACAAATACTAAATGCAGTCCAACTCCAAGACAGATTAACATACATCCTCAGTTTATCTCAGTATCAATTTATCTCAGCATCAATTTATCTCAATATCTATTATGGATACAACATGTCTGGCTCTCAACAATGGCAACAAAATTACAAAACATGGTAAAAGGCAAGGAAAAAAATCACAATCTGAAGAGACATGATGATCATCAGAACAAGACTCAGTGATGACGATGCATATTTTGGAAATAGCAATCAAGAAATTTTACATAACTATGATTAAGATGTTAAGGACACTAGTGGAAAATGTAGAAAATATTCAATAAAAGATGATTAGTATAAGCAGAGAGATGAAAATTCTAACAAAGAACCAAAAGAAAAGGCTAGAAATTAAAATAACTCCAATAGATTTTTTTTAAAAATGCTTTCAATGGTTTCATTAGTAGACCAGACATGTTTGGGGAAAGAATTAGTGAAACTAAAGATAGGTCAAAAATACATTTTAAAACAAAGTGCCAAGAAAAAAATAAATGAAAAAAAAAAAGTGAAGGACATCAAAGACCCGCTGGGCAGTTTCTAAAGTTGTACAAAATGGGAAACTAGAATAGCAGAAGGAAGAGAAAGAGATAAATGAGGAGAATCTATCTAAATGAGTAATGGTCAAGAAATTTTAAAGCATAATGACATGAAACAAACGACCGGTCCAGGAAGGTCAGAGAATATAATTCATGACAAACAACAAAAATACAGCACCAGACATAGCATTTACTATATGTAGAATAAAATAAAATAAAATAAATCAATAAATAGACAAACAGAAAATCTTGAGAGAATCTGGATTGAAAACTACATTCCTTGTAGAGAAAAAAGAGTAAGGATTTCAGCCCACTTCCACTAAGAAACCAGGCAAGAAAGCAGAGAGTAGAGGGAAATATTTAAGTGTTAAAGGAATAAATGCACCAACTTAGAATTCTACATCTAGCAAAATTATACTTCAAAAGCAGAGGGGAAATCAGAATTTACCAGACAAAAAAACACTAACAGAATATACTGCCAGAAAACTTTCCTGCAAATGTGTTAAAAGAGGTTATTCATGGAGAAGAATGATATAGATCAGAAACCTGTATTTACAACAAGAAAGCAAGTGTGTTGAAAAAGAAAAAAAATGTTTTTTCTTATTGTAAATCTATTTAAACTATATGTTTGTTTAAAGTAATATTAGTAAATGTGTTGGGCAATTACAGCATGTGGGTAAGTGAAAGGACTGATGGTGATGTTACAAAAGATACGAAGGATGAACTGGGACTATTCTATTAATGTGTCCGGAATTGGTGGGTTCTTGGTCTCACTGACTTCAAGAATGAAGCTGCGGACCCTCATGGTGAGTGTTAACAGTTCTTAAAGATGGTGTGTCCGGAGTTTGTTCCTTCTGATGTTCGAACGTGTTCGGAATTTCTTCCTTCTGGTGGGTTCGTGGTCTCGCTGGCTTCAGGAGTGAAGCTGCAGACCTTCGCAGTGAGTGTCACAGCTCTTAAGGTGGCACGTCTGGAATTGTTCATTCCTCCCGGTGGGTTCGTGGTCTCGCTGGCCTCAGGAGTGAAGCTGCAGACCTTCGCGGTGGTTGTTACAGCTCATAAAGGCAGTGTGGACCGAAAGAGTGAGCATCAAGATTTATTGCAAACAGCGAAAACACAAGGCTTCCAAGGTGTGGAAGGGGACCCAAGCGGATTGCCACTGCTGGCTGTGGCAGCCTGTTTTTATTCCCTTATCTGACCCCCACCCACATCCTGCTGATTGGTCCAGTTTACAGAGAGCTGATTGGTCCGTTTTGACAGGGTGCTGATTGCTGCGTTTACAAACCTTGAGCTAGACACAGAGTGTTGATTGCTGCATTTACAATCCTCTAGTTAGACATAAAAGTTCTCCAAGTCCCCACTAGATTAGCTAGACAGAGTGCTGACTGATGCATCCACAAACCCCGAGCTAGACACAGAGTGCTGATTGGCGCATATACAATCCTCCAGCTAGACACAAAAGTTCTCCAAGATCCCACCTGACTCAAGAGCCCAGCTGGCTTCGCCTAGTGGATCCCGCGCTGGGGCCGCTGGGGGAGCTGCCCGCCAGTCCCACGCCAGGCGCCTGCACTCCTCAGCCCTTTGGTTGTTGATGGGACCAGCCGCCGCGGAGCAGAGGGCGGTGCCGGTCGGGGAGACTCCGGACAGGGGCGGGGGAGCCCGCAGGGGAAGGCGCGGGCGGGGAGAGGCTCCAGCATGGCGGGCTGCAGGTCCCGAGCCCTGCCCCGCGGGGAAGTGGCTGAGGCCCGGCGAGAATTCCAGCCCGCAGCGGGCGGGCTGGCGGTGCTGGGGAACCCGGCGCATCCTCCGCAGCTGCTGGCCCTGGGTGCTAAGCCCCTCACTGCCCGGGGCGGTGGCGCCAGCCTGGCCGCTCAGAGTGCAGGGCCGCAGAGCCCGAGCCCACCCGGAACTTGCGTTGGCCTGCGTGTGCCGCGCGCAGCCTCAGTTCCCGCCTGTGCCTCTCCCTCCACACCTCCCCACAAGCAGAAGGAGCCGGCTCCGGCCTTGGCCAGACCAGAGACAGGCTCCCACAGTGCAGCGGCGGGGCGAAGGGCTCCTCAAGCGCGGCCAGAGTGGACGCCGAGGCCGAGGAGGCACGGAGAGCGAGCAAGGGCTGCCTGCACGCTGTCACCTCTCATTAAGGTACCTGCACTGTATGTGAATTGGTGGAGTGCTATTTGAAGGTGATTTTAGATTAGTAACAAATGTGTATTGGATACTCTGGGGGAACCACTAGAATAGTTGAAAAAGGAAGTATGCTTTACATGTTATGAGTGACATTAGGTTTGATAATGGATTTTTAGACATAATATTAATACCAAAAGTTCTAGCTACAAAGGAAAAAAATGATGTTAGAATTTGTTAAATTTAAAATGGAATTTTCTGCTCTGTGAAAGACTGCAGAGAGTTAAAAGACAAGCCACAAACTAGGAGAAAGTATCTGTAAACCGTATATCTAATAAAGTATTGCTATCTAAACATACAAATAACTCTGAAAACTGAATAATAAGAAAGCAAACAAGCCAATTACAAATGTGCATAGAATGTGAAAAGACACCTCACCCCTGCCCCGAAATACCCATGGCAACTAGCATATAAAAATATGCTCAACAGCATTTTTTTTCTTTAGAGAAACACAAATTAAAACAATTGTGATGCTACCACACATTAGTTAGAATGGCTTAAATCCATGAACCGAAGTATTACAAATTCTGGTGAAAATGTAGAGCAATAGTAGCCGTTTGCTGAAGGGAATTTTAAAATTGGTACTGCACGCTGGAAGACAGATTGGCAGTTTCTTACAAGTCTAAATATCGGCTCACCATGCACTTCAGCTATCATGCTTCTAGGTATTTATCCCAATGATTTGACAATTTATATCACATAAAAATGTGAGTGTTTATCAGAGCTCTTTTTTATAATTATCAAAAAAGGACAGCAACCTACATGGCCTTAAACCTTAAATAAGTGAATTGATTAACCGTGGTACATCCAGAAAAAAGAAATAAATACAAATCTACAGGAATAAATACATGAATATTCAATATTTATTGCTCTGTGAAAGAAATTAGTCTGCAAATGCCTCGTATTATATGTTTCTAACTATATGACATGGTAAAAAAGGCAAAACAATATAGTAAAAAAGATTAGTGCTTCCAGAGGTGAGGGGAGAGGAAGTAGGGTTAAATATGTGAAACATGAAAACAAGTTTTTTACTATACTGAAACTATTTTATATGATATTGTAATGGTGGACATAACATTATGCATTTCTCAAAATCCATAACAGTTTTTGAGCTTGAGGAGGAAACATTAATTTATACAACTAAAAAAAAAACTATCCTTTAGGAAGTAGAGGGATTGCAAGATGGAATGCAGAGTGTGACAAAATATTATAAATGTATTGAAAATATATGAAACAACCTCACTGAGATGGGTGGGAAAAAATGCGCTGAAATAAGTAACTTCAGAAATGAGAGGAGACTGTAAAATTAAAGGTGAAAGGAAGTGTATACAGCACAGTGCTCCAGTTAATAAAGTTGTTTCTCATGGAGGTATGGCGTAACATTTCTGACATTACTGTATATGTGCATTGTGAATGAACAATTAAGAAAGTGAGTGATGAATGGTGGATGGGAACAAGTAGAGGGCTATTCTTGATATTCTCCTCAAATTTCTTTAATTAATTAGTAAATGAATTAGCAAGTCCCTAATGGCCTTTAGAGTCTGCTGAAGGAGATGAATAAATAAACAGCTGGCTATTAATAGCATAATATAATATGGTGTTTAATATTATAAACAAAGGGCTATGTGAGTGTGGACCAAGAGACTATTATTTTCACCTTTTTTCTAAAACCTTGAAAAAGTTGGCACTTCTATCTTACCTTAGATAGTAATCAAGAGTTAGATAGGTTGAAATGACACATTTTTCATGCAGAAAATATTACACACGAAGGCATGGAGGTTCAAAATTTTCAGGTTATAGGGAAATTGCAGGTTGCTGAAAAATGCAGGTTGCTGAAAGGAATGCAGTATGATGCAAGATATTTGATGTTGGGCAAAAATAATTTTAACTTCTATTACATAGTCTGTGGAGAATGGGCAACATTGAGGGGTAACAGAAGCCTTTGTTACCCCATCTTTGAAAAGTAAATAATAATAATTGTCCCATTTAGATATTAAAGATTAAATAGGTTAGTGAATGCAAAGTATGCCATATAAATTCTGGCAAATAATATGTTCAAAATAAATTGTAACTTTGATTATTAAAACATATGTATACACATACATACATATATATGTATGTGTATATGTATGTGTATGTGTCTGTGTGTATAACAGAATTAATTGTATATCATAGTTGAAGTAAAAGAATGGGAAGAAAAAATACTTTAATGGGTCTCCAAATAGGACAAGACTATATACATATAGTCTTGCACATATATATATATATATATATATATATATATACACACACACACACACAAATAAATATATATGTATGTATCAATACACACACACACACACATTCTCAGTACATGAGGATAATCAGAAAGATGGCTACAAAAATACAACCCTCTTAGTTTTATATAACCTTTTATAAATATATAAAACTAAGAGAAGGAAGAATGCCTTCTGAAAGAATGCCTTCTGAAGCACTGTAAACTAATCTAAGGGGGGTAAAGTCAGAGGATTTTCCTATGTTGGGACTGAATTCATTAACATAGCTATAGAAAGAGTCTGTCAATGAAAGGAGAATTAGTTGCCTATGGAAACTGAGCTGCAGATGAATCTTTAAGGCATAAATCTCTTTTCCATCTAAGTAGAAGTCCAATTCCTGAGATAGGAAGTCTGGGCAAGTGAAACTGTCAATTAAGTTGGTAAGCCTTCCTACAATAAAAATAAACGCATGTGCACATTTATATTAGCTTCACGATGTTAAATATTCTAATCATTGAACTTTATTTTTCTGATCTAATATATACTCAGCTATCATGTGACTACATTTTGTTTTCCCATACGGATGTGCGTTTGGGTGGAAAGTATGTACTGTTTATGCTGAAGTAAGAATTTTCTTTTATATAACATAGTTCTTGCTATAAATTAATAAACTAACATTCTGATTGTTTATAGTCATTGTGTGTTGAATCGTGTCTCCAAAATGAAATCCTAATACCAATACTTGTGAATGTGACCTTATTTGGAAATAGGTTATTGCAGATGTTGTTATTTTGAAACAGGGTCATATTGAAATGGGATGGGCCCCAATTCAGTGACTGGTTTCTTTATAAAGAAAGAAAATATGGAGACAGAGAGACATAAAGAAATATAGGGAAGAAGGCCATGTAATGACGGAGGCAGACAGTGGGGTGATGCATGCACAAGTCAAGGAACACCAAAAATTGCTGGCAACCACCAGCAACTAGAAGACACACGGGGAACGGACTTTAAGTCAGAACTTTTCAGAAGGAACCAATCTTGCCAACACCTTGATTTCAGGCTTCTAGCTTACAGAGCTGTGAGACAATAAATGTTTGTTTTTTTTTAAGCCACCTATATTGTGATACTTTGTTATGGCAGCCCTAGAAAGCTAATACAATAGTCAAAAGGAAACAAATTATCTCCCTGTGGCGTAAAACTTTAAAATAATTTTTTTTTCCCCAAAGCCTTTTTCTTTCATTTGTTGGTTTTGGTTTCTATACAATAGATCAAACATCTTCACTGATAGTTTTCTTAGTCATTATTTTTGGAAACATTTTTCAAAGGACTCATGGAAATCTGTAATCTATGCTGATTCACTACTTCCATGTAAAGAATTTGATATTTTTCATAGTTATTACTGGCTGTTGCTGTGCTATTCCTAATTGTCTTGAAAGTTTTGTATGTAGCATGAAATCCCAACTTTTATTGAAGTAGGATATATATATATATATATATAAAACTCTTCTATGGTTGTATTCAAGCTGGAGCCTATTTGTTAGCACTGCAGGGCATCGTGTGTGTGTGTGTGTGTGTGTGTGTGTGTGTGTGTGTGTGTGTGTTGTAGAAGCTACTATATGAGAAATGTGGAGATACACCTTTAGTTCAATTCTTTAGCTGCTAACTAGAGTTCTTACTGTTGTTTTAGTCAGGAAATAATGAAATATATCATCAATAAAAAGTTAAAGGAACAAGGTGAATCAATCCAATGGGAGAATCTAAATCTTCCCAGGGATCTATCCAAATCCATAAAAAGAGTACCAGTTGATAGGTAACAGCAGGGGATTAAAGACTGAAGCAGTTTGCTGCAGGCTATGAATGACCTGATCCCTTAATCCATCTGTCTTTTTATATGAGAATGTTATGCTAATTAGCTGAGTAAATTGTTTCCTGATGACATTAATTTTGTGCCTTTTTGTTATTCTAGGCTTTGACTTTCACTGTGATAAAAATATATGAAGGGGCATTTTCAATTTAGATGGTTCCTATCCTGATAAATTCCAACACAGCAATGTTGTGGGGGAAACATGTATAAATAGCAAACTTAATCAATCCCGAGGATAGACATAGATGACTTTAGCTTCCTATATAATCGTTCCCTTTAGCTTCTAAAGCATTACATTAACACACTTGAAATGTTAAAACATAATTCAAGGAGAATTTTAGCAAATGCGATTTTCATTTTCCCATTTTCTTTGGAGAAAATCAAGACTTGAATTCATTAACATGGAGGAAGTAGTGGAACAGATAGTCGTGATGTGAAATCTTATTAGTAAACAAGAGCTGCATCTGAAAAAATATTGTCATTAAAAGCTATGTAGTAGTTAATTGAGTTTGATATGAAATTTAGTGCTGGAAAGTTAATGACTAATGCAGCTATTTCACACAGCTTGGTTACTGCAGGCTCCATAATGATCTCCTTTTGCTTTGGAGCAACAATGAAATTAACCTCTCTTTTGTCCTGCAGGTGTTGTGTTCTGATAATGCATATCCTTTACAAGTTTGGGTAAATTATTTGATTTGCATATGAATTAACTCCAAAGCTGAATCAATATTAGAATAATAAAAATGTAGAGAATATTTTTATTCCAAGGAAGCAAAGATTTATGGCAAAATATATCCCAAATCCTAGATGCGATTTCAGGAGGATAGATTTAAAAATATTTATCATGCTCCAAAAAGAAAAAGGAGAAATAAAAAAGGAAAAATACATACAATTGAGAGAAAGGAGGAATGGTTTTGGAAAATACAATATTATGTTATTATTGTTACATTAGGGAGAAAATAATTGAGAATCGATACATTTGTTTTTCAGTATAAAAACAAAAAGATGGCACTTATTTAACAATTCTTAAGTGATGTCTTCTGAGCTCCACTTTATTGGGTATGTATTGTTCCTAAGCTAAAATCTAATTTCAAAATATTACGTATTACAGCTGTAGTGTTGTCTTGGTCTGTTTTGTGTTGCTGTAACAACACCTGAGACTGGGTAATTTATAAAGAAAAAGGGTTTATTTAGCTTATGGTTCTGGTGGCTGGAAAGTCCAAGACTATGGCATTGGCATCTGTTGAGCTTCTGATGAGAGCCACATGCTATGTCACAACAAGGCAGAGAAACAAAATGGAAATCAGGCAAAACATTGCTTTATAAAAGAGGCAACTTTCTTTAGAATGACCAGCTTTTATGAGAACTAACCCATTATCATGAAAAATAACCCAGTTCACCAGAAAGTTATTAATTTATCTTAATGACCTAATCACCTCTTCAAAGCATGATCTCCTAACACCTTACATGGGAAATTAAATTTCAACATGAATTTTGGGGAGAATAACCCATGTCCAAACTATAGCAAGGGTAAAGACCCCAAATTTACTTAGACTTGGAGATTAATAATCATGTGTCATTGCCAATAAACGTTTTCTTTCTTTTGCACTTCCAAAGAATTTTTTCACCACCTATTTTCCTCTATGTTTTTCTTTTTCTAGTATTTCTTTCTCTAAAAATTTGTGCTTGTGTAATTTACAAATGCAACTTTTTTCTTCTTTGAAATGATAGCTAAATTCAAATTACTTTTATCCTATTCAAAATTCAGAGGAAAATTCAGAAGTGACCTATTCGATGTTTGAGAATGTGCCATACTACATCAGGTGCACAAGTTCCTGTGAATAAGAAGCGAAAAAGCTAGCACTTTCCCTAGTTCTGTTTTTAAAGAATAAGCATATCAATGGATATTGAGAAAAAAACTACTGGTAATATTTAAATGGTAAAATGGGTATGGTAAAATAATATTATGAGCACTTTTTCAAGTAATACATTTTGAACTTTAAGGTTTCTTCTGTTTATTTTATCTGTTTATAGGAATAATCCTGTTTTGTTCACTTCAGTATATTCACTATTCCTTTCCCTTACAGTAAAGCATTGGACATGGCCTTGATATTGCTGGTTATTACCCATAGGGTTCAGTGTTCGTCTTTTGTTTCTAAATTCCAAAAGCAAAGTTGATTCTAAAGGATGATAATAATCATTAATAATTTATAGAATACCCATCTCCAAAACAGAATCAGGAATGCTATAGACAATAATAAGCACACATTAAACCAACTGGGCACAGTGCCCAGAAAATCAGCCAAGTACACACAATAGGCAAGAAAAGAGCTTGTATGTGTGTGAGGAGAGATAAGAAAGGGAAAGCAACGCATAAGAGACTTCCAAACAGAACAACCAGGGAGTCAACAGATTTTCAAACTTTCATAGAAAACACAAATATTTTGAAGTTATTTCTGCTGGGTCTACTAACTGTCTTACAATGTATGATAGCTATGAACCCCAATGGAAGAAGTAGAAGCAAATTGAGTATATTCTAAAAAATTCAAAATTTGTAGGCATATTAAGTTTTAGGTTTTACAAGCTTCCAAGTGGTGAGTTACAAGACCACAATATAGGTGTAGGTTTATGGGCTTTCTTGTTTGTGATTATGACTTAAACCAACCTTCTTTTTTCTATATGATTTGTTGAAATTCAAACACTGTACATGTGATTATGACGAGGAGCAAGGAGTCTCATGTATATGTTTTCTTATATTATATAACAGCACCTGAACTTTTTCATGTCAGATCTGCTGGCAAATTAAAGGAGGAAAATACCCCCATGAACTGAAGAAATCTACGGAAGTTAGCTTGTTGAAATGCTGCCAGAGGCTTCATTTAGAGGGGTTTTTATAGGTAGTAGGTCTAAAGGATACTAGCAAACAAAAAATGCTAACAACATTTTTTTTTCCCAAGAGAAGTACCCCACCAAATTTATTCCATGTAGGCCTGAGGGTTGGATACTAATTTACTTACCATGTATTTATTATAAAACACTACTTAGGCAGGTGTGACCCAGCTATAATTGGCAAGAAACCAGGGATGTACATTTGCTTTTGCTATTATATCTAAACTAGAAGAAGACTAAATCCTTTAATAGGAATAAAAAGTTAACACAATGATTTAATTTAATTCTACTTCGTATAGATAACATTTGGTAGAGTTTCAGGAACTTACTATATATTTTAGCGCTTAATTTGTAATGAAGGCTATTGACAGTATAAATCTTGGGATAAACTAGGTAAATAAATTACTTTTTTTGAATATGAATGTTCTTTTTTATTTATCCTGGAGTCATATTCAGTGAACTGAGAAATGCATTTTGTTAAACTGACACCTAGATTTCAGGGAGAATATACTCAAATGATAAAATATTTATATCAAGAAAATAACTTTTACTCCATGACATTATATTATTTATCAGATATGAATGTCATTAAAATTCATTTTCAAACTGTGTAAAAGAGAATGATTCCTATGCCAATGTTTTCTTACAGTGTGAAATCTCATATTGATAAAAGTACAATATTTATATATGAAATTTTGGAAAGCTTTGAGCATAAAGTTCTCAGTCACATCATAACATTTTCTCTGACAGTGTGTGTGTCTTAGGGTAGGGAAAGAGAGTGGTTGAATGTCCATATCTTACTAACTAAGATGGTATGCCCACTGTCTTAACAATTTAATTCCTGTATTGACTCAACTAATTAGGCTGCCATAACTTTATTTCTTAATTGTTAATATGTTGGGGAAATTATCGATAAGTATAGAAAATGACAAAGTTATTGTTTCTGAAAAACGATGAAAAAGAGGATAGCCTTACTTATGCAGAGCCTATTAAAAAGGGAGTACTTTTTCTTCTTAAAATGCATAGCTTGACCAGCTCCATTTAACACTGTTTTTTAAAAGACATGTTAATATCCTAATGGTATAAATGAATTCAGTCATGACTAATTGAGTCAAAGAGATTTAAAAATTATTTGAACTGTTTTATCAAATTGCTAGCTCATTGTTTAGTGCTAGATATTCACAAAACAAATAATTAAGTTCCTAAGATTATTGTTGCAAACTGTGGGAACTAAAAGTCTTTAATTACATTATTTTGAAAGCAAAAAGTGATTTCCATGCAAAATATTTTAAAGGATTTCTACCCAATGTCAAATTTTCTTATCTATTCATTTAATAAGCATTGATTGAATATCCATTGTGTCTTAAAAATCAATGACAAATAACATTCTAAACTTCAGCAAGCATATGGTTGAAAACTAAATAAAGAACAAAAACCAAGGTAATTACAGTAGAGTATTTCAGTGATATATTACCACCAAGAACAGAGAGCTATAAAAATCACTGGAAGAACATCTAACTGAATCTCTGGGGAGTGAGGAAAAGCTTTCTTTGGAGAATAACCTGTAATCTGATATCTAAAGGACCAGTAGGAGTTATCCATAAAAAAGAGAAAGAAAATTCCAGGTAGTTGAAATGGCTTGCTGAATTGCCAGGGCACAGATTACTAAAATGTTTAGTAATACTCATGGTAATTTTGTTTATAATTTTGAAACAGATACCATGTAGTCAACATAATAGGTCAGATCAGCACCTTTGGTACACATAACCCTTTTTCTGTAAGGTATTGATAGGTATCATTTGAATAAAATTGGCAATATTTAGTGTTTATTGGTGTTTGGGAAAAACATGTGCTTCCTAAAATTTTAGCATATTTTCCTATATGGTTTCTCCTTAATAAATTAATGTACAAAGCAAATATCCAGGAGGTGTTAATAGTAAGCAGTAATTTCCAAAACTGCGTGACCAAGAAACTTTTTACTCATAGAACAACTCTTTGAAATACTTTTCTCAGGAATATACTTTGAGAAACATTGCGTAAATACATGTGGAAAAAAGTGTTCTAAATCCAAGTTCTTTATGATGGAGATTACTGAATCCAAGTGTTCTAAATCCAGGTTCTTTATGGTGGAGATTACTGAAAACGTATGGGAGAAAATTACACATTTTGATAGAAAATCTTAAGAGTTGAATGGTGTTTGCCCAAAAGGTTTGTCCACCCAGAATCTCGCAGTCTGACCTCAATTGTAATAAGCATCTTTGAAGATATAATAAGGTAATAAAGTGTGCTCATCCTCTATTACAATAAATTCTAAATCTAATGAGTGTCCTTATAAGAGATAGAATAACAGAAAGAAAAAAAGGCGGGGGGGTGGGCATGTGAAGACAGAGTCAGAGATTGGAAAGACAAAAACCGCTAAGAATTGCTGACAGCATGGAATGGGTTTTTTCTGGGTCTCCTATGGAAACCAATACTGCCAACATGTTGATTTGTCTTCTGGCCTCCAGACCTGTGAGAGAATCAATTTCTGTTGTTTTAAGTCATCAAGTTCATTGCAATTTGTTATGACAACCCTGGAAACCTAATAGAACAATGTGATGCTTTAGAACTAGTTGTATTCAAACAAATTTAAGCCTTAACTCATATTCTTACCAAACAGTCCCCAATGAATTATGGATGTCCCTTGATTTCATGTTCTTGCATTACCCTCCCAACCAGACAATAGATTAGCCTTGTGAATTAGTTGAGCCATGAGAATTCAGCTAAAGAGACACTGTATAAGTTTCAGTCCTAGGCTTAAGGAAGCTTTATAGCTTTTGTTTACTCTGTCTTTTGCCTTGAGCCACTGTGCAAAGATGTCTAGGTTAGCTTCCTTGTGGATGAGACACCTTATGATGAAAAAAGACCAGGAGGAATGAAAGACTGGGAAGATAGAGAGGAAGACCCAGTTAGCTTCTAGTCATTCCAGCACAACATATGAATGGGGCCAGCTAGGATCTTCCAGTCCCTATGGAGCTGCCTGCTAAATACAAACATATTAAAGAGTCCAGCAGGAGACACCATCTAGGGAGAGATGAGCCACCCAGCTGAGTTCAGCCCAGATTGAAGAATCATGAGCAGGTCCATCTGTGCTGCTTAGCTGTTTTAAGCTGCTGTGTTTAGACTGGTTTATTATGCAGCAATAGAAAGCTGTAACCATCTAATATGATTATCAAGTATGTTTTTTTAAAACAAAGATAGACAAAAAAGATTAATAGATACAAGATTACGTTGTGTGCTGTAGCAAAGGTGGGTTTGACCTTTTTTTTCAATTAAGAATTTTGATAATCTACCATACATTTTTAAATTCTTTCTTGCATTAACTTTATCTCTGGATAAAAAATTCAAGCCACCTGTAAGTAAATAGAAACAGTAGGCATAAATACACAAAAGGAAAGTTATATTAAAATTCTGCAGAAATGTAACAAGAATAAAAAAGCTGAACTGGATTTTTAGGATGTTGTACACTCAGCTTTTATGAGAAACAGACAAATGACAATCTCATGCCAAGGATTTGTTTTAAAAGGCTGTATAACAGGTAGAGCATTGACTAACACATGTTTTACCACCTTTATCTTCAGAGTACTGCAGACAGATGCTATTCATAATGACTCTACATGATATTGAAATGGTATCTGAATATTAACAACTAAATTCTGACCAGCTGTGATTTAAAACATTTAGCTATTTATTGATTGATATTTTTTAAAAAAATTGGAATGTGCATTATATGTATATTTAACTATGAAGTCACTGAACATTTAATTAACATATATCCTGTTTTTCAATCATTACCAGGAGTAGTCTTTATAGAAATACAAGTAGCAACCATCACCACAAATGAATTCTTATAAGAAACAGTTATTCAAGTCTTTTTCTCTCTCTGTCAAACGCATGTGCGCACACACACACACACTTTAATGTTTGTATGCCTGTGGATTGTGAGAGAGTGAGAATAAGCCTGTAAATACAGAATTATATCAGAATTCTTATAGCAAATAAGCTATCAGGAAAATTGAGCCAACTTAGTCTTGGTCTTGTGAAGGACATTTTCTCTTTTCTGACTTAGTCTTTTCTATTAAGTGAAAGATGTCACAAAATGACCACTCATCTATTTTTGATGGATACATGAATTGTACATTACATGGAAAGAAGAGAGAAAATAATCCTAATTTTATATAATGTACAGGTTAGAAAGCCTGATATAGACTAATATAAAATTAATGCTTTGAATAAATTTGTTTATACTATTGCTCTGTTAGAGTGTTGCTACTTTTGGTTTGTTTTTCAGTTGTTTTTTCAATATGTATTTAGTTTGATTTTTAATAATCTTATCTCTCTTTTTTCTTTTCTTCTCCTTTACCTCTTGCTCCTCTTCCTTCTTCTCCTTGCCTTCCTCCTCAGTCTCCTCATCCTCATGTTCCTCCTCATCCTCTTCTTTCTTTGTTTTCATTACAAAATAAAATAAGCAATCAGAAAAGTTCATACAGATATTGTTACTTATCTTTAGGGACCTGGATCTAACTTAGTGCTGTTGCTTCTGTTTCTTCTCTTTTGTCCTCCTCTTCTTTTTCTCCTTTGTGTTCTGTTTTACTTTTTAAAAATAGATTCCACAACTCTGATTTTTAATCTGATTGTGTAAATGATCCTTAATAGTAAAATCAATTTGAATATTCATTATAAAACAGAAACACAGCAAAGCATTTTGCAAAATTTACCATAAAGTAAATAATAACCATTCCTAGTACGATAATGCTGCAACTATTTTTCTTTCATCCTCTGCAACATTTTTATCTGAAACAGTCTCTGCTGTTTCCAAGTTCAACGTCCTGCAGCAAGCCTTGCCAGCAATACAGAATACTTTCAATTAGTAGTTCTCTACTTCTCTGGTCGCTAAGCAACTGACCTATGGTGAAGAATACATAATGATCTGCATAGACACCTTAGAGCAATAGAAAGTATAAGCTTCACAAGTTTCATTTGCTCTCTCGTGTTGATGTTACAATAACCAGTTAAATGCATGGAAATATTTTATAGTAATTTGCTATAATAAACTTAAAGATTAAAAGAAGCCTCGGACAAAGGTAGAAATAAACACATAAAATATTGTATTTGTCATTTGTTCATGTATGTCATTTTATTGTTTATAGGGAGGGCAAGTAATCAGGTTAATATTTTATTAAATACTTATATTCTAGCTGCTGTTTAAGACAGAATTCATCAAGTAGCAGAAGTGATGGAAGGGCCAAGGGGAAGAAAGATGGACAAAACCTGAAAATTGAAAGTGCAAATAAAATGAAAATTACAAATGAAAACCAGTATGCCTGAGATAGACATGCCTGTTTAGTAGAGTGTCTTCATGTGGGTTAAAGAAGAAAAGGAAATATCAGCTGGAATCAGCAGAACAGATTTAGCACTTGACCCTTGGATACTTTTCATTCTATTTATCTATCATATTTTTATTGGTTTTTATTCCATTGACTACTATATGCACTGACCCTCAGCAAATTCACTCAATAGAGAGGAGAGATTATATCTCCACTGTATCAGTGGAGCTGCTTAGGAACATTTCTCCCGCTTCTTGTATGTATTTTGTCCTATTTGTACATTGTATTTTATGAGCTGCTTTAGAATAGTAGAATAACTTTCCTTTATATGGTATAGAACTTTTGATATATCTCAACAAAATTTTTAAAAAATGATCATTTGAAATGTATGTTCTCATACTGTATGTGCAAATATCAGTAGTACAAACACTTAGGATTAATGAAAATGAAAATCCTAATATATTAAACTTAGAAAAATAGACTAAATATTTACTGAAAAGAAACAGATAACCAAAATTTCATGATACACAATGAAAAGCCTCGAGACATTAAAGAGGACTTTCACTGTCTTTGATGATGTCATCTTTTACGTATTAAGTTCTTCTAGCATGGTAACTAGAACTAAATTTTTAACTTAACTTCCTTTTAAACCACACACTGTGAATGCATCTGTGAAAAAGACCTGCGTACTACAAGATAACTTTAATTACATATCTTCTGTGGGGTCCATGCTTTTAGTTTAGTATAGGTTTATGCAAAGTGATACTATTGGTAATGTGTAATTTAAACACACACACAAACTAACAGGTCCTGCCCCCTATCAATGTCTGGGTGATATCAGAGAAGGCCATGTGGGAATCCATAACTTTCTTCTCTACCAGGTAGTTCCAATGTGCCCCATCCTTCCCCACCAGATTCCTTAGGTGTCAAAGTAAACTAAGTGAGAAGTTGGAACTTTCACCATCATCTAGTGGTAAAAAGGTCCAAGGCCTCCTGATGTTTGCCTTCCCTTCAGTGTAGGCCATAGTGGGAGCAGAAACAAGAAAAGAATCCCCCACTCTCCAAAGGTGGTTGAGCAGGGAT
Organism: Homo sapiens; assembly: GCF_000001405.40. Classification (NCBI taxonomy): domain Eukaryota; kingdom Metazoa; phylum Chordata; class Mammalia; order Primates; family Hominidae; genus Homo; species Homo sapiens. The sequence continues at coordinate 27,831,681 of NC_000014.9, read as the reverse complement.
AAATTTTTATAACCCCTAGCAATAACAAGGCACCCCACTTTCACCGTGTGTGGTGTCACAGGAGGTTTATTTCTAAGAGTTAAAATACAGAGCCTCATAGCATAATATACAAATTACCCTAGTACATTGAAAATTACTCATCATATCAAGTACCAGAAAAAAATCTCATCTTGAATGAGGTAACACATGCCAACACAGTGATAACACATAAATTAGATTTATTCACAAGGATTTTAAAGCCACCACCATAAAAATGTTTTAATGAGCAATTCCAAATATGCTGAAACAAATGAAACAATGGAAAGCTTTACAAAGAAATAGAAGATGCCAAGAGACAAATAGAAATTTTCGCACCGAAAAATATAATTGAAACTTTAAAAAATACTTGATTGCTCAACAGGGTAATGGAGGAAATAGAGAAAAGAATAAGTGAACTTGAAAATAGGACATTAAAAATTTACTAATCCAAAGACCAGAGGGAATACAGACTGAAAATGAAAAAAAAAAAAAAAAAAAAAAAAAGAACAGAGTCTCAAGGACCTATAAGACTATAGCAAAAAATCTGCTATTCATGTCATCAGAGTCCTAGAAGGAAAGGCAAAAGTGGGTTGGGCTAAAAATATATTTGAAAAAATAATGTCCAAAACGTTTTCGAGTTTGGCAAAAGACATACAACTACAGATTCAAGAAATGAGAAAATCTAAAACGGGACAGATACAAAAAAAATCAACATAGAAACAGGTCAATTTCAGAAAACTTCTGCAGAAGAAAAAATCTTGGAAGCAGTGATGTAAAACAATGCTTCATCTCTCCAGAAGAAAAACAATTTGAATGACAATGATTTTCTATCAGAAATAATGGTGGCCAGAAGGAAGTGATATATTTCTCAAGTACTGGAAAACAAGAACTGTCAATCCAGAAATCTGTATTAGGCAAAAATGTCCTTTAGAAATGAAGGAGAATTAAATAAATTCTCAGAAGAAGAACAATTAAGAATTGGTTGCAAACAGACCTACCCTAAAGAAAAGCAAAAAGTTCTTGAAACATAAAGAAAATGAATAAGGTGCCTGAAATCATCATAAGAGTAACAGAAAGAGCAAAAATATGAATAAGTACAAGAGATTTTTCTTCTTGCGTTTTCTAAATTATGTTTGACTTTTGAATCAAAAACTGTAACATTGAAATGGTTATCAATACCTAAATGAAAAATTTTAAAAATTATATAAACAAGGATTGGTAAAGAGACTTCCAATGAGATAAGATTTTTACACTTCACTAGAAGTGTTAGATATTTTAATAGTGGTAGTGATCACAAGAATTTACACATGTAATGACAGATGTATGCATACATATTTTTTCAATGTCAATTTCTTGGTTTTAATGTTTTACTGTAGCTACAAAAAAATGTAACCACTGGGGAAACTAGGTGAAGAGTATGAGAGACCTCTCTGTACTATATTTGCAACCTTCTGTAAATCTATAATAATTTCAAATCAACAGTTAAAAAATAAAAATATGTCTAATAGACCAATAGTTGCATATGGAGGGCAGAATGATTAAACAAAGAGATATTTTGTTTATATATACCTGTAAAGGCATCCATGAAAGGTATTAACATTTGAAATTATGTAAGTCCAATGCTGCAGGAACATGGGCATACTATAGCTTATTTTAGATGCTTTAGAAAGCCAAAGTCATCTCTGATAAGTTCTACATTGATAATAATAACCTGAGAGACTTCTCAGTCTCCAAAATTATACTGTTTCTAAAATATAGGTAAATATTCTTTTCATCCTAAATCTTTCAATGTTTAAGAATGTCATTGATAGTCTTTGCTTTAGAGGAAAATACAGAGATCAAGAAAAAAAGGTCTGGAAAAATGAAAAAGAATAATTTTAAAAGCTTCCTCAGAGACAGAGTTACAGATGGATATAGTTTAACTACAACTCAGCCATGAATTTCTTACTTCTCTTCTAGTTACTATCGGTTACTCTTTTGCTGAATGAATCTGCCTTATGAACATAAGTTAAAAAAAAGTACCCATGATAAGTAAAACATTATCAAATACAGCTATTTTTATAAAAGTTTAAAGTCAAAAATGGATCCATTTCTGTTGTTCTTCTTACAGGGAGATGCTTATTCCCCTATCCTTTATTAAAAGGGCCAAAAAGTATACTCATCTGTAATAGAGAATACGCATAATGTTTATTAACTGGTGCTTATTATACTGTTAACACATTATCTGCCACTCCCAAGAATGTGGGCATATTTAGAAAATGTTCAATATGGTATTTATAAATTATTCTGTGGCAGACTTTGATTTAATTCTTTTCATCTTCATTTTAATAACAGTGGAGTGGTTCTTAATATAATATTTTCATTATTTGCATGTCCTTTGCAAGAAGGCTTGGGATACTATTTGTAATATTTACCCCAAAATAAGTTCCAAACAGGTCAGACTTCTAATTGTTCATTACAAATAACTAAGGTTTAGAAATATAGATGCTATACAATTCTAATATAAATCTTTTGGTATTAACCCCTCACCATTGAAAACACATTAACTGACTTGTAGTGTTTGATCATTTCCACACAAAGAAAATGGATCACTGTATGTCTCTTGATATCTGCATAGCCTTAAACCAGAAGATAGAACGTGATTGCTCAGGAGAGTCAAATGATTTCAAATCAAATTATTCTAAGTACGTCATTTGAGCAAAAATAACACAATGTGCAGAATACTGCAAGTGAATTTTCTTTTCTCCAAATAGTGTGAGCTAAATCATGTTTACTATAGTGATAATATTAATTATTCTATGGATATGCTAGAATTATTCTACGATCTTATGTTGTTTTCTGACCACATTTTCCAAAACACTTTAAATTGTGCTTTACCCTTTCATACCCTTTTATTGTTTACTGATTCATTCCACAAATTAAAATTATTTAACTAATTGGTAATAATGTGCACTGAAACAAAAAACAATAATGTCACTTCCGATTGTGACTGATTCTTAAAATATTCTCTTCTATGGTCTTCATGGCCTAATGGTTTTAAGTTATACACAGTATTTCACTTAAAATATTATGGAAAGCAGCATCTAGAGCTTTAAACAAGTTAGATAGTTTATATCTGTAGTTTATAAATCATGATGTGTTAAACTTTATTATGATCTTACAATTTGAATTTAATTCTTTTATAATGTCTCTAGGCTCTCTCTCCTGATGATAGATAGATAGATAGATAGATAGATAAATAGATAGATAGACAGACAGATAATTTTCCTTTTAGAAAACCTCTTGCTTTTCTGATATCCCACTCTCTGACAGCATTATACTCAAGAGCAAGGGTGGGAAATGTGTTGACTGCCAAGGTATTAGATAGCTGGGTTAAATGCCAAAATTAAACTGATATAAAATATAAAGTAATACAGAAACAAGAAAAAAAGTGGAAAATGAAAATATAACCTTGTAAAAAAGTTTTTATTCTAATATTCAGGTATGTTAATGAAAATAATAGAGTGAATGGTTTCCGAAAGGCATAAATGGACATTATTGTTTTATGAATACGTCAGTAAGAAAATACTTTGACGGGAAGGGGAAATTATCCAGGTTCATTGTGAGATTTCCACCTACAATTTTCACTTGGCTGGCGAGAGTTACTTGTGTTACTTGAGTTATGCTACTTTAAAAGTATTTGTCACCAGTATGTATCCCTTCTTTGATATTTTTCCTCCCTTCTACAGTGACTTTTAAAATCCAAATCTAATCAAGCTGCCACTGAGGACATATTGTTGTATTAAACATATAAATGTTTAAGTCTTATTAAATACAGACTGGGTTTCAGTAAATCAGAAATGGTTAAAAAAAAAAAGTGAGGCCGGGCACGGTGGCTCACGCCTGTAATCCCAGCATTTTGGGAGGCCGAGGCGGGTGGATCACGAGGTCAGGAGATTGAGACCATCGTGGCTAACATGGTGAAACCCTGGCTCTACTAAAAATACAAAAAAATAGCCGGGCGTGGTGGCGGGCGCCTGTAATCCCAGCTACTCGGGAGGCTGAGGCAGGAGAATGGCGTGAACCCAGGAGGCAGAGCTTGCAGTGAGCGGAGATCGCGCCACTGCACTCCCTCCAGCCTGGGCGACAGAGTCTCAAAAAAAAAAAAAAAAGTGGATGAAAAATAGTATGAAAAGAATTACTCCCTAATTATTGATATTGTACTAAATAAAATTCCCAGTTCCAAAACCACAATGTAATGACTGCACCATTTTTCACTTTTTCTAGATGTGGTCAGAGACTTTAAATGAGAGAGATGATACATGAATATACTTGGAGAGTAATAGGTATTGCTGAATAATATAAAGTTTGAGAATACACTTGTTTGCCTAAAACATAAAATTGGTGATTTATATTATTTTTAAATGTAGAAATAGCTAAAGTATAAATTTTGTATAATGCAAGTGCTTTTCCTAAGTTTTAGTTTTGTTTTAATTTAGGATTAAGGATAAAGGAAGCTATTTATAAATAGTACTAAGTCCATGTTTTCTTTTCTCTAAATACATCTTGATGTGTTATGAAGATCAAATGTTCTGAAAAGGCAAATTTCCTCTAAACCTGAGTCCTCTCTTTCACTAGCAGAGAGAAAAAGTCTCTGCTAAAGTTACTGGCTGAAAACAGAAACTGTATACTTGACTCTATTAAAGGAAAAAATAAAATTTTTTTTTTATAATATTAAGTCAACTTGAAATAAAAGAAAAAAGTTAGCTATTCAGGCCTGTCCCTAACATTTGTGGGAGCTCAGAAGTATTGCAAATCTAGACCCACATATTAATGACTACATATTTATAAGACATCAATCAAGCTTAAGAATTGTTAAAGTGTATTGAAATTCCTGCATTGATAACTTCATAACACTTAAAAAATTAAATTGAAATCTGCATTCTTGGACTGCAAGGAGAGGTCCATATTAGAATATGAGAATTGGAAAGAGACCCCAGGTCATAGTCAATTTCATTCTCTTCCCATCCCTCTTTCCATCTTGCTCGATGAGGGGTTTGTTGCATTCAAGATACTGCAGCCTATTTGTCCAGCATCTCCTCATGAGACATCCCTTTCACCAAGGCTTGTACACACCAGTCCACCTTCAAAAAGGCTGGTGTAGGGAATGGCCTTGAATAGACCTTGAAGGCAATCTTAGGACCTTTTATTTCTCCTAAGGAGGAATCCAGAGTCTTGGGTATTGGTATGTTGGCATAGCACATGGATGGGCATGTGTCTTGTTTCACATGAGCACATTCACTTGTTTTGTGGACTCATCGCCACTTCCCCTTCTACTCTCCTTCCCAGCCCCCATGGGAGGAAGTTGAAAGTGGTTTGTGGTTCGCTCTAAATGGCTGGCCTAGAACCTGAGTTCCTCTTCCCTTTAGTCTAAGTTTAGCACTGCAACTATCCCGTTCTACTGTTCACATTTACCACGAAATGGGTCAAACATATAAAGAGAGCCTAAAGACACTTTTAATACATATTTGTAAATGAAAGTTTATTAATAAAATTGAAGGAGACATATCAACACATAGTCACTTCTTTTCTGGAAAGAAAACACTCCCTACTTTATAGAATTGCTATGTGTATAGTTCCTTAGTAAGTGCTATGTGTGATCAGAAAATGTAGAATACAGATCTTTTATCTTCAGGTCACTTAATATCCAGGTCTGAACATAAGAAACATAAACACAAAAAAGTAACTTTCAGAAAAGTGCTGTGCAATATATACTGGGGGTCTTCTAAGGAGGGAGATGCCATCGTGGACTATGATGATCAAAGAAAGGTTAATAGAGCTTCCTATTATGTGATACTTGGAATAATAATATGGGGAAGAGGAAAAATGCATTATGGATTATTTAAAAGACAAGTGCAAATTTGGTGATAAGCATAGAAAACATTCAGAAGTATAGAATGCATACATTAGACAGAATGATGTGATTGTTTCAGAATATTTGAATATACAATTAGAAGTAAATGTTGGGACAAATTATGAAGGATTTAGAATATTAGATGTGAGTATTTGAACTTTATTCATAAATAATCAAAAAAAGAAAGAATGATTGTAAATTGCCCAAAAAAGGGCTATCCATCAAAAGGAGAGTCAGGGAATAACATGTATTGTGTACATTCAAAAAAAAAATCAAAAGAGTGTCTTCCACTTTCACCTTTTAAGTGTAAGGGTCACAGAAGGTAAAGAAAGTAGAAATAAATTTGAGAAATCATTGAAGAAAAGAATTTAAGTATCTGAGTAGGCATAGGCAAACTAAGGTAATGACAATGTCTGTGACCACAAATTTTTAATCAGTTTGACAATTAGTACCTTTGACATAAATAGGAGAAACTTGAGTCAGGAACTTTGTCCTTTACTCATAGCACCTGGCATAAGAGCTGGAGCCAGTTTTAGGTTTTTGCTAGTTTTTGTTTGTTTGTTTTCTTTATATGTATATCAAAGTAAAAAATGAAAATGACCAGAAAAAAGTTGGAAATTTGAGACTGGAGCTCAGGATAGGGATTATGATGTGCTTTTAGTATAATCATTTACATAGAGATGATGGTTTACACTATTTTGAGAAAAAATAGTGATTTAGACGGAAAGTTAAAAATCAAGAAAAGAAATAAAGCATTAGACAGAAAGAAAAATATTCAGGATAGGTTCATGTTATAAAAGCCTTGAAAGGACAGGTTGATAGATTTTAAAAATATTACAGTAAATAATAATATTAGAAAGACATTGATCGCAAATTTCTCCCACAAAACATGCTATCTTAATCAGATTACCTCAAAGCAGAATTTAATCAAAACCATTGCCTTTTTCTCTAACAACAAAGATTACTATTTACTACTGCTATAGAATTTTGATACCTTCAGGGCTGTAGGAAAGGAATAAAACACCAAATGATTCTCAGCACAAAAATGGATAACGAATATCCATTTATTATTATTAAAATAATGGACATGATTATGCTAATAGGTAATATTCTTTCTTTAGTATGAAATTGCATTGTATTGTGTCTCAGAAAAAGTGTTGGTTGTTTTTGCAAAGTGTAATTCAGGAGATTAAGTGTATTCACCAATCCACAGATTTCACTAATGAGAAGTGAACTGGAATTTGAAAGCACATACACTTTTCCCCTTAAACAATTGCCCACTCCATTTTGCAAGCTGAGAAGTGGAGAAAGAGGGATATCAATCTAGGTAAAGTGTGAGGTGCTACTTGTATTAGCAGGACTCAGGAATCAAAAATCTGTACTTCCTTCCATATAAAGGGGTGAGATTTTTCCCTATGGACAGTGAGTTAATGTGGCTACCTTCAAAGGCAAACAGACTTCAATGTGACTAGAAGAAAAAGACAATGGAGAGTCCCCAAAAGAGAGGCATGTTTTTTAATGAATGAAAAACAAGAGATACTTTACAAAGTAATAGAATAACATGGCTTAGTTATTTTCATTACATTACAATACATTTAGTAGACTGTTCTATCCTTCAAAAATAACAAGAGCCACAGTGAAATGACAATAATACATAGTATCCCTTTACTATGAGCCTAACACTAAAAATATTATTTTGTATTTATTGTTTTATTTAATTTTCACAAAAATATAATGCCTATGCTACCAATACACACTTTTGCAGATGAGACAATTGTATCAGAAGATGTAATGAAATTCTTCAACTTTACATACCTAATAACTGCTAAGATTGGCATTTGAATATACTTTGTCTGATTTTAGAGATTGTGACCTTAACCACTATGTCATACTTCCTTCCTGAAGTGTTATTGATTCACATAGACACACAAATCTGGGCTTGGCTAGGTTCGTTTTCCCAAAGAAAGAGATGGGAAAATCTACTCCGTAAATGGACTATCAAACCAAACTTTAGATATCTTAGTCACAGAATACTACAATGTTAGTATATTTTATTTCTTAGTAGGTTATTAATGAAAAGTTTTAGGAAGAAACTTAACAGGAAGCATAACAACACATTGTTACAATAGGGAGTTAGAGATGAAATATTTTTAATAAAGGAGGGACTATGTAATAACAGCCATATCAATGAGGTCTTTTGGAATGGACTAGCATGAGTCTGCATTAGTACAGGAGGAACCACAGAGGATTAACAGCTTAAAGTTGATAGAGAACATTTGATGCTAGAGATAAAAGGAATTGATTGAATTTAAAGTTCTAGTGGAAAAGTTAGTCTGGACAATGGGCACTGAAAATTCAAGAATGGGTGATTTCAAATGTAGGGAAATGTGAGCTAGGATGATTTATAGGTACATAAAGGAGCTCTTCATAGATGGTCACTGATGGTTTCAATAAAGTGGAAATGAGTTCATTTGTCAAGAATAAAGAATTTGGGACCATTGGGAGCTTAAGGTGGTTAGGCAAAGCTTGGCACAGATGCTGACAGAAGTGTATCAGAAAAGTAACAGGTCCAATCTTACTGATCTACCTTTATTGATTCATTCGTTTACTTGTTCATTCACTTTTTATTTAACAAAGAATTTAGTCATAACATATTTTATATTTATGTATATATTTAAATTATATTTATATTTATTTAGCCCCCCACCCCACAACAGGCCCCAGTGTGTGATGTTCCCCTGCCCGTGTCCATGTGTTCTCGTTTTTCAACTCCCACTTATGAATGAGAACATGCGATGTTTGTTTTTCTGTTCCTGTGTACTTTTGCTGAGAATGATGGTTTCCTACTTCATCCGTGTCCCTGTGAAAGACATGAACTAATCCTTTTTATGGCTGCGTAGTATTCCATGGTGTATATGTTTCACATTTTCTTTATCCAGTCTGTCATCGATGAGCATTTTGTTGGTCCCAAGTCTTTGCTATTGTGAATACTGCTGCAGTAAACATACATGTGCATGTGTCTTTATAGTAGAATGATTTATAATCCTTTGGGTATATACCCAGTAAAGGGATTGCTGGGTCAAATGATATATGTGGTTCTAGATCCTTTAGGAATAACCACATTGTCTTCCACAATGGTTGAACTAATATACATTCCCACCAACAGTGTAAAAGCATTCCTATTACTCCACATCCTCTCCAGCATCTGTTGTTTCCTAACTTTTTAATGATATCCATTCTAACTGACATAACATGGCATCTCATTGTGTTTTTTTTATTATACTTTAAGTTTTAAGGTACATGTGCACAATGTGCAGGTTTGTTACATATGTATACATGTGCCATATTGGTGTGCTGCACCCATTAACTCGTCATTTAACATTAGGTATATCTCCTAATGCTATCCCTCCCCCCTCCCCCCACCCCACAACAGGCCCTGGTGTGTGATGTTCCCCTTCCTGTGTCCATGTGTTCTCATTGTTCAATTCCCACCTATGAGTGAGAAACATGCGGTGTTTGTTTTTTTGTCCTTGCGATAGTTTGCTGAGAATGATGGTTTCCAGCTTCATCCATGTCCCTACAAAGGACATGAATTCATCATCTCATTGTGGTTTTGATTTGCATTTCTGTAAAGCCCAGTATTGAATTTTTTTTCATATGTTTTTTGGCCGCATAAATGTCTTCTTTTGAGAAGTGTCTGTTCATATGCTTCACTCACTTTTTGATGGGATTGTTTGGATTTTTTTCTTCTTGTAAATTTGTTTAAGTTCCTTGTAGATTCTGGATATTAGCCCTTTGTCAGATGGATAGATTGCAAAAATTTTCTCCCATTCTTTAGGTTCCCTGTTCACTCTGATGATAGTTTCTTTTGCTGTGCAGAAGCTTTTTAGTTTAATCAGATCTCATTTGTCAATTTTGGTTGTTATTGTTTTTGGTGTTTTAGTCATGAAGTCTTTGTCCATGTCTATGGCCTGAATGGTATTGACTAGGCTTTCTTCTAGGGTTTTAATGTTTTAGGTTTTATGTTTAAGTCTTCAATCCATCTTGAGTCAATTTTTGTATAAGGCGTTAAGAAAGGGGTCCAGTTTCAGTTTTCTGTATGTGGCTAGCTAGTTTCCCGGCACCATTTATTAAATAGGGAATACTTTTCCCATTACTTGTTTTTGTCAGGTTTGTCAAAGATCAGATGGTTGTAGATTTGTGGCATTTTTTCTGAGGCCTCTGTTCTGTTCCATTGGTCTATATATCTCTTTTGGTACCAGTACCGTGCTGTTTTGGTTACTGTAGCCTTGCAGGAGTTGCAATCCTAGTATCTGATAAAACAGACTTTAAAGCAACAAAGATCAAAAAAGACAAAGAAGGGCATTACATAATGGTAAATGGATCAATGCAACAAGGAGTGCCGACGATTATATATATATATATATATGTATATATATATATGCACCAATATAGGAGCACCCAGATTGATAAAGCAAACTCTTAGAGACCTACAAAGAGACTTAGACTCCTACACAATAATAGTGGGAGACTTTAACACCCCACTGTCAATATTAGACAGATCAAGAAGACAGAAAATTAACAAGGATATTTAGGACTTGAACTCAGCTCTGCACCAAGCAGACCTAATAGACATTTACAGAACTCTCCACCCCAAATCGACAGAATATGCATTCTTCTCAGTACCACATCACACTTACTCTAAAATTGACCACATAATTGGAAGTAAAACACTCCTCAGCAAATGCAAAAGAATGGAAATAATAACAAACAGTCTCTCAGACCACAGTGCAATCAAATTAGAACTCAGGATTAAGAAACTCACTCGAAACCACACAATTACATGGAAACTGAACAAGCTGCTCCTGAATGACTACTGGGTAAATAATGAAATTAAGGCAGAAAGAAATAAGATCTTTGAAAACAGTGAGAACAAAGACACAACATACCAGAATCTCTGGGACACAGCTAAAGCAGTGTTTAGAGGGAAATTTATAGCACTAAATGTCCACAGGAGAAAGCAGGAAAGATCTAAAATCGACACCCTAACATCACAATTAAAATAACTAGAGAAGCAAGAGCAAACAAATTCAAAAGCTAGCAGAAGACAAGAAACAACTAAGATCAGAGCAGAACTGAAGGAGATAGAGACATGAAAAGTCCTTCAAAAAATCAATGAATCCAGGAGCTGGTTTTTTGAAAAGATCAAAAAAATAGATAGACCACTACCCAGACTAATAAAGAAGAAAAGAGAGAAGACTCAAATAGACACAATAAAAAATGATAAAGGGGATATCACTACTGATCCCCCAGAAATACAAACTACCATCAGAGCATACTATAAAAACCTCTACACAAATAAACTAGAAAATCTAGAAAAAATTTATAAATTCCTGGACACATCCACTCTCCCAAGACGAAACCAGGAAGAAGTCAAATCCCTGAATAGATCAATAACAAGTCCTGAAATTGAGGCAGTAATTAATAGCCTACCAACCAAAAAAAAGACCCAAGACCAGACGGATTCACAGCCAAATTCTACCAGAGGTACAAAGAGGAACTGGTACCATTCCTTCTGAAATTATTCCAAATAGAAAAAGAGGTACTCCTCCCTAACTCATTTTATGTAGTCATCCTCTTTTTAAAGTACATTCTTATCATGATAAATAAAATAGGAATTTCTTGATTTATTTTATCTAATTATTTTATCTTACCCTAATCTCTAATCTCTATTTTTATTTCCTTCTGCTTCTCCCTCTTACTTCAATTGCATTCATGTGTTTGTGGTAGGCCCTTGAATATGCATTTTTGAAAACTATAAAATTTTGTGGTTGTTTTTGAGTTATATGCTGTATATATAGTTTTTACTTTTGTAAACTCAACACTATATTATTAAGACCTACTCTTGTTATCGTGTGTAGCTTTACCTCATTTTTTATGCTGCACAGCACACTATTCTTTCTTCTTCTTTTTTTTTTTTTTTGAGATGGAGTCTCACTCTATTGCCCAGGCTGGAGTGCAGTGGCGTGATCTCAGCTCACTGCAACCTCTGCCTCCTGTGTTCAAGCGATTCTTCTGCCTCAGCCTCCCAAGTACCTGGAACTACAGGCGCATGTCACCACACCTGGCTAAGTTTTGTATTTTTAGTAGAGATGGAGATTCACCATATTGGACAGGCTGGTCTCAAACTCCTAACCTTGTGATCTGCCCGCCTCGGCCTCCCAAAGCACTGGGATTATAGGCATGAGCCACCACGCCTGGCCTGTATTCCATTTTTATAAACAATTGTGTGTGTGTGTGTATGTGTGTGTGTGTGTGTGTGTGTGTGTGTGTGTGTATGTATTACAGTGATAGATTCTTTGCCTCCTTCCAACTCCCTGCAACAACAGATGTCTCTAATGGATATCATATCCTTTCATGAGTTTAAACTTAAGTTGATTTGCCATGTGGATCAAGAGTAGGATTGCTGGTTCATAGGTTTGGATTTCATTTCACTCCACATTGCTCTCTGGATAGTTGCATCAGTCTGTACTCCCATCAGCAGTACATGTAAAGTCTAGTTTTCTAAATTAAAAAAAAAATTGTTATTATTTGAACATTATCTTCCATCTCACTAATGAGCACTCCTCAAATTTAACCCTTCTGCTGTTTATACCATATATTTAATCCTTCATTTCAACAGATATGGTTTTCATACTGAAAAAATATTTTATGATTGCTAATTTCTTCTTCAGGTTTCAAATATTTTGCCTTATGTCTTTGAGAACATTTACTATACATATTTTTGGGTTTATTTTAACTTTCTTTTTTATTTCTTCAGAGACAATGTCTTTCTCTGTTACTCAGGCTGGAGCAAGTGCAGTAGTGACAGCCTCCTAGCTAACTGCAGCCTTGACCTCCTGGGCTCAAGAGATTCTCCTCCCTCAGCCTCCTTGGTAACTGGGACTACAAGTGCATGCCGCCACACCTAGCTTTTTTTTTTTTTAATTATTATTTATTTTGTAGAGACAGGGGCTCTCTTGGTTGCCCGAGCTGATCTCAAACTCCTAGCTTCAAGCAATGCTCCTGTCTCGGCCTCCCAAAGTGCTGGGATTACAGACATAAACCACCACACATGGTCACATATTTTAAACTATTGTTAATTTTTGTAAATCTAGTTGTCTTCGATATACATGTATTTTATTTTAGAGTCATTGAATTCCTTTGAGGCCTATTTTTTTTCCTGGTAAGATTTATTATGCTGATTAAGAATACATGGCACTAAAATCAGGCTCAAGATTGACCCACCAGAAGTGTTTACAATGAAGGACTCCTTAGGAAATAACTGGATTCTGCCACCCTTTGTTTGCCTTCCTCCTCCATAAAAGTTGGTGTATTCATGTGTCCATGTGTCCTGGGTGGTGCTGTTTACCAAGACTGGTCTCCCTCAGTTTTAATCACCATTCTAACACTCATTGTATGGAGTAGCTGGATTAGAGGAGAATGCCTAGGGTTCAGATGGTCTTTCTGCACTTGTCACTATTTCCTCATTTTCCAAGCTAGGCTGAGTCATATTCTGCCTGGCCGACTCCAAAATGGCTTTAAAGGAGTTAGCAGTGGTCTCTTTTCAACTCTAGTTTTGTCAGAATGGGAGCTCCATTTGGTCAAGGTTTTGTCTTTCTGGCTCTGTAGGGTATTCTCACTATTTAGAAGAGTGCCTTGCACACTGTGGGTACTCTAACTATTGAAAGAGCAGAAAAAAATACAGGAATGCAATGAAAGGAAATGGTGACCACTAAAAACTTCCGCCCCAGCATATTCTGGTTCCCTTACATCTGACTTTTCTGCTCTTTGCTGTCATTTTTTTCTCTACTCGCAGACTTTACTGTGGTTTGTAACTGCAAGGGTTTCTCTCATCTTTTAGTATTAGATGCTGATTTCTGTGCCATTTTCAGGGTTGTGGTCACAGAAAGAAGCCCGCATCATGTTAGTTCTCCATCTTACCAGATAAAGCTTAGCTTAATGTACTTTTATGCCAATTTCTTTGAAAAACTAAACTTTCAATAATTTTATCAATCACTGATTAATCCAAGATTTGTCTCAGATGGGGCACAACTTCCACAACCTAATGTAGCTCCACAACCTAATTTTTAATCCCCGAAAATGAAATTTACTGATTATTTTGTTATAATCATACAAATATAAAAATTCTGAACAGTGAAATAAAGTATCTCAAAAGTAAGAGTACTCTTGGACAACAATAGCTAAAAAAGTGTAACAAATATGAAAATATGCAAGCTCTGTCTCTGACCTTTAATCATTCTATACTTTTGGGGAGCACAGTTATTCTGAGACTCAGTTTTTACAGAAGTAAAACGGGAACAAAAACAGTTCCTCTGCCTGGCTCATAGAATTTCTGTGAGAATAAAAGACAATCTTTCTAAAGATATATTACATATATTGTAAAGTACCACAATTATAAATACAGGAGAATACTTGCTTCTGTTCGTATCCATTCTGTTTCCAGTGCTTGTTTGGTTTTTAAATTTTCATAGTATTTTCCTGCTACTCAATGTTTGACTACTGAAATTCTTATATAAATGTTTTCTGCAAAAAAATTTTATGGACATAGAATAATAATTGTATGTGCTCAGTTTCTTGATTAAAATATTTTATTGTGATTATTTTGTAAAGAAAAGAATTGCAGTGTAATTTCAATTTTGTGGAAATTATAATAATTAAATATTTAGACTAAAAAAGATAATGCAAGAAGGCTAAATTGTATTGTCGTATTATTAAGATTACTTTTTATTTATTCAAACTTGTTAATTGTTCCTAATGAGAAGTGAATCATTATCTATGTAAAAATAATTTGATTCAGAAAATTTTGGTCTCAAATTTACATAATGCCATCATTATCCTTTTTATGTTCTGGACAATTTATTCTAAATTACCTAGAAAAAAAGGTTGATTCTATAGTGTTATTTTTTATTCTCTATATCTCAGGTAAGAATAAAGGGAAACGAGTAAGTAAAGGAAAAACAAAGACGAAAAAGGAAATTGTACTCAAGTCACATAGACATCTGAAGTCTCAGATTTATGTGAAACTTTCTGTTTGGTAGAGGATATAGAAAAGAGAAAGGGATATTGAATTTCTGACAGCCTACGTGCTTAGTGCTTTGTCTACCAATGTGATGAGGACATATTTATTTTTTCCCTGTGCTTTCTGCATTGAGACAAGTACATTATAAGCTTATCATACAAATGATTCAAAAAAAATACTTGCCATTTATTTTCTATTAGTTCTTTTTCTCCCGAGGTTACTGCCCTACAAGGAGCTATTTTAACCTCCTCCTGTCTTTGCCAGTGAGAACATCTTGACATGACTCCAATTCCAATTCTGATGTACTGGAAGAATAAAAACACATTTATTTAAAAAATCTAAAGCATGTTAATGATGCCATAGAAAGACATCTTGCTTAAGATAAGCCCATTAATTTTACCTTTGTAAACATGTTTCAGCATGACTGTGTGATTAAGGCTTCATTCTGTGCAGACTACAACTGTAGCAACGGCAGCAGCCAAGAAAAAATAGCAAAATATTTTTAAAAACAGAAGCAAGCAACAAGGCTTTCACAATCCATTGTTTAAATTCATCTTTGATATCTTGTTTTGTTACGTTTTTCTCTCTTACTTTATGTGTATAATGAAATACCATTATCACTGTCATCATCGCCAGATTAAAGCTTCGAGAAAGAAAGAAAGCCTATCCTAGAATTGATTTTTAGGCCATTTTACTTGAGATGATCGACAACAAGAGGATTTTCATTTGCTTTGTCAGTGTAAGCTGGCTGCTGTGCATCTGCAGTGAAGGCAGCACAGGTCTCTGTTTGCATTCTGCGGTTTGTTAGCAGCAATGACCTGTCACAGAAAGGCTCTGCAGCACAATATTTACACAGATCATTAGCAGAGCAGACCCTGTTTGCCAGATCGCTAATCAGTTTTGTGACTGCCCCAATTTCATCAAGACTATAAATAAAATAAGCAATCGGAAAAAACCCCAAAATGGGCATTGTCAGAGCTGGTGACACTTCTGGCAGCTATAGGCATATAAATCCTCTGATAATAATGCAGTGGTAGTGACAAATAAAAGACTGCATTTTAACTATGAGTCTGAAAATGAGTGTGTATGTTACTGCAAGAGGACTTTCTTTTCTTTATACTCTGTTGATTTCAGCTTACTCTAGCCCTATCGTGTAAACAAGCTAGCAATAGTCAAGTAGGATTTGCTTTTTTCTCCTTTCACTCAGGATTGAAATTTGCTTACTGCAGTTTGCGATGTAGAGGCCATGACATGTGAACCCATGGTGAAAAGCCACAAAAGAAGGGGAATTCGTAAGTGAGAGGGCACGCTGGACTTACTGGCCTGTCTGACCTCCGTTGCAAATATTACTCACAGAATCAGTAGCATTCAAAATGCTGACAGAAAGATTGTAAGAGGTCAGCAAAGGGTGAACCTGTATGAGAGCCTAGGGACCAACCTTTAAGAGTTATGATAAACTATTAGCTGTATGGTGGCCACAATTGAAATGCAACTGTTCATTTATTTCTCTTTTTTGCATTTTTGATATGTGCCCAAATCAATAGTGATTACTTTCTCCTTTGTTGTAGAAAAGAAGTATATAAAGGACTCAGAAGAGTCAAGCCCTGGGATGTTTTAATAAGCAGTTGACATTGAATAAAAACATTATTTGCAAAGAGAGTTTATTAAAGTCTTTCAGCTTTGCTCCCTCTGTCTCCTTTGTCACTTGACTCTTACTGAGAACCACAAGGCCATCTACTAAAGACTACATGGTAATCATTAGTAGACAGATGCAATTTTGTCTACCATGTAATCTTTACTTTCTGTTCCAGGAAAATATGAGTATTTTTAAAGTTAGTGGAAATTTACAGATTTTCTATATACAGGGCGTTGGCAGGCCAGAGAAATGCTAATTAATTCATGTCATAAATGTTTATTGTGCAGCTACTATGTGTACTGGATAGAAAGTAGTATCTGATGGACATGTTCCTTGCCCTCTGAAACTCAGTTTAGAAAAGAGAATACAGGTTCAAATGTAATGAACATTTGTTTTATTTTATATTACATAATATCTTTTTTTTTGTTTCTGTCTTCATTTTCACCAGGGGAAGGGAATGTGTGTCTATTGGAACTCTTTTCCCATATTCATTTTAGGATTGCCATACCTCTGGTTTCCCAGGTATAGTTCATGAAAACTAGGGACAGATCTAGTCTTTGTGGGAACTGCAACTTATAAAATGTGGAGTTCCTCTTTAGGAAAAAGGATATGCAGCCCTAGAAAATGAAAGGATCCAACTTTAAATAATCGTCTAAAATTTTGGAAGAAAATGAACTTAGTATGGTATATTCTTACTTTTTTTCTGAGTGAAAGATATCTTATGTATCATACCAATTCCCAATATGTTTCATCCTTTTGTCTGGGTTATTTTCAGTTTTCAGTAAAATAAATGCATGTATACCACAACCTCTAAGTACTTCCTTTAGACCTTATGGTTTAAATTTGGTATGAAAGAGGAAGCTTCTAAAAGTGTTTTCTATTTGCATGATGATTATAGGCAAATATACCGGCATATGTAATTACATTAAAACTTAGATATTTAAGTATATGTTGGATGAATGAAAAAATTGAAGAACAGAAAAATGTAAAAACAAAAGAAGGTAAGTCAAATATTTTGTGAGAGTTCTTGGATGAAAAGTAGAAATTTAAAATGCAAAGTTTTAAAAAATAGCAATGTCCAGTAAATGCATGCACACAAACATGAAATAACTTAAATGTCATTATGCTAATTGTACTCGCATAAACTTTCAGGACACGAATACAGATAAGGACATAATTACAGTAGTTAGAATGATTAAAAAATAGTGTGCCCCATACTATGAATTTCACACACAGTTTGATTACTGGGAGACATTTAGAGTCAGCAGACTAAATGTATAGGTGCTATACTGTAAATTGTAAGTTGGATGGGAGGCCACCAACTTTGGTATTGGCTATAGCACTTCAATTAAAGAAAAGTGGCCAGGCCTGGTGGCTCATGCCTATAATCCCAGCACTTTGGGAGTCTGAGGCTGAAGAACTGCTTGAGCCCAGCAATTCAAGACCACCTTGGGCAACAAAGTGAGACCCTGTCTACCGAAAATTTAAAAAATTAGCCAGACATAGTGGCACGTGTCTGTGGTCCCAGCAAAACGGGAGGCTGCCTTGAGAGGATTACTTGAGACCAGAAGTTCAAGGCTGAAATTAGCTGTGATCATGCTACTGCACTATAGCCTGGGTGACAGAGTGAGATCCTATCATAAATAAATAAATAAATAAAATATAAAAGTGTCATTTACATCTGTTTATGTTTTTTTAAATCCTGTTTGAGGTATTTTCTTATCACTGTACAGACACTAAACATATGCATTCTAAAATAGGGTAATCAAGTAAAAAAAGAGAAATTTATTTTTTCATAGTATTTTTGTTAAAATTCATTGAAGGATATCTTATAGAAAATGTGACATTCTTACATTCTGATTATCAGGGCACAATTTGATAAAATTTTATCAAGTGAACAATACTCTGGTAATCAGAATGCAGATTAAGAAAGAGAACACTAAAACCTCATAACCCTACCTTCCCTGCACTATTTACTCTAAACTCCATTCCATCCATTAAAGATAGTAATGACTGAATTTTAACATAGACTCAGTTTGCCTGATTGTACACTGACGTGTGTGTGTGTGTGTGTGTGTGTGTAACTCTTACTTTGATATACTATATTTTTTTGAGATGGAGTTTTGCTCTTGTTGCCCAAGCTGGAGTGCAATGGTGCAATCTCGGCTCACTGCAACCTCCGCCACCTGGGTTCAAGAGATTCTCCTGCCTCAGCTTCCCAAGTAGCTGGAATTACAGGTGTGCACCATCACTCCAGGCTAATTTTTTGTATTTTTAGTAGAAACAGGGTTTCACCATGTTAGCCAGGCTGGTCTCGAACTCCTGACCTCAGGTGATCCACCTGCCTCAGCCTCCCGAAGTGCTGGGATTACAGGCGTGAGTCACCACACCCAGCCATTTTGACATAATTTTAAACTTACAAAGAAGTTGCAAGAATGGTAGAAGAAAGTCCTATATACCCTTTTATCCAGATTTTTTTTTTTAATTACATTTGAATATATTGGTAGTGTGTTCTCTCTCTCTCTCTTCTTTCTATACTATTTGCAAATTGGAGCCATCTTATTATTTTAATCCTAAGTACTTTATTGTATATTTCCTAAAAACCAGAACATTCTTTTAGGTAATCACATTTTATTATATAATTCCTACATAGTTTAAAAAATCAGGAAAATTTAGAGTAGATTTTAGTGTTTTTTAAAAATATATACTAGGTATGAATTATTTCTTAATAGGTTAAACATAGACTTGGAACTAACTAACTATAACTAGGGCCACTCTTTCTTTATAGAAGTTATTGACATTTTCTCAAGGAGAACAGATGAAATTCTAGGGGGCATGCCTTGCAAATTCATCATTTAATATGAGAACTGCTATTGGAAGAGCAACAGCTATTTGGGGCCCTATATTTCAGTGAGGCCCTAAATGGCAACAATTTTAGAATTAATGGCAAATGTAGTCCCTGATTCTTTTTGTTTGTTTTTGTTAATAGACTCACTTCAGCGTCCATCAAATATTCCATTAAAGGTCATCTTCTTGGTTTCTTGATGTAGTTGCTGTTGGTGATATTTCTTAGTATATTAAGATGGAACAACTTACCATTCCATTTTGAGTCATATTTTAATTCATTAAGCTAAAATGTTTGAGTAAGTGTAGGGTCTAGCATAGTACTTTGCACAGAATACTTAAAGAAATACAGATGTTTAAAAAGCAATCTTGCTCTTAAGGACCTTCAATGCTAATAGAAAGACCACTCCTATAAGAAGAATATGTGATGTAATCCCAAGTGCACTAAGGATTTTGATGAGGGAAAAATTATTTCTTCTTGGGTTTATCAGAGAAGATCTTGAAAGAGCTGGCATCTGAGATGTGCTGTGAAAGTTATGTAGGTTTCTACAGGTGATAATAGAAAAACAGTGTATTGAAATGGGTATGTGTGTGATGCCACAAAGAAATTTTAGTAGAATTTAAGGTACTGAATAGTTTGATGAGAAGGTGGTTTAGCATGAGCAAGAAAAATGAAATATTACTGGAACAATTGTGAAAGGCTATAAATTACTGGCTAAAGAGTTGGATATTTCTCAGAAAATGTAGGGAACAGTGAACATTATTTTATTTTTTGAATAGGTGATGCATTTACATGATACAGAACTGGAAAATTCCACATTCTATCCTTTTCTATTGTCTGCCCGGTTCTCAACTCTTAACGACAGCTTCTTGGTGTCTTAAGTATTTTATGTATATATAAGAAATAGCAAAATACATTACTGATTTCCTTTATTTGGACAGCATAACACGTTATCCTTTTGGCACATTGCTTTATTCGTTAGCAATATATCTTGAAAAACTTTCCACATTAATACATATAGAATATTTTCAGTATTTTTACTGTTGCAGAACATCAAAGGGATGTGTCATCATTAAGTCATACTATATTAAAAACTTTGTTGTTTTCAGAATCTTGTTCTTATATATTTTTCTGCAATGAATATAGTCATATATGTCATTTTATATGTAAGTAGTTATTTAGGATAATCTGCCTAGAGTATAATTGATTGGATATGCACACATGCATTTTTTGTTTGATAAATATGTGCTAATTTATACTCCAATCATGCAGATGCATGAATGGAAGTACCTATTTCTCTATATGTTTGCTGAAGTTTGTGTTATTAAAGATGCTATTCTAATAGGTGAAAGAGTATTGATAGAGTTTTATTTGTAGTTTTATTATGGTTGAACTTGAATATGCTTTTATATACTTAAAAGTAATTTGCATTTACTTAATTTTTTATTTTTATTTTATTTATTTATTTTTTTGAGACAGAGTCTCGCTCTGTTGCCCAGGCTGGAGTGCAGTGGCACAATCTCGGCTCACTGCAAGCTCCACCTTCTGGGTTCACGCCATTCTGGGATCACTGCAAGCTCCGCCTCCCGGGTTCACGCCATTCTCCTGCCTCAGCCTCCCGAGTAGCTGGGACTACAGGTGCCCGCCACCAAGCCCGGTTAATTTTTTTTTAGTAGAGACGGGGTTCACCGCTTTAGCCAGGATGGTCTCGATCTCCTGACCTCGTGATCCAACCGCCTCAGCCTCCCAAAGTGCTGGTATTACAGGCGTGAGCCACCGCGACGGCTTGCATTTACTTTCTATCAATTGTTTATATACTTGCCTATATTTCTTTTGAGTTTGAGTCTTTTGCTCATACATTTCTAGAAACACTTCATATAGTAATTATACTATATGAAGAGTAAATATTATTCTTTAATTGATTACTTGTAGTTTTGTTTACAATATTTCACTTGATCTTAGCCAAAAGGCTGAGAAGTGAATGTTTACAATATTTTTTCATGAAGTTATTGTTACTGTATTCACATACACCCATTTTTTAATCTTTTAGCTTCTGGACTTTTAGTTATAATTACTTATACCTTAACCACTTAAAGGTTATAAAGGAAATGTCATGTCCTATGTTTACTCCTAGAGCCTTTGTGGTTTTATTTTCTACATTTAATGCTTTAATCTCTTTGAAAATAATCTTACACGCAGTAGGGGATATGAATCTACCCATGTCATTTTTCCACAAAATGGTAACTCATATTTCTTTACTGGTTTGAGCATTAATATATACTTTTTGGGATATTCTATTCTTTTTTATTCACCAATCTAGACTCTATTAAAATTCTCCTCACAGTCCTGCTTTAAAAACAAAACAAAACAAAAAAAGAAACTTTTTTTTTTCTTTTATGCTGTCCTCTGTCAGTCACATTTATTTACATCTTTGGCCCTTCTTTTATTACAACTTATACCCTGCAAATAAAAGAAAGCCCACCTAAACAATGAAGGGATTATATATTATATATTAAGAAGTAGATAGGTAGAAAAGTTTTCAGCTCTGGTTGATTTATGGTTCAGAGATCTCAGCAAGGAAGCACATTCTTTCTGCCTCTCCACCCTGCAGTTCACCTATTAGCTTCATCCTACTTCTGCTTCCCCCTGTAGTATGCAATGGCTGGTAAGAGCAATGAGCAGTACAGGATTTCTCATTTAAATCCAGTGAATACAAGGGAAAGAGTTTTCCCCTTTTATGAATAGAAGTCTTTCCTTCTTTATATTATAATAGAAACCATTTGCACTGTCTACTTATTCCCAGATAATAATTTACAAACACAGGTACTGATTGATGTATGTCTGATTTTTTGAAACAACCAGGAGCAATGGGAAAATAATTACCCACATTGTCTAAGAGTTAACTGGGGCCCAACTCTGGAACTGGGGAGTTCTGTTTATTTTATTCAGATATCCCTTCTATGGATAAAGCTGGTCTTTCCCTAAACACAGGGACTATTTACAAATAGAATGGATATCTGAATAAAATATGGATTCTGTTTAAAAAAGAAAGAAAGATAAGGAAAATGTAAGAGGGTTAGGCAGCCAACTGTGTCCACTAGAAATTGTTTTCTTGAGAATTCCATCAGGGGCATTCTCTGCATTCTCTACTTTATATTTGTGGTTAATCCACTATTCTGTCTCTCAAATAATTTATCTATGTGGCAACTGGTTTTGTTACTCTAATTTCTGTGTGTCCAGAATGGCAGCTAATTACTTGGTAACTTTCTCTAACCTAAGATTTTGAATAGCTGATAAGACATATTTCTTTTAATTGTGGAAATGAGAAGCTAATGACTTGATTATGATTTAAAAGTGAAATGAGTTACTGTGTTCACCCACATTTTATCTTATAGTCTGTATTATGATGCATATATCTTAAGATTTATTTGCTCAATCCAAAGCTATGAATAAAATGGTAAATCCTTTTACTACAGGAGAAATACTTAAAGTAATAATTTTTTTTGGAGGAAAAGATACTTCATTAGCTCCAAAGTGAATTTTATATTTTTAGTACACTTAAATTCAGGTTTGCATATAAATTGAGTCTGTGATATCATCTCAGAATTCACTGGGAGTAAGAGTTCTTCTTTAACACAGACTTTGTGAAGCTTTATCTCTTACTCTTCCTCATTACTTCCCACTTGTTCTTTTGAAGCTGCTCTATTCTACAGACTTTTGAGGCATTTAGGGGCTGAATGATTGAATTTGTTTGGTCTCGTGAGATAAAATTCAAGAGTTTTTTTGTTTTTTGTTTTTTTGGAAAACAAATCCTTCTTCATTGAGAAAGAAAAGGTTGGGAAGCAGATCTGCTATCTAGGCTCTTCCTTTATATAGAGGACAAGGAAATAAAAGTCATATCCTTATTGTTATGAATAAATCAAGTTCCCCTATAACCTATATGTTGAGTCTCTAACCCGCAAAGTGACTGCATTTGGAGATATGGCCTTTAAAGAAGTAATTAAGGTTAATTAAGGTCATATGAATGGGACCCTAGTGCAATAGGACTGGTGTCCTTTTATGAAGAGGAAAAGACACCAGTGAAGTGCTTGCATCAAGAAAAGGCAATGTGAGAACACGGCAAGGAGGCAGCCATGTGCAAGCAAAGGAGAGAGGCTGCAGGAGGAACCAAACCTGTTGACATCTTGATCTTAGACTTCTAGCATCCAGAACTGTCAGAAAATAAATTCCCACTCTTAAGCCACCTGGTTGATGATACTTTGTTATAATACCCCTAGCAGACTAATACATTTGTAAACATGCTAAAAGCAGACTTTTTAGCAAACAAGCTAATTACATTAGCTAGTGGGAGGGTTTTTATCTGCAGGGTGTTTTTAGCAGCATGTACTTGGTTGTTTAGCATCTCCTGTGTTAAACAACAACAATAACAACCCTAGAATCTATGGATATATGGGGCATCGCTGCCTGGAAAATATTATGCATCCTTTATGCCTATTTGATTATAAAATGGAAGTGTTTATTACTGATACTTTTTATCTTTTGTGTAAGTAATGTGCCAGAACTTATTTATTGTAGTAGGAAGAGATCCAGTGAATACTCGACCTCTCACCTTAGTTCTCCCTGGGCCTCTGGACACTAGACTTTTATATCCTAAAAATGATTAAACATTTCTACTTCATATGAGTCTGATTTGACAGTTGGATTCTTTGTACCCTCTCACTGATGATAAAATTAGGAGTTATATTGTGTAGAATATATAGATAGGTAGGTTATAATTTTTCTATGTTAAGTTTATATAGAAAAGAATAAATGCCACTGATAACTGGTGATGAAGCATAGAACAATGACTTTTCTACATATCTAATTCAATAAAAGAGTTTACATGTGGAAATTCAACAAAGTAACTATACTCTGGCAATGCACATCAACTTAACTGGTGGGAATATTTCCTGAGGTGGAAATACTTCAGTTTTATGACATAATCTACCAAGGATGAGTATAGTATAATCCACCAACTAAGATAAATTGTCTCCAGTTTTATTAATCAAATGAATATTATGTTGGAAGTGAGCCTTTAATATTTATATGGTTGTCTACTTCAAGAGCTTCTGATTATATACATCAGAAAAATAAAAATTTTTGATAATAAAATATATTCAAAGGAGCCTCCCAAACATCCCACAGTAACACAGCACATGATCTAACAACCCTAATAGTCACAACTGTCCACATAATGTCTCATTGTATACGCTTCTGGTTTTAATTTGAAAACAGCCTGTACTTTCTCATCCTTAGTAGACAGAAAAGAATAGCTGTTCACCATTTCAAGCCTCTTTATTTGTTTGAAAAATGCATTCAGTGCCAGTGAGATTTACATACATTTTTAGTAATAAAAAAGTAAAAGTTTTTTCCTTAATGGCACCAATCAACCTCAGTTACTCTAAAGTACTTTATGAAATACTTTTATAAAGTATTAGTAGTACTTGCTTTTAAAAGTTATACTTATGCTGTTCAAAGAGATTTTGAAAATACCTTAATGAAACACACAAAGTGATTACCTGTATGTTAAAAGAACCATCCTAGATGGAAGAAACAATTTAATGTATGTATTTGTTGTTAAGGATTTCTATCTTGCCTATATCTCTATCCTAACAACCCTAGCTGTATTAGTCTGTTTTCACGCTGTTGATAAAAATATACCCAAGACTGGGCAATTTACAAAGGAAACAGTTTTAATGGACTTACAGTTCCACGTGGCTGGGGATGCCTCACAATTGTGTTGGAAGGTTAAAGGCAAATCTCACATGGCAGCAAATAAGAGAAGAGAGCTTGTTCAGGGAAAGTCCCCTTTATAAAACCATCAGGTCTCATGAGACTTATTCACTGTCACCAGAGCAGCATGGGAAAGACCTGCCCCCATGATTCAATTACCTCCCACTGGGTCCCTCAAATGACACATGGCAATTCAAGATGAGATTTGGGTGGGGACACAGCCAAACCTTATCATTTCACCCTGGCCCCTCCCACATCTTATGTCCACACACTTCAAAACCAATCACGCCTTTTAAACAGTCACCCAAAATGTTAACTCATTTCAGCATTAACTCAAAAGTTCACAGTCCAAAGTTTCATCTGATACAAGGCAAGTCCCTTCCACCTATGAGTCAGTAAAATAAGAAGAAAATTAGTTACTTCGTACATACAATGGAGGTATGGAACTTTGAACTTGAGAGAGATGATTTAGGGTATCTGGCAAAAGAAATGTCTAAGCAGCAAAGCATTCAAGAGGTGACTTTTTAGCCGGACATGGTAGTGTGTGCCTATAGTCTCAGCTACTTGGGAGGCCGAGATAGGAGAATTGCTTGAACCCGGGAGTGGGAGGTTGCAGTGAGCTGAGATCATACCCCACTGCACTCCAGCCTGGGTGCAGGCTTATCCCCAGTGGGGGTAAGTACAGCTGTTGAAAATGGAAAAAAAAATGGCTAAAACAAAGGAGCTAACAGCCCCATGAAAGTCTGAAATCCAGCAGGGCAGTCAAATATTAAAGGTCCGAAATGATCTCTTTTGACCGCATGTCTCATATTTGGGTGACACTGGTCCAAAAGGAGGTTCCCATGGTCTTGAGCAGCTCTGCACCTCTATCTTTGCAGGACACAGCCTCCCTCCCAGCTGCTTTCATGGGCTGGTGTTGAGTGCAGCTTTTTCAGGTGCTTGGTGCAAGCTGTCGGTACAGCTACCATTCTCGGGTCTGGAGGACGATGGCATTCTTTTCATATCTCCACTAGGCAGTGCCCCAGTGGGGACTCTCTGTGGGGGTGCCCACTCCACGTTTCCATTTCAAAATATCCTAGCAGGGGTTCTCCATGAGTACCCTGCCCCTGCAGCAAACTTCTGCCTGAACATCCGGGTGCTTCCATACGTTCTCTGAAATCTAGGCAGAGGTTGCCAAATCAATTCTTGACTTCTGTGTACCCTCAGGCTCAACATGTAAAACCTGCCAAGGCTTGGGGCTAGCACCCTTGGAAGCCACGGCCTGAGCTGTACCTTGGCCCCTTTTAGTCATGGCTAGAGCAGCTGGGATGCAGGGCACCAGGTCCCTACACGGCACATAGCAGAGGGACCCTGAGCCTGCCTCATGAAACCATTTATTCCTCTAAAACCTCCCAGCCTGTGAGGAGAAGGACTGCCGCAAAGGTCTCTGACATGCCCTGTAGACATTTTCCCCATTGTCTTGGTGACTAACTTTCAGCTCCTTGCTACTTATGCAAATTTCTGCAGCCAGCTTGAATTTCTCCTCAGAAAATGGGATTTTCTTTTCTGTCACATTGTCAGGCTGCAAATTTTCTAAACTTTTATGATCTGTTTTCCTTTTAAAACTGAATGCCTTTAACACCACACAAGTCACATCTTTTTTTTTCTTTTTTTTTTTTTTTTTGGAGTCTCACTCTGTCACCCAGGCTGGAGTGCAGTGGGGTATGATCTCAGCTCACTGCAACCTCCCACTCCCGGGTTCAAGCAATTCTCCTATCTCGGCTTCCCAAGTAGCTGAGGCTACAGGCGCACACTACCATGTCCGGCTAAAAAGTCACCTCTTGAATGCCTTGCTGCTTAGACATTTCTTTTGCCAGATACCCTAAATCATCTCTCTTAAGTTCAAAGTTCCACAAATCTCTAGGGCAGGGGCAAAATGCCGCAAGTCTCTTTGCTAAAACATAACAAGAGTCACCTTTGTTCCAGTTTCCAACAAGTTCCTCATGTCCATCTGAGACCACCTCAGACTGGATTGCATTGTCCATATCACTATCAGCATTTTGGTCAAAGCCATAGAACAAGTCTCTAGGGAGTTCCAAACTTTCCCACATTTTTCTGTTGTTTTCTGAGCCCTCCAGACTGTTCCATCCTCTGCCTGTTACCCAGTTCCAAAGTTGCTTCCACATTTTCAGTTATCTTTAGAGCAGAGTCCCACCCCACTCCTGGTACCAATTTACTGTATTAGTCTGTTTTTACACTGCTGATAAAGACATACCCGAGACTGGGCAATTTACAAAAGAAAGAGGTTTAATGATCTTACAGTTCCATGTGGCTGGGGAGGCCTCACAATCATTGCAGAAGGTGAGAGCCATGTCTCACATGGCAGCAGATGAGAGAAGAGAGCTTGTGCAGGGAAACTTCCCTTTATAAAATCATCAGATTACATGAAACTTACTATCATGAGAACAGCATGGGAAAGACCTGCTCCCATGATTCAATTACCTCCCACCAGGTCCCTCTGACAACACATGGGAATTCACAGTGAGATTTGGGTGGGGACACATCACTAGATAACAGCAAAGCTGTACAATTCTTAAACATTGTCATGGAAAAGTAATTCCACAACTCTACTTTGAACTATATGTGATGTTCTTTACATTCATCATACCCTCTTTATGCTAAACTAAAATATTTAGCTGTAATTTATGATAACTATTTATAGTTCCTCTTTCTTTCCCTCTCTGAACTTTCTGCAATACCCTGCAAAGTTGGTATATTATCTACCTTTTTCCTTTAATTTTACTATTTTTTTGAACAAAAATGTCAGAAGATGAAGTATTTTAAGTCAATTTTTTTTTTAAATGGTGAAAAGTTTTAAACACTGTGAGGGGCCAATAAAAGAGATTATTTTCATTGTGAGGGACATTTTAGCATGAGTCAAATCACATGACAGTCAATTTTGTTCTTTGATTAATGTACAGGTACCATGAATTTCAGTTATGGGAGAACTTCTCTTTCTCCTTTGACTTATTCTCTCAATTTTTGCACTCATTTTTTTTTTTATAAAGAGTTTCTAGTAAGAACTATGTGCTAATCAGTTTTAAGAACACAGACTTTATCAAAGAAAATTATCTCTTTAAAATATTTGCACTAATGGAAAAATATGTGAACCACCCAGTCTTATTTTATTGGACCCCAAGTTAGTTTGTGTTTGTGTATATGTGTGGGTATTTATCTGATATCAACCATTATCTTTTAACATCAGCATGAAACAACATGCTGGTCTGAAACATAAAAATATATATCACTCTTACCAAAGCCAGTCTATATTTTAATTGCTTTTTCCTGAAAGTGGAATCATGTAGAACTTAAAAACAGATTGAAATGAAAGGGAAAAATTTGATTCTGTAATTAACTTACCATGTGACCTTCACCACACTGATGGTCCTTACAGATCTAAATTTCTATATCTGTAAAATAAAGAAGGTTGATTTTATGTGATTTCAAAAAATATATCTTTTTTTGACAGTCATAGAAGTTTTATGTAATTCTCTATTCTAGTCTACTGCAAAGGAATAGCAGCAGGTGAAAACTATAATGTTTGACCCTGAAGATTATTATGTGATATGTGTAAGGGTCTTAATGTGTACGATTCCATTTTTAGGGGCTCAAGAGATAAAATTTCTTTTCCAAAATGGATAAATACAAAATCATTTTTGCAATAAAAATGTATTGTGAGGGAATCTTTTGAACCAATGTGATTACTTATTGTGGAAGATACAGGCCATATCGCATTGCGTCTTGCCTCAAGGATCTTATCACTTAGTGAGTGAAATAAAACAATTACACAGATAACTGCCAGTAGGCAGCACTAAATGTCTTAAGTGATGGATAGAGAGAGAGGTAAGAAGGGTCCAACCAAATGCTAACATGTTAATAAAGCGCAGATCACAGGCGGTGATGATCAAATGAATTGAACAGGCTTAAGAGAAATCCATGAAAGAAATAAATCTGTATCCCTGGGATCTTTCCATTTTTGAGAATATATTACATTTGAATCTCTTAGGGATATGTGGTTCCCCTTCCCTTTAAAATAGTTACAGTATAACTTTCATTAAAATCTTGGCTTTTGTCAATCATAGCAGACAATAGCATTTTATGTCCTGTGAAGAATTGTATGCATAATTTTGGAAACAAGACAAAGGAAAGAGGCTCTCTAAGCTGTTAGAAACAAAGGATTTTTAAAATCTTTCTTCTGTCATACCTCCATTAAGGTTGTCTTTTCTCATTTAAAGCTATAAGAAATATTCTGAATACTAATGTGACAGAACCAGATGCAATCCCCAAATACCATATTTGCTTAATGATAAATTCCTAGTCCTTACCTTTAAGGAGATTTGACAATTCACTTTATCCTTTAGCCTTGGGGTAGTCAGGAAAGTTAGGCACAATGTTTTAATGCTCATTCCTCCTCTTTTGCTGTTAGCTATCATTAATCCCTAATGCCTGGAACTGCATAAATTTCTTCTACAAAGGGAGACCACAGGTCGTTTTTATTTGGAGCACTTTTTTTTATATGCGCCACAATATATTCCGTTATGTATTACCTCGTCTGAATGCAAAACTGTTTTATATGCAGATTTAAGGTAATGAGCACTCAAGTTTAAAAAATGGTTCTGGTATCCTGTAGCTTCTCAATAATAATATACTCTTACATTCCAACAGAGAAGGATGGATTATGGGTTTTTCAATTTGCATCAGGCATATTAATTGCAGAGTAGGGCTTCCACATAAAATATCAATGTACTGGAACAAACTGTTAATGTACCAGAATATGAACACTTACATTCATTTCTGGAGCTTTAAAAGGAATCATCCCCCTCCCCCGCTTTTTTAAATCTATACCTCTGGAGATGGTACAGTTTTTTAGTCAGTTAATGAGAACTATGTAACCACCATTTCTCCAAAAATCCCTAATTAGATTAAGTGCAATAGGGTTATTTTAGTCATTTCTGCTGGGGAAGAATACAACAAGCCATTAGGGAAAGAGAATAATTTAGAAGGTTTGAAAGAAACTTATTTTAGAGTTACTTTTAAGAAACATGACATGGAAGATCAACTTTATGTCCTAGTTGGAGGCAGGGAAGCATACTCAACTTTTATTTGCATTATATTTCTCAACTGTGAAGAGAATACCTAAACTAGTAAAAGTTTAGTTGAAAGTTTTATAAGTAATTTTCAGCCAACGTTTTGCACTGTAGGTTTGATTGTAGAGAACTGGTACTTTATTTCATGGAAGTACTTGAATTATATATTCTCTTGTAAGCATAAAATTGTGAATGTCCATATTTTAAAAAAGCATTATAAGAATAAATAAAAACTCTTGTGTTTTAATTTGTCTAATACATTTGGTAGCTAATATAAATTATAGATACTCTGGTTAGACTAGAATATAGATTAAAATATTATTAAATATGTTCTCTTTTTTCTTTAATGTGAGTATTTCTTATTTTTCAAAAAATAAAGCAAGAGGAAGAAATAAAGTTGAGATTTAAAGGCAGCTACATTTTTTTTTTCCTGAAGCTTGTACTTAATATGCAAATGCTAAGTATTTGGTAAATATTCATTAAGTAAATATCAGACCTTTCACATTTGTATTTCACTTTACATTTTTGATACTTGATAAAATTTGTGATTTTATTATTTTCTAACAAAAGTAGAATGGGGGCCCACTTTTCAAATCCATTCTGGAAAAGACAATGTTTGAGTTTTTATACCACAGCTGTAAGTAACGAATTATCTCACCAGGGAAGAGAAGAAATGCTACCCACATAATCCAACAGGAGACTTGATTCATTTTGTGTCTGGAACAGTCAGTGCAATGTTACAAACTGAAATGAGTTTCCTTTTCAATCTTCAGGTGAAAAAAGTAGTGAGAATGTCCCGCTTTAAAAAAAAAATCAATGTAACCTTTTTGTTTTTTCATCTTCCTTGAGAAATAATATGTGTTTGTGTGGGTGTGTGTGTTTTATTTTGCAGTGTTAGTTTTGACCTCATTATTATGCTGTTATAAGGCTAAGTATGTCATGGGTCAAAATGAAGGCAAAATAGACCTTTCTCAGCATTAAAGCACAACCTAATTTATGATAAAAGTAATTTCCGTACTGTTTTAAAGAAATAGCCCTGGACAACATGAATCTTCCTTTGCTGTAGCATGCTGGCTGAAAAACGGGTTAGATATGCATTCCATGAAAAGAACAGGGAAAATCACTAGAACTGTAAACTCTGCATTTGCTGGGTGCTAACATTTTAAGAAATGCTGAAAGTGTGTTATTTTGGTTTTGTATTACATTTAGTAGGTGTATTTTAAACTCAAAGAGTTTGATTTCCAGTAAGAAGCCCAAATAAAGTGTTGCAATTGTTTTATTTAAGGTCAATTCTTTCAACTAAACACCTTTTATTTCCAGATGTGTTTTCCCTCTTGTTTGAAACGCCACATGACACAAAATGCTGCCTGTTTTGTGTGCTTTTTCTACTGCATGCATAGATAGAAAATAGGTTCAAGTGCCTCATTTGAAAATCTTTTACTTAATTCCACCAATTGAAACGATGACATCATGTTTTCAGAATTTACCTTTCTTGGTAAACATCACCAACAAAAGGTTAATGTTTATGAAGGACATCTTAAATCTTAATTTGAGGCATACAATAATTTAAATTTTTATGAACTTTTACTAAATTAAATAAAAGCTGCTTTGAGGTTATAAGTGATAATTTCAGAGGTAATGATTAAAGGCACCTGCCCCTCCTCCTGATGCATCTACCTTCTGTATCCTCTGATAAAAATCAAATGAAAATTAATCTCAGGTTCAAAGTGGTGTTAACTGTATTCAGGAATCTTACGATGTCCTTTACTTCCTTTGAAGCATTACCTGATGACGTAACTACAATTTCAGCATAGCTGTTGATTTTTGATTGTAGGTTTTATTTTGTTTTTTTATTTTTACATTCTTGTGGGGAGGGGGATTTAATCTCTTAAACTTTGTTGGCAAATTACATTGATGAATGTGTTCTGACAGGAAGCTTTACTGAAATGAAAAGGAGTTATGTGTAAGGGTGGGAATAACTATTCTAAGAGCTTTTTCATGGTTCTCGTTGCCAGGGAAACCACTGCTTTGTCTGTACGTGTTTGGAATGGCTGCCTCATTAGAACTCAGGCTCCTAGACAGTCACTTGTAATACTGATAAAATGAAAGGAATGAACCTATTTTAGCTGATTAACTTAAAATTAATAAAAAATAGCATATTTAAAAGATAGATGTTTAAAAGCTAAATATATAGAATTATGGGGGAACAATGAAGTTAATATTGATTAGGCCTATTCAGCCACTTGTGTGACTGGAAGAATCATTTTATTTTTTACTTTCTCTTTGCCTTTTTACATATTTATGGGGAGTAAGCAAATGGACTATTATATGTTAATGCCACCAAATAAACTTGGGATATGATAGATCCTGATTTTTTCACAAATATGCAGATATTTTTCTTATTAATTCATTTTTTTTCCTTGCCATGACTGGCCTGTGTCATGGCTAAAATATTATCAAAACAGACTGGATTTACTGGCTCTCAGGGGCACAAAAGGTAGTGAAAACTTATATTGGAAACCCATCTCTGGGTAGTTTCATTTTTCTTGAGAGAACAAAAGAAGTAGCACACTAAGAAATTATATGAACCAATATTAAAAACGAAGAGGATAATATAACAGATTATTGCTCTAAATTTAAAGTATTTTTAAAAAGTCAAGAAACAGGCATAGATAGAAACATCTCAAGTTCAAGGAGCTGAGACTAACTCTCAATATACTACTGCTTCTTCCTTTTTTTTTACTATAAGCCAAATTCTCTTTGGAAACTTATTGACACTTAAAATGTTTGTTTTTAACTCATGACAAAGAGATGAAATCTTTTTATAAGTTTTTTTCTTCCAACAACAGAAGTTCTTTAAATTTCTTGTTGTATCATTCTATCTAAATATACTCAAAATACTACAATCTTAAATATTATTATTTAACACTTTTCCCTGAAGGAACAAAGAAAAACAAAATCCAAAGATCTTTTTTAAAAGTCTATATTATTCAAATAAGTTCGCTTCAAAAAATTGGCAATATTGATTTTTTATTTGTAGTACTATTTTAGGAAAAGAAATGTCAAAATGATATTTTGGACTTTGCAAGTCCTGTTTTGGTTAGAAATGTCAAAAACTTAATTTTATGTATGTTAAAACTTGAAATGGCCATTAGACATTCAAGAGAAGATGTTTAAAAGGAATATTTTATAATTATAGGATTCATGGGATTTGGATTTTATTTGAGTGTGGAATAAGAGAAAGGGGGGGATAAAGTCTGGGTTTAACATGACTCCTAGGCCTGGATGAGTAATTGTGTGGAAAACAGTGCCATTCATTGAGATGAAACTACTAAAGCAATGGTTTTCCACCTTGCCTACACATAAGCATCACCTGGGGAACTTTAAAAAAATACGAATTCCTGAAATCCAACCTCAGAGATTCTTATTCAATTGAAATGGGTTTGGGTCTATAATAGTATTTAAAAATTGCTCTCCTGGTGATTCTAATGTGAAACCACCTTTGAATACCCTGATACTAAAATTCATTCTTGTGCTTCCTAACTTTCAGGTTGCCTGAACCTTAGGGGCACCTCAGATATTTTTAAAATCTCAACGTCTAGGTACCGCAGATCAATTACATCAACATTTCTGAAAGTCAGTCTCAGAATTTTATTTTTATTTTTATTTTTATATTTTTATTTTATGAGACAAAGTCTCTTTCTTCCTCTGTTGCCCAGGTTGGAGTGCAGTGGCACAATCTTGGCTCACTGCAACCTCTGCCTCCTGGATTCAAGCGATTCTCCTGCCTCAGCCTTCCTTGTGGTTGGGATTGCAGGTGTGCACCACCATGCCAGGCTTAATTTTGTATTTTTAGTAGAGATGGAGTTTTGCCATGCTGGCCAGGCTGGTCTCAAACTCTTTTTTTTTTTTTTTTTTTTTTGAGACGGAGTCTCACTCTGTCGCCCAGGCTGGAGTGCAGTGGCGCGATCTCGGCTCACTGCAAGCTCCGCCTCCCGGATTCACGCCATTCTCCTGCCTCAGCCTCCCAAGTAGCTGGGACTACAGGCGCCCGCCACTACGCCCGGCTAATTTTTTGTATTTTTAGTAGAGACGGGGTTTCACCGTTTTAGCCGGGATGGTCTCGATCTCCTGACCTCGTGATCCGCCCGCCTCGGCCTCCCAAAGTGCTGGGATTACAGGCGTGAGCCACCGCGCCCGGCCGGTCTCAAACTCTTGACCTCAAGTGATCCTGTCGCCTCAGCCTCCCAAAGGTGCTGGGATTACAGGCCTGAACCACTGCACCTAGCCCAGTCTCAGAATTTTAAATTTCCTCAAGTGATTCTTATGAGTGTCAGGGCTGGGGGATTCATGATACTAAAGAAAGAATAGTTCAGGTGGAGAAGCTGCTGTTTGACAGAAACATGGTATTTGAGGTGGATCTGGAACACCATTCTGGAAGGACTTAGTAGGGTCTTAAATATGATTCTGATGTTATACAGCAAAAGTCTATACGGGCTACAGAAACATAATGTGTAATAATGGAACCCTTCAAGAGGAGGGAGTCATGAGGGTGCTTAGAAAGAAGGAAAAAAAAGGAGCAAAGAGCAGAAGGTTGGGAAACAGTGGCCGGCCTTTGAGAGGAAGGAAGGAGAAAAAGAACCAGAACTGAAAACTGAGAAAAATATAGAAATGGATTTGGAAAGAATGATGTCATAGAAAGCAAGGCTTTTAAAGAAAAGTTGAGACTCTGTATGAAAAAATAATACAAAAACTAAAAATAGTTAACTGGGCTTGGAAATCAAGGGAGATATTAGTACCCTTCAAAAGAACTGTTTTAGGGGAGAAGTAAAAGTAGAAAGTATTTGGAGTACATGAGAGAGGAGTGAGAAACCATTGTCTGAGTTAGTAGAACAGTGGTTTCAAAATACGGCTGCGTATAAGAATCACATGGGAAGGGCTGGGCACGGTGGCTCACGCCTGTAATCCCAGCACTCTGGGAGGCCGAGGCGGGCGGATCACGAGGTCAGGAAATCGAGACCGTCCTGGCTAACACAGTGAAACCTGTCTCTACTAAAAAATACAAAAAATTAGCCGGGCATGGTGGTGGGCGCCTGTCGTCCCACCTACTTGGAAGGCTGAGGCAGGAGAATGGTGTGAACCCGGGAGGTGGAGCTTGCAGTGAGCCGAGATCGCGCCACTGCACTCCAGCCTGGGCGACAGAGTGAGACTCCGTCTCAAAACAAAACAAAACAAAACAAAACAAAACAAAAAAACAACAAAAAACAAAACAACAACAACAAAAAAGATGACTGTCACTGTACCCTAGACCAACGGAATCAGAATTTCTTGAAGAGGGAAAAGGACATCAGTGTGGCTCAAAATCTCCCCCAAGGTGACTCTAATGTGCAGCCAGATTTGAAAAACATTTCATAGAATATTCTTTTCAGAAACTTGACTGAAAATGAAAGGTGAGGATTTAGGGTAGTTTCTACTCGGAGGTGGAAATTGTGAGAGAAAATAAGAGACTTGACTGTAAGAACTATGACAGAGCCACTGTGTCTAAACATTAGTTGAAAATACTTGAGATCAGAATTCAGGTTATGGTAGAAATGAAAGTATAGAAATCAAAGTCACTGGTAGAAAAATCCCCTCTAAAAAGAGAATGGTGAAAAGCTCATCCTGTGGGCCTATAGAAAAAGATGTGAAAATGAGTAAAATTCTAATTCGATTGCTTTTCTTTTTATTTGTTATATAAAGAGATACAGACAAGACATTGAAGGAATCTTACTAATAACCACAATTTCCCATATGATTATATTCACTCTTTGCATTCGCAGCGGTGGAAATGTGAGGGACTTGAAGTGCTTGGTATCCATTTAGAATAACTTACGTGGGAAATGGAAAAGATGACTGATAAAAGATCATGTTTAACTAGTACGTATAGACCAGATGAGGTTTAGAGTGCCATAATCTACACAAATACCTGGTTTCCTCTAATGGCATTCTGATATCAAGATACAGAAAGAGAAAAAAAAAATTGGTACAGTGATCCAGTACTTGTGATCATCATGAAAGGTAGAACATAAATGAAGCGATTTAAACACTAAGAATGCGGGCATGAAATTTCTGTTTAAAATGCTCCATCATTTGTTTAGATGAAAGAAAAACTATGGGGGGTGCTTATAAACTGAGATAAAAAGGGAAGAATCTGAATCTTTAAATAGTACAAAAAACAGATACAGAAGTACAATCTTCTTTTAGTATTTGTGAAGTATTGGTTTCAGGACCCCTCAGATATCGAAATCTGCAGTTGCTCTAGTCCCTGATAAAAAATGGTATAGTATTTACGTATAACTCACACACATCCTCCTATATAATTTAAATAACCTCTAGATTACTTGTCATGCCTAATACGATGTAAATGCTCTGTAAATAGTTGTTATGCTGTATTTTTTGTATTATTTTTATTGTTGTATTGCTATTTTTGTTGTTTATTCTCAAATATTTTCAATCTGTGTCTCTTTGAGTCCATGGATAGAGAATCCACAGATAGGAAAGACCCACTGTAGCAAAGAGGTGAGCAGGTAAAATAATAAATTAATTTTACTAACAGTCTTTTAGAGATTGAAGTTCTAAATTTGAAATAGTTTGGGATAAAGAATAGTCCAAGAATGTCTAGGAACACCATAATCCAAGATAATGGTTCTAGGATGTAAAGTATGAGAGAAAATTAATACATGTAAACCAAAGAATTCAGAATTTATATTACTGTACACTTATAAACCTAGATACTATTCATGATAAAAGCATAATTCAGTGTGAAAA
Organism: Homo sapiens; assembly: GCF_000001405.40. Lineage (NCBI taxonomy): Eukaryota > Metazoa > Chordata > Mammalia > Primates > Hominidae > Homo > Homo sapiens. The sequence goes on along the minus strand of NC_000014.9, from coordinate 27,794,502 downwards.
GAAATAGTAAATGATCAATGAGTGGGGCAATGGGAGAAGGAGAGAGAGAGGAGATAGGAGGCAGGGGAATGTGAATAATCTGGGTTCTTGATGTTTCAGCTTCTGATAGCACCACAGCTTCCTGCAATGGATTATATACTGCCACTAGAAAGATAAAAAATCACTGGGAGAAGCCATCTTTGGTTAGATCTATCTTTTTGAGTTTAGAAATATCCATAAAATACTGTTTTTCTCATGGAATGACAGTAACTCGAAGCAACTCTGGATTTCTAATTCAAAAATACTCTAGGTTTCCAGCAATAAGAAAAGGTGGTTTTTCCCCCCCACCGCCACATATGTATGAGTTTCACTGATGGGAGTTTACAGGGCTTGATTAAGTAGGAGATTTTGATAATATATCTTAAGGTATTAGAGTGATATGAATTTCACTAGAAATATTGATAGTTTTGTTTTATTTCATTTTTTGAGAATGAGTCTCTGTCTGTTACCCAGGCTGGAGTGCAATGGTGCAATCTTGGCTCACTGCAACCTCCACCTCCTGGGTTCAAGCAATTCTCCTGCCTCAGCCTCCTGAGTAGCTGGGACTACAGGTGCGCACCACCATGTCTGGCTAATTTTTGTATTTTTACTAGAGAGGGGGTTTCACCATGTTGGCCAGGCTGGTCTCGAACTCCTGACCTCAGGTAATCCACCTGCCTCGGCTTCCCAAAGTGTTGGGATTACAGGTGTGAGGCACCACGCCCGAACGATAGTTTTATAAAACCTGGATTTAAGGCAGAATTTAGAAACGGAAACTCTAATAGGAAAACCTTTTTCTATATTATTATTTTTTTTAATTTAAAGGTAAACTTAAGTGTCGAAAATGCAAACTTGGGGAGGGCAGAAAGATCACACATAAGGCTGCCACTTCACACCTGGAGGGTTGCATGGTGGCTGGGCAGAGGCACTCCTCACTTCCCAGGGGATGCGTATGAATCACAATGTAGGGGATAAAGCCGTTAGATAAAAATCTTGAAAGTAAAAGTGGATAAGAGAAAAATGCAAAAGAGTTTAGAGTGATGCATAAAAGAATTCAATAATAGATTATCTTTTACAGACAAGAATGAAGATAAAAATATGGTTTCAAAATACTTACCATAAGCAATGTACAGATATGTGTAACAGGTTATTGTATACGATAGTTGAAAGAAAATAATGATTTGAGATGGGAGGAAATCATTTTTATTAAGACATAATAATTTTGAATTTAATGGCTGAACATTTATGTGGCTTTTAAGAGTCAGTGCATTTCCAAAGTGGTACTGCAATATATGGAAAATGCCAGTACTGGAGATGTTGCATGCCATCCATGCAGAAGTGGGCATTCAAATCTTAAGAATGGATGAGATCTCTCAAAAGGCAATTATAAATGATGACAGAGAACTGAAGAATGTTGAACCATGGTATTAAGGGAACATGTAGCATGGCGTGCGTGACTGACTAGAGAACATAGTCTTAGAAATCAGACTGAATTGTGTTTGTATTGTGGCTTCAGGATTTACTATGTTATCTTGGGCTTTCCTATTAAATGGACAATTTCATTGTATTCTTATTATAAATTAGAAATAATAACTTTCTAACAGGATTGTGGAAGTGTGTGTGTGTGTTTATGTGTACACACAGAGAGAATATAAATATTAAATAAACATTTCTATTTTATAGTAGATTGTAAATAGAAACTTAATCAAAAGTTAAGTCAAAGTAGTCAAGAAGATTATAAGGTATTAGGAAAATTCACTATTTTAGAAACCGAGAGAGAGGGTTTTAATGACAATGGTTGGTCAGCAGTTTCAAAAACCACGAAGAAAAATTGCTCCTAGAAGATAAGAGAATGAGTCTATCCCTTACAATAAGCCTAGGATCACATTTCTTAACTTATTCCTCTCAAAATTGAAACATAAAGTACTTCTATGCATATTATCTTATTTGCCTTATGTAAAAGAAAAAAGGAAGCAAATGGTTTCCAAATGTTTAAAAACATATATTGTCTCTCTCCCCATTCTTCCGTCTCTCTCCTCTCTCGTCTCTCTTTTCTCCCCTTCTTTTCCTCTCCTCCCACTGTATTTCTCCACATTTTCTAGACCTATCAGTTTTACGATAGAGAAGTTGCATTTGAAGATGTATTAGAATCTTCCCAAATGGGATTGGTCATGAGAAAAACTAATATACGGGATGCCTAATGCTGACCCAATTAAATTTGTGGTTTTGGCATAGCAAGATTTATTGATTGATCAATGCCGTGTGTATGGTGGATATGCTTGCCTTGTCTCACAGAAAGGCAAACAAGCAGCCCATTATATTAAAGCATGTGGATTACGTTTTAGTCCCTATGGAAAAATAATATAACTTCCTTATTCTTACCCCAATCTTTAAGGATCTCAAATAAGAGAAAAATAATTGCATAATTCATCGTCCTTTGTGATTTGAGACATACATGATCATGTTATTGGCAGAAAATGAATTGGTTTTATACATTTTATTGATAAGTGTTTCCAAACATTTGTAATTAGTTGGCCATATTGTTGTTTCTCCACCTTCAGAAGAACTGGTTATTATGATTACTTTTTATGAAGGTGGAAATTACAAAATAGAATTGAGCTGAATGAAATTAAAGAGAAACTGAAAAAAGAAATTCCCTGCCAGGAAATAATTTCATTTGAACTAATACAGAGTTCTTTGCAATTCTTACTTAGCTGAAGTGTATTTCTAGTTGTGTTTCTAGATGTATATCATTATGAAAATAGCCACTTCCTAGGTTCTCATTTTTCATATAAAAACAATGTTCACTAGGAATAAATTTCTTCCCTGGATTCAATTTCTGAATATTTACAAGGTGAAAATTGTGTTCACCTCTTTTCAAATGGAGATTCTCTGAACTGTAATTGGGTGACTATTTCACAGATCAAATCTCAGCACATATCACTTTAAGATGATATAGTGTAAAAGGGCCCAAATTGTGTGTGCACACCTAGATGTGTGTGTGTCAGCATGATGTGGAAACTATGTGGATAGATAAATATCTAAAATAATAGGTATATAGATAGCACGATGTTCCAATAATTACCAATAAGATCATGTCTTCAGTGGAGAGTAATACATACCAAATTTTTAAATCTTTAATTTTTTATTTTCATATCTGATTATTTCTGCTATGATCTCTTTTTTATCAGAGGAGCTACTAAAAATATGAGTAGATAAGAATACATTTGAATTTTTATATGTATGATAACTTAAAAATTTTGCCTACTTTATAGATTTCTCAGTTGGACTTATATTAAATCTCTATTTTTGTTTTTAACTTGGAATAAATTCTCTGACACTAATTACTAAATTGTCAGTATTTATAATGTAAACATTTTAAATCCCCTAAATGTCTACTACAGAAAGAGTAAATGGTGATGTGTCTGTGTTATGGAAGAGTAAATGGTGATGTGTCTGTGTTATGGAATACCCTGAAAACCATGGAAAATAATAATAAAGCTCTACATACGTTGACATGGAAGAAATGAATTAATAAATTGTTTCACTGAATGAAAATCATCCAAGTTGTGTAAATAAAAATATGTACCTGTAGGGCTGCAACATTATGCAACTCAAGCAAGTATATAATTCAGTAGTGCTATTAGGTATGCATTGTAGATATTTCTGCATACAAATATACAGTGAAGAGAAACAATTAATATTTTTAAAATGTATATATGTTTATATATATGTACAAAAAGTTATGAAAGTAAATACTGCAAATTACTAACAGTGGAAACTCTTTAACAGGTAGGTGTGAGGTTAATTTTGCTTTTTATTTTGCATTACACACTTTTGTATTGACTTAATTTTAAAATTAGATTTGCATTACATTTTTTCCCTAAAAATATAACTATAATTGAAAACCTAGTTTCTGAATTGTACATTGTGTTTAACTCATGTTCTTTCTCTTTAATCGTCAATTTCTTCACTGACATCACAAAAATACTAGGAATTTTCCAATTAAAGAAACAAAAAACTAAAAATCAGGAAAATAAAGAAGTATTTTAGAACCAAACCTTCTCTTAGTGTCATCACTCTTTATTCCAGGCCTCGAAATGAAATGGCACAGACTGTCTTTGTCTCCTCTCCCGAAGATGCTTGGTTTACTCAGTAATCACCTCCCAAATTTGCAATCGCCCGGAAAGATAGCCTTTACTTTGCATACCTTCTAAAATACTAGCCTGATTCAAGTATTTATCATTCTTGAATTATAGCTAGTAACTTCTTCACTGGTTTCCTTGCCTGTAATTTCTTACCTTTGCAGTCATCCCCAGATATTGCCTTAGGGCTATCTTCCTGATGCAGAGATCAAATCATGTTGTTATACTTAAAATATTTTTGGCTCTATCATCCACAGACTAAGTTTCAGATTTCCAGACATAGCATCATGACCTTTCATGTCCTATTGCCAGATTGCTCTTTTAACATCACTTCAAACGTCACTGTTTTTTTTTTATAACTTTTAAGTTAAGGGATAAAGGTGCTGATTTGTTACATAGGTACACTTGTGTCATGGGGGTGTGTTGTACAGATTATTTCATCCCCCAGGTGTTAAGCCTAGTACTCATTAATTATTTTTCCTGATCCTCTCCCTCCTCCCAACTTCTGCCCTCCAAAAGGCCCCAGTTTGTGTTGTTCCCATCTGCGTGTCCATGTGTTCTTATCAATACCTCCCACTTAATAGTGAGAACTCCAAATGTCCATAAATATAATATACCATTTTATGCCTTTAAGTCTTGTTGTTTACATGTCTTATTCTTCTAGTCTTTCAAGGCCCACCACAAATATCACGCTTATATCTGACAATGGAAAGAAACATTCCTGCTCTCCTAGGGCACTTTGCTTTACCTATATTACAAATCTTATTTCTTTATACTTACTTTAGTTAGCTTTCATTTGTTTCACTCAGCACTAAATAATGTAGTCTTGAAATCAGGACCCACCTTCGATTGATCTCTGACCTAGAGTCCTTATCTGAATTCAATATATTTGTTTGCCTTGCTTTTAACCAAATATATTTGGAATCCGTTTATCCATACACTTATGAGGAAACAGTATTGAAAAGATTGCTATCCATTAATATGGCTGTGGAAAAAAATGTCACCTTAGTTCTATTTTAAGATAGGAAAAAGTCTTATCTATTTTTAGTAGATTTGATAATACTTGTATGAGTTTAAATCTTACTGATGCTGTACAGTTGTGCTATCCAATATGGTAGCCAATAGACACATGAGGTTATTTACATTTGTATTTAAATTAATCAAAATAAAATAAAACTTCCATAAATATACCATTGTATGCCTTTAATTCTTGTTCCAAGGTTTCAGTATATTATGGAAATTTTTATTATCACAGAATTTTCCACTTAAAAGCTCTGCTCTAAAGTTTAAACTCAAAATGTAAATTACTCCTGTGCTAACTTGGTAAAATCCTGATACAGAAATGGCATAGTTTACAATAGATTTTTTGCATTGTTTTTAATCTAAGTTGAATATAGTTGTATTACTAGCTCACCAGGCAATTGTTACAGGGATTCATCATTTCTTTAACACTTTAAAATTTATTCTAATGAACTCAGTTGATTGCATATACCCCTTTACACATCCAGGTCACATGAATCACTGTACTAGAATCAGCTACTCTGGGGAAAAGAGGAGAAGAGGTTGCGCATGTTTGTGGAGTATGTATTATTAAAGAAAAGTCCCAGTTCCCTATGGTAGCAGATCTGACCATTCTGACCATCCTGTGGCTCAATTTTAGGAAATAATGTCTAAGAAGGAATCAAGAATGGATGGATGTATTGCATTCAAAATATAAATTTGTTCTCATCACTAGTGTGGATGTGTTCCATCCTTACTCAATAATTGTATACAGTGTCATGCCTTCAAACCTTGCATAATGGTCTGTACTTCATTCATTCTCATCCTTCAAGTTTCACCTTAAACTTTTTTTTTCCCTAGGTTTTCTCCACACTAGCTAGGAAGTTTGCATGTACACAATGTAATGAAAAAATGAAATTTCTGTATGCAGGAATTCGACATTGTGTGTTGAATCCTGTGATAACAGCATTTCTTATGCAGACTCAATATATATTTGATCATCTAACATGAAAATTGAAACTGGCATCTGCTTGAAAACCACCACTTTGCTGGCTCAATTTTAGACCTGCAAAGGAACTTGCTGCCCTTTTGTTAACTAGATAAGCTATATATTTCACTTTGAAAAGACATGTCCCTGCAACTTTGATGGTGAGATACTGCCTCATAACATTCATTTTTCTCTATTAAGGTATTATAGTTTTGATTTAATAATTTTCAGTGGAGATTCATTTAACACTAGAGTGAATGAAAATCTAAAAGAGGATCAAATGGTTATTAGTGGAAACATAATAACATTTAACAATTGACCTTCAGTAATGGAGAGACTCCTCAGTGGGAAGAAATCTTTCATGTTGAAACTTTCCTGATAGAGAACTCTTTGCATATATAATCAATGAGGTATGGGCATGGCTTCATCTTTGGTATGAATAACAAAAAAGTTGTCATAGAAAGCTATAGAATTAAAATTTATTTTTCAGAAGGAGTATTGTTTGCTTCTTTCAAAAGTGGAGGTAAAAATGATACAGGGGAAGGTACCCTCAAATAAATTAGTATAACCAAGTAATAGTTTTTCAGAAATAGATTAGAAAATATTCATCCCCCAAAATTAATGTTTGCTAGTTACATTTATCAATTTCCTTTCTACAATGCTAATTTTAACATCATAATGCTTTCATTAGTGCATTATATGAAATATCATATGAAATATGGTATATGTAAATTGCTGTTGTTGAAATAAGGTTTTGTTGTTTAAAAATAAGATATCCATTCAATATACATGTGTTAACACTAACCACAGCAAAAAAAATCAAAAAGAAAAATTAAGAGCACTTTTTCTCTACTCCCCTTAAACACACTTATCTCTTATGCCTTAAATTAGATTGTATATAACAATTCTAATATATTGGTATCTATATAATTATATAACTTAATTTTAATCAGGGAAACAAATGAATATTCCTCATCATTTTAAACCTTTTTATTGTTATACCATTTCGTTTTTCCCTGTTTTTATGCTTTTGCATGTTTGACATAATATGAAACCTCAAAAATATCTCTGGGCAACTTCTGAAGATTGCTATGTTAGGATTGCTAAACAAATGTATTCAAATGCATTTTCCTGACTGAATTTTTATTACGCAAGTTCAGTGTTTACCTTTTCCTTGCTTCTTGGAAAATTGTTTTAGGATGTTTCTGAAAATAACATCATCCAGGTTAAAATGTTGAAAATACCCCAAAACATATAAGGCTCATAAAGAGTGTGGGACGTAAGCGTGCCGGCTAATCTAGTTCTCATTCTCATAAAGGGCAGTAGTGGCACTTAAGAGCCAGTATACCTATTCCTTTTCATTGTAATAAAACCATTCCTGAAAGTGACTTTGTCCAGAGCAAATGACTCCAACATGTTGTACTTCAGAGGTAGATTGTCATAACAGATTTAACTCTGTTAAATACATTAAATCATAAAAACAAAAACAAAAAAACACCCTGACAATATAAAACATTGATGAATAGTCTACTGGTTAAAAGTGAAAATTTTGAAAGCAATAGTTGTATATAATCAGTGGATATGCCTTGCTTCTTTTCAAACAAGTGGTTTTTAAAGGTGTATTGCATTATGATCACATAATATGTATTTATTTCATAAATTATATAAGTCTTCTTAAGCTGAATCACTCAAATACAAAAACTTGGGCTTTATTTTAATATTTTTGTAAAATGATTTTTTCACCTGGATTGCAAATACCCTACAAACCGATGTTTAACATGAATATATTAAAGATTTCTTTGGATTATAATTATATGAAAGAGTTATACATTTGTATTCTCAAGACCTTTATTATACATTGTATAATGACACTTTCTACCAAATATGAATGAGAAATAGTAAATAACTATTAAGGCAAAAGACCAGAAGAGGAAAACTATGAGGAAAGACAATATAAATATTCCTAGTTTTTAAATTAATTTTTAATTCTGTTCTTTCTGATGACTTAATGAGAGTCTGCACACCTGCAGTCTGAATTCAGTGTTATCCTCTTTTGTTAAATTGAAAAAGAGGCAAGGATAGAAAAATCATTCACTGGCTAGAGAATGCTTCTGGTCAGGTCATGGATTCATACTGTTTTCAGTATATAATTTCATTGTCAATTGAAACAAAGTGCTAATTGAGCACAATATTGATGGGTGGTTCAGAGGCGAGACTAGTATAGTTCTCTAAAAGGGATTAATAATAACCACTCCTGTTTCACCTTCCACTAACATATCTAGGAGAGCCATGCAGAAGGCAATTATCTGTTCCTCAAAGACATTTCTCCTGGCGCATAAATTATCGGGGTCCTAGACTAGTGGCCCTATAGACCCAACCAATAGCTCTTTCTGTCTCAAAGTGGTTTATATCATGAGTGGCCTTTGTTCTGAATTGGTCAAAATCTTCATGTATTTTGAAACTGTTATAATTTAAAGACTTCACAAAGGGACACAATACTAGTCTCTCATTGCATTCAGTTCTGTAAAGGCATCTACTGTGTTACTGCTGGATAATAATAACCTTCAAATGATTCTATAATTTTAATATGTTCATCATCACAAATTTCAAACTTTGGTTTAGGTTTGCCTTCTGAAGCAATACTGAGTACATTGTTTCCATTTTGACAAGACAAACAACCTTTCAGATATTTGGGGACAGCTAAGTTCTGTGGTTGATTGATAACTATAATTTTGGTGCCCCATATTCTTCTTCATTTTGCATTGTCTTTTAACGTTTCCTTTGGAGAACTTATCCCAATGCCAGGTGCTTCAGAGGAAGTTTTCTCAACCTCACCACTATCGATATTTCAGACCAGATAATTCTTGGTCATTGGGACATGTCCTGTGTATTACAGACTGCTTAGGAACATTCTTGGGAGTGTTTATGGTGGTATGAAAATGTTGAGAAAACTATACTTCCCAATTTCCTAAGCAGTTGGGAGAAGCTACTTGATGCATCTCTGGCAAATGAGAAGCGAACAGAAGATACTAGCCGATGCCTCTGAGAAAGCTCTTTAAAGGATATAATCACTTCTTGTTTGTTCTTTCTCACTGAATCTTATTCTGTAAATGCAATGTCAAGTGATGTGACAACAGTGTTATGCTTCAAGCCTAAGCAAGACTCTAAGAATACTGGAGTGAGAGGATTCCACCAGTCTTGGTCCTTGAATCTTTCTTTGCTCATTTTGGCACTAAGTCTCCAGATATCTTGTTGGGGGAAGGATAGTGGCAGGAACTAACTTTTTTAATATACTAGTTTTATTTTGTCTTCTATAAATAAATTAAAATCTACATAATCTCTAACTAATAGTAATAGCTTTGCTTTAGGAAAAAAACAAGTGTCCATATTATAAATATCTCAAGCTTCTTCTTATGTTGAAGCTGTTTTCAAATGTATTTTTTTTCAGTCATTCCTGTTTATTGTTTCTCAACTACAATGGGCAAGGTACCCTACTAAGTTCCAGAGATAAAGATAAAAGAAACAATATTATTATTTCCTCAGAAAGTCTCTGAGGATAGTGGAGACAAAATTAATGGAACTGCTAGTGTTCTGTGATAATTGTGTGTAAACTATCAGGAGAGTAGGAGAATATTAGACAAGATAGGAAATGAATCTCAATGAAAAAGAAAATATAATAAAGTGTCACTGTTAAATCGTTTAAAACATATGATAAAGGCAGGAGGAGCTATTGCTGACAAATTCCTAATTTTATATCTGTTACCTCAGCATCATATATGAAGACATAAAACAAAACCTGAGTTTTAAATTTCCAAAACTATCTGTTGCCTATCTGCATGATTTTTCTTTTACTGTGTCACGGACTAGTATATTTTCAAGTGCGTAGCTAGGCTCAATTTTATTTTTGTTTCAGTTCTATAATATTTAATAACATCTTTTCTCCCCAAAGACCTTTGCTTAGAAACCAAGAGATACACCGTGAGAAGCAAGTGTTGTGCTAAGTACCCCTCTGTGGTGCCACCTGTGGGCATGCACCTGCCTTCCTCCCAGTATGCTGATTGCATTCCTCTCACTCACATTGTCAGATTTGCTTCATGAGCTCTAGACTGTGTCATTAGTTATGACTCACCAATTGTGGCATAATCGTATCAATTCCAGCCCAGTGTCTTCTGTCCTCATTTAAATACAAATTTTTCTTCTATTGCCAAGCTATCAAATATGTTTTATTCACTGAGTCTTTGTAATGAAAGGTGAAACAGCACAGTCTGCACTCAACAGCCAGATTCTTTTAAAAAGTATAGTAATAATAATAATAAAAGGTTGTAACATTCAAGTGATTGGCAGGCATTTTTCTAACACATTCTTTATTTTTGAAAACCTAACATCTGTGATACCACGTATGTATATCTGCTGATTGTAGTTAGCAATCTCATTCAACACATTAAAAAACATGAAATTGTCAATCCTATCAAGTTGTTTTTTGATTATTTTAAACAGCTTCTCAGCCATCTTGGAACTGACCCAGAGTGTAAAGGTCTTGAGGATTATCTTCATCAGTATTACCTGAATACAAGCCTTCTGAAAGGAAAAAGAAACTCTAGCTCTTCAAACCAGAAAGTCTAGTAAAATTCAATATTGTAAATTGAATTTCTTTATTTTTATCAAAATATAATAAATGGTAGACAAATCCATTCTTACAGTTCTATTTACAATCCTCTTTCAGTTTTATCTATGTAAGCACCACCATTTAGGTTTATTATATTTTCTGTTCATCGTTTTTTTTTTCCTACATTTTATTAGTCGCATTTCCCCCTACATTTTTATTTTAGTGCTGACCTTCAATTCCTCAGGGGTCAGTTCCTTGTACATAAATAATACTTTCATGTTTCATGAGGTCAGTTACCACTCAAATCGGCACAAATGGCAGAAAATAAAAACAACAGAATCCAAAACTTCCCCCTGAGATTTCATCACATGTTATAATTTTAGAATTCCCACTTAGGTAGCTTTTACTGTATTGACAGATTGAAGTTTAACTGTAGCCAATTTTAAAAGACAGAAGTATGACTGAGTTATCATATAGTTCAGTGACAAATCATATTAACATTATATTTTGATATATCTCAATATAAATAAAGATAATTCTCTGATATCTTAGACCCATCTCAGATACTTTTATTTTTACATTAAAAATAGAAATAATTCAGGAAAATAAAATTGGTGAAAATTACAAAGCAAATATCCAATTTTTTTGAAAGAACAAACTTGTCTCTAATTGGCATTCAATGCAATTTCATTTTTGTCTTCTGTAGTTCTTTAAATATGTATTCAGGAAAAGTTTCCAGATCTGTAAAAAAATCTAGCAGCTTTCATGACTTCTTTTGGTTATTGCTATTTAATAGATAGTTATATTGTAAACCACAATTTTATTTCAGAAATTAGAATATGAATTTCTATATTTTAATTAAAATATAATTCAGATATGTTTTCTCCCCTACCTCTTTCATCTGTAGGCTGTGGAAAGGGGTCATTCTTGGTTTCTTTTCCTTTCCAGCTGTCTTCACCTTACTTACCCCCTCTCCTATTGGATAACTGCTTCTACTGACCACTCTAGGACTGAAGTCTGGAAATAGGAGTGGTAATGAACAGATAAATTTCTTTCTTAACTGATAGTAAGTGATCATTTAATCTACAACTTTCAATTCCCATGAAACTTTTCACTTTCTAGAATAAGCTTGTCCAACCCACAGCCCAAAGGCCACACACAGCCCAGGACAGCTTTGAATGAGGCCCAATAGAAATTGGTAAACTTTTTAAAAACATTATGAGATTTTTTTGGTGATTTTTTTTTCTTTAGCTTGCCAGCTATCGTTAGTGTTAGTGCATTTTATATGTGGCCCAAGACAATTCGTCTTCTTGCAGTGTGGCCCAGAGAAGCTAAACGATTGAACACCCCTGTTCTAGAAGTTCATTCCATTCAGTGGAATCCCACCCAAGTGTTCTTAAAGAACACTTGGCTTCAAGCCATCTGCTACCTTTCATTGCTCATGTGGATCATTTCTGATCTGGGCTAAAAGGTAATGCATTCATGGGCCCTGAAATCCAGAAAGTGAAACCCCGGGTCAGCTACTTAATTTGCAGGATCCCTTTTACAAACAAAAGAAAATATAATAGAATTTTTCTTCCTATGGTTTCTTTCTTGACCTGTCATGATGTTTTTTCTTTGCTCTTAATTTCACTCTGCCTTGGAAACAGGGATACTCACAGAGCGCTCAAAATTACTCAGGATATGACCCTGAGTCTCCTTGTATTTGGACTCAGACCTCCTGCTGGGTAAGAGGTGGTAGTGGTCTCTAGGTATCAGTGGGGGAGCAAGATGGCAAAAGGTGAGATGACATGTGAGCTGAGGCCCGATGCTCCTGGCTCATGCTCCATTGTCCCATCAGAGTTCACTTACAAAACACAAGTTCAAAGATAAAATTATTAAGGATTTCAAGACAGTAACAGTAAAGTTTTGAAGGATCCACTGAATGTGGGTTCTTATACAACTACAGTGGTCACAAACCCCTGAAATTGACAATCTAAATGTATTAGCAGCTGTTCTTTAATTTAGCAGCAAAACAGCTTATCAGCCTTTGTCTTTTACTCTTACAATTCTGGAAAATAATTAATTAAACATCAGACCCCTGTGCCACTCCTAAATTTTGGAGATATTCATCAAGCTTTATAAATACTCTCCCCTCACCTGAGTGGAGGAACATTGCTACCCTCCCATCCAGTGTGGCTATTCTAGAACACCTTTCCCAAATAAACTTTTCATAAGAAAGAAAATTCTTATTTTCCTCAATTCTGGTAATTATTTGTGGTGTTTTGCATTGTGTCATCTTGGGTAGGCAAAAAAGTACATTTTTTTCAAGATGTCCTTCTCTGTATTATCCAAAAGAGGAACTTGTACGTAACTGGGAAAAAGGAAGTAAGGTGGTGGCCCTTATTCTCTGAAGGTCATCATAATCAACTGCAGTATCCGATCAATGCAGAGGTTCCAGCCAGCTTGCAACCTGTCCTAAATCTGCTCTATTCCATGTTCAACACCTTTGCCAACTGTTGCCTCTGTCCATCAACAGCAGCCCAAGACTCACCAAAAGATTCTTAGATGTGAATCCACAGAGGTTGTAGCTACACAAAATCACAGCCTCTCAAAGGGCATCCCAGGAGCAACCCTTACATAAAGAGATATGTTTGGTATTTCATATTGACTTGTTAGTGAGAGGTCCTCTGATCCTTGAACTTCCCTTTCAGACCTTGAGTTTCCCAGCTACTTGTAGAGCTCTACACATCTAATTCCTTTAATAAGTCCTTTATCCCATAAAACACATTATTAACTTTGTTCCCCTGTCTGACTCCTGTCTGATATATCATTTTGTACTTGTATTTTGAGTTAAGCGAGTTCTTACCAAGTAATTTTAAAATCTACATCTTGTAATTCTATTGATTTATTTCCTATGGTCTTAGTCAAATTTTTGATTTTATAATCTAACTATACTGGCACTAATTCTTTATGCTGTGGTCATTGTATCGGGGACAAAATCAAAGTGTCATTCATCAAAAAAGCAATGTGGAAAGGAGTAAAGAAGCCCCTGGAAATACTAGGTGCTCATATTGTAAAAATTTACCTTGGTCAGTCATCCCTAGGCTTTCTACAAAAAACAGGTTGACCTTAGATCCAGCAGTTTAATCTGTATTATCTTTGATTTGTCACAAATGCGTGTCATGCCTATAATTCCCAGAAATTACACTGCTTCAGCCTCACTGATAGTAAACCTGTGTGCTCATAGCTCTTATGATATATATCTAATTAGTGCCTGCAGGGAAAATACCCCTAAAGGTTCTGTCCTATGTTCTGATAACGGATTCTTTCACTGTTACTTCCATGAAAGACATTTTCTTCTCTTACAATAAGAAGACCAGGATATTCTGCCTCACTATCAGTTTGTATAGAGGTTGATCTGTTCTCCATTTTAGAAAATCAGCAGTTGGACCAATATTGCTTCTGAAACTGTGATATATGCATCTTGCATTTTACAATTTTATTTACTCTCAGAACATCAGACATAAAGATTTTGCTTCATCATATATCCCCTGACTTTCTCCCCATTTTTTTTATTCCTTCCTTCAGCTTGACTCAGGCTATGCACACTCTGGGCTTTGAAGACATGGCCCAGCTTTGGTCTCTGGGGACTGGCTGTGCTGTGCCAAACATTTCTTGTGCCATGGTCCCTCTTTCCAGAATAACTTGTTTTTTACTTTTATTATTGGAAGTGATTGTGCAGAATTGATATAATTTCCTGATTAAATGTTTGGTAAGATTTAGCAGTGAACTCATCTAGCCCTGGTGCTTTCTGTTTAGCAGGATATTAATTATTAATTCAGTTTCTTTAATAGATAAAGTCCTGTTCAGATTATCTATTTCTCCTCATGTGAGTTTTGGTTGATTGTGTCCTTCAAGGAATTGGTACATTTCACCCTCGTCATTAAATTTTTACGCATAAAGTTGTTCATAATATTCCTTTACTATCCTTTAATGTACATGGGATCACTAATGATGTCCTCTCTTTCATTTCTGGTATTAATAATTTATGTCTTCTATATTTATTTTAGTTAATCTTGATGGAAGTTTATCAATATTATTGATGTTTTCAAATAACTAGCTTTTTTCTTTCAATCAATTTGTTTTCTATTTTTTGGTTTTAATTTTATTGACTTTTTTTTTTTTTAAATTATACTTTAAGTTTTAGGGTACATGTACACATTGTGCAGGTTAGTTACATATGTATACATGTGCCATGCTGGTGCGCTGCACCCACTAACTCGTCATCTAGCATTAGGTATATCACCCAATGCTATCCCTCCCCCTCCCCCCTCCCCACCACAGTCCCCAGAATGTGATATTCCCCTTCCTGTGTCCATGTGATCTCATTGTTCAATTCCCACCTATGAGTGAGAATATGCGGTGTTTGGTTTTTTGTTCTTGCAATAGTTTACTGAGAATGATGGTTTCCAATTTCATCCATGTCCCTACAAAGGACATGAACCCATCATTTTTTATGGCTGCATAGTATTCCATGGTGTATATGTGCCACATTTTCTTAATCCAGTCTATCATTGTTGGACATTTGGGTTGGTTCCAAGTCTTTGCTATTGTGAATAATGCGCAATATTGACTTCTAATTCAACACAATTTTGAAAATGCATAAAGGAAAGCACAGTATTATAAAAGGTAACAATTCTGTTGAAACATACTTAAATGTTTTTTAAATAATTTTTAAAATTATAGTGAAATGTTTTTTTCTAATGCATTAATAAGACAACATATATGAACTATAAGCAATAAATTTTATTTGTTAAAGGCAGATTAGTGTTAAGGTATTCTCTTTAATTTGAAGAAATTATTAAACCATGAGGTAAAATTTGATAAATCCTCATATATATCATGTTAGATATCTAAATGATTTATTTTTGTTGTTTCTTTATAATTTATTTTTATTGCTTGTCTGTTTACCAGTGTTAAATATATTGATTTGTAAGGATTTACTCTTGCAAGTGTAACTAAGGTTTTCATAATTCACACTAGATGAAGGCAGGTGTCTCTCAAGAAAACTTCAAATTTTACAAGATTTTTTGGTGAAACTCCAACTAGGGTAATTTTTTTCTGCTAAGATTTAAAATGGAAATTCTTAATATTTTGCAGCTTGGAAGAGTAATCTCTAAAACCTCAGTGTGATTTTCAGCTTCTGATTAGGATGTAGAAAGGTGAAAAGAATGATGCTCCCACCCTTAAGGTGAGAAATATTTGAATTATCTACAAAGTCATAAGTTGTTTTTAGCCCATCAGAGATGAAGTTGCATGGCAACCAAGTAAACTGATTCCAGAGAGGGACAAGCCCTCATGGATGGAAAGGACACACAAAAGTTTCATCTTTGACCAATCAAAAAATGAAGAGGAAGTCACCATATAATCATATAAGAAATCAGCTAAACTTTAATAAATTCTTAAAGGCTAAATGTGAGTAAATTGTAAGTTTAGAATAGCAGGAGGCCTCAGGCACAAGAAATTGTCATTTCTCAAACTCTTTTCCACGGACCTTTGTCTGTTGAAGGGAAAGACTGGGAACTGGGCAGAAGATGAGACAGACCCTCCTGCATAGTGCAGGCTTCGGGTAGTAATCGGTTGCTGCTGGGGAACAGGCAAAAAGCCTTGCCCAGTACCCAGAACATTCTTTCTTAGGAAGCAAAAGCTTTAAGCCACTATAGAAGAGACAGCACAACTGTCATTTCCACTAATCAGAGGCAAAAATGCACTGAGGCTTGGGAACAAGTGGAAGAATGCATCCTATATCTTTGGAAGAGTGCTAGGAAAGTGTTGTGGCTAAGGTTCTATACCAATAACAAGAAGAAGCCTTTAACTACTATAGAGTGGTAAATATTTCCACCCAAAACCAACCGCAGATCCAAGACAGAGTTTTATTGTTGTAGATGAGTTGGACACAATGCAAGAACACTAAGAATGCCCCATTTTGAGAAAAAAAAATTCAGCTTAATTCAATGACAGTAGTCTAAAACCAACATGACAAAAAGAAAAAGGAATGAAAACTTGGACTTCTTTCACACAGGACATACCTAAGATTGAATGAGGCTGAGCCAGGGCAACATAAAACATCCCACTTTTTACCCCTATGCCAAGCCTCATACCAAATAGTAAGCATCAGCTGTCTACATATTGAGTAAGGGAAAGAGGAAAGACAGAGAACACCTCGGCGGTACAGGAAGGTAAGGATGCTGAAAGCTGAGAGGGGAAGAGATACTAAACAAAATCCTCCAGCACCCCAGGACCCACCTTAAACCCAGCCAACATCAGCCATTCCTATGGGAATTTGAAGCCTGTGTAGACTGAAGGTAATGATAATCACAATAAAAATCTATATCTAGCTCAAACCCCTGACTAAAACAGTTCGCTCTCTCATACAAATTGTCGGACAAAATGATGTGCTCTTTTGCTGGCATAAATATTATTTTAAAAGTAATTACTGCTACCTACTTGATTTTGGAATAAAACATATGCTAGCCTTAGCTAGGCAATTTGTTTTTCTATATTTGGAAGTAGCATAATAAATAACAAGATTCTTAAAATTCTGATAGAATTTACTTATCTGAGGATTTGAAGGAATGATCTTTAATAGACTAAGAAGTAAATATTGAAATGATTGTTAGATACTTCCTGTAAAATCCTATGTTCTTTATCTTTAGTTCCTATTATTAATATTTCTTAGCTGTTGCAGTTCTTACATCTTTCCATCTCTAGCATTCACATTTATTATAATGAAGCTATTTTAATACTTAAAAATTCTTAATTGTGCATATTACACAGTCTCTCTTATTGTCTTGATTAACCTTCCACAGGTTTCTGTATCCTAAATGTTTTCTCAAAAACTAACTTTTGGTTAGATTAACATTCTTTGTTGTTGCTTTAAAGATTTTTGTTCATTAACTATTTCTATTGGGTTTCCTCCACTGCTCTTTCTCCAATTTTTAATTGAAAAATAGAGCTCATATAATTTTAATCTTTAATAATAAATATATTTCGGTGTACATATTTTTACCTAAAATTATATTATGTCATGTTGTCATGTAAATATTGCCCCTCTAGCTTTTCAGTATTTAAGCCTGGTGTGTTATAAAATAATTTTAATGTTAGTAGTTATATACATATATATTTTCTTTTAAATTTTAACTTATGTCAACAACATGTTTTGGCTCTTAATTATTAAAAAATTTATAAAAGTCAGGATCCTTTAATTACTGCTTTTAATCCATTTGCATTTATTGTCATTATTGTTACATTTAACTTAGTTCGGCCAATTTATGTCATATTATACATTTACTCACATTTTTTGTTTGTTTCCTTTCCCCATTTCTTCTATTTTTTGTCTATAGAATGGCTCACTATATTAGTTTAACAAGTATTTAAATTTATCTCTGTGGTAATTATCTTAACATTTTAAATAAGAAAATAAATATTACTTTCTTAAACTATTGATATCTGCATATTGTATCTAAAGATACATTTGCTTTGTCATAGTCATATGTTTCTTAGATTTCAATTTCATCTTTCTCATTATATAGATAATTTCTATAATTTCAATTCTGAATTGCTTTTGTTTTAAAATTTGCTTTCCCTTTATTTTTTCCTTGTTTTTCTCTTTTCTCTAAACTATAAACTGACTCTCTACTCAACTCTCTTCTTATGAAAATTGTATAAAATATTCATGGAGGTATCAAAAAGATTCCAAGGCATTAAAGATTACAGGGCTAAAATACTGAAGAAAACAGCACTTCAGAGAATTGAGAACAATATTGACTATCCCTTGACCCATGAAAGATTTTCTTACATGTATGTGGCTATTGATAGACCAAAAACCTAAGCAGAAATATTCATAGTCTTATAGTTTTAAGAGAATAAAATATATGGCTCAAGACTTATCAGTGAGAAAGGCCCATTTATACGCCCCAGGCTTCACTTGACACTTCAAAGGCTTAGTAATATTAATGGAAATAAATAGATTATCATTCACAATAATTGCAGTTCGGTCTCAAACCAGCTTAATCACTGATTGTATGAATATGATCTGTAACCCCCCCTTGATAACCCTCCAAAAAACAGAGTTAGAGTTAACCAGAATTAACTATTAGCTGCAATTTCATTAGAATATTAGAAATATTAAGGGCAAAAGCCACATTTAAATAGGTAAACTTAACATTTTTCAAAAATGTTGGAAGCCAGGCATGGCGGCTCATGCCTGTAATCCCAGCACTTTGGGAGGCTGAGGTGGGCGGATCGCCTGAGGTCAGGAGTTCCAGACCAGCCTGACCAACATGGTGAAACCCCGTCTCTACTAAAATACAAAAATTAGCCGAGCGTAGTGGTGGGCACCTGTGGTCTCAGCTACTTGGGAGGTCGAGGTGGGAGAATTGCTTGAACCCAGGAGGCGGAGGTTGCAGTGAGCCGAGATCGTGCCACTGCACTCCAGCCTGGGCAACAAGAGTGAGACTCTCTCAAAAAATAAATAAATAAATAAATAAAAAATAAAAAAGATGGAAAAACTATAAGTCACAGTCTCAGGAAGTGCCAGAGTGAAGCATGATAAATACAGAGACAACTACATAGCTCCTATTAGAGAATTAATGACAAAGAGACTGTCTCAAAAATAGTTCTAGAAAAAGGCATATTACCTTCAAAAAGTGGCAGTATGACCTAGGGATGAGTTCTCAAATGGAAGCCAACTGGTAACTAGAATTTTATTCCTAATAAAATATTATAGCGTAGAAGAAAAAATAAAATCATGTTCAGGAAAACAAAAAATAAGGGAACTATCTATATCATATATACATTACACTAAATGAAATAATAATGTATTTGAAGCAGAAGAAAAATTATTTTAGATGTAAATGTAGAAATTTAGAAATGAAATCAAGAAAAGGAAGGACAAAACATCTGGATAAATCTAAATAAATAGTGACTATAGAAATAAAATCCATCATATAAAATTTAAAATAAATATCAAGGAAACTACCTAACAAAATATCAAAAGTATCATAAGATCTTCATAGTCTAGGAAAAGTAATGAAAATTTTACCTTATACTCAGACACTAATAAGTCAAGGAATCATGAAATAATATCTAGGGCAAAATCAAAAGATACTTAGACTTATAGGAGATTATAAGGGCATATTGGAGAAAAAAATGCTTAATTGAGAAAAAAGGCAAGAAAGAGCAAGTCGAAAATACAACAGATGGAAAAATAGCAAAGTGGTAGACCACAATAAAAATATCTTGAGCTAAATATAAATGATTTTCATACTTCAGCTAATAAAAATATCTAAAATGAATTTTAAAAGTAATTAAATGTTTTTTATTAAAAATAAGAACAGGAAGTCTGAAAAAAATGTAAAAATGATCTGTTAGGCTGACATAACCAAAAGAAAGCTGAGATAGATGTACTAATAACAGATGAAATAAACTTAGTGGCAAGAAGCAGTACTAAGACAAAAGAATACCTTTCAAAATGATAAAATGAGCTGTATACCATGATGTGACAATTTAAAATTTGTATGCATGTAATAATGGGAGAAATATATGCATCCTTATCATACTGGGGACTTTTGCCCACTTTTCTTACACTGTTGGAATAAGTAGAAAAAAATGTAATTAAGAATAATAAAGAATTGGATATCTCTATTAGCAAATTTGATCTAATTGATATATATAGTATAATATTAAACTCGATAAACTTAAAATTGAATGTAATGAGAATGCACATTTAATATTTATTCAAATGGTCTCTGTTGTGTCATAGATCAAGCTGTGACAAATTTTCATATTTGAAAGTAGAAATAATACATTTTCTGACATCAGTTAAACTGTTAGAAATCATTTACAAAAGGACAACTTTATCCACAAATATTTTAAAATCAAGCAACATATTCCCAAATAATTCACAAGTCACAAAATTAGTCTCAATGGAAATTAGAAAATATTTTAAGAAAATGAGAATAAATGTATGACATATTGAATTTCAAGAAAATGGATATCCTTGGTTACGCAAAGTCATACAGATGGTAAAATGGCCATTGGAGACTCAGAGCGGGGAGGGTGATGGGAGTGAGGGATGGAAACTTGCCTAGTGGGTACAGGGTACACTATTCAGGTGATGACTATATTAAAAGCCCAGACTTCACCACAATACAATACAACCATGTAACCAAAAACCCTTTGTCCCTAAAACTATTGATTTTTTTAAAAAAATTATAGCCTTAATGGTGATATTGCAAAGAATAAAAGATTAAATGCCAATAGTCCAAATACCCACAGGTTGAAAACAGAACATGCTTAAAAATGGTACATTTAAAGAAGCTGAAAACCAAACAGTAAACCAAATCCAATGAAAATATAAGTCATACAAGAGATATTAATGGAAAATAATACATTCAAAAAGAATCACATAATCAAGGGGATCAAAAAAAGCCAAAAGTTTTTCCTTGTAATGTTAAAATAATCTTTTACAAAATTCAGAGACCAAAAAAAAGTGTGTGTGAGAGAGAGAGAGGGAGGGAGGGAGCACAGTAATATAAAAAGAAAAGGTATTACTACTGATCCTACAGAAGAAAGAAATTCAAAGTTATGAGCTACATTATTGCAGTACATATTTGACAATTTAAATAAAATTTGTAAAAAACTTGAAAAATGTCACTTACCAAAACTGACATGAGAAGACATAAAAATCGGAATATTCCTGTAACTATTTTTAAAATCCATAATAAATAACTTTTTCTCATATATGTACAAAAGTTCTAGGTCCAGATGTTTCACTAGAGAATTCTCCAAAACATATTAATAGGAAAGAAAACTAACATTACTTACATATTTCCCCTATTGAAAAATTTCTCAGCTTGTTTTATAAGGTTACCGATAATTTTAACATAGAAATGTGAGAAGGACATTAGAAGAAAAGACAGTAACAGGCCAATCTCTCTTACAACCTAGCTAAAAATAATTTAAATTAAATATTATACATAAAACTCAGCAATATATAAACCGCAAACATAGGTTGGGCTTGTTACAGGAATGAACGTGTTTTAATATTCAAAATTTTAAAACTGCAGTGTGTTTTCTTAACAGAATAAAAGCCAAAAATTATATGACATTCTCTATAACTAAAAAAAAAAACAAAACTCCAAAGTCTATGAGTGACAAAACCTATTACCTAAGTTGCAATGATGAAAAAAATATTTAAATTATTAAAGGCTACCTCCAAAATGACTGTGATGAACATTTTCCTGCTGACATTGGGAATGAGAAAATGATACTATGATCAACTTTGTTCAACCTTACACCTGACAAAATTGCTAGTGAGAAAGTAAAGAAGAAATAAAAAAGATATAAGAACTTGAGGAGAAGTAATTAAGCTAATTTTTCACCAAAAAAATGAATAACTTACAGATAAACTATTATATGAATACATTTACAAGGTATGTGCCTATAAGATAATATTTGAAATCAATCGTATTTCTTTTTTAAGGAAAGAAGAACTTCTAAAATTGAAATTTGAAAAAAATGATACCTCTAACAATAACATCAGAAATATCAATTATACAGGAATTAATTTACTAACTAGAATACAAAATCTGAAAATGAAAACCCAGAAAGCATTATGAGAAAATTGTTGAAAGTCAGGACATTAGTTACCTGGAAAAGGTAGGCAAATATTATCCTAGGAATGAGTTTAGGAGAATTCTGGGTTATCAGTAATAGCTAATTCCCTAGCCTGCATGGTTATTTATGTTTTTACTTTTTAAAATTTTATAATATCCATTGAATGTTTATTATGTTATACCCATTGAGATCTATGTTTATGATTTGTATATTTTTTAGGGGTGTGAAACAACAATAAAACATTTATTAAAAAGAAAATTAATGAATAACAGTAAATTTTATTATGACATCAGATGATTTGTACATCTGATAGTTCTTGACATACCATCTATATTTGACTTTCTTGTTTGAATAATTTCTCTAAAAATGTTTTTAGTACCCTGCTTTGGGTAGCAAACCACTTGAGGGAGGATGTGTGTGGGAATATTTTTAAAAATGCTCTCAATGTTCAATAGCATTTTATTTGGATATAAAATTCTACATTATAGCTGTTTTCCTTCTATAATTTTTTTATAAAATATATTTCTATAGGTTATTGGGGAACAGGTGGTGTTTGGTTACATGAGTAAGTTCTTTAGTGGTGATTTGTGAGATTTTGGTGCACCCATCACCCAAGCAGTATATACTGCACCCTCTTTGTAGTCTTATCCCTCACCCCCTTCCCACCTTTTCCCCTTGAGTCCCTAAAGTCCATTGTATAATTCTTATGCATTTTCATCCTCATAGCTTAGCTCCCATTTATGAGTGAAAACATACAATGTTTGATTTTCCATTCCTGAGTTACTTCACTTAGAATAATAGTCTCCAATCTCATCCAGATTGCTGCAAATGCCATGAATTCATTCCTTTTTATGGCTGAGTAATATTCTATTGTGTGTGTATACACACACACACACACACACACACACACACACACACACACCCCACAGTGTCTTTATCCACTTGTTGACTTATGGTCATTTGGGTAGGTTCCAGGTTTTTGTAATTGCGAATTGTGCTGCTATAAACACACATGTGCAAGTATCTTTTTCGTGTAATGACTTATTTTCCTCTGGGTAGATATCCAGGAGTAAGATTTCTGGATCAAATGGTAGTTCTACTTTTAGTTCTTTAAGGAATTTCCACACTGTTTTCCATAGTTGCTGTACTAGTTTACATTCTCACCAGCACTGTAGAAGTGTTCCCTGATCACCGCATCCATGTCAATATCTGCTGTGTTTTGATTTTTTGCTTAGGGCTATTTTTGCAGGAGTAAGGTGGTATCTCACATTGTGGTTTTGATTTGCATTTCCCTGATCATTAGTGATGTTGAGCATTTTTTCATATGTTTATTGGCCATTATATATATCTTCTTTTGAGAATTGTCTATTCATGTCCTTAGTTCACTTTTGATGAGATTGTTTTTTTTCTTACTGATTTCTTTGAGTTCCTTGTAGGTTTTGGATATTAGTCTTTTGTCAGATGTATAGATTGTGAAGATTTTCTCTCACTCTGTGGGTTGCCTGTTTACACTGCTGACCATTCCTTCGGCCTTGCAAAGGCTTTTTAGTTTAATTATTTCCCACCTATTTATCTTTGTTTTTATTGCATTTGCTTTTGGGTTCTTGTCATGAAATCCTTGCCTAAGCCAATGTCTAGAAGTGTCTTTCCAATGTTATCTTGTAGAATTTTTACAGTTTCAGGTCTTAGATTTATTTATTTATTTATTTTTGAGATAGAGTCTTAGAGTCTTGCTCTAGCCCCAGGCTGGAGTGCAGTGGTGCAATCTCAGCTCACTGTAGCCTCTGCCTCCTGGGTTCAAGCGAGTCTCCTTCCTCAGCCTCCCAAGCTGGGATTACAGGCGCATGCCACCACGCCTCGTTTACTTCTGTATTTTTTTAGTAGAGATGGGGTTTTGGCCATGTTGGCCAGGCAGGTCTTGAACTCTTGACCTTAGGTGATCCGCATGTCTCAGCCTCCCAAAGTGCTGAGATTAGAGGTGTGAGCCACAGCACCCAGCCAGATTTTAGTTCTTAATCCACTTTGAGTTCATTTTTGTAGAAGGTGAGAGACGAGGATCCAGTTTCATTTCCTACATGTAGCTAGCCAATTATTCCAGCACAATTTGTTGAATAGGGTGTCTTTTCCCCACTTTGTGTTTTTGTTTGCCTAGTCAAAGATCAGTTGGCTGTTAAGTATTTGGGTTTATTTCTGGGTTCTCTTTTAATATGCCATTACCTTCTTGCAATGCAGTTGCAGTAAAAGTTTGATAGAATGCTTTGGTCCTCTGCAGGTGACTACTTATTCTCAGTTATTATTATCTTATAGTTAGAATTTTGTTTTGACTTAACCGAATTGGCTTAGAAACAGAAGGCACATTCTTTTCAAGAGCATATAGGATATTTTACAAAATAAAACAACCATATGCTGGCTGTATAGCAAGTCACAGTCAATTTCAAGGAATTTAAATCATTCAGATTGTGTCCTCTGGCCAAAACATCTGGAGAAAAGCAGCATATTTTGTTTCTTTGTTTAAAATTCTGTAGAGCATATATGTATAATTTCTGTTATTTCTGATAAATGTAAGATAGTGTTAAATTGGTCTAGTACTTCTTTTCTGTCCTCCTTGCACAGTCACCCTTACTGTACTGTTTTTGGATTTCTTGTGGTTTGTGTTGTGACACAAGCCTAATTTTTCCTCAGGTTTTAAAGCCTGCTACTTGTTTCTGAAGTACTGAGTCGTTGCTCAAGCTAATATTTATATATATATATCCATATCTTATCATTTCACCAAATGTAGATAGTTAAAAATTTTCAAAGTTGACATTGATACATTTATTCCAGTAGTTACATTTATTATGCCTTAGAAAGTAGTAAGAAAAGGACTAAAAAACAGACTGGAATTTGGCAATTCAGGAATCAAATAATTAGGTTTTAAAAGATATTGTCGATTCTCCTGCCTCAGCCTCCTGAGTAGCTGGGACTACAGGCGCCTGCCACCACGCCCGGCTAATTTTTTGTATTTTTAGTAGAGACGGGGTTTCACCGTGTTAGCCAGGATGGTCTCAATCTCCTGACCTTGTGATTCGCCCGCCTCGGCCTCCTAGAGTGCTGGGATTACAGGCGTGAGCCACCGTGCCCAGCAGAGCTTGCTGTCAACTGAGATCGCGCCACTGCACTCCAACCTGGGCAATAGAGCGAGACTCCATCTCAAAAAAAAAAAAAAAAGAAATATAAATAAATAAATAAATAAAAAGATATTGTCTAAAGAAATGTAGACAAGCATGACATTTGTCACTACAATGCTTATTCTTCACAATTTAGACATTGATTAGGTAGGGGTTATGAGAGCAGGAATGAAATAGAGACAAATTAAGATAATATGAATGTAAACTTAAGGTTGACTCTAGATTTCCAAACCAAAGAAAGTGTTATTTATTATAATGAAAATGAAGAAAAGGTGCAACTTTGTGGTTGAAGTGAATTTACAATAGACGAAAACACTGAGCCAAGGGAATGTCTCCCAGACTCAAAATAGTGAAATAAAATGAGCCAGTGAATATAACAGTGAAAACTTCAAAAATTTGAAGCAGAACTGTAAACCTGCAATGTCACAGAAGACAAAGGCTTCCATGAGTATTGGCTATAGCAAATAAGCAATTACTTATGAACATAAAGAATAACTGACTTGGGGCAGTAATGACTATTATTTCCTAGTTCCTGAATATTTCTGACAAGAAAAGCAGTAATTTGGATCAACCGTTATATTTTGATAAATACTTTACTTTCTAATTCTACATATTTCTGCATTTCAATTTAGGTGAGATGGCTATAGTAATTTTTAAATCACCTATTATTTCCTTTCTATCTAGTTGAATTGTTTTTGAAGTCAAAGTCAAACCTCTTTTGACTTTATGTATGCCATTTAGTTCTTACTGAGGAGCATCAGCATGCTGTTGAAACCTCTATTTAATTTACCTATTTTAAAAGTTTTTCTAAAATCCTTTCATGAATATTATTTCCTTTTGTTACTACATCACACTTCTCAAAAAATTATATACCAAGAAATAGAACTGGGCACATGCACAAAGCAATGCAGTAGTATTAAGGAAGGAAATTGAGGAAGAAATACATATATCTAAAACAATCCTTCGTTAAACCAAGATAATTAAAAGATAGACTACATTTAATGAAATTTTAAAATCACATATTACTAGATGATGACTGGAAAAGAAAACCTTTTGAAAAATAAAGACTCATAATTTTGAACTACTTTATATTGAATTAGAAGTTCAGTTAACAATAACCAACCAAGTAAATTTTAGTAATTGAAATGAGGTACCAGAAGGAATAAGTCAAGAAAGAAAGCAGAGAAAATTTAGGATAATTAAAGAAAATTATGATTCAAAGGTAAATAAAATTTAGGCATTGAGTCTATGTAAACGGAATAGAATTAAATAGTAAAGAGAACAGAATATAAGGAATAACAGATAAAACAGGCACAAGGCCAGTCGCGATGGCTCACGCCTGTAATCCCAGCACTTTGGGAGGCTGAGGCGGGCATATCACGAGGTCAGGAGTTTGAGACCAGCCTGGCCAACATGGTGAAACCCTATCTCTACTAAAAATACAAAAATTAGTCGGGCATGGTGGCACAAGCCTGTAATCCCCGCTACTGCAGAGGCTGAAGCAGGAGAATCACTTGAACTAGGGAGTGGAGTCTGAGGTTACAGTGAGCCGAGATTGTGCCACTGCACCCCAGCCTGGATACAGAGTGAGACTTCATCTAAAAAAAAAAAAAAAAAAAAAAGTAGCTTAATATTATATTTTAATATCAAATGGAAGATACAGAAAAGAAGGATTTTTTTTTTTAAAGAAAAAATAGTTTTATAAGACCTCTTTATAGCCCATTACAGAATAAATATGTCAAAGAAATGTTTGCCATTTGGTTGTTTTTATGTTTTGGTCCTATTGTTCAACAAGAAAAAGGAAAATAACATTTGCATAAAACAATTGTACAAGTCATTTTACATGAAAATTCAAATTATAGTTACCAATTGGCTTTTACTTACAGAAAAAGAAGTTTAGAGTAATATAAAGTTTTGATAATATGGGAATATAACTGTAAGTAAATGTGTTGGTGAAGCTCTATAGAAGTGGTTCATCCTTTGAGAATGTCAATAAATGCTCCAGGAAGAACTTTTTTATTTAGGAAGATAAAATATAAATGAACTAAAGTACTAAAATATGAACTAAAAACGAAAATGTGAAACAACTAAAAAGTGGAAAGGAATAGATTAGTAAGTGGAGAGGGAGGCAATTTGATGGGGATATTTGAAAAAATTGGAGGATACATGGATTGAGAGAAAGAAAATCCAGGTTGGAGGAAAACTTTAAAAACACTTGAAAACCACATAGAAAACACGCAAGAAAAATGTGAAAGAAAATATAAAACCACAACTGAGAACTATAACTGAAATTATAATCATTTTTCACTATATAATAATATATGTTTTTACCAACCCTTGGAATAATGTTTTCTAAAATTTGAATTTATTTATATAGAGAATGATAATACACAACCTTACAACAAAATATATAATTTAAAAATCCTACTTATTTGATTTGAAAGACTTCTAGAAATTAACAAAATTATTACATAGGTTTGATTTCTCATATTTTTTACTTAACATTAAACTCAATTATTTTCTAACAGTTTTGTACATCAAAAGTCCAGGCAGACTCCACCGGTTTTTTTACTTAGGAACTCACAGGGTGATACGGAAGATATGGCTAAGTTAAGTTTTTATCTGGAAACTAGGGGAAAAGTCACCTCTAAGCTCATTCAGGTTATTGGAAGAATTCAGTTTCTTGTGGTTGTAGCACTGAGGCTCACATTTCCTCTGGATGTCCACTTGGGATTGCACAAGCTGCTAGAAGACACCCTTTGATTCTTGCATGTGGCCCTTTTCCGTCTTCAAAGGCAGCAACAATACACTGAACCCTTTTTGTGATTCAAATCACTTTGACTTCTCGGGCTGCAAGCCAGGTAAGACTCCTTTTTTCCTTCGTTTAACTTTTATTTCAGGTTCAGTGGTACATGTGCAGATGTGTTATATAGGTAAACTCGTGTCATGAGGCTGTGGTATACAGAACATTTCATCACCCAGGTACTAAGCATAGTACCCAGTATGTATTCTTTCTAAATCCTCTCTCTCCTTCTGCCTTCCACCTTCTAGTAGGCCCCAGTGTTGGTTGTTCCTGTCCATGTATTCTCATTATTTTGCTCCCACTTATAAGTGAGAACATGCAGTCTTTGGTTTTCTGTTCCCGCATTAGTTTGCTAAGAATAATGGTCTCCAGTTCCATCCATGTTGCTGCAAAGGACATGATTCCATTCTTTTTATGGCTGCATAGTATTCCATGGTGTATATGTACCACATTTTCCTTATCTAATCTACTGTTGATGGGCCTTTAGGTTGATCCATGTATTTGTTATTTTGAATAGTGCTGCAATGGACATATGTGTGCATGTATCTTTATGGTAGAACAATTTGTTTTCTTTTGAATATATATCCAGTAATGGTGTTGGGTCAAATGGTAATTGTGTTTTTAGTTCTTTGAGGAATCACTACACTGCTTTCCACAATAGCTGAACTAATTTGCACACCCACCAGCAGTGTATAAGTGTTCCCTTTTCTCCACAACCTCGCCAAAATCTGTTGCTTTCTGATTTTGTAATAGTAGCCATTCTGACTGGTGTGAAATGGTATCTTGCTGTGGTTTTGATTTGCATTTATCTAATGAGTGGATGTTAAGGTTTTCACATATGCTCGTTGGCAGCATGTATGTCTTCTCTTGAAAAGTGTCTGTGCATGTCCTTTATCCACTTTTTACTTAGGTTGTTTTTATTTTTTATTTTTTTTTCTTGTTAATTGGTTTAAGTTCCTTACAGATTCTGGATATTAGACTTTTTTCAGAAGCCTACGTTGCAAAATTTTTCCCCCATTCTTTAGGTTGTCTGTTTACTCTGTTGACAATTTCTTTTGCTGTGCAGAACCTCTTTAGTTTCATTAGATCCCATTTGTCAGTTTTTGCTTTTGTTGCAATTGCTTTTAGCACCTTCATCATGGAATCTTTGACAGTTCCTATATCCAGAATGGCATTTCCTAGGATATCTTCCAGAGTTTTTATAATTTTGGGTTTCACATTCAAAGTATTTAATTCATCTTGAGTTGATTTTTATATATGGTATAAGGAAGGAGTCCAGTTTCAATCTTCTTGCATATGACTAGCCAGATATCCCAGCACCATTTATTGAATGGGAAGTTCTTTCTTTCTTGCTTGTTTTTGTTGGCTTTGTTGAAAATTAGATGGCTGTAGATGTGTGGCATTATTTCTGGGCTCTCTCTTCTGTTCCATTGTTCTATGTGTCTGTTTTTGTACTAGTGTTATGCTACTTGGGTTACTGTGCCCTGTAGAAGAGTTTGAAGTCACATAATGTGATGGTTTCAGTTTTGTTCTTTTTGCTTAAGATTGCCTTGGCTATCCAGGGTCTTCTTTGAGGGCTAGGTGAATTTTAAAAATAGTTTTTTTCTAGTTCTGTGAAGAATGTTGTTGGTAGTTCCATAGCAATAGCATTGAATCTGTAAATTGCTTTGGGCAGTATGGTCATTTGAATGCCTAATTTATTAAAGGTATTTAACATGTAGCAGTGTTGAGTGCATCTATTGTGATAATAATGTGGTTTTTGCTTTTTATGCATCTATTGAGATAATCATGTGGTTTTTGTCTTTAGTTTACATGATTAATCACATTTATTGATTTGCATATATTGAACCAACCTTGCATCTCTGGGATAAGGTCTACTTGATCATGGTGAATTAGCTTTTTGATGTCTTGCTGCATTCTGTTCGCTAGTATTTTGTTGAGGATTATTGCATCTATGTTCATCAAGGATATTGGCCTGAAGTTTTTTTATTTTTTTTTTATTTTGCTGTTTCTCTGCCAGGTTTTGGTATGAAGATGATGCTGGTCTCATAGATGATGATGCTGGTCTCATAGAATGAGATGGAGAGGAGTCCCTATTCTTCAATTTTTTGGAATAGTTTCAGTAGGATTTGTACCAGCTATTCTTTCAATATCTACTAGAATTCGGCTGTGAATCCATCTAGTCCTTGGCATTTTTGTTTGGTAAGCTATTTATTACTGATTCAGTTTTGAAGCTCATTATTGGTCTGTTCAAGGATCAATTTCTTCCTGCTTCCATCTTGGGTGGATGTATGTGTCCAGGAATTTATCGATTTTTCCTACATTTTCTATTTTGTGTACATAGAGGTGTTTAAAGTAGTTTCCGGTGTTTTTTTTTTCCCTCTGGTATCAATGGTAACATCTTCTTTGTCATTTCTGATAGTATTTATTTGGAGCTTCTCTCTTTTCTTACAAGTCTAGGTATCCATATATCTATTTATTGATTTTTTCAATGATCCAACTCTTGGATTTGTTCATCTTTTATGTTTTTTTTTTTTTATGTCACAAACTCCTTCATTTCAGCTTTGATTTTTGTTATTTCTTTTCTTCTGCTAGCTTTGAGGTTTGTTTGCTCTTGCTTCTCTGGTACTTCTAGTTGTAATGCTGGGTTTTTAGTTTGATATCTATCATTTTGATGTGCACATTTAGGGCTACAAATATCCCTCTGAATACCACTTTAGCTGTGTCCCAGAGATTCTTGCTTGTTTTATCTTTTTGTTATTTTCAAAGAATATCTTGGTTTCTTCCTTAATTTTATTGTTCACCCAAAATTCACTTAGGAGTAGGTTGTTTAATTTCCATGTAATTGTATGGTTTTGAGTGATTTTCTTTGTACTGAATTCTGTTTTTATTGCACCGTTGTCTGAGAGTGTCGTTTGTATGATTTCAGTGAAGATTGGTTTATGTCTGATTGTGTGTTCCATTTTACAGTATGTGTCATGTGGTAATGAGAAGAATGTATATTTTGTCATTTTTGGATAGAGTGTTCTGTAGATGTCTATTAGGTCCATTTGATCAAGTATTGAGTTCGAGTCCTGAATATCTTTATTAATTTTCTTTCTTAATGATCTGTCTAATACTGTTAGTAGGGTGTTGAAGTCTTCCACTATTATTTTGTAGAAATCTACGTCTCTTTGTAGGTCTCTAAGAACTTGTTTTATGAATCTATGTGCTCCTGTGTTGGGTGCATGTATATTTAGGATAATTAGGTCTTTTTGTTTAATTCAACCTTTTACCATTATGTAATGACCTTCCTTGTCTTTTTTGAGTTTTGTTCGTTCAAAGTCTGTTTTGTCTGAAATTAGGATTGTCACCTCTGCTTTTTTATGTTTTCCTTTTGCATGGTAGATTTTTTTTCCGTCCATTCATTTTGAGCCTATGGGTGTCATTGCATGTAGGATGGGGCTCTTAAATTCAGTATACCATTAGGTCTTTTTCTTTATCCAGCTTGCCACTCTGCCTTTTCATTGAGGCATTTAGGCCATTTACATTCAAGGTTATTATTGATATATGTGGATTTGATCCTCTCATCCTGTTCTTAGCTGATTATTATGCAGACTGGTTTGTGTGGTTGCTTTATAGTGTCACTGATCTGTGTACTTAAAGGTGTTTTTGTAGTGGCTGATAATAGTCTTTCCTTTCCGTATTTACTACTCCTTTCAGGAACTCTTGTAAGGCAGTCTGGTGGTAATGAATTCCCTCTGCATGTGTTTGTTTGAAAAGGATCTTATTTTTCCTTCACTTATGAAGCTTAGTTTGGCTCCATCTGAAATTCTTGGCTGAAGATTTTTTTTCTTTAATAATGTTGAATATAGACCCCCAATCTCTTCTGGCTTATAGGATTTCTGCTGAAAGTTCTGCTTTTAGCCTGATGGGGTGCCCCTTGTAGGTGATCCGCCTTTTTTCATTAGCTTACTTTATCATTTTTTCATTCATTTTGGCCTTGGAGAATCTGATGATTATGTGTCTTGGGGATGGACTTCTTTTTTAGCATCTTGTAAAGGTTCTCTATATTTTTTGAATTTGAATGTTGGTCTTTCTAGAGAGGTTGAGGAAATTTTCGTAGATGATATCCTGAAATATGTTTTCTGAGTTGGTTGCTTTCTCCCCATGTGTAGAGCACACCACAGCCACCATTTAGAGAAAAGCCCCATTTCTTGCTGCTATGGGCCCTTGACCCCCTGTTCCCCAACAAGCAGAGCCCCTAGCTCAGGCAAGCAGTGCAGCTGCTTCACCCTCTGGCTGAACACTCCCAGTAGCAGCAGCTCCACATTTCTCAGAGGTGGAGCTCCCAGGGGCAACCAAAAGTCCCTCTGCCACTGCCTCTCCAGTTTAACTTCCCTGTTTACCCTTGAACTAGGGAAGGAGACTCCAAGTGCTTTATCCAGCAAGTTGTAGTTGCTCTAAGGAGAGGAGGCCAGTCTGTCTCCCATGGGTCCTACCACATTCTCTGCTAGTCACCAGACAGGATCCCCCCAGCTTGGGCTCACAGTGCAGCTGCCCCATGCCAGGCTGATCATGCTAATTGATTGCAGTTCTGCATCTTTCTGCAATGGAGCCCCAAGTGACAAGAAAAGACCTTGAGCCACAGGGTCTCCTTCCCTGCTGCTTCCAAGCTGGGGAAGTAACATAAAGCCTATGATCATTTCAGAACTATGGTGTGCAGCCTGGATGCACCAAGCCAAGATCTGCAGCGAGCACTCAGGTGGGAGAGGAGCCTACACTGACATTCAAAACATTGAGAGGAAGCATAGCTGCAACCCATGAGGAAATACGGAGGAGCCACATGACTGAGCAGGAGCCTACACAGTGACCATTACACTTCAGCACCAGCTACTAGATCACACCCCAAAACTTCAACACCAAAAGTACTTTGCTATCATACCCCACTGTGAAAAGAAAGATGAGAATTTAGCTACAAATAAAGGCCCTGAACAAAGCCTCAGGACTCTGAAAACATGTAGGAAAGAAGTCTACTGACTGTACTCAATTTGCACTGCAATTAAAGGAACACCCACACACACACAGATGAGAAAGAACCTATGCAAGATCTCTGGCAACTCAAAAGGCCAGCATGTCTTCTTTCCTCCCAAAGATCACACTAGTTCCCCAGCAAGGGTTCTTAACTAGGCTGAGATGGCTGAAATGACATAAATTGATTTCAGAATATAGCTAGGAACAAAGATCATTGAAATTCAGGGGAACATCGAAACCTAATTCAAGGAAGCTAAGTGTATTAGTCTGTTATCACCCTGCTATAAAGAACTTCTGAGACTGGGTAATTTATAAAGGAAAAAGATTTAATTGACTCACAGTTCTGAATTGCTGGGGAGGCCTCAGAAAACTTACAATCATAGCTGAAGGTGAAGGAGAAGCAAGTACCTTCTTCACAAGGTGGCAGAAGAGTGAGAGTGAAGGGGGAGGGTCACTTTTAAACCATCGGATCTCTTGAGAACTCACTCACTATCATGAGAACAGCATGGGGGAAACCGCCCCCATGATCCAATCACCTCCCACCAGGTTCTTCTCTCAACACATGGGGATTACAGTTCGAGATAAGATTTGAATGGGAACACAGAGCCAAACCATATCACTAAGAAACAAACACAGAAAATAATTCAGGTGCTGATAGGTGAAATAGCCGGTATAAAACAGAACCAAACTGACTGGCTAGAGTTGGAAAACACACCACAAGAATTTCATAATGCAGTCACAAGTATTAACAGCAGAATGGACCAAGTTGAGGAAAGGACCTCAGAGCTTGAAAACTGGCTCTCAGAAATAAGACAGTGGGGCAAAAATAAATAAAATTTTACAGAGCTCATTGTATTAGATTAGGTACACTTGGATAATCCTCCTGTCTTCACATCAACTGATTATTAACATTAATTACATCTGTGCAATCCATTTTGCCATGTAATACAATATAATCATCAAAGTAACACTGGGAGGCTAAGGTCATGACCATCTAATATTCTGTATACCACACAATTGTATTGCTTTTTGAGGTCATTGAACAGTTTCAGAATTCATGAAATTTGGATATTCACTATAAATAAGATAGATATGGCTAGTAAGAAGAAAAATATAGGGATTCTATACTTAAAAGATACAGCTATTTCCATTTATATAATTGTCACAATAAAAATTTAAATGTGAATAAGTGAATAGCAAGTATAGAAAGTTTAGCAAAATAATGAGAATTAGATATATTAAAGAATTTTTAAGATAGTCTAAGAAAAAGTGTAATATTTGTCATTTATCCTGAAATGTCAAAAATTTTCCTAAGCAGAACTACTCACCACTGATTTCTCAGTTTCATCCCTGAAAAAAAAAAAAATCATTCAAGTGGATTTATTTTGGCAAAGTGAAACTGTGAATTGCTTGGCTCCAGAACAGCTGCCCATACTCGGCAGGACTGCATTCCCACACTCCGTTCACCCCTACCCCATCCCTTCCAGGAACACTTGGACTAGGATCCAGCTCTAGACCTGCAAGAAGTTGTGTTCCAGCTCTTAAATCATTAGTAGGACCAGATTTTACTCAAAAAACTATTCTAGCATTTGAAATTATTTCCACTGCTTTGTTGCTTACACTGAAAGCGTCCCTCAAAAAATATAAGAAATAGAATATGAGACCTGCTTATTCTTCAGGACAAAATTCAGGATGGTGTATCTAATAAATGGATTGTGATTATGAAAATGGTTTTATATCTGTCCCTAGATTCTTCTGTTTTTCTCAGGCCTCTATGAATCTTTCTCTCTGAGAGATCCCGACTTGCTGAGAGCAAGAACTATTGAAAGGAAATGAAGTAAATAACTGATGGTTGCCCGTGGCAATTAGGAAAATAAAGAGCAAACTTCCCTCTTTGAATATTACTTAGTGTCAAGACTTAATTATAATCCTTGACTATACAAGTCTAAATATTTGGGCACTTATATTTTGTATTTGGGCATATGATATTACAAAATAATTTTGAGAGCTAAGAAACATACATATGTATTTTAGAACTCCAATACCAGTATCTTTCTCAGTAGCATATAGTTTTCCAATCTGTTGGAAAAAGCTTGGCTTCAACTAGGAGAGATAAGTAATAGAGCTAGAGTTTCAGTTCTGTTCAATATGAATAATAATATTTCACCAGTAAAAATTAAATATGTATAGTCATGTGCCCTTTAGTAATACTATGTTCTGAGAAATGCGTTGTTAGGCAATTTTGTCATTATGCAAACATCATAGATGTTTACAAAACCTTGACAACATAGTCTGCTACACATCTAAGCTATATGAGATATAGCCTATTGCTCCTAGGCTACACAACTGTACAGCATGTGACTATACTGAACACTGTAGGCAATTGTAACATAATGGCAAGTATTTGTGTATTTAAACATATCTAAACATAGAATAGGTATAGTAAAAGTACAGCATAAAAGATGGAAAATGTTACATCTGTATTGGAACTTCCCATAAATGGAGCTTGAAGACTAAAAGTTACTCTGGATAAGTCAGTGAGTGAATGGCGAGTGAATGTGAAACCCTAGGACATTACTGCATACGATTGTGGATTTTATAAAAATGATACACTTAAGGACCATGAAATTAACATTATCTTACTATACCTTTTAATCTAATATATTTTAACGCTTTTATATGTTTTAACACTTTGATTTTTTTATAATAACATTTAGCTTAAACACATTGTGCAGCTATACAAAAATATCATCTTCTTTTATAGCTCTGTTTTATAAGACTTTTTCCTTTTTTTTTTCAGCTTTGTACACCTTTTTGTTAAAAAGTAAAATGCAAACACACACATTAGCCTTGGCCTACACACGATCACGATCATCGATATAATTGTGTTTTACCTTCACACCTTGTCCCACTGGAAGGTCTTCAGGGGCAATAGCATGCATGGAGCTGTAGTCTGCTGTGATAACAATGCCTTCTTCTGAAATATCTCCTGAACGACCTGCCTGAGACAGTCTTACAGATAATTTTTTTTAAAATAAATAAGAGTATACCCTAAGAGAACATTAAATAGTAAAGTATATACATAAATGAGTAACATAGTAATTTATTATCACTATCAAGTATTATGTGTTGTACATAATTATATGCGCTATACTTGTATATGATTGGCAGCACGATAGGTTTGTTTATATCAGCATCACCAAATGCACTTGAGTAATGCATTGAGCTTTGAAGTTATAATGGCTATTATGTCACTACATGGAAGATATTTTTCAGCTCCATTAGAATCTTATGGGACCACTATTGTAAATGCAGTCTGTCATTGACCAAAGCATTATTATGTGGGGCATGACTGTATACGTTTCAAAGAAATTGGTTTTCCCTTTCATTCTATTACTGTTCCACCACTAGCTGTTTTGTACGTTTCTCTTTCTGTGCTGTTCATTAAATGTAGAACTCCTCTAAATGCATTTCTTTTATTTATCCTGTCCCAGAACAATCTCATTAACATTCCTTGGAAATGGTTCCTCTCATCAGGAATACTCTTCTGAGGCCTGTACCTGAATGACCATTTGTCCCCATTAAGACTCATTTGGGGGCAAGTAACATAAATGGAGAAAAAAAGTAGACTAAAGTAACTAAGCCCAAGGGTAGTATGATTTAAGCTAAAGGTGATTTCAGACTCCAAGTAAAGTAATCAGGGCTCAGCTTATCTCCATTTGTTATCTCTTCTTCTAGTGGGTTGGACCCATTTTCAAAGAATCCTTTCCCTTACATAGCAGTCCATATAGAATCTCACTTCAAATTCAGTTTAAAGAAAAAAAAAATTTATCTTCAAAGGCAAAACCAAAGTCTGGCACCAGATTTCCATTGACCCAGACTGGATGCTGGTATTGGATGCTCTATTATGCTCAAGTGAGATAAATAGCCATTTCTGGCCCTCTTTTTAGTTGTTTACAATGCCCCACTTTGGAGAAATGCTGGAGTGCATTTAAGAAGGTTCTATTCATGAATAGAAGAATCTCAGCTGTATAGAAAATGATTTATTTGAAATTACATGCTATAAAAACTTCCCAAGCTCATTGCTTTTTGGATCGACTCTGTCTCTTCTACTTCCTTGTATTGCTGTCTGGAAGAATCATGGCTCACAATGGTGCAAAGCTTTTTATCCTGATATCTGGAGTAAATTGATCTGAGTTTATATTAGGTTGGATCTTAGTGCCCATATTATCTACTGGGAGATTCCCAGCCTGGTATGATGGAGATTAGAAGAGAGTAAATTAGCTTTTACAAGTCAGTCTCTCAATATTTATTTAGTGAGTGAGTGGACAAGTGAATGAATATTTCTTGGAGGTATTATTCATTTTGTGTTCCCTTCATACTTCAAATTATTTTATACCTTTAGTAAGAAATGGATACTGACATGGCTTTAACGAGTCTCCTCCAAGATTCAAGTGTTACCAATGTGATAGTATTAAGAGGTCAGGCCTTTAAGAGGTGTTTAGGCCATGAGAGATCCTCCCTCATGAATGGGATGAGGTGATCTTATAAAGGGTCTTGACAGAGAGAGTTGGTTCTCTCTTGCCCCTTCCACATTCCACCATGTCAGGATGCATCAATAAGACCTCAGAGCCTGGTATCTTGATCTTGGACTCCCTAGCCGCCAGGATAGTAAGAAGTAAATTTCTGTTCTTTATAAATTACTCAATGTATAGTATTCTGTTTTAGAAGCACAAAATGGTCTGAGACACATAATTTTACCCTTTCTAAATCCAAAATGAGTGCAATTTTATCATAAAGTTTTATCATTTCTCTAATAAAAATGTTTTTAAATTGAAAGTCCACAAATGCATATATATTTACATGCATATCTATATGAAGGTCAAACTTTGATTCTGCATTGTTTCGGCTTTCTTCTTTGTATTACTTTTCTCCAAAGAGTAAAATACACACTTGTTTTATTCCCTTATTCCTACAGCACCTAACATAATTCTTACTAAAAAATATTATTTAATGAAGAAAATTATTATATAATACATTTTGTTGATACATTATTTTCTACATATTATGTGTCAGTTTTGTTCCTTACTATCCTCAGCTGGAATCCATTTGAAGAGACAGAACTGTATTGTGTAGAGTCAAGCAATACATAGTAGGATACCATACATACTGTAGGGTTTGGCTCTGTGTCCCCACCCAAATATCACCTTGAATTGTAATCTCCATAATCCTCATGTGTCAAGAGCAGGACCAGATGGAAGTAAGTAGATCATGGAGGTGGTTTCCCCCATGCTGTTCTCATTATAGTGAGTGAGTTATCTTGAGATTTGATGGTTTTATAAGCATCTGACATTTCTCCTGCTTGCACTCATTGAGTCTTGCCACCCTGTGAAGAAGGTACCTGCTTCTCTTGCATTCTGCCATGATTGTAAGTTTCCTGAGGCCTCCCCAGAACTGTGGGTCAATTAAACCTATTTTCTTTATAGATTACTCAGTCTCCAGTCTTGGTTATGTCTTCATGGCAGTGTGAGAATGAACTAATACTCATATAATGGATACTAACAACTAAATCTTTATTTACCACTTATTAGAAGCTTGACTTAACCAATTATCAAATTTTATATAAGCTTTAATGTTATTGGGAAATATCCTTTTCCTGTAAAAATAAATGAGATTACATACCTGAAGTACCTTAGGCCTTTCTGACTAATATTTTCAATTTTCATTAAATGTTTATTTGTATGTATCTATAGATATCTTGAATATGTATTATAAATATTATATGTATGAATATATATGTATGTAGAATATATGTATTCTAGTATTTCTTCCAGATAGCACTTAAAAACCAGTGTTTGCATTTTTGCATATTGAGCAAGCAATTCCTACTTACAATGATGGAAGAAATAGATACCCTGGAAGAAGGAAAATTAAATTCATACTTTCAAAGCATCCTTCCCAATAAATCCAATTCATCTTTTGCACGGAAGGAATAATTAGATGAAGATATATTTTAAGTCAAATTGTTAGTATTTTGGCCACATGACTACATCAGAAATGTAGTTTAGAATTCTGTTCATTTTTATTTTTTAAATCAAACCCTCATTGAACTGTGCTTAATTTTTAAATGCAAAATACATAAAACTCTTGCATTTCTTGGAAATAAATTCTTTTTATTTTACTAAAAATTTTGTTACCACCATTGAGGCAAATGACAGAAATTCTTACAATTGATTATCCTGTATGGGTATGAAAACTTTAACATGCTCCTCTAAGTAACTGAATACTACAGAGCGATTTTGGATCAATGTGGCCTTATTTTGAATATAACATACAAAATCATTGAGTGTTTTATGATTTATCTTCATTTTAACTCAAGCTTTGGGATATATGAATACAGAAGATAAATCAAAATGTGTCATGTATTATATTTTCTGAAGTTATTAATATATATTTAGCAAAAGGTAAAATAGCACAGATATACCAACCAAATTTTCATGTGAAGAAAATATTTTATATAAATAATGTTTCTTCTTTTATATGAAATCACTGCAAAAATGAGAAAGCTACTTTTTATATTCCCCAATGAATATTCCCCAGTCCTGTGATTCCAAGTTCAGTAAAATTGAGAAAAGTATGGCCAAGAAATTTAGTAGACCGAATGTACCTTCACTTTCTGGAATGTACTTGTAACCCCACATTCACAGTTAGAAATTTGCTTGAATGAAAAAGCGTTCAAAGTAATTATTATCTTGTATTTGGCTTCTCTGGGTACCTTTTTGGCTTTTATTTCTAAATAAAAAAAAACAAAACATGCACAATGTAAATATTTTTAGTTTGTAAAATTTTCTTTCCAATTACATATTTTAAGATGTTGTATATACTGTAAACATTTTGAAGTAATTTTGCCCAAATTAAGAAAAAAAAATTAATTCATCTTTTTATCTTCTTTTTATTTTGGTTCACTTTTCACCCGGGTATTAATATGGATGCTGCAGAAAGAACAGCTCCTGGAAATGATAGGTTGCTGTATGGATATGCAACAAAACCATCTTTATTTTACAGAAAGGTCTCATTACTCGAAAAGAAGGCCAGTGAAGAAATTTATATTGACCTTTTGGCATGACCTTTCTAAGCCAACTGTTCCCTAGTACATAAACTAGTGAGTTTACTCCAGAGAGACACCCAAATGAGTAAAATATGAAGTGGGAGCTTTTGGCACTATTAGAAACCTTAGGGCCAGGTTCTGTTCCTTATCACCTATGAAATTTCCCTTGTTAATGATGCTGAGTTGGGCATATTTATTTTTTAGCCATTTCATCAACAACTTTTGCTTATGACTAAGGATGTCATTTCTTATTCCCATAACATGGGGTCTTAGTCCATTCCTGCTGCTTTAACAAGATATCTTACTTTGAGTAATTCGTAATTTATAAAAATTCCTTATGCATTCTTTATAGATTCTGACAATTCCATAAGTGTCATGAATTTCAGTAGGGAAGTGACTTTTCAAAGTGAGTTCTGGACAGGTAGCCATAAGTAAGACTACAGTGGCACGGATATGCTGTGCTTTGATCAATTGCGTGGTATGCAATTTTTATTATAAATATCACTGAATTCCATATGACAAAAAGTACTCATCAACTTTTCTTTTCTTTTCTTTTCTTTTTTTTTTTTTTTTGAGATGGAGTCTCGCTCTGTTGCCCAAGCTGGAGTGCAGTGGCGCGATCCCGGCTCACTGCAACCTCTGTCTCCCGGGTTCATGCCATTCTTCTGCCTCAGCCTCTCCCACTAGCTGGGACTACAGGTGCCCGCCACCATGCCTGGCTAATTTTTTTGTATTTTTAGTAGAGACGGGGTTTCACCGTGTTAGCCAGGATGGTCTTGATCTCCTGACCTCATGATCTGCCCGCCTCGGCCTCCCAAAGTGCTGGGATTAAATTAGATGTGAAATGTTGTTCAGGTTTATTAAATAAAGAAAGAAAAAGATTGTTAACTAGATGTCTTCTTTTGTTTTTCTCTGACAACAGCTGTCTTGTAAATTGGTATATTTAGATCATGCACATTTAAAGTAATTATTGATATTAGTTGGGCTGGTATTTATTGTGTTTATAAGTATTTTATATTCATATCATTTATTCTTTGCCTCCCAACAAACACTCTTTTTCTTATTTCTATTGTTTTAATTGACACTTAAAATAATCCCATTACATTTCCTCTCCTAGCATGTCAGTTATACTTTAGAACAGTTTTAGTGATTTATGTGAGTTTTCAATACACATTTTTAACTAATCTCAATCTACCTTTAAATAAGACTTTGAATAACAACACAAGTATCACTTTACAAGAGTGTTACAGACTCAATATTTGTATTCCCCTATTCCCCCAACATGTGTATGTTGAAACCTAATCCCTATGGTAAGAGTATTTGGAGATGGGTCTGTGGGAAGTGATTAGGTCATGAGGGCAAAACTGTTACGGATAGAATTAGTGCCTTTACAAAAGAAACCCTAGAGAGCTAATTTGCTCTTCTGCCATGTGAAAACCCGGTGACTGGACCGTCCTCTATGAACAAGCCCTTGCCAGACACCTAATATGCACATGGCTTTGGCCTTGGACTTCCCAGTCTCAGAACTGAAAACTGCATTTTTGTTGATTATAAGCCACCCAGTGTATGGTATCCTGTTATAAAAGCCTGAGCAAACTAAGATACAAGTAATCCCAATTCCTACCATTATTTATGTGACCACTGCCATTTATTGTATTCATTTATATACTATATTCATTCAATACATTGTTACAGTTATTCCTTTTAAACAAAATATTATCTTTTAGGTCAATTAAGAATAAGAAAAAAACATTTTATTTTAGTTTCATTCATTCCTTCTATGATATTCTTCCTTTCTTTATATAGACCAATTTCTGAGCTATACCCTTTTTCTTCTCCCTAGGAACCTCTTTGAACATTCCTTGCAAGGCAGATCTACTGGCCATAAACTTTCTCAGTTTTTGTTTGTCTGAGAAAGTCTTTATTTCTTCTACACTATTGCAGGATAATTTTATTAGATATAGAAATGTAGACCGGATGCGGTGGCTCACGCCTGTAATCCCAGCACTTTGGGAGGCCGAGGCGAGCAGATCACGAGGTCAGGAGATCGAGACCATCCTGGCTAACATGGTGAAACTCCGTCTCTACTAAAAATACAAAAAAAATTAGCCTGGTGTGATGGCCTGTAGTCCCAGCTACTCAGGAGGCTGAGGCAGGAGAAATTGCTTGAACCCAGGAGGTGGGGGCTGCAGTGAGCCGAGATTACACCACTGTACTCCAGTCTCAAAAAAAAAAAAAAAAAAAAAAGAAATGTAGGTGGTGTGTGTGTGTGTGTTTCACTTTCAAGACTTTAAATAATCCCCCCCC
Organism: Homo sapiens; assembly: GCF_000001405.40. Taxonomy (NCBI): domain Eukaryota; kingdom Metazoa; phylum Chordata; class Mammalia; order Primates; family Hominidae; genus Homo; species Homo sapiens. Next base: position 27,751,687 of record NC_000014.9, on the reverse strand, counting down.
CACTGTCTACTTGCTTTCATCTAATGAGAAACCAACTGTAATTCTTAGCCTTATTTATTTACAGGTAAGTTTTCTTGTTTACCCCTGGCTCCTTTCAGTGTGTCTCTCTGTCTTTGGTTTTATTTAGTTTAAAAAATATATACCTAAGTATAGATTTTTGGCATTTATTCTGCTTGGTATTCTCTGCACTTCTTGGATCTGTATTCAGTATCTGCTTTTAATTTTGGAAAATTCTTAGCAATTATTACTTTAAATATTTATTTGGATCTGTTCTTCCTTTCTTTACATTCTGGTATTCAAATGTACCAGCTAATATTCTACTAGAAAGAAAATATAAAATTGAGTAAAATAAAACAAAATAAAGAGCAACAACACAATGCATTAAATTCAGTGCAATGGGTTAAATATGATTTGATCTGTTAAAAAAATCAATCTGAACAATGATTCATATGGTTTACAGTTAGTATGCAATATAGGACTCTGAATTTAATCGAGTTTTTATTTTTCTACAGTGGTTTTACAGTAAAAATAACTTCAGTTTAAGTTTGGATTGTTACTTTTAAAAACAGAGTTAACTGTTTATTACTTTCTCGCCTTAATTTTCTTATCATATATATATGATATATATATATAAAGAGATTATAAGTCTGTAATGCTTAGCATAAGTCCTGGTAAATTTCATCTATTCAATGAACATTTGTTCTCCCTTTACTTCCTGCAATCTAGATGGTGGTTCATGGAGATAGTTGCTCTCTAATTTTTTGAGCATATCAGGACTTAAAAGCCAATGATGGTGTATTGTTATATCAAGGCCAGCAGAGCATATTACTTTAAACAACTGGCAGTAGAAACTTCTCTTTAAAAATTGTAAAAGTAAGGTTTTTTAAGTTTAGAAACCAACCAAATATCAGAATGCAATGTTAGCGTCTCATTGGTGTGAACCAATGAGAAGTATTTAAGAACAAAGAAATAGTATACTGTACCACACAAAAACTTACATGCAAATGTTTATTGCATGTGCAGCCATATTCTTAATTACTAAAACTTAGAAGCACCCAGCATATCCTTTAATAGGTAAACATTCCTTAATTAGATAAACAAACTCTGCTACATCCGTACAATGACATAATTATCAGGGGTAAAAAATAAGCCATCCAGTCATGATTAGACATGGAGGAAATTTGAATGCGTACTTCTATGTGAAAGAAGCCAGTCTGAAAAGTCTACATATTGTATGAGTTCAAGTATATAATCTTCTAGAAAAGGAGAAACTATAGAGATAGTGCAAAGTTTAGTCATTACCAGGAGTTGGGCATGTAGGGGATAAGTAAGTGAATCACAGGGAATTTTTAGGGCAGTGAAATTATTATGTATGATTTCGTAATGGTGGATACATGACATCATGCGTTTAGCAAAACCCATAGAACTGTATAATACAAAGAGTGAACCCTAATGTAAACTCTGGTCTTTAGTCAATAAATGCATCAATGATGGCTTCTTAATTGTTTAAAAAACGACTACACAAATGTATTGTGTTAAAATAGGAAAACTGTCAGGGAAGTAGAGAGGGAGTATGAAGAGACTCTCCATAATTTCTGCTTAATTTTTCCGTAAAGCTGTATATTTTATAATAAAAAGCTTACTAATTAATACCAAAAAACAAACAAATGAAAATCATACTCCAAGGCAAGCATATTATCATGATAACATGCAATTTTATTTTAAAACATAAATTTTCTAATTTTTTCCACATATTTCTTAGGGTAAAATTTTAAATAATTTCTAGCTTCACTGTTTTCTAATGGATAAAAGCATAAATTAAATATGCTTTTATTACTGAGAGGATATGACATTGCAGTAACAGAGATTTATTAATAATCAAGAATGTATTAACATATTTATATAGGTAATATTCTGTGGATTTTTGTTTCCAAATAACTCAGAATTGACAAAATAAAAATATAATTATTCAGTGATGAATATCACAATGAGCAATATTGATATATTTCATAATTAAACAGTTCATCCTGTCAATCACAGGGATACTCAGTTCAAATACATCAAAAGAAAACAGTCTTCAGGTAAATTGAAATTGCAATAGTTTCAATTTTTACAAAAGTTTAGATGTTGATAACAGTTTCAGAGCCACTTCTCTGTATAGAAAAGCTTTCTGGGGATATCGTGGTTGTAACTAAAAACAAAAATACAGATTTATAGATAACAGAGTGAAAAGCAATCTGTTATAAATATTGATTGTACGATTATGAGGTCTTTAGAAATTATAAATTATTTTATCACTATATTTTAAGTGTAGGATATACTTAATTTGAATAATAATATTTATTACATATGAGCTTAATTGTGTCTCTTCAAAAGATACAATAAAGTGCTAAACTCCAGTACCTTAAAATGTGAACTTATTGGACAATAGAGCTATTGCAGATGTCACTAGTTAAGATGAGGTCAGTTGACTGCTGTCCTTATAAGAACTGGGCACAGAGATACAGACATATAGGGAGAATGTCCTGTGATGACAGAGTCACAAACTGATGCAGTTGCATGCCAAAGAATGTGCCAAGAATTAATGACTGGCACCTGAAGACAAGAGGTAAAGAAAGATTCTCTCCTTCAGGTTTCAGAGGGAGCATGGTATTGCTAACATCTTGATTTTGAATTTCTGACCTCCAAAACTGAGAGAATAAACTTTTGATATTTTAAGCTGCCCAGTTTATGGTGTTTTGTATGACAGTCCTAGAAAATAAATACAAATAGTAAACCATAAGCAAAAGTACAAACATGGAAATTTACCCTAATTCACTTTTTGTGTAACACTTACAATTCATAAAATGATATTATATTTCGTATTTTTAATTATCTTTCTCGCGCAGGAGAACATAAACATCCTGAGGGCAAAATCTTTATTCAGTTTTTATTTTACTCATAACGCTTAGAACATACAGTGGCAATTGATGTGTTTGCTAGTCAGGATATTACTCTGGTGAATACTGTTCATTCTACGTAACAAGAAACCACTGATGTATCAGTGGTTTATGAAAGGTTTAGTTTAACTGATGCTATGTATCCAAAACAGGCCAAGCAGTGGGCCTTCCCCTTCCTGAGAGTCAGGTAAAATATTTGATACATGTTTTCATAGCCACAGAGATGGGGGGAAAGAGAACATGGCAAAGAATGACTGGACTCTAAAAAGTTTTATATTCTGGATTAGTCAGAATTTCAACAGAAAACAGATGGTAAATACAACTAAGAATAATTTGAGGAATGCTTCCATACAAAGGAAGGAGCATGAAAGAATTGTAAGCAATAAATCTGGAACTGGCGTTCAATGAGGATAAAAACAAAACCTGGAAAAAGAAGGAGTAGAAGATCAGACCACCTGGCGAACAACAGTGACCTTCTGTAAAGAGACACATGTAAGGAAGACAACCTCATGGGGAAGGGACCAGCAGAATAAACACCATGACCCTTCTCTCCTCTTTCTACCTTCTTCCAGGGTTCTTCACAGGCTGAACCTAACCGTGAGGGAGCCTCCTGATGTATTCGTCAGAAGTCAAAAAAAAAAAAAAAAAAAAAAAAAGTCCAAAGAGAGTCAGGAAGAGTGGAAAGAGTTGCATTAGAAGATATTTTACACATTACTTTCCTTTTTTATGTTACCATTATAAAGTGATATATCTAGAAGCAATCTTGCACATCAATCTTTACCTACATCTCAGATTGTGTAAACTTTAGGATAAATTCCTAGAATTAGCTTACTGTTTCCCTCATGAAAAGTAAAGTATCCCATTGTAAGAGTAAGACACTATACAACTATGTTATATAGTGTTAACTTCTGTTAATTGTTTGTAAGACAAATTATTGGGGTGATTACATGAAATAAGGAGGTCTAAATTAAACTTTCAATGACAGAAAACCAGCAATATATAAGAAACAGGACAAACATTCTTAATGTATTTAATGTATTTCAATCTGTGTATTTAGCATCTACTTATAATTTTTTAAACAATTTAACTCTAGTGTTTAATATAGAGACTATTACACCATTTCTTCCTATATTTTTTAAATTATATTTTATATCGTCTTTACCATTAGGATAAGCAGGAGAGAAATGTTGAATATATTGATTAATGTATCTGATATATACACTCATGTGCCACATAATTATGTTTTGGTCAATGACAGACCATATATGTATGATGTTGGCCTCATAAGATTCTAATGGACCTGAAAAATTTCTATCATCCAGTGATATTGTAAGCCACCTAACATTGTAGCAAAATGTATTGCTAGTGTTTGTGGTGATGATGGTGTAAACAAATTTGCTCTTCTTTCAGTGATATTAAAGTACACATGCAATTGTGTGCAGTACATAGTATTAGATAATGATAAACTCTGTTACTGGTTTATGTGTTTTATATACTACACTTTTTATCATTAGAATTACCCCTTCTACTTATGGAAAAAAAGTTAAAACTGTACAATAGCCTCAAGCAGATCTTTCAGGAAGTATTACAGAAAGAAGCATCATTACCATAGGAAATAACAACTCCGTGAGTGTAATTACCTCTGAAGCCTTTTCAGTGGGACAAGATGTGGAGGTTCAGACAGTAATATTGATTATCCTGACCTCATGTTGACATAGTCTAATGTGTTTGTTTGTCTTTTTTTGTTTTTTGTTTATTTTTACAAGAAAGGTTTACAACATAAAAGAAAATGTAAAATATGGAAAGCTTATATAATAAAGATATACATTTAATTTTTTTGTATAGCTGTATATGTTTTCAAGGTAAGCGATACTACAAAAATATAGACCTATGTCTACATGAGGTCAGGATTATTAATTTCTTTAATAATAGGTTAGCTTGGCTTACTGTAATTTTTTTAATATAAACATAACAAGTTTATGTCTTCATAGCCACAGAAATTGGGAGAAAGAGAACATGGCAAAGAATGGCTACCATGTTACAGTTTTGACTGTAAGCTTAGAAAGTTTATAGTCAAAAAATTACAGTAAGTTAAGCTAACTTTTATTTATGTTTTCCAAAGCCATAAGACAGAACAAGATTACATTTCAATATACAACTTCTGTATAACCAAAAAATAAAACACCACAGTAAAATGAATGAGATAAAACATATTTGCAATTATAGACAAAAGTTTAACATCTTTAATCATAAATGAACTCTTCAGAAATCAATACGAAGAGACTAACATTACAAGGGAAGTGAAAATAAAAGGAACAGAGAAAAATGGAATAGCATAAATAAGTTATAAGGCTATATGAAGATGATATAGTTTCCATTAATAGCTAAGAAAGCAATTTCATTATAAATTACATTATTGATCTTTACAAATATTGATGTCTGATGTTTGTATACTTTATGGTCTACATGAATGTCTCCTCATGGATGTATCAGTCATGCTAAGGAAAATAGTCTTATGTCAAGATGAGCAGAGAGAAAGCCACAATATGAGACTTCTACAAAAATGGAAGAAGAACATAGTGTATTTTTAAAAAGCCACAAAAAGGATACCTTAAGAAATAACTTACCTTAGAAAACAAAAGGAAAAATATTCTACTGATTTACTCTATGAGAGAAATTTTAGAATTCATGGCCCTTATGAAATTATGAATTAAAACAAATAATAGTAAAACAAAAGGAAATTAAAGGGAAGTTGCTAGAATTGAAAAGAGAAAATAAAACTTCTCCAAGAGTATTCTATTGTGGTTTATGTCTGACATGGCTATGTGTTTCCTGTATACCTCTTCCAGGAAGATTTTGATGCTCAATCCTGCTTTCTCTCGCTTCTTCTCTTTTATGTGTCCTCTGCCTGGTTCATACATCTCAACACTTACAAACTAGAAAAAGTGACTTAACTTCTTTCTGATTTCCTCATTTATATATTGAAGACAAAAATTATACTTACCTTACAGTGTTGTGGTGATGATTAAGTGACTTATTTTCAAAATTTTGAGAACTCCAGTTTGTTTTAATTCCTTCCATTTTTATATCAGTTTGTACCTTTTTCTCGATATACTTTCATTTTCCTGAGTAGATCCTATGGACCAACCTTTCTGTAAGTTTTATCATTATAATTATGTATCAATATCTCATACATGAATGAAATCAAATATATGTTTTACTATGACTTTGGATATCTGATGTCTGCTGGAAAATAGCATTAATGTTATTGTGCTATTCTGTGCTATATTTTATGTCTATATTCTGCTGATTCTTATTACACTGCTTCAATAAACTCCTAAATACTCTAGTTGTCCACCTATATCAACATTATTTTTAACACTTCAGCTTGAGCGATATATTTTAAAAAATTAGATCACCTCCCCACCACCAATAATAATTATTTCTCATTAGTTTCAGAATAAAATTTAAGCTTGTGATGATGGCCCCAAATATCTCGTTTTTTCCAGCACCTTAATTGTTACTCTCCCACTTAATCTCTATATTCTAGCTACACTAGCCTCATGGTGAATCTTCTCTTCTCTTCTCTTCTCTTCTTCTCTTTCTTTCTTTCTTTCTTCCTTTCTTTCTTTTCTTCTTTCTTTTTTTTAGTTAACTTTCAAGTTCAGGGGTACAAGTGCAGGTTTGTTACAAAAGTAAACTTGTGTCATGGGGTTGTGTTGTACAGATTATTTCATCACCCAGGTATTAAGCCTAGTATCCATTAGTTATTTTTCCCAATCCTCTCCCTCCTCCCACCCTTCACCCTCCAAAAGGCCCCAGTGTGTGTTGTTTCTCTTGTGTATCCATGCATTCTCATCATTTAGCTCCCACTAATAAGTGAGAACATGTGGTATTTGGTTTTCTGTTACTGTGTTAGTTTGCTAAGGATAACGGCCTCCAGCTCCATCCATGTCCCTGTAAAGGACATGAGCTCATTCTTCTTCATGGCTACATAGGATTCCATAGGTAGAACTTGTGAATGTGAAATAATCCTTCCCATTTCTGAGTCTTTGACTCAACCCCTCACTGTGTGGAATTTACTTTCTTTCTTCCTACCTCTGCTTAGTCAATTCCAACTAATCCTCTTCGTATATTGGCTAAAAGGATTTAGTGAGAAGATGATAATTATGGCATAGAGACAGCTAAGATTCAGTGAAAGATAATTAGTATCTCTGAAGGAAATAGGAAAAGATGGTACAGAATAAAAGACTTTCAAAAATGTAAACATTCCTGAAATCATAGGATTCTTGACACTTTAGATAAAATAATTCAATATATAAGAAAAAATTACAGAGTATATTGATTAAAATATATTCTAACAAAATACTGATGTATAGGGATTTAAAAAATCCTATAAAATGTCATCTTGTCTGTAAAATTAGCCTGACAGGAAATTTAAAAAAGACGTTATCTACGTATTTTTGAGGAAAATGATATTCTTCATGTTTTAAGAGTAAAATATAAGAAATACATTCTCAAAAACACAAGAATTATGAAAAGATAGAATTTTCTTAAAAAATGGTTTTAAACAAGTAATCATGCTAATACATTTAAGAAATTACAAAAGAGCTTTTGTGTTATGAAATATCTGATAATACGTATTTTGTTAACCTCCTCAAAATATGTGGTTGTCTCTATGAGTTTTGTGTCTCTTCCATCATATATAATCAAGCTGTAGTGTGTCTGGCAGAATTCTCCCTAAGGATGTATTTTATATTAAGTTGAACCATGTGAAGTTGCCGTCTTTGAAGGTCAAAAATGATTGAATTATAGACAATTCATGAGATTCCATCATATAGTTAAAAAAAATCACTTCTATGTTGCTGAAATAATTTCAGCCATCTTTGTCTTTTTTTTATCTTTTAGGTCATATTTTCAAATATATCTTTGTAATTGTATTCTTAACACTACTATATTTTCATGACATCCATAAATTTTTCTTAATTAGATTTCCTAGTAAACTACTTTATTTTTTAGATAAATAAACCAATAAATAAACCTGCTAGAACAGAATAATTAGGTTAACCTTTCTTTGCTCAAAAGTTCACTTGTAAAAGTCATTGTGATTTATAACATCAGTGTACCCTCTCAATGTTTAACAATTAAATTTATTTTTATTTTTATATCCACACATTCAACTAAAATTTAATCATTTTCATTATTCAATGAGGAGGTTTATTGTGTGGAATAAATTATTTTCATATAACTTCAATCAATTTAAAGTAAATATTTTCATTATAAACAATTTTATAATTTATTTATTTTTTAATAAATCTGTATGAGGAAGGAAAAGCCATAGCTAGTTTAACCCCATCATCTTGCTGTTAACAAAAGATCAGTTTTTGATGGGGAATTCTGATAATATGATAATCTGGGTATCTCTTCTTTACCCTCCGATTCCAGGTATAACCTGCTTCCCTCAGTGTAGCCAGGATCTTCTAATCCTGATAAATAACTTGGCAGTGGTAATACCGTGATTACGTTTCCAGAGAGGTTTCTCCTCAGCAGTTGTCTTAGTTCATTTTTTGTTGCTGTAATAGAATACCTGAGGCTGGATAATTTACCAGGAAAAATACAGTTCTGCAGGCTGGGAAGTTCAAGGCCATGGCCCTGGCTTCTGGCAATGGCTTTCATGCTTCATCATAACATGGTGGAGAAAGTCAAAGGGGATGCAGACATTTGCAAATAGAGTCAAAACCCAAAGGGCACCCTGACTCTATAACAACTCACTTAGAAGGGTACTCATCCATTCTCCTGAGAACAAATTCCGTTTTTCCAGAGTGAAAACTCACTACTGAAAGAACAGCACCAAGCAATTCCTAAAGGATTCATCCCCATGATTCAAACACATTCAACTAGGTCCAAGTTTCCAACACCTGCACACTGGGGACTAAATTTCAACATGAGCTTTGGTAGGGACAAACAAACCATATCCAAATCATAGCAGTAGTCTTGGAAAAACATATAGAAAGTAGGGGCAGAACTGAGGGCAGAAGAGCCAAGAAAGAGCTTATAGTAGTCAAAGGTCTAAGTACTTAAGTCCAAAGAAAACTTCAACATGAATGAATATGTTGCTGAACCTCACTTTAAAATAAGTCAGGAAATAACTGAATGGTTGACTTTTAAAAATTACCTGAATGGGTTAGTACATTATGTTAAAGATAAGAGATGACTTCTCTGGGTATTGCATGAGGTATCTGATGCCCTACCCTCAACCTATAGGAGCACAGAGACTTTAGGTTTTTTTTTTTTTCTTGATTTTAATGAAATAGTAAATTCCAACCTTACTGATTTTTAAAACGTAGGTCTGAAATTCAAGAAGTCATAAAATAATTGATAGACTAGAATTGAGCTCCTCATTTGGAAAAGTAGAAGTTAGACAATAATAAACCAACATTTCCAGAGAAATGAAATATGAAGACTTCACCTCAACAATACCGTATCTATCATGGGAGAAAAAAGATATATGAGGATACTGAAAAACTGAGAAACATTATCAATCACAAACTCGATGAAAATCTCCTCCTAAAATGGTGAAGAAACTAAAACAGAAACCTAAATATGGGGAAAGATAAACAGCAGAGAAAATAGTGGTTAAAAGTTAACCTTGATATCTAGCTGTACAATGGATAAAGATAGCCTCCTTAGGACCATGAAACACTAATATTAAAGGATTCCTGAATCAGAAGGGTCATAGATTAAGACAATTTCTCTAATGATTAGGAAAGGAAAGAAATGCTAGAAAATTAAAGTTAAGTAGGATGAAGTAAAGTAAATGTAATATTCTAAATGTACTATGGGAAAATGGAGAAAAAGTAGTGTATTATAGAAGAGAAAATAAAATGATTCTAAAGATCATGTCCTTCTCCTGGGGAAGAAATGAATTAAAATCCCATGGTTGAGGAAAAGTGCATTTCAGTTACAAGACAATTACCTATTTTAAAATAAATAACATTAGTGATTCATATCTAATTAGGGGAATAAGTAAGAGGATGCTAATTAAAGGAACAGAAAACTGGAGTAGACAGAAGTGAAAAAGGCAAAAAGTGTCAACCCCATCACACTAACAAAATTGGAGATGAAGAAAACGAGGCAAAATAACTTAACTTGATAAGCATACATAAGCAAAAGGGAAGAAATAAAATAAAACAGATCATTAGCCACAAATAATATAGTAGCAAAAAAGTAAAAGTTTTCAATTTTCTGATTATAAGATACATACTTAAAGTATCAGAGAAAGTTGAATAAAGTGATATGTGCAAGGAGTATCAAGAAAAAGCAAATCAAAAGAAATCAAAGTATCATTAATCACATTAGAGAAAGTGGGATTTGAGGTATGCAGAATGAAACAGGGTAATTGAGGAATTATATAATAGTAAAAAGCAAAATTGATGAAAAATATTATAATCATGAATTTGTATGGCTTATGTGAGCTAAGCATATTAAAGAGAAACTGTTAGAAATGTGGGCTGGGTGTGGTGGCTCATGCCTGTAATCACAACACTTCAAGAGGCCTACACGGGAGAATAACTTGAGACTAGGAGTTCAAGACCAGACTGGACAACAGAGTGAAATCCCATCTCTAGAAAAATAATTCTAAAAAATTAGCTGGGCATGGTGGCACATGCCTGTGGTCCCAACTATATATATGTGAAGCTGAGGCAGGGAGGTCGCTTGAGCCCAGGAGGTCAAGGCTGCGGTGAGCTGTGTTTGCGCCACTGCAATCCAGACTGGGTGACAGAGCAAGGCCTTGTCTCAAAAAAAAAAAAAAAAAAAAAGAAAGAAAGAAATGTGGGGGAAACATAAATAAAATTATACTCAATGAAATATTATAATACATATTTTTCAGAATTAGTCTAGTAGATTAAAATTACAATCAATAGACATGTTATATAATAGCTGTATGGAGAGCCTTATGCCCCTCAATTAAATATTTTCCTATATCTAAGAAACATATACAAAAATGTTATGTGCTTGGCTACATCAAAACTTTAATTTTTTAAGACAATTTACCATCAATGTATCTTATCATAAGCCAATACAATTGAAAATAAATAATTAAAAATTAAGTCCAAATGCTTATCTATACATTGAGACAATGTTAACTTTTAGGTCAAAGAATAAATTAAAGGTCACTAACTACTTGAAGTCAATGAAAACAATGCTTCACTATCAAAATTTGTTAGACACAGCAAAAATACTTTAAGATAATGTGTAGCTTTAAAACTGTTCTTTGAAAATAAACATTTGAAAAATTGGCCAACATAATTATGCATCAGAAAAATGAAAATGAAAATCACAATGAGATATTACTATATACCAACTGGAATTGCTAAAATTCAGAAAAGACTGAAAATAGGAGGTGTTGAGAAGTATGTGGAACAGTTGGAACCCTCCGACATTGCTAGTGGGAGTGTAAATTAGAACAATTATTTAGAAAAATTGTTTGGCAAGATCGCCTAAAATAAATATATACTTCCCCAATAACCTTGAAATTCTCCTCCTATGTGTGTACCCAAGAGAAATGAGTAAACAACTCCAACAAAAGACATACACAAGACTCTCAGCTTTATTAATAACAGCCCAAAATTGAAACAACACACAGGCATACCTCAGAGATATTTTGGGTTCAGTTTCAGACCACCACAATAAAGCAAATATCATAATAAAGTGAGTGACATAAATTCTTTGGTTTCCCAGTGCATGTAGAAGTTATGTTTGCACTGTACTAGAGTGCAAACATCTAGTCTATTAAGTGTGTACTCATATTATGTCTTAAAAAAACAATTGAAGTGGTGGCTTCAACTGCTAAAGCAGTCACCAGCTGCTTTAGCCTCTAACTAGAGAGTCAGCCTGTCCTTTGAAGCATTGAAGCCAGGCATTGACTTCTCTCTACTATGAAAGTCCTAGATGGTATCTTTTCCCAATAGAAGGCTGTTTTATCACCACTGAAAATCTGTTTAATGTAACCACCTTCAATAATAATCTTAGCTAGATTTTCTGGATAACTTGCTGCAGCTCCTACGTCAGCACTTGCTGCTTCACCTTGCACTTTAATGTGATGGAGATAGCTCTTCCCATAAACCTCATGAACCAGCCTCTGTTAGCTTCTAACTTTTCTTCTGCAGCTTCCTCACCTCTCTCAGCCTTCATAGAATTGAAGAGTAGGGCCTTGCTTTGGATTAGGCTTTGGCTTAATGTGAGGCTTTGTGGTTGATTTTTTTTGTATCCAGACCACTAAATTTTTCTCTGTTTATCAGTAAAATAAGGCTGTTTTGCTTTCTTATCACTCATATGTTCACTGGAGTAGAACTTTCAGTTTCCCTCAGAACTTTTCCTTTGCATTCACAACTTGGCTAAGTGTTCGGTGCAAGATGCATAGTTTTTGGCCTATCTCAGCTTCCAACATGACTTCCTCACGAAGCATAATCATTTCTAGATTTTTATTTAAAGTGAGAGACGTGCACCTCTTCCTTTCACTTGAACTCTTAGAGACCTTGGTGTAGGGTTATTAATTGGCCTTATTTGAATATTGTTGTGTTTCAGGGAATAAGGAGGACTGAGGAGAAGGGAGACTGGGGAACAGCCAGCCAGTTGGTGGAGAAGATAGAACACACCCAGCATTTATCAATTAACTTCAACATCTCATATGGGCACTATTCATGGTGCCCCCAAAGAATTACAATAGTAAGATTAAAATTCAGTAATCCCAGAGCACCCTAACAGATGTAATGACAGTCAAAAAATTGAAATATTGTGAGAATTACCAAAATGTAACAGAAGAATGTAAAGTGAGCACATGCTGTTGGAAAAATGCTGTTGAAACATTTGCTGTATTCAGGGTTGCCACAAATCTTTAATTTTTAAAAACATATCTGCAAAATGCAAGAAAATGAAGCACAATAAAATGAGGTATGCCTGTAAATGTTCATGTACAGAAGAGCAGATAAATAAAAATGCTAGCATATTCAGACAGTTTAATACTACCCATCAATAAAACAGAAGGAACTCCTCATATTATGACAACCTAGATGATTCTTACAGAAATTGCAATGGGCAAAAAATGGCAGATAAATACATGTGGAAGGATTCTCTTTTTATGAAGTTGGAGAACAGATAAAAGTAATCTGTGGCAATAGAAGTTAGAATACTGTTTACTTCTGTGACATGGAGTTTTGAATGTAACATCTAGGGCTTTAACAAAGATTCATATTTTGACCTTGGTGGTGGTTACACACACACACACACACACACACGGGAAATACTTGACAAGTGATACGCTTAAGATTTGTGTAATTTTACTGCATATATATTATCTTAATTATATAAAAATGAAATATATTAGAATTAAGAATTGATGATATAAAATTACTGTAGGAACAAATAAGCCAACACAAATTAGAGGAAGAAATTAAAATAAAAGCTGACATAAGTAAGATAAACATACAAATTTTAGAAAGTACAAGTAAATCAAAAGTTAAATATAAAAAAAGACTAAATAGTAGTTTTGCAAATCTAATGATGTAGTATAAGAATAAGACTTTGAGCATAAGACAAATAAAAAATACACATGGGTCATAAACAATCACAAAAACAGCCTATGACTGTACATTTGACAAACCAGCCGAAATGGACCAAACCAATGTATGGAAATTGAGTAATGGTATGTTGAAGTTTATTAGACCAGTTACTTGAAGTTTTTATGTACCAATTGCTGAATGTTATGTGTCTGGTACTATTCTAATCCTGGGTGTAAAACAATACATAAAACCAAAACCCTGCCCTCATGAAGTTTGCATTCCAGTAAAATAAATTCATAGTTATATTTCGGGTGGTAATATTTTTGTGAAGAAAAACATGAAGCAAGTTAAGGGATCAAGAATGGGCGATCAAAAGTTGACTCTCGAGGAATGGAAATGGCGCTGATTTGGAAGCATTCTTGACTTATTCAGAAAGTGGCAAGGAATCACAATAGCTAAAGTAAAAAATAAATAAATAAAAATAAAAATGAGCAAGAGATTCAGAGGTAGGAGGTCAGAGAAATAGTAAGGGCCGACACCCGGGCCTTAAGAACCATGGTAAAGAATGGATTTTATTCTGAATGAGATGGGAGCCACTGGAAGCTTAAGGTAGTGAAATGTATTATCTACCGTATGTTTTAATATGATTGTTCACTGATGTTGAAAACAAGACATAGAAGCATAAGGAGAGAAACAGGGTAAACTTCCATACAGATGTTTTCATTTGAGAAGGATGCAATGTATAGAAATAGATTGATGCCAAATTATATTTAGTGCCTCACAATGGTTTATTCCAGAGAGTATTTGCTCCTTAATATCGATTGCTCGACATTATTATTATTTTTTTAGAAATACGGCCCTACAGTTAGGTGCAGCAAACCACCATGGCACATGTATACCTGTGTAACAAACCTGCACATTCTGCACATGTATCCCAGAACTTAAATTAAAAAAAAAAAAAAAAGAAATAGCTACTCAAGAGGCCATGGATGGAATTCACAGACTCATCTTCAAAGGGCTGAATATCTGTGTCCCCCTAAAATTCCTGTGTTAAAATCCTAACTTCTGAGGTGATGGGATTAGGAGGTAAGGCCTTTGGGAGGTGATTCTCATGAGGCGGAGCCCTCAGGAATGGGATTAGTACTCATAAATGAGACCCCAGAGAGCTCTCCTTCCACCCTATGAGTGGCCAGGAAGTGAGCCCTCAACAGACACCTCATCTGCCAGCACCTTGATCTTGGACTTTCCAGCCTCTAGAACCATGAGAAATAAATTTCTATTGTTTATAAGCCAAAAAAAAAGAAAGAAATGTAGTCCTACATACTTGGTAGAATAGATTCAGTTTAGCTTAAAGATTGCATTTCCCCTTTACTTTGCATGTAGATATGGAAAGGTGGTTATATTCTGGAAAGATGGTAAGTGTTATGCTTCTTGTTCATGAAATTCACAGATGTCAAAGCTGAGACTACCATCTTGGACCATGAAATGGCCTAACATAGCTCAGTAGAGCAAAGATAAAAGAATCCTTAGTACTTGCCGCCACAGAAAACTACAGCAGACCTGGGCTACCTGCCTCTGGACTTTCATTGAGAAAGAAATAAACTTCTCTATCTTCTTACAGTTATAGTTACTTTGAGTTACTTTCACCCATAGCTGAATATATTCCTAACTGTTATAATTTAGCGAATAAATTAAAGCATCCACCTGAAACCTTAGCCAAAGAAAACTGCCAGTACATATGAGCTAAGAACATGGGAGCTACTATTACAAAAATTTTGGTAAAACATTTTGTGAATAATCATAACAGCAGAAGTGTGTTCCTAACTACGAATGGACATTTTAAGAATAAAAATTTCTATTTGTTATTTAATCTTTGAGCAAGTGAACTTGACGTCTAGGGTTCCAGTTAAGACCTTTACAAAGGATGTATAATCTCTTACCTATCAGTTCTTGTCATTAGCTAACCAGGGTTTTTTTTCAGCACACTGGAACAAAGGGAAATGTGCACTTTTTACAGTAATTATCAGTAAATAATTGATATCCAGTAAATGTTTTA
Organism: Homo sapiens; assembly: GCF_000001405.40. NCBI lineage: Eukaryota > Metazoa > Chordata > Mammalia > Primates > Hominidae > Homo > Homo sapiens. The sequence continues at coordinate 27,736,130 of NC_000014.9, read as the reverse complement.
GGCATCAACTCACTGATCTAGTTTATTTTTAAACATTCAAATAGACTGAGCCACTGATTTCCATGGCAACATAACAAAAAAGGAATTAGAAAACACCAGTATATTTCATTTCATTTTGAGCAATTGCCTAATTTTTATGACTTACACATAGGATTAGTGAGTTAGTGCTTAATTTCATGGCTACCACAAAACAGGGTTGTAAAAAATAGACACTGTTTTACCAAAAATTATAGATAGCCAGATTTTCGCAAAGACAATACTATGATATTCCTGAAGATGATTTATACATTTTTTAATTATAAATAAAATGCATAGTAATAATTTTTTAAAAAATACAAGGTATGACATAACCCTGAAAATATTTGGACAGATATATATGCACAATGACTTCTACCTTCTTAGCTTACTATTTTTCATTTTACTTTTTTTTTTTTGAAACGGAGTCTCACTCTGTCACCCAGGCTGGAGTGCAGTGGCACTATCTCGGCTCATGGCAACCTCTGCCATCTGGGTTCGAGCAATTCTCCTGCCTCAGCCTCCCAAGCAGCTGAGATCACAGGTGCCTGCCACCGCGCCCAGCTAGCTTTTCTATTTTTAGTAGAGACAAGGCTTCATGAAGTTGGCCAGGCTGGTCCTGAACTCCTGACCTTGTGATCCACCTGCCTCGACCTCCCAAAGTGCTGGGATTACAGGCGTGAGCCACTGTGCCCGGCCTCATTTTACCATTTTATAAATTTTCTTCAACCCATTTGAAATAGTTTACTCATAGGATAATTTGCACATTGTTGTTCTTTATTTTTTAAACATATAAAAGATATTTAATTTGTAACTTTCTTTCTTTCTTTTTTTTTTTTGGCGGAGTCTCGCTCTGTCGCCCAGGCTGGAGTGCACTGGCATGATCTCGGCTGACTGCAACCTCTGCCTCCCGGTTCAAGTGATTCTCCTGCCCCAGCCTTCTGAGTAGCTAGGACTACAGGCATGTGCCACCGTGACCAGCTAATTTTTTGAATTTTTATTAGAGACGGGGTTTCACCATGTTGGCCAGGCTGGTCTCAAACTCCTTAACTCAAGCAATTCACCTGCATCAGCCTCCCAAAGTGCTGGGATTACAGGCATGTGGGCTATTTTATAAGGATCAAAAATAGCACTTCCAATTATACATTAATTTTCCTAATTTTAAAATGTAAATTGAGAAAGAAGTTTTTACATTTATTTCTAAATTTACATTTTAAAATTAGGCACAAATGTATAATTTGAAGTGTTATTTTGGATCCTGACAAAATAGCCAGTATACCTGCAAAACACTGGAATTATTTAAGTAGCTGTCATTGCTTAGTTCAGTCAAACTTCAACTCCAGCAAAATTCTTCTCTTATGTAATAAAAGAATCTTTAGAATAGCAAGCCGTTCTTAGTCTGCAAAAGAAAACAGCTCATTGACCTACAAAACTTTAGTATATAAGAAGATAGTAGGACATATCCTGGTAAAGTTACTAAATTTCAAGGAAAAAGAGAAATAAAAACTACAAAAGCCTAGGTAGAAACATAAATTGCCTATAAAGACAACAATTAAGTGCTATTATTTTAGTTCCCAGTATCTCAACAATACCAGGAAACAGAAATCTACAGATCAACTTTAACAGATAACTGTAGGGGAAAAGATACATGCTTGACCCTGTACCTGAATAAGTTAATTTTTAGTGCAATGGATGTAGAAAATATTTTTAAACCATTTAATGACTCAGTAATGTAGTGATACAAATTTACTGAAAAGTTTATTTGAAGATGTTATTTCTCCAAGAAAAAGATGAATTATTTAATTCACAAATGAGAAAGCCATTTTAAGAAAACTCTGCCACTTAATTCTCTAGAAACACATAATTGATCTAAAAGGCTCCTAAAAGATTACTATTCATTTTATATACAATTGTCAACATTATATTTTTCAGAATGTAAAAACAATAAGCATGAAAATTTAGCAATTTCCAAATCATGTAAACACATGGTGAGGTATTAGAAATTAGATAAAATATGCTAATTTTTTCAATTTTAATCTCAAGATTCAAAATCTTGACTAGAACCAATGACTGGCTCATTCATACTTAATCAGTTTGTGCTTCCAATCTTGTATATCCAATCCAGCCATCCCTCTCCTCAAATCCAGTAGCACACAGCAGCTAGATTGATTTTTAAAACCTAAATTAGATTATGTAACATCCATGACTAACACCAATCCAAGGACTTCTAATTGCATGAAAAATAAAATTCAAACTTCTTGTCAGAGATTCTGAATCCCTGTCGTGCTGCATCCATCTATCTCATCAAATTCAATTCACTCTGCTCCCTTCTTTGTTATTGAGCTCCAGTTGTATTTTGTGGACTGTGTTTTCCACCCCAAGGTCCTTTAGTAAGATCCATTGGCTTGGGACTCTATTCCATAGACTTTTTGTTTGATTTCTTCTCATCCTTCAATTTTCAGCTACAATTTTATCTGCTCAGAGAGGCTTTACCTGATCACAAAATCTAAAACATTTTCTCGATGTTTCATTCCACAAGCCTATTTTAGCTTTTCTTAAATTAACAAATCGTATTAACAATTAACAAACATTAACATGTATAATATTAAACATCTTAAATTAACAAACATTAACATGTGTAATACATGAGTTTTTCTCCATAAAACTACATTGTTTTGTGTTTTATTACTATTAGTTCAGCTTTTAGTTTAAATTGTAAATGATTATGTATGTATGTGTCTATGTATATATTAGGTTGGTGCAAACGTAATTGCAGTTGTTGCCATTAAGAGTAATCCGGTTTTGCCATTACTCTTAATGGCAAAAACTGCAATTACGTTTGCACCAACTTAATATATATCACATAATCAACTTTGAGTTTACGATATATCACTCCCTTCAGTATGGAAAATGATTTAATGATTTAAAGATAAATAATAACAAGCCAGAGAGATGTATAAATAATAAATTTCACTCAAGGTGATGAATGCATTATTAAAGGTAAATGAATATTGCTATGGAAACATTGAAAGGCTATCATTTCAGTAGCTTACTAATCTGGACATTTAGAGTGTTTTAGCAGTAGAATCATTTCCACATTCATCTTTCTTGCCTCATCCACTGAAAGCTTTAACTTCAAACTCACACTTGGGTTTATAAAACTGAGGGTAAATTTTATAAACAGTGCTTTCATCTTCAATGTAAAAACCTTACTGATCATCATACCTTTAATTGTATTCTGTATTCAAAATTAAAGACTTATAAATATTATAAAATACCTTGTAAATTGTGTAAAAGTCATATTGACCATTGAATAGCTAAGATGCACACTAATAAATATACCTTCCTAATGAAATAGTCTCAAAAACAATCTTGATAAGAAGTTGTTATTTTTATTGTGTAATATTTTTGAAATTGAATAGATTCAGAATCACTTTTAATAATCAAATTATATTAAGGCATAAAATTATAATCAAATATTAAAGCTTGTCACTGGTGGTATTATGCTTGTTTTAAATGTTTGTATTATACTTTGTACATTTTTTCATTTTTATGGAATGAGCATCTGTCATTTGTGTAATAAATTTTCAGTAATATAGTTATTAATTCAAAACATTTATTGAACAGCTACTCTATACTTGAGTCTTTTAGGCTCTTGGTTACATAAGTGAATAAAATAGAAAATATTATTTCCATTCAGTTTATTTTTTAGGAAGGAGAAGGACAATAATCAATACACATAATAAGTAAACAAATTATATAGGTTAGGCGCAGTGGCTCACGCTTGTAATCCCAGCACTTTGCGAGGCTGAGGAAGGCAGATCACTTGAGGCCAGGAATTTGAGACCAGCCTGGCCAACATGGTGAAAACCCATCTCTGCTAAAAATACAAAATACCAGTTGGGTGTGCTGGCACATGCCTCTAATCCCAGCTACTCGGGAGGCTGAGGCACAAGAGTCCCTTGAACCTGGGAGGTGGAGGTTGCAGTGAGCCGAGATCCCACCACTGTGCTCCAGCATGGGAGACAGGGAAAGACTCTGTCTCAAAATAAATAATATAATATAATATAATATAATATAATATAATATAATATAATACAATATAATATAATATAATATAATATAATATAATATATTAAAAGAGTAACAGTTTTGTGAAAGGAAAAATCAGAGTACCATAAGGGAGATCAGCAGTGCCTGGGGAAAAAAAAAGGTTACAATAATGGAGCTGTCAAGGGAGACCCCAGTGAGAAGTGACAATTGACTTAAATCTTCTAATAGATGGAGAGAAGATCTTGTATATATATATATATGAACTATTGTTCATATATACATCCAAAGGAAGAATTTCCTAGGCAGAAAAAACTACTGTCACAGTGGCCCTAAGGTGACTACCATATTTGGGGAAGAACAAGGAGACCAGAATGAGCTATAAGGAGAGAGTGTCAGAAGAGCAGGAGAGAGATGAAACAATGTAAGGTATTTCAAATGACTTTTTACCTCTTCCTACACTAAGCTATACCTGATATTTCTTTCCTATGGTATTTCCTAGCCATCCTCTTGCCTTTCCTGTCTTAACTTGTTTCTCTGATAATGAAGTCAAAATACAGAGACTATAACAACAAAGAGATTTGCATTCTAGCCCTAGCTTCACTGCTAAGGACAAATATGCAAGGACTTATTCTTTCTATTTATTCTTTCTTTTAATGCCTGAATTTTCTCATAAGATTTAGATAATCATGCTACCTGCTGTATGCTTTTGTTCTGAGAATTAAACTAGATGCTGTTTTGCATGGAGAAAGCACGTGGTATTTAGCTCATAGCAAGCACCTACATTTTAGCTATTTTAATAGCATTACTATAATGATTGTACTTACTGTTATCTGTCATCAAAACTGCTGAATTACTTTCCCCCATAATATATCCTACTTTTCTCATATACAGGCCATCTGCTACAGGTGAACTATAAGGTGAACATAGTATAAGAATCCACGTTATGTTTATAGTATAGAATCATGTTTATACCTATTTTGACTATATATAAATTCTAATTATCTTCATGCCTTACCACATTCACACAGTCTGTTTATGTGATTTTTCCGTGTACTTTCTGTCACCTTGAAAACCCAATAGCACTTGATACCTATATCGTTAATTTGGCACTGGTCAAATGATAACATCTATTGTTAGTGTTATTGTATAGTTTATAGCCTGCTTCCCCAACTGTCTTTAGCTCCTTAAAGACAGGGAGACTACTTCTAAACAGTTATTATAAAAATGTCTTCTATATTGTAGGCACTCCATCAATTTTTTGATTTAGCGTTTGTGAAAACGATAATGCATCCCTTTTATTACAAAACAGAGTAGAGTTTGCAGTTATAGCTGGGGTCACTTTGTTAATTAAAAAAAACCACTGGCAGGATGTTTAAATTATGGTTATGCTTCCAACATACACTTCAAAATGAAGTACTACAATTTTGTGCATTTACTCCTTCATCTGGCCTGGAGAGAGAGGTGATAGTCAAACTGTTGGGGGTGATATAAAACTTTTAAAAACCTGCTGGAAAACTGAAGAAAACGAAGTGGGAACCAGGACTGGAATGGCAGGAACATAGCTCTAGTTGCCAGAATTATTGTAAAGTAATAAAAGTCTTTCACCAACCTCGTTTAGATCACTAACACCTGCCCCAGCTGCCTAGGAAGCTCTAGGTTTACTGTTGGCATGCCTGAAACCCAGCTGCTGCTGTGATTACATTATTTACCTCTGTTTGCCTCGCTATAGGTTTGCCAGTGCACATCAAATCCCGAAGCAGTCCTTACACTAATACTCTAAATTAAAACATTGACTAAAAGGTCGTGAATTTCTTCCCAAAAAATAATTCATTGGGACATGAAGAATGGGAATTTAAATATGTGTGTCATGAGTGGTTTAGCCTGGTTTTAGATGTGGATAGGGAAGTAGAGAAATTCAATTTTTGGTAAAAGTGAGATTGAAAGTTTTAGGACTACCATATTAGAATATTCTCAGGGGTTCTAAACTGTAAAATGGTTTATTAAAATATTCAATGGAATATATTGTATTTTAAAGTTTTTGATAAATCCTTAAAATTATAGATAATGTACATGTGTATTTCATTATTTTGAAAGCTGGATATTTTATAATTTTTTCACACTCATGGTTGGAGATAAGAAATAATATTATTTTATCAAATGATATGTAGTTTAAAATCAAATACATTAATTAGTCAATATTTAAATGGAGGTCACACCTTTCTAATGCATCATTATTGTGGGACAAATTCAAAAGGAATATCAACACCAAATGTGGCCATGTTCTGTAAATTATTAGTATGCTAAATCATTTAGAAAACTAACAAATAATTGTACCAGAAAAACATTAATTAAGTCTTATTCTCGTTTTCTCCCCAAAGAGAATAAATAAGCAATGTATTGAATGACTCGCGTTGGAACAGTTAGTCATGCATTCTGATATCAATTGCATTTTAAACACCAAATCTGACTTGCTGGGTGGTTTAACTGGAAATACATGGGCTCTGGTGTTTCAGTACCTGGGATGAAATCCCAGCTTCACTTTGTCACCTTTGTAAATAGTCAAGAGATGGAATTACAGATGCTCCTCAACTAACAATGGGGTTACCTCCTGCTAAACACATTATAACTGGAAAATATCTTAAATAGAAAACATATTTGATACACCTAACCTAACAAACATAGCTTAGCCTAGCCTACCTTGAAGGTGCTCAGAGAATATTTACATTGCCCTGCAGTTGGGCAATAATCATTTGACACAAAGCCTATTTTATAATAAACTATTAAATATCTAATGTGATATATTGAATACTGTACTGAAAGTAAAAAATGCAATGATTGTATGAGTACTCAAAATATGGTTTCTACTGAATTGTGTATTGCTTTCTCATGATTGTTAAGTCAAAAAATTATTAAGTCAAACCATCATAGGTTGGGGATCGCCTGTACTTAATGCCTGGGTAAAACAAGGATGATGATAATGATAATCATGGTGATGTAAATATGCCATAAGATAATCTATTTAAACATCATGGTTAATTTCTTAATGATATCAGCAATTATTGTAAAGATGAAATGAACTTGTGAATTGTGGCTCCTAGCTTGTGATTTCATGCATTTATATTTTGGTTTGAAGCATTTCATATTCCTTATAGGTTTGAAACCATGTTAAGAGAAAATGCTCCAAACAACAGGCAAACAAAGATGAGATCAATTTATAAATGAAAGCCAAAGCAAAAATTGGAGGATTCAGCATAACTGGAGAGAAATTCAGAGGAAACTCTAGTCCATATAAATTCCAAAATGTTTGCACTGTTTAGAATAAGGACAGTAAAGGGAGGGATATACATTGTAACAAGTCTTCAATTAACCTATTTCTTTTTCAGGAAAATAGTATAGGATGTTAACTTAAGGAATCAGAATCACAGTAGATTTTTGTCAATGGCAAGAAAGGGACAATACCTAATCATTTTAATACCTCTAAATTGTTAAAAGATGATAACTTTTCTTTTTCACAAAGCAAATGGGCTTTTAAGCAGTTTCAGAATTAGGCATTATAGAAAAAATGAACAATGTGTGACTCATTTTTAAATGATGTATTGCATTATGTAGATGTGTATGTAAAAATGCACAGATAGCCTATTTATATTTTAAAATGTATTGATAGAAAAAAATTTGTTTTCCTTATATTGGTTTAATGCATGTGAATTTTATTGTGGCATACGGAATTGAATGAAAAGTAAAAAGTGAGCCATAGTAAAAATGTCTGCAGAATCAGATGAAGGAAATGAAAATGAAATTAAATTATGTTTCCTATTGTTCTTATGTTAAAAAAGTGGAAAGAAGAATGTAAGAAAGATTGGAATCAGGGTGTTAGAGTGCTCTATTAATGGAAGCTAAATATGTTACATTGCGGGAGTGAGGAAAATCTAAAATACAACTAAAATTTGTAGAATGCAATTTTATGGAAGGTGGCAATGATGAAATTGTGAGTAAAAAACATTTTGGTGATTAAAGATGTACAAGAAATGAATGTACATGTTTTATATTTTATTTCATTTTAAAATGAATCACACATAAAATCTGAATAACACATGAAATAGAAAGCCTCTAACAGATGTTATGATCTAGTTTTAATTTGGTACCACTGCCACTTGATATAAACATTGTATATGTACTTTAAACTCTCAAACACACTTATAATTTGAGAAAAAGCAAACAAACAGATACTAAGTTAAATGGGGTGATTAGAATGACTTCATTTTGAACAAAAAAAACATAAAATGCATAGTATTTTTTCACAAGTTGGAAATGTTCAGGATTTTTAAAATGCAGAAGCAGTGTACTTAGAAGTGAAGTGAACCACGTGATTATAATATGGGAGAGGATGGATTTGGTAGGAGTAAGACAACAGTAACAACTACAGTAGTCTAAGAGTCACATTTTAAAGGTGAATTAACAATTCCAACTTCCTGAACACATAAACAGAACAATGCATACACTGTGAGAAGTAATTCTCCAAGCATAATCACAGTGCTGTGCACAGACCTGGACTCACTAAGTTAAAAAGACCTTGGAAAACTTGAAGAAGGTTTAAGGACAAGCAATAAACATGATTAATAGCTTGGAAAATAGAATCTCAGAGGAAAGGTTAAGGGAACTAATATTATTTAAGTTGGAAAATAGGCTGGGGAAACAAGTTGGTTTTCAATTACATGAAGGATTATTACTTAGAAGGTGCTGATCGGTACTCTGATGCCACAGAGGGCAGAACAAGAATAAGTGAGCTTGAAATGTTGTATAAAGCATTTAGGCTAGCTAAAAGAAAGAACTTCCATCAGGACTGTAAGGCATTAAAATGGAAAGTACTTAATTTATTCCTCTATAGACCTTTCAAAATGCACTGGAAACCCATTTGTCTAGGAAAGTTTACATGAAGCCCAGCCTAAAGAGTGGAGAGGAAAGTGAAAAACTGGAAGTTTTTATACGGACTAACTTTCCTAAATTACTCTTACTTTCTGAATTGTGAATGTGTGTATTGTGGGTTTATTGTGGTGCATAGCAAGGAGGGGTATGCCCACAAATGAAAATTTTTAAAATATAGTTTAAGTGCACATTTCTTTGTTTAATATAGCAACCTTAACAAATGCTGTAATTCTAAAAGTCCTTATTGTAGCTGTTTAAGCAATTTTAGCTTGTTTACTTAATCAACTTCAAGAGATAACTAGTAACTAATTGCATTTTTGTTTCTTGGTTTATCATCCCCTTCTTTGCAATATATTGTTTTGTTTATTCTCTTAGAAACAAATCAAACCAACTGAATATTCTTCCATAAGGTAATAAAGTAATATATTTTCTTCTACAATATTTTATTTACATAGAAAAATAGGCTATTCTCTGAACACCTGCACATTTAATTATCTTAGAGTTAAATTATACAAGAATTCCATACCACTGATTTCTGAGGCTTGTGCTAACAAAGATAAATGAAAGCAGAGATTTCAATAAAATTTTGCAAACAGTTCTGTTAGAGCTTGTCAAATACGCACAAGATGTGAGCTCTAACTACTTTCATTTATGTGTCAGTGTTATGAAAATCACTAACTGAAAGTGTGGACTTTTGCATTCAGTCTGTACACAAATGGATAAAAGCGAGAACTCTACCTGGGAGCTTTTAACTATTTCTTTGTTGGTGATGTTTATTTTTCCCCGGTAAAATATTTCACTTTCTTTAAAATATATAATAAATAAATGAACATTTTCACCAAATACAAATAGGCAGCATAAATTGCATTACAAAAAAATGCTTTTTATTTTAAAGAATATCTGTTGCTTTATGTTTGGGAAGTGCTTTGTAGTCGTTAGTAATTAATTCTTTACAATGTCAGTAAGAATGTAGGAAAGTGACAGTTATTTCTTCTAAGATGAGAAAGATTTCATGAACAAATGATTTACTAAATTTGCATAACAAGTTACTGAAAAGATGGAATTGTAACTTTGAGGTCTTGTGTCATACTTTTTGTGTTTTGATTTTGCAAAAAGATGTACAAATTGACATAAACAATAAGGGAATCATTGTAACACCTGTACCCGAAAGCAAACAAAAAGAGAGTTAATCTTCTACCATGTCTGAGAGCTAGTTTACACTAAAAGTTTCCATTTAGGGGAGAATAAGTATTCCCCCAATGTAATATTGTACCGGGTGGAGATCGAGGTCAACCAACAAAGCCTCCTCCTCTTTGCAAATAAGGTCACATATATGATAGATAGAAAGATGCCCTTGAATGAGTGGGCATGCACGCTGAGAAAAGCTAGGGGTGCTTATTGTAATTTGGCATTTTTCATATTTTTATAATTCATCTGAAAATGAATGACTTTTTATTATGCTGACATATATAAAATTTATGGGACTTTATCATTTCCCCTCAAGCAAATCTAATAGGAAACCCACACAAAGTTCAGAATTCTCTACAATTGTAATTCTTGAGGCCTACACAGATAATAAGCTTCTGCTTAGCATCTACACAAATTTAAAATGAATAAAACTCATTGACAATCGGATTGTGTGGCTCAGTGACAACCATTTGGTACCCATATACCTCCTGAAATGTCTCCATTAAATCATCCCACATTGTTATTCTGTTAATATACTTATTACTCTAACATTCTCTTAGAATTAAGTCTCTACTAATAACTTGGAAATCCACAAACTAGAGAATAATCATCATAATATTTTCCATATCTATCTTCTGCTGTTTGTAATACCACACACTTAATGGTTTCTCCATGTTTGGAATGACTAATAATTGCACTTAGAATGCTAATGAAAGCATTCTTTCTGCCTCAAACAAAATATTATGTGTTAGCTTGACTTAAAAAGAGGGATACAAAAATAACACAGTTATCTTTGCCATTTACAACAAGAAAGAGAAGTCTACCATTTTGTCTGAATAATATAGTTTTGATTGTTGTTTAACTTTACAATAAAAACCTACATTCTTTTTTCCCCTTCTCTTTTTGCTTCCTTTCTATAGGGCATAAATGTTGTGATCTTTTGTAAAATATTTTATATGTCACACCAACTGTTCTTTTAATGTAAATGTGAATTAGTCAAAACTCCTAAGGACCTTCAAGACATGAATTTCTGTCCATTTCTTACCTTGAGACCATAGAGTCTATGATTGCTGGGAAAATGCCATTTATTGGCAAGGTCCTGAACTATGTTTTAAATATGAATACCTTTTGGACCCTGTATTATTGGTCTACCTCGCAATTACACCCTGATGTTACATCGCAGCTAATTAATAACTCTTCTCCCATGTCCTAGGAATTATATGTCTTGTCTCTGGCTTCTTATTTCTCATCTGGCAATGGTCATAAATTCCTAACTTTCCAATAATGCATTGCAGATTCTAAGAAACGAATAATATTATCAGATCATTACTTTGCAACAAATCAGGACTTCTTTGGTTTTTCTTTCATATCACCAACTGATAAGACTCTGTAATTTTTTAAACTCAAAGGAATTTACTTTTGTCACTAAGAAAGTGATGAGACTGAGAAGAATCATCTCTTTTAATGCTGTAAAGCAAAGATCCTAAGAGTTTCACTCTGACATAACAAAAAAGATGTACTAAAGCAGATGTGCTTGTTCATTTCACAATAGTCAGTAGAAAAATCATATTAATTATTACAGAACAAGATCATTAGAAACACATACCCAAATCTCAGATGATTATAGGTAACAAGCCGGTAGGCAGAGGGCAGAGTACTTTTTTTGTTTTTTTGTGTTTTTTTGGAGAAAGGGTCTCGTTCTATTGCCCAGGCTGGAGTGCAGTGACACCATCACGGCTCACTGCAGCCTCAACCTCCTGGGCTCAACTGATACTCCCCCTCAGCTGTCCTAGTAGCTGGGACTACAGGCACATGCCACCATGCCCGGGATGGGATTACAGGTGTGAGCTAAGGTACCCTGCCAGTAAAGTACTTCCTGTTAACCAAAGTTCCCATTGCATGATAAGCATCCTCAACACAGGGATTTGGAGTTCCACAAAGGAAAAGAAAAGGCCAGAGGCCAATGTGAAACAATGTGCAACTGTTCTGTGTCATATTCTTCTGAAAAGAAAAATCATGCTCAAAAGTATGAAATTCATGGGAATTTGAAAATGCCAGAAAGTTAACAGACTGTCCCTTGTGTTTCCTTAGCTTTAAAATGGTGATATCTGTATATAGGTTTCCTAAACCTACAAGAAAAGAGCTAGTTTAATAATGAGCAGGACATGTTATAATTTTTACAAGAAAGCATGCTGAACTTGTCATAAACTGTCAGAAAAATATCCTGAAAAATACCAATCTTTTTCCTTCAGAAACACCCTAATTTCTTTCTGTTTTTTGACATTGACAAAGTTTCCCTACTTGTGGGAGCCAGGCTTGGGCATAAAGTCATGTTCTCATTTTTCTTCCCACCTTTCCTCATCTGACTCAGCAAGCTAGTTAACACAACAAAGTACTTATTCTTATAGCTCTCCCGTTTCTCATCAGGTTCTGCCTTTGAGGATAGCCAGCCTGGAATTTGTTATATAGTGATATCGGCCCATTTCTTCATGGAATAAATATGTTTATACAGACCATAATATAAGACATTAAAACCCAACATATTACGTGTTACTTAACACAGAAAAAACATAAAACTTACCTGTGAACATATTAGCCAGTGGTGCTAATAGACTGATGAAACCACCCTTCAAGCTTTTATATTGTGAATACTTCAGGATTTCACATGGCTTTGCCGAAGTGCTTGGTTTAAAAGACAAGTATTTGGAAGAAAGACTATTAGCAGATAGGGCATGAAAAGGGGTTTAATATTGCCATTTTGTATCAATTATATTATTCATTTTTAAGGATATACCTCTAAATTTTTATTTTCAGTTTAAACAAGCAGATCTAGATTTTTAAGTCATGGAGGCTAGAAATTGTATGCTTTAATCTTTATATCCCCTCTGCCTTAGTAAGAGCTAGCAGTGTTTAAAGGTTTGCTTTAACTGTATTACCTTGTGAAATGTTATAAAAATGATATGAAGAATTATTTTCTGCATATTATTTTCTGCATTTTAAATATGAAGAAAATAGGACAGATATAAAATAATTTGCTCAAGGTTATAAATTTAATAAGCAGTGGAACAGAGAAATATAGGGAGTCTTATCTGAGAGTACTCACTCGTAACTACTATACACTAGTGAAGTAGTGCTATGTGATTTACATACATTAAATTTATATGTACTACACACACAGGCACACGTGTGCAAATATATTTAGCAGATGGCAAATAAAATGTCCCACTTGCTACCTAGTGAATGCTATACTATCTTTTGGAGAGTCCTTTAAAATACAATTTCACTTCCATAACCCAGAGAAATATTTCAGTCCTCTTGATTTTGTGACTATACAGAATTGCTTTGTGGTTATACAGGCAGAATGGTACAGAATTCAATTTGCTGTAACTTTTTAACAAGGAATGATTTTGGCTAGGACTACCACAGTGTTTGGTGGGGGAACAGCAAACATCTTGTTTTGGGGTAAAATCAATTATCAAATTACAACAACTTCATCTAAATTATGAATTATAATCCATAATTTGCTTTAAGCTTCACTTTTTAAGCTTCTTGTAAGCTTCACTTTAAGCTTCTTGTAATGTTCTTACAAGAGCAGTATCACCAGAGATGAATAATACAAATACATATTGCTGAACTTGACTTCAGTCTTCTTCAAAGGGAAACTTTCAGGGTGCAATGATGTAGAATGCAGAATAATTAAGTACCGGAAATTTGTGAATCATCACCCTAAAACAGGAAGAGTATTGACAAACGAAGATAAAGCAAAGAAATCATTTTGGCAAGGTTCTTCTAGAAGTCAGTGAAAATACATAGGTTAGTCATGTTATGTTGTATTTTTTGTTCTATCAGAATATCATATGATATCACTATATAATTATGGTGAGGAAGATTGTCAGTAGGCTATATTTGAATAAAGCCCACTAAAATTGATTAACATATTATTTGTTAAGGCTAAACAACAAAAGGATAAAGATTATGCTATTTAGGCAATGTCAGCATTATAACTGAGTAGGAAATAAAATGATAATGATCCACAGAGAAACATAGTAAATAATTATATGTTGCCAAAATAAAATATTGAGGGTATCATGGAAGATGAGGCAGCTTGTTGAAAATGGTTAACTCTAACTTGGAGAGATGGAAAGACACCTATGTAATTTAATAGCTCATTTTCCATAGACTAAAAAGACTTAATGTTGAAGGAGCACTTCCTCAAAAAGATGGTAATAAAACAGTGCAGATGCAGAGTGTGCACCTGCTCAAGGAAAAGAAAGAAATTTGATCAAATATTATTTAGCTGATGATAGAACATAGAGTACAATTATTTAAAAAATCAGAACCTTTTATTGCAGTACCTAAATTTTGTGTGCCTGTGACAGAAAAAAAGTATGAACAACTGTAATTTAAGAACTATATCATTATTTCAAATTTGTGTGAATTTATTGTGACTGTTATTGTGTAACATTTTGTGTTTTTGGTAAAATCATGTATTTAAAATACTTAAATGAATGATGGATCCAGATAAGTTTGCAGTGGTATTCATTTTGTTAATATGTATTATATCTACTTTATATCAAGAAATATTCTAGAATAAATGTGCAGGATATAGAGAAATAATTCAGATGTAACCCTTAAATTTAGTAGATAGTTAACAAGAAAAATAGAAGGAAGTCCAAAAATAGAATACTGTATTACATATAGTTGCAGCTAATAGGAGGAATACAATGTGAAGTGGGAAAGGGAATTAAACTTAATATTTATGCTTTTCTGGACCCACAAAAGGGGAAATGTATTTAAGACAGAGAAAACATCTGAAGGTGTGCAGGGAGAGGTAAAATACACATTATTTTCAGATACAGAAGATCAAGTTGCATGATGCATTCCACTTAACTTTTACCATGAGGACACAAGATCAGTGACCATATGAGACTTATACAAATGTGCAACTTTAGTTGAAAAACCAATGGCAAGATCACCTAATGACAGACTCTTTAGATTGTTGCTATCTAAGGAACTCTACATTGCTCAAATTACCAGCTAAAATGGATACAAGCAATGGCACACATGTTGAGAAATGTTACTTGTTACAAAAGTTAAGCTCTGGCCAAATATATGTTTAAAAGCTATAGATGGATAGATCAAGAGAGACAGAGAGAGAGACTTTTATATATGTCTTAGTCTGTCTGTTGCTATAAAGGAATTCCTAAGGCAGGGTATTATTTTAAGAGATTTATCTGGCTCATAGTCTTGCAGGCTGTACAAGAAGCATGGCACCTGCTTATACTTCTGGTGAGGGACTCGGGCTGTTTCCACTTATGGCAGAAGATGATGGGGAGCTGGAGTATGCAGACCACATGGCAAGAGAGGAAGGAAGAAAGAGAGGAGAGGGAGATGCTAGGCTCTCTTTAAACAATCAGTACTCCCAGGAACTAGCAGAGCAAGAACACACTCATCACTGAGAGGACGGCACCATACCTTTCATGAGGGATCTGTCTCCATGACCCAAACACCTCCCATCAGGCCCCATCTCCAACGTTGGGGATCAAATTTCAACATGAGATTCCAAAGAGGCAATTGGCCAAACTATATCACAATGCATATAGAATAAGCATTTGGAGCAGTACTGAGCAGTGGGAGAAATAGAACATATTTTCTCTAACATCTGCTTCCTAGACCTTCTCCAGATCTTTTGCATGTGAAAAAGTGAAAATACAGTAAGGAAAGCGAAGTTGGGATAGGGACTCCTGGTCCTGCTGGAAATTCTATTTATAAAGCTTATTAACAGCATAAAACATTTCTGCAAATATGGAGTTATAAAACCATTCAAAAAAAAGAGAAGGATGTTTTTATATCTACTGGCATCCAGCTGCTGTTATTATGTATAATAACATATTTGCAGTAAATTACAGAAACAAAAAATATAGACTTTGGAATCAGAGAGCCCTGAATTCAAAATTGTGATCTCCCACTTCCTATCGCTGTAACCTTGAGAAAGTTAACTAGCTTCTTCAAGGTCCTATCACTCTTCCACTCTGAAGATTATATCTGACTCAGGACACATTTGGAAGATGAAATGAGGCCCCGATATAAACTGCTCAGCATATCATCATACATGCTCTACATCTGCTATGAGACAGGAAGTATGAGGTTTGCACACAAAGATCCTCTCTTCTCCAGGTTTCCTTGTTAAGAAAATTCAGGAGGAGAAACACTCCCCAATTCCTTCCTTGTCCTTTGCTCTTGGTAAGAGTGAGTGAAGAAACTGAGCTGCTTTGCCTCTGCCCTTTCTAGATTCTCTCTCTTTTGAATTGGCCTTCCTGTAGGGGAAAAAAAAGTATTCTGGCTAGATGACCTGTATGTGTTAAGATTAATGGTGACGACTATGTATTATTTCTTCATTGGTTTCTGAACTTCAATGAGTAAGATGAGGACAGCTTGTCTCCATAAAGCACAACTTGTGATTGCTATTATTCTAACAACAAGCAATCATTATGCATTACCTCTTATGAGCTCGAATTTACAAATGCTTTCTGTGACTATCTTTTAATCAGGCAGGTGGCTGTTTAAATTATAACTTTTAATTTATAGTTATAATTAATAATTATAATTTTAAAAAGTTTATAACCAGTTCCAGGGCAATAATTAGTCAAAATATCATCAGGAATGTCATTCTAGAAACAATATTATTTGAATAAGGAAATTTAGAGATTTATAACATTAATAGATATCATGGGGTGATAATGACAAGAATATTAGTTATTTTTATGACATTGTGTGACAGAGATGGCTAACTCAATTAGATCCTGGTGCTACTAAAGCCAAGGTCACATATTTAATTTTCATATGAGCCAGTATACTTGTGACTGAGAAAACTCTGTTCTCTACTTGCAGACTGCACCACTAACCTCAATCTGTTATTCCTCAATTATATGTCATTAATTGATTCAATATCCTACTGATAGTGGGTTGTCTGTGCCATCTGCATAAATGAAAGACAGCATGTCTATAAGGCAGGCGACAGAGAGGAACTTGAGGCCATTAGTACCAGAAAATTCACTAACAACCTATAGATTTTCCTCAGGAAAGAAAAAAAATTCCAAGTTTTCTAGAAGAAAATTAACTGCAAACATTATACAAAAATAGGCTGGAATCAACTCACACACTCTTTCCACAAACGTGAGGCAAAAAGCAGCTCAATGGCCCTGGTATGCGTTTTAAATTTTTTTGAACTTATATTCAGCACATATTTATTTGATCAAATGCTCCCTGCAGAGTAGCATTTTTCCTAACAGAGGAGAAATTTTTAGTTTGCCATTCACTGTTCATCTACTAACTCTGTGCTCCTTTGCATTAGTTCCAAATCCTGTTGGGATTTTGTAATATATACATTCCAATTCTATTAACAAATTTAATGTATTACCACATATATGATTAAGACAGTATTTGGATATTTGCTGTCCTCACTCTCTAATGAGAGAACTTAGTTCCATACTCTGGTAAAGAAGTGATACAATATAATATTATAATATACTCATATAAACCAAGCATTTTATAGTTGAATAGAGGCAAACAAAGACTTCTAAGCACTAACTTTCACTATATTCTTTTATTTTTTTGTCTTTTTCATTTAGAAATTAAATAAGCTCATTGTCAAAACCTTATTTAAGGAAGAAATTGGTAGAGATCACTTAAATTCTAGTTAATTTATACTAAAATATTTTATTTTGAAAATAAGAATTTTAAGGCTGGGTGCAGTGGCTGACGCCTTTGGCTAGCACTTTGGGAGGCCCAGGTGGGCTGAACGTTAGGGGCCAGGAGTTCAAGACCAGCCTGGTCAACATGGCAAAACCCCATCTCTACTAAAAATACAAAAATTAACCAGACATGGTGGCACATGTCTGTAATTCCAGCTACTCATGAGGCTGAGGCACGAGAATTGCTTGAATTCAGGAGGTGGAGGTTGCAATGATCCAAGATTGTGTCACTGCAAGCCAGCGTGACATAGTGAGACTCCACCTCAAGAAAAAAAAGGAGAGAGAATAAGAATTTTAGGTGATGTCATCTAAGAGGTGGAAAGATCTGCTTCTGATTAATATATTCTATGTAGCAAGAGCTGGATGGAGCAATATTTTTGCATCTATGTGTGGAGTGATGGTGAGACATCAGGCAGCCTAAACAAGTATTTCTTTACAATATCTGTGTTTTAGGCACTGTATAGTAGCAGAATATGTAACAGTACACTGAAACTTGAAATTCCCTATGTTCAAGGATGTAGCATCCTAATGGAATAGAGAACAAATGAGGAGGGGGTGGATATTATTAGTGAATAAAATCAATAGCAAGATGCGTTGACAGAAGATATTGGTGAAGAGAGATACTCTCTAAAAAGACAATATTTATTCTGATTTAAGCTGAGATGGAAGAATGATAAGGAGGAAATGATGTGAAAATGTATAGCACCATGACCCACATGGAAGTGACGAGAGCAGATGAGAAGCAGGCAAACAGCATTTGCAAATGCACAGAGGCACTTAGCGCATGGAATAAAAAAGCTTGGAATTGAGGAATGACTGGAGAACTGGCAAAATCCACACTCTAGAGAACAGATAGAAAGTGAGAAAGAGAGACATTGACTTGGGATAGAAGAGAAAGAATAGACTACATTATGTAATGGAAAGCCAGTAAGGAGGCATATACCTAATTGCACATGAGGTTTAATAGAAAGGGAGGAATCAAGCATGATTTTTAGGCTGCTAGCCTTAACATCTGAATGGATAGTGTGTCATTTATTGATGACAGAAATCCACAAGTTAAGTAGGTTGAATTCATTGTTGAAATGAGAATCTGTATGTATTAGTCTGTTTTCATGCTGCTGATAAGGACATACCCAAGACTGGGCCATTTACAAAACAAAGAGGTTTAATGGACCTACAGTTCCACATGGTTGGGAGACCTTACAATCATGGTGGAAGGCAAGGAAGAGCAAGTCATGTCTTACATGGATGGCAGCAGCCAAAGACAGAGAGCTTGTGCAGGGGAAACTCCTCTTTATAAAACCATCAGATCTCATGAGATTCATTCACCATGAGAACAGTACGAGGGAAACCACCCCATGATTCAAGTATCTCCTACTAGGTCCCTCCCATAACACATGGGAATTACAGAAGCTGCAATTCAAGATGAGATTTGGGTAGGGACACAGCCAAACCATATCATTCCACCCATGGCCCCTCCCAAATCTCATGTCCTCACATTTTAAGACCAGTCATGCCTTCCCAAAAGTCCCTCAAAATCTTATTTCAGTATTAACTCAGAAGTCCACACTCCAAAGTCTCATCTGAGACAAGACAAGTCCCTTCCACCTATGAGCCTGTAAAATCAAAAGCAAGTTATTTACACAGTCCAAAGTCTCATCTGAGACAAAGCAAGTCCCTTGCACCTATAAAATCAGAAGCAAGTTAGTTACTTCCTAGATACAATGGGGGTACAGGCATTGGGTAAGTACAGCTGTTTCAAATAGGATAAATTGTCCAAAACAAAGTGGCTACAGGCCCCATGCAAGTCCAAAATCCAGCAGGGCAGTCAAATCTTAAAGCTCCAAAATTATCTCCTTTGATGCCATATCCCACACCCGGGTCACGCTGATGCAAGAGGTGGGTTCTCATGGCCTTAGGCAGCTTCATCCCTGTGGCTTTGCAGGGTACAGCCTCCCTCTTGGCTGCCTTCACAGGCTGGTGTTGAGTGTCTGTGGCTTTTCCAGGCACACAGTGCAAGTTCAGTGGATCTAACATTCTGGGGTCTGGAGGACAGTGGACCTCTTTTCACAGTTCCACTAAGCAGTGTCCCAATAGGGACTCTGAGTGGGGCTCTGACTCCACATTTCCCTTCTGCACTGCCCTAGCAGAGGTTTCCCATGAGGGCTCCAGCCTTGCAGCAAACTTCTGCCTGGGCATTCAGGCATTTCCATACATCCTCTGAAAACTAGGCAGAGGTTCCCAAACCCCAATTCTTGACTTTTGTGTACTGACAGGCTCAACACCATGTGAAAGCTGCCAAGGCTTGGGGCTTGCACCCTCTGAAGCCACAGCCCAAACTGTACTTTGGCCCCTTTTAGCCATGGCTAGAGTGGCTGGGACACAGGGAATGAAGTCACCAGGCTGCACATAATAGGGAGGCCCTGGGCCCAACCCACAAAACCATTTTATCCTCCTAGGCCTCAGGGCCTGTGATGGGAGTGGCTGCCTCAAAAATCTCTGACATGCCCTTTTTCCCTGGAGATATTTTCCCCATTGTCTTGGTGATTAATATTTGGCTCCTCATTACTTATGCAAATTTATGCAGCTGGCTTGAATTCCTCCTCAAAAAAATGGGATTTTCTTTTCTCTCACATTGTTAGGCTGCAAATTTTCCAAACGTTTATGCTCTGTTTCCCTTTTAAAACTGAATGTCTTTAACAACACACAAGTCACATCTTGAATGCTTTGCTGCTTAGAAATTTCTTCTGCCAGATACCCTAAATAATCTCTCTCAAGTCCAAAGTTCCACAAATCTCTAGGGCAGAGACAAAATGCCACCAGTCTTTTGCTAAAACATAACATCACCTTTGCTCCAGTTCGTAAGTTCCTCATCCCCATCTGAGTTCACCTCAGCTTGGATTTCACTCTCCATATCATTATCAGCATTTCGGACAAAGTCATTCAAAAAGACTAGGGAGTTCCAAACTTTCCCACATTTTTCTATCTTCTTCTGAGACCTCCAGTCTGTCCCAACCTTTGCCTGTTACCCATTTCCAAAGTTGCTTCCACATTTTCAGGTTATCTTTTCAGCAGTAATTTGCTGTATTAGTCCATTTTCACACTGCTGATAAAGACATACCCAAGACTGGGAAATTTACAAAAGAAAGAGGTTTAATGGACTTACAGTTCCACATGTTTGGGGAGGCCTCACAATCATGGCAGAAGGCAAGGAGGAGCAGGTTACCTCTTACACGGATGGCAGCGGTCAAAGACAGAGAGCTTGTGCATTGGAAACTCTTTATAATACCATCAGATCTCATGAGACTACCATGAGAACAGGATGGGGGAAACCATCCCATGATTCAATTATCTCCCACGGGGTCCTTCCCATAACGTGGGAATTATGGGAGCTACAATTCAAGATGAGATTTAGGTGGAGACACAGCCAATCCATATCACGATATCTCTAGAGAATCACATGGTATTTGATTTTAAATCTGCTTTTAGCAGGTCCCACCAAGGAATACAATATGATTTGGTTCCACCATAATTAACAAATTTCAAAATTTTAACGTTCAGGTTTTCTGCCTTGTATCTGTTGCTTTTTGTTAATAGTTTCCTCCTTCTCTTTTCAATCAAGCAAAATTCTACTTCATTATTATCAGGTTCAACTTCTATATTAGCAATAGAGCCTTTCCCAACTGCAAAACAGAGAAATCAAACCACCTGTGCAATTAGACAGACACCTCCTTATTGGCTTTCCATTATGTAATGTGATCTCTCCTTTCTCTTCTATTCCAAATCTCTCTCTCTCTCTCTCTCTCTCTCTCTCTCTATTCTCTAGAGTATGGCTTTTGTCAGTTCTCCATTCATTCCACAATTTCCAAGCTTCCTTATTCCATACACTGAGTGCCTTTGTGCATCTTGAGTCTATCTCTACTGTGAGACTCATACAAATTTATGCTTGTGCCTCTGTGTTTTATCCTTTCTGGCTAGCTGAGAAGGAAATGCCAAAATTGACCATGAATCCCACATACTGAAAACATCACAGCCTCTGTGAAACTGCGTCTCTTAATGAATGCATGGAACCAAATTCAATCCCCACCTTGAAATCAACTCAAACTCTTATGAGAGCTAGAATAAAGCTATTTTGTGGAAATATGTTTGCAGTTTGGGATCTATGTATTATTGTAGCCTAGACTTTCATAATTAATATATATTATAACCATTTCGAATATATCCTGTGAATAATCTACACTCTACCAATGCTACTCTTAGTATTCTCCATAACTGAACTTAATGCTCCAATGGTAACCTGAATAGTGAACAATAGAGCAGAATTATTGCATAATTTATTCTAAAGATTGTATTTCTACTAATAAAATCTAAATTCAAATTATAATTTCAGAAGCCACTGACAGTGTATATTATGCTTTCTCAGGGCCACACATTTCAGATGTTTAATCAGCATGTTAATATCAATCTTATTCACAGAGTTTTAGAAAGAGATAAAGTAAAATTAGGACATTATGAAAGGTGAGTAGACATTTTTATCATGCTGATTCTAATACAGATCCGGCTTAATCAAAAAGATTATTTTAGACATTTTTTGAATAAGGATATAGGACAACATCCCTTTACTTGCTGTGAGATAATTGCTTCCTTTGGCTGAAATAGAAAATATAGATGGTTGCAATAAAAAATAACAAAACATTGCCTGTGTTTATATTGTGCAGGCTAAAGTATGTAGTAATCATTGGGTCATGACTTCTGTTCTAAAGGGTTTTAGGCCCCACTACTAAATTCCCCCCTTCCTCAAACAAAACAAAGCAAAACAAAACAAAACTAACACCAATGAAACAACTAATTAAAAAAAAGGTCTTATTTTTTTCATAGAATAAATGGAGTGTTTAGCTATATTCAATTAGTCTTTTGCAAAAGTAATAGACAGTAACAAAAGTAGTACCAATATCATAAAGAGAACAGACTGAAGGTACATTCTCACATTCCTCTTCGAATCCTACTTTTGAAGACATTCCAGTATGGTGTCTGATCTTTGGGAAGCACCACTATTTTTCAGCTTCTGCATTAAAGGTCATTCTTGGAATTGTCTCTGGTTTCTGAACCCTTGGAAAATTAAACAGAAATCAGCATTCTGGTTTACGTTCAACTTCTTTTCATGTCGAGATGACTAGACTGGTAAAAAGAAGTTAGTTCAGCATACTGGCGAACATAAACCAGGTTTGACAATTCAGGAAATATTTATAATTCATATGTAAGAAACTGCTCATTTCTCTAGAATGAGGTGATAATCTAATAAAATAAGTAAAATCCATGTTCTAGGCTTACCATCTTTCTCTGCCTCATTAGGTAACATCTGAGGACTAGTCAATGGTTATAATTAAAAACTTGAACTTTTGAGTATCCAAATCTCCACTGGAAATTATTTATTATTAAATACCTAGTTATTTTGCTATTAAATGCCATAACTTATTTTTCCTTCTTTAAAATTGTGAAGTGTTTAAAGGTAGAGATTTTTCTTCATTATATTCACTGAAGTATCTCAAGTGTCTACACCAGTGCCTGGCATACAGTAAGTATTTGATAAGTGTCAACTAAGTTGTATGAAAGGATGAATGGATTATTTGTTTGGTCATCATATTACAGTCATACTCACCTTCTTTCTGTTTTTAATAGGCTGAGTCCCTTCGGGGTTCATGAGCTTTGGAAATGTTCTTTCTTCTTCTTGGAGTTTTCTTTGTCCAGATGCCCCTTACTCATTGCGTAGGTCCCACATTGAAAGACACTTTCTCACTGAAGCCTTCCCTGAGCACAGAAGGGAAACCAGAAGCTTCCTTCACTGGTCTTTTTTAGTATATACTCCACTGTAGTCCTTCAGAGTATATATCACTTTTACCGTACTGAATTTCAAGTGTGTTGAGGGTAAAGATTACACTTTTCCTCCTCACCATACTACATTACTTAGAAGAGAGTCCAGTGGAAATTAGATGTTCAAAATCTAGTTACAGGTTGCTAACTGACCACTGTGTTCCTGGCACTATGCTCACTGTTGATTGTGCATTGGTGAACAACTTGCTCTATGAAACTGATATAAAGAAAATGAGCAAAATAACATTTTCCCCAAATGATTATAGGAATTATGAAAGGAAGGAATATAGTTCTGGGATGAATAAGATGGGTATGTTTCTAGATTTTTTAGTAAAGACCTGTGAGGTGGTAACACAAACAAAAACCTTACGAAAGAGGCTGCAGCCATGTAGAAACCTGGGGGAATATCTTTGTAGAAAGAGGAAACAGTATGTAGTGGGACTCAACACAGAAAAGAGCAAGCTGCCCGGTATCTACCCAAAGGCAAATAAGTCATTACGTAAAAAACAACCTGCACTCCTATATTTGTTGCATGGCTAGTCACAATAGCTAAGTCATCGAATCAACCTGTGTCCATAAATGGATCATTGGATAAAATGCAGAATACACACACACACACACACACACACACACACACACACACACGGAATACTACTCAGACGTAAAAAAGAATGAAATCATGTTTTCTGTGCAGTATGGATAGAACTGGAAACCATTATCCCATGCAAAATAACTCAGAAAGGCAAATACCACATGTTCTTACTTATAAATGGGAGTGAGACAATGGGTACACAAGGACACACAGAGGGGAATAATAGATACTGGGGACTCCAAAAGCTGGGAGGGAGGAAGCAGTGGGTGAGACAAAAAAATTTACTTATGGGGTACAATGTACACTGTTTGGGTGATGGGTACATTAAAAGCCCAGACTTTGCCACTACACAATATATCCATGTAACAAAACTGCACTTTCATCCCCTAAACATATAAAAATGAAAATTAAAAAAAAGCAGTAGAAAACAGTTGCCTAGGGTGAGGCCAGAGATGGAGACAAAAGCCAGCTGAAATGGGTATTATAATATAAAGCTTAGATTTTACTGGAAGAACAATGGAAATGACCAAAGACAGTCATTTGCTTTGCTTTAAGATTACTGTGCCCACTGTGTACACAGTAGGTTATAAGAGGGAAAGGGTTAAAGTAAAGATAGGAACTGTTTCAGTGGTCTGGTAGCTATTCTGGAATGATGGCAGTAGAGATGGAAAGAAGAGGGTGGATTCCAGATACATTACAGGTGTACAGTTGATAGGATATAATGATTAGCTCTAGGATAATCATAGGTGATAATGCTGTCAGATAATTTATCATGTAAATGGTAAACTTTTGAAAGGAAAACAAGGTAGTATTATTTACCCCTTGGAAGAAAAGGGATTTGTAAGGAGGTATGCTCATCCTCTTTTGTTTTTAAATATGTAGTAAGTAAAAATGCTTTTCATTAAAATAGAGGAGAGTCAGGAGAGAAAAAGACAATGAGGAAATGGGCTAAAAAATATTGTTTGGTCAGAAAGATCTGAATGCTCAAAATGCTGAGATGGAGAAAGCACGACACTCTTTGGAACTGCCAAACAGTTCAGATATAACCTAAAGGTGACTAGAATGTGAAAAATATGAGGTACTGTTCATCATAGGCTATCATGTATTATTAATTTTGGGGGGCACAGGTTCATTACCTTTGCCCAGCATATTCTGTCTGAAAATAACACATGAAAAAGTCAGTATAGTTTTCTAGTTGCTGAAATTAGCATTTTAAATTCCAGTAATTTAGTCTCCCAATAGCCTAAAATGAATCATGATTCTTTAATTATAAATACGTAGAAATATTTTACAGAAAATTGGAAACTCAAGGAATTTGTTTTGCTGAGCTCTTCTTAAAAAATGAAGGGGCTAATGGCAAACCTTATTTATACACTAATAACTATTGGAATAGAATATAATGATGATTTTTTTATTTAACGTGCATTTAAATGCCTAAGGAGACTCAGAAAATCCGTACATCTATTTACTCCAGATTGGATCTGAAAGTCTATTTCCATCTAGTTTCTCAGCATTATTAGTAGTGAAATATAAAGCCAGGATTATTGACCTAAGTGGATCATCAGATTTAGAAAAACCTATACATCACATAAGTTTGAATACAGATTACCAAGTGTTATTTTTAGTTCAGTCAAGTTTGATAGGGTTTGTATAACTGGTCTGAGAAATGAATTACTGAGGTTCATCACAGAGAATCTGTTCACTACCACCTTAATGTGAAAGTCAGATTGTAAATTCATATCCATAGCAGGTAGAGTAAATGGAATTTTTCCCATATATTAGAAAATGGAATTATTATTAAGAACTGTTTCCACTGAAAAATTGTTGTGATGTAAGAGCTCTGATATGACAAGCCTTATCTATTTATTTATGCTTTACCTTCCCACATTTTGATCATTGTTTAAGTGCATAACAGTATGCACATCTGTTGCCCTGATGGATGGATTTGCTGCAGTATGGTACAGCTAATGAAAAGATGGCAAACAGTTAAAAGATAGATAAAGATTTATGAATCAATAAGAAAGCCTGATGCTAAGTACATAAATGACACAGTGGGCTAATCTGAGATACAAATTTCCAATTAATTTCACTCTGTGAAATGAAAATTTGTATTATGCTAAGAGAACTGTAGTTCCAAATGTTTCTATTGTTTCCTTTTATGTTTGGAATCTTCAAGTCTTTCTGCATGACTAAATAGTTATAGGCAGAGAATACTTTTCCAAAATTATTGTGTGCCAGACTTTTTAATATTTTTTGAACTTTTTATTGAAGAACAAGATATACGAAAGAGAATGTACAAATCATAAGTGTAAAGGTGGATGACTTTTCATAAACTTAACACATCCATGTGGCTGGCATAGAGATCAAACAACAATATTCCCAAGACTCCTCTGCAGGCCATCACATAAAGATTAACCACTTCAGACTATTAACACAGTGAGAGTACTTCTTTATTGGTGGTGGTGTTGTTGTTGTTTTTAATACCTAAAATGGAAGCATCATACTTCCTGATAACAAAATACATTACAAAGCTATGGTAATCAAAACAGTATGGTACTTGAAAAAAAGACTGACATGTAGACAAATGGAAAAGAATAGAGAACCTAGAACTAAATCCACATATTATGGTAAACTGATCTACAAGAGTGCTAAACACACACAGTGGGGGAAATGATAGTTTCTTCAACAAATAATGTTGGGGAAACTGGATATCCACATGCAAAATAATGAAAATGGGTCCTTATACTATAAACAAAAACAAACTCAAAATCAATTAAAGACTTAAAAGATCTGAAACTGTAAAATTCCTAGAACACATAGAGAAAAGCTTCTTGACATTGTTTTTGGCTATATTTTTTTGGATTTAATACCAAAAACACAGAGAAAATAAAATTAAGCAAATAGGATTACATCAAACTAAAAAGTTTCTGCACAACAAAGAAAACAATCAATAGAGTGAAAAAACAACCTATGAAATGGAGAAAATTTTTGCAAATCACATGCATACCTGATAGGGGGTTAATCTCCAAAATATATAAGGAACTCATACAACTCATTAGCAAAACAACTAAGAACTTGATTTAAAAATGAACAAATAAATAGACATTTCTCCAACGAAGATATACAAATGAACAATAGTTATATGAAAAAATGATCACCATCACTCATCACCATAGAAATGCAGATGAAAACCTGAATGAAGTATCATCTCACACCTGTTAGAATAGCCGTTATTAAAAAAAAATAAAGACAAGTGTTGGTGATGATGTGGAGAAATTGGAAACCTGACACAATATTGGTGGAAATGAAAATGGTGCAGTCACTACAAAAAACAGTATGGAGCTTTCTCAAAAAATAAAAAAGAGAATGACTAAATGATCAAGCAATTCTACTTTGGAGGTTTTATTCCAAAGGACTGCAATCAGGTTTTAAAGAGATATTAACACTTCTTTTGTTTTTATGTATAACTGGACTCTTATCACAATATGAGCCCTTTTAGTTATGACTTCCTTCATGCAACTTTGCATTTGTGGGATTCATCCATCTTAGTAAGGACAGTTATAGTACGCTCCTTTACATTGTATATTACTATCCTTGTGTGAATGTCATTTTTAAGTTCATTTTATTGCTGATGTGAATATACGTAGTTTCCATTTTTAGCTATTGTATAAATAGAGCTTCTATAAACATTTTAATAAATTTATAGAACATATATGTACATTTCTATTGGGTATATACTTAGAAGTATAATTGCTGACCCATATTGAATGCAAATGATCATTGTTACTAAACAGTGCCAAATTGGTTTTCAAAGTCCTTTTGTCCCTTTAGATTCCCCACAAACTTAGCAGCATTTGGCAGTGGGTACCGTTTCAGTTTAATGAAAGTGGTAGTATATGATAGTTATACTTTGCAGTTTCTTTAAGATGAATAAATTAAAATATCTGAACGTGTTTATCTGTTACTTGGTAAACCATATAACTGATTGTTATTGTGATTGCTCAAGTCTTCTACCTAATTTTTTTAAATTGAATTTCTTTTCTTGATTTCTAGGATTTCTTTATATATATTCTGACGAGTCATTTCCAAATATATGTATGACAAACATTTTTTCTTGCAATTAAACTTCCTATCTCTCCCGTTCTGGAGAGAATTGAACTTAATGTAGTCCATTAAATTATTTTTGTTTTGGTTATAATTAAAGCTTTGTTCAGCCGAGTGTGGTGGCTCATGCCTGTAATCCCAGCACTCTGGGAAGCTGAGGCGGGCGGATCACCTGAGGTCAGGAGTTTGAGACCAGCCTGGCCAACATGGTGAAACCCCATCTCTACTAAAAATACAAAAATTAGCCGAGCGTGGTAGCAGGTGCCTGTAATCCCAGCTACTCGGGAGGCTGAGGCAGAAGAATCTCTTGAACCTGGGAGGCAGAGGTTGCAGTGAGCCGAGATCGCGCCATTGCACTCCAGCCTGGGGAACAAGAGAGAGACTTCATCTCAAAAAAAAAAAAAAAAGAAAAGAAAAAAGAAAAAAACGGTAAAAAAAAAAAAAAAAAAAAAAAAAAGCTTTGTTCGTTTGCTAAAAATTTATTACATACTGTGTTGCTATAAACATATTTATTTTCTCATGTTTTCTTTTAAAATATGAATTATTCTACCCTTCACATTTAGAACTACAATTCCTGTGCAGTTGATTTTTTCATATGGTGTGAGATAGGAAATCAGTTTTTTTCATATGAAAAGCCATTGGCCTAACACTATTCATTGAAGGATCATTTTTTCTTCCCCTTAAGTATCACCTCTGTGATAAACTAACTGTATGTATGTAGTAGTCTATTTGTGTACCCTCTATTATTTACTATTGATATTTCTGTCATTATGTATAGCAGGGAAGTAGGAGTTACAGAATTTCTAACATTTTAAAAACAGAATTTAAAGATTGAAAATGATTAGGAAGTAGTTTTCTGAAGTATTAACTTAGGTACAAAATTAAAGATTCCAAAATTTAAAAGCAACATAAACATTTCTAAACAGATTTTGTAGTTTATTTTTATATTTTTAAAGAACTCATTTTGATTTTTGCTGCAGATAAAATGAAGCATTATGATGTAATAATGCATTGATTTGATTTATTAAGTAAAACAATAAATGCATTTTAATTATATATAAAAATATAAATAGATTTTATATGAAATATATAGGTTTATATAATACATATTTATATTGTATATATTTGTATGTATTTAAAATAAAGATATAAATATATATGCAAATTTATGTTATTTTATATAACATACATAAATATTTTATTATGATTTCATTTATAGTCTACATGGAAGCTTTTTTTTCCACAGGTTTTTCTCTCTACAAATTAAAGTATGGCATGTATATATATTTGGCTATGTAAGTTGAAGTCTCATGAGAAAGTTTTCTTCATAGTTGTTATACGTGAATTCTACAGGTAAAGAATATTTGTGAGAGATGCTAGAATTATTTGAGTGTGGGATAATTCTTGGTTCATTCTTTCTCATTTTTTTTTTTACTGGCATCTGGGTTTGTTGCCTTGTATAATGAAGTATCACTCAAATTAAACAAATCTATGTAAAATTGTAATAGAGTTTGATTATCCTCTTGCAAAAGAATAACAATACTCATGATTTTATTGTATAAACCATCCTTTCTTTCTGAAATGAAAATATTAACTTTATCACATATTGAACATTTGGTTATGTTTCCAGAGGATTTTTCGCTGTTCTTCTACTAGACTTGTTAATTTATATATCATAATCAAATAATTTTAATCGCTATGGCATTGTATCAAGTTGTGGTAACTGGTAATCCCACTTATTTTCCTCCTTTTACATTATTTTTACTGTTCTCAAACCTACATTAATATTAAAACCATTGAAGAGTAAAAACATTTCTTAATTTCCAACCAAAGCAATTCAAATAAAATTTTGAATGGAGTTACTTCAAATTTATATTTAGTTCTCAAACTTGACATTTAGTAATTCTTCCTTTTCTGGAGCATAATATGTTGATTCTTCAAAGAAATCTTGTTTATATCTTTTACAATGGCTTTATTACTTTTTCAAACATATTCTATAACATTTATGTTAAATGTATTCCCAATTATTTAAATAAATTTTAGTTATTATTTTATAAATTTTTAATTAATCATTTAATTAATTAATTCCAGTAAAGGGAAAGTCTGCTGGCTTTGAATTTATGCATTTTACTTAATAAAATTACCAACACTTAAAAATTGATTTTATGATAATTATTTTTAAAACTCTTGAATTTTTCTGGGAAAACCTATTAGATCATTTGTAAATAAAAACATTTTTCTTCCCAACCTTTACTCCTATTAGTATATTTTCTCATCTAACATTATTACCTAGAATATCTACAATAATATTGAAAGTTGCTGCATATCAATGGCCGTTCTGGACTTTCATGAAAATATACCAGGTTTCAACATTTTTATACTACTCACTGTTATAAAATGCACAAAACTCAAAATATAAAATATGACATAAAGCTAAAAGTAAATTTCATCTCTAGTCCTGTCCCTCAGTTACCAAGGTTACTTCGCTGGAAGCAAATGTAGTTGCCTGGTTTGTATCATGACATTTATTTTTACACAAATTAAAACATACCAATACATTCAAATCTATTTTTACACAAATGTTAGCATAATAAACACACGGTTTCTCATTTCTTTCTCCTCATGTAGCAATAAAGCCTTTTTAAATTTCCTTCTTATGTCTGCTTTGTGTCATGGCAGAGGTACTAACCAAATATCCCATCTACTCATACACATTCCCAACCCCTTGCTGTCAGGCAGAGTAATCTAACTGGCTATGGCCATTAGGCTATGGACAGAAGTAACTTTTTTTACTTCTTAGTTAAAGCTTAGAGAAGCTGTATTATGACCCCATACCCAGCCCCAGCCACCTCTTTGTTAAGTCTGTGACAGAGAAAGACAATTTTCTAGCTGATACAACATGGACATGTTGTATACTGAAAACTAATATATGTATTGTTATAAAATATATAGTTCTTATAATATACATTTATATATAATGTGTGTGTGTGTGTATATACACCCCCATATGTATGTCATTATATATACACACACACGTCATTAAAGAAGACCTAAATAAATGGAAAGACAGCCGGTTCTCATGGATCAGAAGACTTATTAGTGTTAAGATGGCAATATTCTACTAATTGATCTACAGATTTGACACAATCCCTTTCTAAATCTCAGCTACCTATTACACAGAAATTAACAAATGCATTCTAAAATTTATATTTAATTGCAAAACACCGAGAATAGCCTAAACAATCTTAATAAGGAAAAAAGTTGGAACATTTATACTTCCCAATTTTAAAACTTACTAAAAATCTATGGTAATCAGTCAGTGTGGAATAGAAATTGGATTTCATGGATAAACACATATTTATGGCCAAGTGATTTTTGACAAGTGTGTTGAGATACTTCAATAAAGAAAAGCTTCTTCAATAAATGGTGCTGGGGCATCTGGATATCCGCTTGCAAAAACATAATGTTAGATTATTTAAATAAAAAATTATATCAAAATTTATCATAGATATTAACCTGAGACCTAAAGCTATAAAATTCCAGAAGAAAACATAGGAATAAATCTTCATAATCAGGTTAGGAAATAGTTTTTTAGATATTACTCCATAAACATAAGCAGCAGAAGAGAAATAGACAAATAGAAATTCATCAAAATTAAATTGTGGTTCAAACACAACATCAAGAAAATGAAAAAACAATTTACTGAATGGGAGAAAAGATTTCCAAGTTACATATATGATAAGGGACTTCTATCTGCAACATATAAACAATACTTACAACTAATTACTAAAAGACAAATAACCCAATTTAAAAACAGGCAGATTTGAATAGTCTTTACTCCAAAGAAGATATACAAATACCCTAGAACTACATGAAATGATGCTCACCATCATTAGCAGGGAAATGAAAATTAAAACTGCAATGAGATACCACTTCATAGGTACTAGCATGGCTAAAATTTAAAAAAGCAGACAATTACAAATTTTCATGGCACTATAAAAAACTGGAACATTCATTTATTTCTGAGGGGATTTTAAAATGACTCTGCTACTTTGGAAAACTGTTTGGCAATTGTTTAAATAGTTAAACGTAGTTATAACCCAGCAATTTCACTCCTAGACATATGCCCAAGAAAAATTAAAACATATTTTCAATAAAAAATTGTACGAGAATGTTCATAGCAACATTACCTATAATAGCTAAAAAGTAGGGGGAAAACAAATGCCTAACATCTTATGAATGGAAAAATAAAATGTGATATATCCGAACAATGGAGTATTCTGTGACAATAAAAAGAAATGAAGCCCCAGCCGAGCGCGGTGGCTCACGCCTGTAATCCCAGCACTTAGGGAGGCCAAGGCGGGTGGATCACGTGGTCAGGAGTTCGAAACCAGCCTGACCAACATAGTGAAACTCCATCTCTACTAAAAATACAAAAAACTAGCTGGGCATGGTGGCAGGCGCCTGTAATCCCAGCTACTCGGGAGGCTGAGGCAGGAGAATCTCTTTAACTCGGGAGGTGGAGGTTGCAGTGAACTGAGATCTCGCCATTGCACTCCATCTGGGGAGACAGTGAGAAACTCCGTCTCAAAAAAAAAAAAAAGAAAGAAAGAAATGAAGTCCTGCTGATGCTACAGAATGAATGAACCTTGAAAACATTATGTTAAATGAAAAAAGCCAGTCACAAAAGACCATATACTCTATTATTCTATTTACATGAAATGTAAATGGAATTTGCATTTCTAATTTGTAGGCAAATCCATAAAGACAAACTAAGAAAAAAATCAATTTGGAAAGAGCGATGAAAAAAATTGGTGAAATTTTTAGATAAACATAGGCAACATGCAAACATAGGCATCAAATTAAATCAGCAACCAAAGCAATGTATCTAATTTCTAAAATTGCGCTACCCATTATTGTTGATGATGTGAGAGAATGAATAATCTCATATTTATAGGAATGTATTTGTTCAAATTGTGGTAAACATTTTCAGAAATTATTCAAAAACCACAAGGAAATGCGCACTCTTTGACCTAGCAATTCTATTCTTGGTATTTAGTAAAAAACAAGTATGAATTCATTTGTGCAAATATTTATATTTTTGCTTGTTCATAGTGTGGTACAAAACATTTAGAAATTACAATATAATGGCAACATCAGAATAGAGACTTGCTTACAAAATTATGTTTCCATATAATGAAATAATATTCCGTTTTTAGAAATAGCATTGAATAAGAATATTTATTGGCATAAATTATAAATATGGATAAAGAACAGTTTCAAAACAGTGTGTTTTAATATAATTATTATGTTTTACATATATGCATGTTAAGAGAGAAATATAAATTCATAGTACAAATGAGAAAGTTAGTAGTATGAAGATACCAATGGCTTATAGCCACTTAATGCATTGTAATTTGCAGTGTTTTTTTGTTTGTTTTTTTTTTTGAGATGGAATTTCACTCTTGCTGCCCAGGCTGGAGTTCAGTGACACGATCTCAGCTCACTGAAACCTCTGCCTCCTGGATTCAAGCGATTCTCCTGCCTCAGCCTCCCGAGTAGCTGAGACTACAGGTGCCTGCCACCACGCCCAGCTAATTTTTGTGTTTTTGGTAGAGACGAGGTTTCACCATGTTGGCCAAGCTGGTCTCGAACTCCTGACCTCAGATTATCTTCCCTCCTTGGCCTCCCAAAGTGCTGGGATTACAGGCGTGAGCCAGCGCGCCCAGCCTGCAGTGTATTTTTTAAGTGTATATGTTCAGGTGAATTTCTCAATTAGGATACTGTAATTGGCAGTTGTTTAAAGTTTCTTTTTGAGATTAAAAGAAACCCAGTTGCATTCCAGATACTTGTATGGTAACATCCCCAAACTTTCTCCAATTGTGATCTCTGTCTGGAGGGGGACTTATAGAAGTAATATATATTCAGGTAAGCACTTTCATGTATATTAAAAAAGCAATGTTTTCCGAGATTTTGATACAGTCTTGCAGCAAAACAGTAGCTGTAATCATGGACTCAATCATTTAGGGAATCAAATTACATAAAAAAAGATGCTTTAAAATTTCTTAAAATCCTGCACATAGGCACATAAAGAATGATGGTAGCTGTAAGACAGTGTCATTATATTTTATAGACTAGATTATGGAAAGTGAGGAATTTAGAAATTTTCAAGTCATTTGAGCTGTATTAATAATGGGTTTTTAAGTCCTCTCTTCATAACATTTTTTTCCTCAGTGTAAAATACAACTTATTTATAATGTGTAAAAATTGAGCAAAATGTATATATGTGCTGGAAAGGTCTTCCTTTTTCACAGTCTCATACATTATATATTATTATTTCATTTACTTTTGAGAGTTATGTAAATTGAATAGATAAGGAAAAGCATTTTCAGAAGAAAAATATTTAATGTCATTTGGGGAAATAGCTTCTTTGGAAATGGCTAAAAATGAAAATAACATAAAAATTATAACAGTGTGCTAATGTTTGTAGTGTATAAAAAGACAGTAACCTATTACATTAAAAGGTAGATCCATCCAAGTGGAAAATGAAAAATGTTTTACCCTGTTTGCTTCACACTTCTCTTTATTTAAGTAATGGAGACTTAGTATAGCAGTATGGACAAATGAACATGAGCTTTGTAATCTGATAGACAAGTTTGTTTCTCCCCACCATTGATTGGTTTTAATACCTTTGGAAATTTCCTTCACCACTGTCAGTTTATTCCCACATGTATAAAAGCGAAGACAATAACAGCTACCTCTCAGGACTATCCAGAAAATTGAATGAGATAAAATGATTAAATGATTGTTAACTAAAAACACCTAGCACATTACTAACTATGTTTTCACATCAAAGAAGAAAGAACAAACATGTCTTGAAAGTACAGTCCCTTCTTCTAGTGCGCTTGTTTTGTAAATGCAAATGTATGCTAACGAAAATGGTACTTGGAACAATTGGAGCATAAAACAAATTTACAGCTTGCTTATACATAATTCTGGGCACCAGAAATAGTAGGTGAATGCAGAAAATTGCACTCTAGCTAAATCAAGCTGCACTGAAATTCAGAGTTTCAGCTCAAACACACCGTGTGTGTGTGTGTGTGTGCGCGTGCACGCACGCGCGCACAGGAGCAAACACACGTACAGCACACCCATCTACACCTGGTATTAAGACTTTCTGTCTGATCTTAGATAACCCTTTTTCTAACACTTATAAGTACTCACAAGCTGCACCCTTCCTTAGGCCACTTCTGCAAGGAAATTTTAATCTTTTTCAAGGTAAAGTTCCATATTCATTTTAGTATTTGTGCATTTCCTAATCATTTGATATGTGTAAAACTTTGTTGATTATATCTTATGCTTCACTGATGACGTTTGTGAGTATTAAATCATCCCATTCTTTCTCCATAATGTATCTAGTGTTTATTGTGCTATTTTGCACAACACAATGATTTTAGAATGTGTATATTATGGTGTAGCAGAACTGACTGTAATGACCCGTAGATTTTACACATAGTCTCAGGTTCAGTGTTTTTCCAGTTTCTTCTGTCTTTGCAATTTATTGATTTTTTCATTGAACAGATACATCATGAAGTCATGAATGCTTTAAATTTAGAGATTGATTTATCTATGCATTTCCTTGAATAACCTCAAGTAAACACTTCTAAATAATAAGACTCTTAATTCTCAAATAATTTTATACTCAGTTATCTTGAATATTGAACGCACAGAAATATCTTCAATAAACATATATCTGTCCTGGTTAAACTTCCTGCATCTAAAACTTGTAAGAGATAAGCAGTAGATTATAAATGTATTGTCCAGGTTCCTCTGAGGATCAGGATAAAGATCAAGAAATGCCCATCTGAAAAGAGGGTAGTCAGTAGGTAGCCTTTTAGCTGTCAGTAATGTTAGCATCAGCCACAGCTTCAGAGGATTACCTCAACAGACATTACACCCTTCCCAAGGCAACTCTCATCTGTTGACTAAGCAAGATGGGAATATAATTGTCTGATCACTTTGGCCTAAGTTGAGACAATCTGATGGTTATTACATGCTCTAGAACTTCCCACAGGGTTGGCTTTGTCAGAACTGTATTGCGGTCTGACTTTTTACTCTACCAAATCTTAATTCTTCCCTTCTCTTCCAAGTGTTAATCTTGATAAACAACTGACATTCCCATCTCCATCTCAGAATGTCTAATTCTGGAGAATGCAACCTACCAGAGATGACTCTGCTTGAGATCAACCTTTCCCTTGTAAAATATTATCGTATCGCAATTAATAAATCTGTGTAGTAATTCATCTTAGAATAAGAAGGGTAAAATAGTACTTGAAAATCTTACTTATTTGTTTTTAACAAATAGTATCATTTTCAAGTGTTCAAAATATTTAGACATGTAACAACTTGCTTATAATGTTGAAGACTTCATGTCATTGATTTTTACATTTTCCTATTTGTTGTTGTCAGTAGTATTAAAACTCAAAGTAAGTTTGATATGGATCATAAAACTTTCCAGGCAAACCAGTCTCATAAATCTATCTCTACAACTTAAATATAAGATCAAGTAATGAATACAAGTTGATCCGAGCATCTTCTTAAGAAGGGCAATGGAAAACCGCTAGAAGAATGCTTGAGGCTAAGCCTATGTATTAGGAAAAGTTTACACTACAAACTACACAAATATTTTTGTCAGTGGTTTCAAAATTTCTTTTTTGTTATA
This sequence comes from Homo sapiens, assembly GCF_000001405.40. NCBI lineage: Eukaryota > Metazoa > Chordata > Mammalia > Primates > Hominidae > Homo > Homo sapiens. The sequence continues at coordinate 27,698,908 of NC_000014.9, read as the reverse complement.
TTCTGACAAAGGCAAGTAATCTTTTTCCTAACTAAAAATGTCTGCAGATCAGAGTTTCTTTCCTGTTTTCAAGCAAGCCTGATTCCTGATAGAAAACTTCCTATGAAGCGTAACTATTTTCTTATTACTGGCTTTTCTTTAGAATGAGTTTCTATTTTATCATTCATCTTCTAAGTGAGGCAGACAAGTAAATCAGCAATACATGTTATGGTACATTTTCTACTGGGTAGTATAGAAAGACAGTGGAGAAGCATATGTAACTAGTATATTGAATAAATATGACACAAGAACTGACATCAAAATGCAATTTTATTTTTTGTCTGCCATACTATTAAATTTCATTCGGTGAAAATAATCCTTCCCTGCCGTTAAATCTATATTCTGACAAACCCATACGTTTTCTCTTCACTCTTAGGTAACAGACAATCCTACCATTACAGTAAACCAGAAAGTCCTAAGTAAAAATTTAGAGAGCCTAGTCTCAAACAATAATTACAACTTGAAATGACCAGGAACAGCATATTTTACCTGCTTTGACTGGACATGCTTCACACTGGAAGTTTGTTGTGGAAAAGGGACAAATATATTTCTTTTTTAATCTCTAGCCTTGCTTTTCCCAGATTGCTAACTCCCTTCAGTGCCAGCATTTGGGGAGCAGGGTAAGGAATAAGGACGACAGATTATACTTGACCTAAATGTTTCTGAGATAATTTTGCCCTTTCTGGTGATAGTAGATATTTAAAAATGGAGTTCCATTTCTTGTGGGAAGTTTTTTTAAACTCAGCACAGGTCCCTACTGGGGTTCTCTCTCTTAAAATTCCCTTAGTCCAGGCACCTCAAATCCAAGAACTTTCTGTGAAGAGTTCTTTATCCATCTGGATAAGTCTGCTAGTAAAGACTCAACGTAATTCTACACTGGCTCTCTCTGCCACAGGGCCCACATCTACTCCACAAGAAACAATCATGTATTCTTTATCCCCCAAACATTGGAAGTACAACTGATATTAAGCAGCAATCTGCAGGTTCCTCCATCGAAGCAGCTGGTCAAACTTTCTCTGCCTTTTCTGTTTCCTTGGGCAGAAACTAGTGCCCAGACCAGTGTCCACCCAGAAATCTCAAGTGTTAGTTGGACACTGTCTTCTGCTTTGCATATTAACCCTATTAGAAACACATTTCAAAGCTTTACAGGGCTGCTAAAGACACAGAGATTAAAACATGTAAATGCATGAACACCCATAAAATGTAAAGCTTTTGAGCAACTTCCCTGAGAATCGATGCATCCTATCTGCAATTCACTGTCTTCTCTCATATTATATCAAATCTAGCTCCAGATTTCGAGATATTGCCAGCTGTTCTGTCCCAGGTCAGTTAACACTCCCCAATGTGAGAACGCAGCACCAAGTATGATAAATATTATAGAGTACAAAAAGCAGAGTATGTGCAATGAAACATTATCGAAATATTCTTAAAAAGTTTTCTGGGATCCTCTTAGTATTGTGATTGTTGTTTAATAGCCCACAACACTAGATTTGAAACTGGTCAGATATTTAAATAATTATTAATTTAAATAATTATTAAAATACTTTTTAAATATACTAGAATACTAATATAAATCTAAAATTTACATTACTACAAGCTAGTTGCCCAACTCTGATTAAGACAAAATTAAACAATCAAACCAACAAAATAACTAATTTTCTTTTCTATAAACAGTATAATTCATCTCTTCTACCTCTGTATTTTTTTATCTGTTGCTGAGGGCCTCATTCTTCACTGGCTGTAGGTGGGAGGCCCACCTCCGTTTTGTGCCACTTGGCTTTCTCTGTCAGGCCGTTCACAATATGATAACTGGCTTTCATTAATGTGAGCAAGGGAGGGGGAGAAAGAGAAAAGCTGAGATCTTTGTAATCTGATATTGGGAGGGATACTCCATCACTTTTATCCTATTTTACTTGCTAGAAGCAAATCATTAGGTCCAGTACACACTCAATGAGAGATTACACGAGAACATAAATACCAGGAGATGAGAATTATTGGGAGCCATTTTGTGGGCTACCATATTCTCCTTGCTGTTTTAATACTCTTTGACCCAGTGACTACTCCCTTTTGTTTAATGATAGAGCATCTACTGATAAATTAGTAATGTCAGGAGTCTCCATTCACCTCACTGGTGAACCTCCTACTTACCATTTGGTGACCTTTAAGGAAAGTTAAAATTAGAAGAGTTGCAAGTTTTCTAATTTTGTTGATGAATCAGAATAAGCCAATAAAAAGTCAAATTTTTCTCAAGCCCTGTAAGAATAAGCACCTCTATCCATGCCCACTGATATGAGATATAAATATGAGGAACAAAGTAAAATAAAAAACATTAAAATAAAACAGAAGTAAATGTGGAAAAGCAAAAGAATGATAATGTACTTCCTCCTTCTGTCATTACTCTGGGCTTCAGAAAAGAGGAATATTGGCAAGAGAAAGGGAAGGGATGCAGAAGGATGTGTAGCAGAGAATCCCAGAACATTTTTAAACTGATTAAAAAGGGAGAATAATAATGCCAAGGGAAGAACTGGTTTAGGGACTAATATAACTCAGTCTTGGCTAGTCTTCAACACGCAAGCTTCAAGATTGATTACTGAAATTTTAAGTTGCCCAACAAAATAACACATTTCTTTGCCATTTGGACTTGTGAATCTAATATTTTGTTGGTGTCAGAAAATTGAAATTCCTGTGGAAGAATGAGAGTTTTGCTGTCTTTAAATTAATCTTTAAAAGTCAGGTGCTAAATTTTGACTTACATAAACTTTATGCAAAATAACTATCTTTGAGAACACTCTGAATTTAGAATAAGATAGATAATGTTTATATACTGACTGCACCCTTTATGATTAGCCAGTGCATTATCACAGGGTAAGTGAGTAAATCCAACTTTTCTTGACGATGATGTTATATGACTTTAAGTAAATGCACACAATTCTCTAAAACAAACATCCTAACAAATGATGTTTCTTATAAATATATAGTTTCAAAGTTACCAGTTATTAATCTTTGAATGTTAACTGTTAAAAAGTCATTTAAGTATTTAAAAAATTTCCTTTTTAATAAACATATCGAAACTTAACTATATAAAGAAAAAGACATAAAAAGTATACATTAATGTCATTTTTTATTACTCATGCAAATAGTTCTGTACAAATCATGATGAAAAAGCTAGTGTTTCCATTCTAACAATGACTTTTGTCAACCGCTTCTTTACAGTCTTTTATTATTAGTTACTGAAGTTTGTGGCGAATTATTTAACTATAACTTCAATGATGGCGTACCAAATAATTTGGTCATCGTTATAATTATTTCTGCAAGTGCCAACGCGAAGATGTATAAGGTCATAATAGTTTTTGATGATACAGTTTTCTACCTAGGTTTAATACCAAACAGATCCTGGAATGTTCAGAAGAATGTATAAAGGAAAACAAAAAGAGAGGCTAGTTTATCTTGCAGCATGGTGAATGTTTTTCTTCTTTTATTCATTCCTTTAAGTGTCTACTAAGTAGCACCTATCATGTGACATGCTAGCATAGACTTGATAGAGGTCCAGTGAAACCTAAAAAGTTAAAATACTACGGAAAATGTAGGGGTAAACTAAATCTAAGGTCAAAGAAGGAAGTGCTGCACAGAGAGCATGTGTTTGGGAAGGGGAAATTACGTTGACTGTGAAGAAGAGGAAAGGAAGAATGAGACTATGCTGCACAATGCTTAGACAGAGGCATTTTATTGGGCAGGAAATTACAAGTAACTTTTGTTTTTATTGTTTTCCTTTTAATCTGGGCAGCTAATTAACTGTCTTTCTAATTGTATACTGTAAGTATAGCAAAAGACTAGAAATACGATTAAATGTTTTTAGAAATCCAGAAACATCATAGTTCAGCTATTGCTAACATGGCTTAAATGTATTTGCTTGTGTGAAAATTACAGCAAGGTCACAATACCACATTTAGAGATAATTATATGCATGTTGGAATAATTTGAGCATTGTCTTTTTCATGAACATCTGATCTCAACAGGTCCCTCTGAGGAGCATATATTCCATTCTGGGTCACACCTGCCAAGCCTTCCACATCAAAACCTGTGCACCTGCCTCTGGTCCATCTCCCAGATAGTACATTTTTAACATATCATCTGCCAGGGGGAAAAAGATCACGTAACAGAAGCTTGCTTCAAATGAAAGATTTTCTGCTGAGAGATTTGGGAATTATGCTACCAGGCTGGCAGATGATATGGAAACATAAATCTGAAAGCCATTCTTTTATGCCATCAGGTTGGAGACACTTTCATTGCCACTTTATCCCTAAATTCTGTCCATATATCTGTGTATTAAGTTAATTTACATAAGTAAGCTTCAAACTTTTTTAAAATTGAGGATGTTTTCAACCAGACTCAAAAGTAATGTTTATACATGAAGCTGATTAGATATTCCAAACATTTTACTTATTTTGTGAGAACATATTTTATAAATTATTTTATGTTTAACTCTCATTTCTAATACTTTCTATGGAATAAGCCAACATTATTTTCCTATTTGATAGAGAGATTTTAATTATTAACATGAAAATTATTGAATATGTCTAGAAATACTTAATCACCTTATTAAAACATAAACACCAAAGGTTACATGGAGATTTCTTGTATGATAAAACACCTTACATATTTAATTATAACCAATAAACATGTTTCTTCCTACTTGTCCCTCATGTCCCTGGTGAGGTTCATGTCTAAGACAAAATTGTTTTGAATCCTCCATAAACCTAAAGATTTAATAGTTGTTTTAGTAAACTTGTCAATAGTATCTGTGTTTATTAAATATCTATTGTCCCAGTCTCTGCCTTTTCTAAAATAGTGAAAATAATCGAAGCAATACTTAAACCTAATTTAAAAATTATAAACAAGACCATTCAAAGTTATATTTAAGTCTCCTTTAACAACAAGCATTCTTTATTCCTGGTCACCAAAGTTAGTTATTACCTGAACTTGCATATATGTAGGATGGGTGATTCTAATTCAAAACAATCCATCTGTAGATTACTAGCAAGCATTAAGTAAGATTTATTCTGGAAAATAAGAAAGTTATTGAATTATTTGTCAATTATATATGAGTATACAACTGTGTTGCGATATTCAGTGACATATGTGTATGAATAGTCTTTAGTTCTGCCTCAGATTGTAAAAAAATCAATTGGAAGAAGTCTAGTAACTATGCCAATTTCATAGGAGTTAGTCAAACTCTTGGGTTGCTATGTAAAATGGATATGATACAAACCAAGGATTTTGTCTTCCTCACCTTGCTTTATTAATTCCCTTCCACTGAAATAGGGCCTCATTACTCCTTGTCTTATCAGTTAGTTTGGGCCAGTCAATGAACCTAATGAAAAGAGTAAGACAATGAAACTGAATCAGTTTCCCCAATCTTGGCAGGTGTGAGTTTGATGTGGATTGAAATGAATAAAAGTCAAGAGCTCGCCATATCAATTTTTTTTAAACCACAGAGTTAAAAGAAGCTTTCAGGTGGACTTGGGTTTGATATTGACCTCTGCAGGGTCTCGTTAGGTTACAGAGCAATAGCCTACAAAAGCCATGAATAACAACTGAGTCAGGCTAACTAAACTGTGATGCCTATGGCTACTCCAGCTGGTCTCCTCCAGCAGGGTCACTTTATGGGAGACAATAAGGAATATGAGAAAAATTTAGGAGCAACACACTAGTTAGCAACTGACAGAGCATTTCAGATTAGAAGAATTCTATACCTATAAACGAAAATTTTCCAAAGATCTTTTTAAAAATATATCATTCTTTATTGTGATGATATATAGTAGATTTTTTGCAGACGTCAAGAATATGAAACCCAAAGATTGCCTGCTGTCTTAAACAAAGGTCTTGGGAGGGAAATATATTCAACAGTGCTCTTTCTTCTTGTTACAAATGGTATTTGTGCTCTCTGTTTCATTTTCATCATTTGTCAACATAAAGGCCTGCATCAATGATTCAGCCATTTATAGGTTGACAGAAGTGACGTACAAATACACAAATAGATTAAAGTTACTGTAGCTGGATAGATATAGATTAATGAATACTCATTCTCACCTTAAATGGCTCTTACCAAAAACTTCAACAAGGAGGGAACAGAAAATATTCTTATTATAACAATAAAATGGTAAAATTACAGAAGACAAAACACTCCAGAGCTTGACATCTATAGAGAACTGCAATTTTGGTCATCTTCTTCTTCTTAATATGTTACTGCAATAAAGGTATAAAGGACAACAATGAGCAGATTTTTCTTCCACACAAAGTTTATAATATACTGGAAAATATTATCTCAGACATATAGTTGTTGTTGTATAGATATAAGAAACCAGGGGATAAGTGTATAAAATTTACTCCCTGGAAAGTCCTTAAAATATAAACAGTGGGCGCCTACAATCCCAGCTACTCAGGAGGCTGAGGCAGGAGAATATCTTGAATTCGGGGGTCAGAGGTTGTAGTGAGCCACTTCACTCCAGCCTGGGAGAAAGAGCAAAACTCCGTCTCAAAAAAAAAAAATACACACACACACACACATATATATATATATATACACATACATACACATATGTATATATGTATATATGCCTACATCACAGAATATAACAAAAGAGATGCTGTTACATTATGGAGCAGAGGACCCGATTCTCTGAATATTTTAAGATAAAAGATAACTTCTCATATCATTTTAACTGTGCACCAAGTTTTAGTGATGCTTTGATGGAAAAATTGAAGACCATAGACTTAATGTAGAATGTGAAGACACATATGCAAGCCTTCCAACAGGGAATAAGTAATTTATCTTTAACAAAGGACAAGGTCATTATTCAAAAACTGATTTCATTTTCAGTAAAATCAGTAATAATAATGATCATGAAATGTATTCCTTATAAATTATTTATTGGAGAAAGTCATTTTCTATTTTTTGTGTTTTACCTAATTTGATAGTTTTTTGAAAGTCTTGTTACTTCCATCAAAGAAAATAATAGTCATAATGTTGCTCTACAAAAATTTTTGTCATCATCTCTATGTCAATAGCCATATTTGCCACCTCAGTTTATAGTATCCTCTCAGCATACTCAGGGTTTGTCCCTTAAAGTACAGTCAACATGTTTCAAAATAGCTGTTAATATTTCATTTTATCATCTTAAAATGATTTCAATAAAATCATATACATCCCCATTAGAGTCTATGTGGGAACACATTTTAAAAACTATGAGGTGATACAGTCGTGTATTCAACAAATATTTATTAAGTCCCTATTATTGGACAGTTTCTCTGCAGTTAATGATATTATAATGCTCATGAACTAAAATCAGTTTCTGCTTTTATAAATTTAAAGGTTAATGGGGAAAGGAAACTTTTTAAGTAGGGTCACAAACTTCCATGGAATTAAAATGCAATAAATTACTACTGTGACAGTGTCTTACAGAATCCTTCTCTGACAAAGGGATAATAAACAGGAGAGGATGAGTAGCATTGGCTAGCAAAGGTTTGAAGGAGAGAATAGGATACGTAGAATTTTGTGGGAGACTGATCCAGTTGAAAGAAATAGCCAGAGCTAAGACATAGTTGTGAGAGTTATGCAATTCCTGTAATTAAAGAAAGCTAGTATAGGCAACAGAGTTAAGGATGCCAGTGTGATGACCTTGATAAAGTACATTGGAGTGAGGTCGTGCTGTGTCTTACAGATAAAACAGTGTTCACTTGATAGAGAGTGGTATTTACTGATTGTTTGAGGTCAATGACTGTTCAGATTTGTCAGTCACACTTTCTGATTGGTAAGTGATTGTGCCAATAGAGGTCTTAAAAATATTTTGACTATCATCCTTAGTTGTGAGATATATTTTGATGTTTGTTTTAAATGTAATAGGGAGCCCCTGAAGTAACTAACTAATGATAGGATTTTTAAAAATTATATATAATCACTATTTTTCTCCCCTCTCCTTCTAAAAGTCTTGATTTTGGAAGAGGCTCTTTCTAACTGGATTCTGAAGACAAACACAATATATACAAGAGGAGCAAATACGTATACAAAAGGAGGAAATACATAATTATTTGCTTTTTATGTTAAAATTCAGTTTCAAATATTACTAAACTACTAAAATAAAATATGGTTTATAATTTTATTAGAAGGGTACTTTTGAAACATGATATAACTAATACTACTTTTTAAAACATTTATGTCAGAGGCTTGTGAACCAAAACAAATCCGTCTTGAGTACGGACTGGGTAAATTGAGTCTGAAACCCACTGGGCTGCATTCCCAGACAGTTAGGCATTCTAAGTCACAGGATGAGATATGAGGTCGGCACAAGATACAAGTCATAAAGACCTTGCTGATAAAACAGTTTCCAGTAAAGAAGCCGGCTAAAACCCACCAAAATGAAGATGGCCACCAGAGTGACCTCTGGTCGTCCTCACTGGTACACTCCCACCAGCTCCATGACAGTTTACAAATGCCATGGCAATGTCAGGAAGTTACCTTATATGGTCTCATCCACCCCCTGTTTAGCATATCATCAAGAAATAACCATAAAAATGCGCAACCAGCATCCCTTGTGGGTGCCCTGTCTATGGAATAGCCATTCTTTTATTCCTTTACCTTCCTAATAAAGCTGCTTTCTCTTTACTCTATGGACATGCCCTGAATTCTTTCCTGCAAGAGATTCAAGAACCCTCTGTAACATTTCGGCTGTGTCTTTCAGTTAATTTGGAGAAAAACCCTGAGGGATGTTCATACCATCCTTGTATTCATGTTACTGTCTCCAAAAAGTGTATTTAGAACCACCACCAACACGCATATAAGCTATTAGTTTGATTTTTATCTGTCAAAGATGTATACATAGGCATAACTCTTGTTTTTGAAATTCAGCAAAATGAAATAAACTTAAGATAGAGGGATAAAATTCATATGTACTTGACTTACAGAAATCACCATCTTACATCATAAAATTTAAAATTTCTTGCTAGACCAAGTGTAAGTTAAACCAAGTTACTGAGTTGGAAAGGGAAGTCAGCATTTAAGTCATACCTTCCTTAACCATGAGTATGTTTTTTCATATGGAAAATATTTGATCAATTAATATAAGCTAACATTTCAATGCTTAATATATGATACATGCTTTAAATGCATTTCAAGTTGAAACCTCATAAAAACCTTATGAAGCATTTTTATGTTCGTTTGATCGCAGAGAAAACTGAAGCTGACAAAGATATAGTGACTTACGTTGGTTCCTACCAGTAAAAAGTAGTGGAGCTAGAACTAGAAGGCGGCAGGTTGACTCTTTTTTAAATTTTTTTTCTTTTTTTTTCTTTTTTTTTTTTGAGCTACAGGGAGAATTTCTTCATCATTTATTCTTTAGTTAGTTGAAACATGGGAAAACATGTTGCCGGTTTCCCTTAATTAACACATGGATGTTTTCGCTTCTTGGCCCACTTAGAATCCCAAAAGGACAAAAATTAGTACAGGAAACATTTCTTAAAGAACAGAGAATGAGTTCTTTATCCCAACTCAATAAGGCTTGGGCTGATGAAGAGTAGGTGTATTCAGAGTCCTCTCTTGTCATATGCACAACCTAACACTTGTTTCCCAAGCATTGTAGTAGGGGGGTACACTGCCTTTATTGTTCTTCCTTAATAGAATCAGTAATTACAATAAAAACATTCAAAAGAGGGCAGTGAAGTGAAAATAGCTTCATTTACTCATTGATGTTATGCAGAAACGCAAAGGAATCCTGGTCTGTTACGAATGAGAGGCCTTTGCTGTGTGTTCAGGAAACCTCAGAGCAGGCACATCAAGTGCTGGAAGGTGAAGCAGCCTGCCTGGCCATCCTTGTGAAGGTGTTCCATGCAGGAGACGATGCCTACGTCCAGTGCACAGGCACTCTACAGGCTGCCTGTCCTGCTAAAAGTGAGAGGCTAAAACCAGCCTCTCAGTGTGTGCTCATCACGCTTCCCTTTTAATTTCCCGAGTATTCGACAGGAGGTACATTTTAACAAGAGAAAAATATCCCTAACGAACAGGATAGATGACCCTTTAAACAAGACAGCAAATACAAAGATGATAATAATTTAAATACAAATGTTTAGTCCAACTATTTTTTTTACCACCTTCTTTTTATCCATTTATTTTTTTAACCACAAAACACTATAAATTCATTCATCAAGGGGCATACAAACAACTCTGCTTGGGTTGGAATCTTCATGGGACACGAGGAAGACAGAAACTGTCCTGCTTGGACCCCAGTTCTTCTACATAAAATGACTCAGGAAGACATGAAGAGAGGTCCTTTTAAAGGTCAATTGAATCTCTGTTGGCTATTATTTCTAACCAAGAAAGTCTAGAAGCAGGGAAGAGCACAAAAAGAAAGCAAAATCATCAACTTGGGAGTCAGTGTTGGAGATCGAAACCAAAGAAAATTGAGGAGAAATTGAAGAAATAAAAGACAAGTGTGTCCTGTGTCTCCACCGTCCCTGTCCCTGCTCCTGGTAAAACTAGTTAGCCCATGTTGTTAATTTTTCACTGTGGTGTCTGAAATCTGACAGGAGCACACCTTCATCCCCAGACATGCTTCTGAGTCAAAAATCAATTATGAAAAGAAGGGACACTGGAAAAATATTCCGTGGTTTCAATGTGCTACTGCCATTGCTCTCATCTCCTGACACACTAAAAGCAGGGGATTACATAAAGAATGTAACCCACTCTTATATATTAGCGATATTAGTGTTACCAGCTAGCAGCTTGCTGAGAAGTATTAAGAAGACATGAATCTCTATGTCTGGGAGAGGGTAAGTAGCATAAACATTAAATGCTCCTTGAAACTTTGAAAGGATACACCAGTGAACTTGTCTGAGAGGAGACTTAATTTGCAATAGTTAGATAGAGTGGAAATGGAAGGGCAAAAATAGTATTTTGATGTAATTCTTAAGTTTCTGTAATTTCTCTATTTTTATACTTAAAACAAATTTCAGGTTTACAAACTTGTTGAAAATGTTTTTTTGTGATTTATTTTATCTCTTCTATGGTTGTGGATATTTTTTCCTACTCGATATTTTGATTATTTTGCCATTTTTATTTTTCCTTTGATAATTATATTAACCATTTGGCTATCATTTTTCAAACATATTGGATCAAATATTTATCAATACATTTTTATGTTTAAAAATGAATTGGATTTAGGTTGTGTATATCCTCTGCTTATTAGACCTGATAAACATTAATTATTAATATTTTAATTTTTTAAAAATATGTAGTTGAAAATGTTGATAGAAAGTGTGTCATTAAACTCAGAGCCCTAAGTGAAACTGACCAAATAGTTTTTCATTTTCCTGTTGTACTTCCTGTCCAATTTTGATATCAGTGTTTTTACAGACCTCATTAAGGTTAAAAACATTCTGGAGTAGTTTAGTACCATAAGGGTTGTCTGTTCCTTAAAATTTTAAGAGAAGATACCTATAAAACAAGACAGACTATGAAACTGGAGTGAGTGTGTGTGTGTGTGTGTATGTGCGACCTAGAATGTGATATCACTAATATTTATATATATATACAGAGAAAACCAAAAAAATTACTGTGGGTTTTATTTTATTTTACTTATTAGCCACTGTATCTCCATTGAACAAAGACTGCCTTAAAGTTTCTTGGGAATAGGACTGGGAAGATGGGAATCAGCAACTCCCATTGCTGGAATAGTTACACTCCTCTACTCCTGAAATTAATCCCTAAATGAATGAACCTAAGTCATGGCAAGTCATGGCAAGTTTGAGCCCTCAAGGAAAACTAATTATCCTTCAATGGGATTTCCTAACCCACCATCCATTTAACTAGCTCATCTTTCCCAGAAACCTTTTCTTCACGAAGCGCTGGGCTTATATATTCCTGAATGTTAGTGAAGCACAGTTGAGGAAATGCTGATCAAATATCAGTAAAAACCAAAAAGCAAAATATTTTATTTCCAACTCTTATAAAACAAAAGCATTTGCAAAACCCAACACCCTTTTTTAAAATAAAAGGAAAATAAGACAAATAAATAATAACAACAAAATATCTCTTGACAGACTTGAAAAAGAAAAAAACCTTCCTGGCTGGATTCAATTTGACTACAATTTGGATATGCGAGAACTACAGCAATTTTTTTTTTCTCGATAATTTGACCTTTACCTTAAGGCTTCACCTTGCTGGCAAGAAAAAATAACTAAATATCCATGTGGCCAAACTGTCTTCAATCCAATTATTAAAAGAAACCTTTAATGTGCAGGCTCTTTTAGATTAACAGTACTGTCTTTCCGTTTCCTCTTTTTGTCTGCTTATGAGTAAAACATTCAAACCAAATAAAAATGAATAAGTGATATTTGAAGATAAAAGCCCCAAATAAGAACAGATTGAATATCCAAGCCTACTTGTGGTCTCTGAAGCAATAACTCTTGCCCTCCCTAGTTGCTGTTTACATTGTTGCCTTCAAGTCAGAAATCTGCAAAGGATGTAGTTTATGATCATATCTTAGTCAGAGACTGGATGAGTCTCTAGCTGACTCTGCAGTCACCCAACCCCTGCAGCACTGCAGACATCTCAAAGATCTGGCCGTGTCTTATGTGGTCCCATATGGGGTAGATTACACTCCTCAGGGTAAAGCAATCTAGACCTTGTTAGCCTGGTCACCTTTGACAAGACCCCAGATGTACTTTCAGCTCTTTCTGGTTCAGTTTCATTCCTTAAAAAACTAAGAGTGGTTATGAAACACTGACACTAACTCTTAGAAACTCCCTCTACCTGACCATGTGCTGCAAAATTTTTTAAATTTATCTGTACTGTATTAATCATTTGCAAAACTTCCTTCAGTCTTACTTTGTGTAACCTGACTTAATCAGCTTTAGTGGCTCTACAACTTGTAGAACTGGAAAGTTGATGATATTGCTCTTATCTCTCCTGTGTTGCATCCTTTTACTATAGACACCCACCTTCAAGGCATTATTGCCAAAGACAAAAGTGTCATGGTTTACTTTACAGGGTAACTCTAAAAGCTTGGTTTTACTCCCTTGATTATGAAAATAATAACTTAGTTTTAAAAGAATTAGGAAAATCTCTTCTCCAAAATATTTTGACATTCAATGTTATTGTATTACTGCCTAATCTTACTTTTGAAGGTGAGCTTTTTCTTTTCGAATCTTCTAGGAAAATTCCTAATATTTCATAAAATACATCTCACTCTCCAAACAGTAGATACTCATGTCAACTTTGGTAAATATTTCTAATTAGAAATACCAAGGGGAAAAATACACTAATAATGATTTTATTATATAAACTGTTGCATGTGTAGTTTTCATCCAATTATCATTTTAAAAATTTATCAAACATAAGTATATGCTTATACATACCATATCCTTTTAAAGGAATTTCAAAATACATTATTAGATATATTAAAACAGAATACTGTGAATTTAACAATAAAAGAATAGGTAATTATGGTACAAACCTTTTTAGGGAAGATGCTCTGTTTTGGAAACCAGTAGAGTGTCTGATTAAGAGCTCAAACTCTAAAGCCAAATTGCCTCAGTGCAAATACAACTCTGACACTAACTATGTGACATTGAAAAAGATACTTAACCTTTTCTTATTTGTGAATTCCCTTCCTTTAAAAGAGAATACAGACAGTTATCATACTCATAGGACTGTAGGGATTAAAAACCTTTATTCAAACAAACATGCCTGGCAGTACTTGACACAAAGTAAATATTTAAGTATTGTTACCAATTATTTTGCTGCTGTTATTCAATTTTAAATTCAGGTACACTTGTCCTATAGGTTTTGCTATGAAACTCTCAAAGGCATAATGTTAAGTGAATAAAATGCAAGTCAGTTGAATAAGTAAGAATGACATAAACTTCTATAAGTCAAAATGTATTTGAAGAATGTTATATACATTATTATGTTTATTAAATGCATAAAGAAAAGACCAAGTTAACACAAACTAAATATGTTAACCATGGTCTGTGGCTGTGACTGGAAATATAAATAGAAGGACTTTATCATTCAGGAGATGGAAGTTGGACATTTACATAGTTTTGCTAGTGTAGCTTGTCTCTTTGTCAGAATATATTTATATATTCACTGCATTCTTTTTAAAATGGAAAAAATAAGTTGAATCATTTAAATATATGTTTAAGTGATTTAATAGATATGTTTTTATTAAGATTCTGGAGGAAGAAAATAATCATCCAGGTAGCTAAATGTGCTGATATCAGATCTTTGGTAACGTTGATTTCTGATCTCTACTCTCTGACAATTAAAATCTATTTACTCAAAAAGAAAAATAACACATATCAAAGTAGTCTGTTGCTAGGATTCCAGATTGAACTAATGTAGAAAATGTTGAGGAAAATAGCACAAAAGCGGTTCTATTTACACTGCATGAAATGTAGATATTCAAGCAGGGTCAGCTGACATAAAATGGAGGCTTCAAAAAAAAATCTTTTTTCATTTAAATGAAGTTGACACGCAATTTGGTGGGTTTTTTTCATTTTGAAGAAAATGTCTTTGAAAGTCTAATTTTGATTTGGAGAAGCTCAAATACCTACATGTTATGAATCATGAACTACTCTCCTAACAAAGATATTTAATGTTCTTTCAGGTACTCTTTAATTTGTGATTTTTTTTCCATTATATTAGAGAAGAAAATAACATTTAGATGAAAGAGATTTCAAAGTATTAATTTCAGTATCATTTTAAATATTTCCTTATGGAGCTTTTGTCATTTACTGATGAATAGGATTTTATTCAAAGCAGATAAATTGCTTTTAAAAAGAGATGCTAAACAATTATAAGACAGACTATGAATAGCATGCTGCTTACCAATCCTTTGTGGATTCATGAAATTAATTTAAATGTCTTGCAGGCAATTATTGATACTTTTCAAATTTGATTTTGCATATGCTATTTTATATATCCTGATTTATTTCTACTTGAATTAATCAAGCATAATTACTAAAAAATGCCATTTGATTATATCTTTAGCTTTCTTCTTTTTGCATACTTTGTAGCTCTTCTTTGATACATATATATCACACACATACTTCTTTTACTTAATATCTATTGAACCAATGACATGAAAAATACATAATTGTAAATGTGCAAAATAGAAGTTGTTCATAATTTGATTTTATTACAATTTCAGTGAAACACTGTATATATAAAATGCTAGGAAAATAAAAGGCTTATTTATTTAATATGCATTATTGTTAGTTTTAGCGTTCTTACCAATTCCTTTTCTCTGTATTTAATATTAATAAAGTCAATACAATTTTGTCTTTAGCCACTATATCTTAAGAAGTACACTGGGTTAGGAGTACTATTAAAATAAATTATAAACATTTACAATCATTGTATGTATTACTCTGTCTATATTTGGCTGCCATATCAAAATATCATAGACTGTGGGCTTAAACAATGGAAATTTATTTTCTCACAGTTCTAGAGCCTAAAAGGCTGAGATTAGGGTGCCAGATAAGTTATCTTTTGGTAAGGGCTCTTCCTGGCTTGCAGACGTCCTTCTTGATGTGTGCCCATATGGCCTTTCCTTGGTACATATACAAGAAAAGCAAGAAAGAAACTAAGCTCTCTGGTGTTTTTTTTCTTTTCTTTTTTTTTTTTTAGATGGAGTCTAGCTCTGTTGCCAAGACTGGAGTGCAGTGGCACGATTTCAGGTCATTGCAATCTCTGCCTCCCGGGTTCAAGTGATTCTCTTGTCTCAGCCTCCCGAATAGCTGGGATTACAGGCATTGGGATACCACACCCAGCTAATTTTTGTATTTTTAGTAGAGATGGATGGGGTTTCACCATGTGGGCCAGACTGGTCTCAAACTCCTGACCTCAGGTGATCAGCCCACCTTGGCCTCCCAACCTGGTGTCTTTTCTTGAAGGATGCTAGTCTCATCTCGATGGCCCCAAACTCATGACCTCAACTAATACTGATTATTTCCCAAAGGCCCCAACATACAAACACCTCGGGGATTAGGGCTTCAACACATGAAATTTGGAGAAGGATGCATACACATTCAATTGATAACTCTGTATATTCTTACTATACTATTTTTTTCAAAACTAATTGCTGATTTTTTTTAATGCTGAAAATTACCTTCCTAGAATATGAAATTACCTTGGTGTTACAGGAATAAAATTATTTCTTTATTCACGTTCCTTGTTGCAAACACAGCCTTTTTTATTAGTCCATTTTCATGCTGCCAAAAAATACATACCCAAGACTGGGCAATTTACACAATAAAGAGGTTTAATGGACTTACAGTTCCACGTGGCTGGGGAGGCCTCACAATCCTGGCAAAAGGCAAGGAGGAACAGGTCACGTCTTACGTGGATGGCAGCAGGTAAAGAGAGAGAGTGCTTGTTTAGGGAAACTCCCCTTTTTACAGCCATCAGATCTTGTGAGACTTCTTTACTATCACAAGAACAGCATGAGAAAAACTTGCCCCCATAACTCAATTACCTCCTACTGGGTCCCTCTCACAACACGTGGGAATTCAAGGTGAGAGTTGGGTGGGACACAGCCAAACCATATCACCCTTCATCAAAATAATCTCCTTTACAAAACTTAAATTGAGGTCACTCCTTACTACCATGTTTATACAACCATGTCCTGGGCTAGAATTAGTAAAAGACCAAACCAAAACAAACAAAAAAGAACCTCTAAGCAACATATTTACTTATCCTTAAAGCATTAAGGTGGACAAAAAGTAGTATTATATAGGTAGCTCTCTGTAGAAAAAAAAAATCAGCAGGTAAAAAGTCATTTGTCTGTATGCCATAGTCTACGGGAAAAGCAGGTAAATATGTCATAGTAATAGTTTTGGCTACTTTATTATTTAAAATAGAAAACACAGGAGAATGTATGCCGGGCACAGTGGCTCACGCCTGTAATCCTAGCTCTCAGGGAGGCAGAGGCGAGAGGATACCTTCAGCCCAGGAGTTCGAGACCTGCCTGGGCAATATAGTGAGACCCGGTTCTCCACAAAAAGGAAAAGAAAAAAAAGACAAAAAAAAAAAATAAGCGTAACTCCCCTTAGAAAACATAGGAGAATGTTTAAATTAATGCTTAATAAATATTCATCTGATGAAACTGTATATATCGAAACTATATTCGTATATGCTTTGATAATATGAAAAGTAGTTACTTTAAATATTAAATTAAAATTACAAGCATATTAGTCTAACATACAGTATATTTTAAACAATAATTTTTTAATTATATATATAAATAGAAACAGAAAAGTCACAGATATTAATTTTGCTTACACTTTATGAAGGAATAAGGAGTGATTGTAATGATTAAAACAGGATTTTTATTTCCCAAATATTATAAAATGATAAAAATATTACATGTTCAATTTCATTAAATGGGATAATTTATAGGTTTCTGATTATACTTTTGGCAAAATCTTTTCATCAATTTTCTGTCTTCTTCTCCTTCCACTGTCAAGTAATTTGACTGACACATTTTGTTGAAAATATCTTGTTTGTTTTATGTTTGGGGTTTCTTAACTTCTCATTTAAACTTACTGAAATTTTACATTTTTTTTTTCTAGGCAGAGTAGTAAGACCTCAAGCTCACAAATACTTCGGTCAAACAAAAAGCATTTGCTGCATACCTTTATTACCTTAATTTACCTGTGGTCATCCATAAGCCTCTTTAGGTATTTGCTACTTAAAACTATGATCACATTTCAGTGTCCAGTTATGCAGCTGCAGGTAGAAGGTACGGAATTTTAATACCTTAGACAATAAAATTAGTTAAACTGCAAATAGTTAACTCTACACATGCTTTACCCTGAACTTCAGATTACATTAATTTCAAACCAAATGGAATGAACAAAGATTCCATATTAAAAGGTATAATTGAAGTTGCTTAATATATAAAACAAGTGATATGGGCATTATTCCTGCGCTTCAAGTTATAAAAATTATAAAAAAGGGAGATACTATAAGTAGATTTTCAGGACAGTACAAAAGAAAATAGAAACAAAACCAAATATACATGTTGTGTCAGGCAATCTAATGTTAATCTTACTTTTTATGGTCTTTTAATAGAATCCAGCGTTTATTTTAAAAAAGGTTAAAATATATTCGAGGTATCAGATCAGTTAATTTTGTCCGTTAAATAAAACTGAATCAAACCCTTCATTCTTCATTCTGAGGAAATCGAATGTCCTTCTTAAGTGTGTTTCAGTTTCTAGGGACTTGTTCTCAGAATCGTCTCCTGCTTTTGATCTCATTCATATGTTACTTTAGATGGTTGTTGTCATCCCCCTACCCTACTGGCTTGTAGTGGTCAGTTAGGGCTGCCATAACAAAATGCCGCAGACAAGGTAGCTTAAAGAACTGACATTTATTTTCTCACAGTTCTAAAGGCTGCAAGTCAAGATCAAGGTTCCATGCCTTCCCCTGGCCTTCCCTCTGTGCACATGCATAGAGAGAGCTCAACCCCTGGTGTCTCTTCCTTTTCTTATAAGGACACTAGTCCCATTGGATTGGCCTCACCCTTTTGACCTCATTTAAGGATAGTTACCTCCTTGAAGGCCCTAACTCTAAATACACACACCGTGGTGGTTAGGGCATCAATATATTAATAAAATGAGGAGGGGGAAAATTCAGTTCATAACATGACTCAAGGGAATTTCTTCTCATTTCTTTGACATCACTTTCTCTCACCCTACTGCTGCACACCAAAAAGCAAAAACAAAAATACCCCTCAAGCAGAGCCCTCATGCATCTATATCTAATGAGACTTGAGTTGACAAATGATAACATCAAATTGCCAAATAGCAAAGAAAACAAAATAATAAATTTTTGCACATACTGGAATTGTTTTGTCAGATACCATTGCTCCTAATGACTCCCCACTACTCACCATTTTTAAGTCCATGCTCCCCTTCTTGATGAATATTTTTTATTCACTAAGAAGCCCCAAATTCTTATTAGATTGTTGTAAAGGGCAGCGGAGCTACATCTTTCTTTGTCTTCTGATAATCCAGAAAAAGCCTAGAGCCTAGAGCTTCATACTTCTACAAACAGACATGTACTAGGCTCTTGAAATAACATTTTTTCCTTAGCTTTCCTATATAGTTTCTAAGCAAACATTAACAAGTTAACTATTCCATTATATACTTTATTTAAAATATTTGCATTCTACATTTTCATGTTTTACAGAACCGGATTTTTAACTATAAATGAAATTATAAACATCTGCTGTTATAATATCATTGTCATGTTATTGTAGCCCATAGTGTAATACCACTATTTAGGTTTAAATTGAAATATTTTAATATTCACAAAAGGCATATCTGTAATTATACTAGACATATATCAATAAATTACATTTCTTCAGATATACATGTCTATGCTTTGGAGTGTATATTTATCACAGGTTTACTTGACAATTACAGATTATTAGGTACTTCTATACTCAAAACACATAAACAGATGTTCACTTATTATTAAAGTTTTCACTAAATGATTTACAAGTTAAATATTCATACATGTTGTTCCAACTGTGTAACAAACCACCCTTAAACTTCCTGGTTGAAAAGAGCAATCATTATTGTGTTTACAAATCTTCAATTTGGGCAGGGCTTAGTGGAAATAGGTGACTTTTGCTCTAGGCAGTCAAGTGGGGCAGGAATGGGCTGGAATATCCACCGCTAATTTGCTGGGCTCTTTTATTTATTTATTTATTTATTTTATTATTATTATTATACTTTTAAGTTTTAGGGTACATGTCCATATTGTGCAGGTTAGTTACGTATGTACACATGTGACATGCTGGTGCGCTGCACCCACTAACTCGTCATCTAGCATTAGGTGTATCTCCCAATGCCATCCCTCCCCCCTCCCCCCACCCCACAACAGTCCCCAGAGTGTGATATTCCCCTTCCTGTGTCCATGTGATCGCATTGTTCAATTCCCACCTATGAGTGAGAATATGCGATGTTTGGTTTTTTGTTCTTGCGATAGTTTACTGAGAATGATGATTTCCAATTTCATCCATGTCCCTACAAAGGACATGAACTCATCATTTTTTATGGCTGCATAGTATTCCATGGTGTATATGTGCCACATTTTCTTAATCCAGTCTATCATTGTTGGACATTTGGGTTGGTTCCAAGTCTTTGCTATTGTGAATAATGCCGCAATAAACATACGTGTGCATGTGTCTTTATAGCAGCATGATTTATAGTCCTTTGGGTATATACCCAGTAATGGGATGGCTGGGTCAAATGGTATTTCCAGTTCTAGATCCCTGAGGAATCGCCACACTGACTTCCACAATGGTTGAACTAGTTTACAGTCCCACCAACAGTGTAAAAGTGTTCCTATTTCTCCACATCCTCTCCAGCACCTGTTGTTTCCTGACTTTTTAATGATTGCCATTCTAACTGGTGTGAGATGATATCTCATTGTGGTTTTGATTTGCATTTCTCTGATGGCCAGTGATGATGAGCATTTTTTCATGTGTTTTTTGGCTGCATAAATGTCTTCTTTTGAGAAGTGTCTGTTCATGTCCTTCACCCACTTTTTGATGGGGTTGTTTGTTTTTTTCTTGTAAATTTGTTTGAGTTCATTGTAGATTCTGGATATTAGCCCTTTGTCAGATGAGTAGGTTGTGAAAATTTTCTCCCATTTTGTAGGTTGCCTGTTCACTCTGATGGTAGTTTCTTTTGCTGTGCAGAAGCTCTTTAGTTTAATTAGATCCCATTTGTCAATTTTGGCTTTTGTTGCCATTGCTTTTTGGTGTTTTAGACATGAAGTCCTTGCCCATGCCTATGTCCTGAATGGTAATGCCTAGGTTTTCTTCTAGGGTTTTTATGGTTTTAGGTCTAACATTTAAGTCTTTAATCCATCTTGAATTAATTTTGTATAAGGTGTAAGGAAGGGATCCAGTTTCAGCTTTCTACATATGGCTAGCCAGTTTTCCCAGCACCATTTATTAAATAGGGAATCCTTTCCCCATTGCTTGTTTTTCTCAGGTTTGTCAAAGATCAGATAGTCGTAGATATGCGGCGTTATTTCTGAGGGCTCTGTTCTGTTCCATTGATCTATATCTCTGTTTTGGTACCAGTACCATGCTGTTTTGGTTACTGTAGCCTTGTGGTATAGTTTGAAGTCAGGTAGTGTGATGCCTCCAGCTTTGTTCTTTTGGCTTAGGATTGACTTGGTGATGCGGGCTTTTTTTTGGTTCCATGTGAACTTTAAAGTAGTTTTTTCCAATTCTGTGAAGAAAGGCATTGGTAGCTTGATGGGGATGGCATTGAATCTGTAAATTACCTTGGGCAGTATGGCTATTTTCACGATATTGATTCTTCCTACCCATGAGCATGGAATGTTCTTCCGTTTGTTTGTATCCTCTTTTATTTCATTGAGCAGTGGTTTGTAGTTCTCCTTGAAGAGGTCCTTCACATCCCTTGTAAGTTGGATTCCTAGGTATTTTATTCTCTTTGAAGCAATTGTGAATGGGAGTTCACTCATGATTTGGCTCTCTGTTTGTCTGTTGTTGGTGTATAAGAATGCTTGTGATTTTTGTACATTGATTTTGTATCCTGAGACTTTGCTGAAGTTGCTTATCAGCTTAAGGAGATTTTGGGCTGAGACAATGGGGTTTTCTAGATATACAATCATGTCATCTGCAAAACAGGGACAATTTGACTTCCTCTTTTCCTAATTGAATACCATTTATTTCCTTCTCCTGCCTAATTGCCCTGGCCACAACTTCCAACACTATGTTGAATAGGAGTGGTGAGAGAGGGCATCCCTGTCTTGTGCCAGTTTTCAAAGGGAATGCTTCCAGTTTTTGCCCATTCAGTATGATATTGGCTGTGGGTTTGTCAAAGATAGCTCTTATTATTTTGAAATACGTCCCATCAATACCTAATTTATTGAGAGTTTTTAGCATGAAGGGTTGTTGAATTTTGTCAAAGGCTTTTTCTGCATCTATTGAGATAATCATGTGGTTTTTGTTTTTGGCTCTGTTTATATGCTGGATTACATTTATTGATTTGCGTATATTGAACCAGCCTTGCATCCCAGGGATGAAGCCCACTTGATCATGGTGGATAAGCTTTTTGATGTGCTGCTGGATTCGTTTTGCCAGTATTTTATTGAGGATTTTTGCATCAATGTTCATCAAGGATATTGGTCTAAAATCGTCTTTTTTTGTTGTGTCTCTGCCTGGCTTTGGTATCAGAATGATGCTGGCCTCATAAAATGAGTTAGGGAGGATTCCCTCTTTTTCTGTTGATTGGAATAGTTTCAGAAGGAATGGTACCAGTTCCTCCTTGTACTTCTGGCAGAATTTGGCTGTGAATCCATCTGGTCCTGGACTCTTTTTGGTTGGGAAGCTATTGATTATTGCCACAATTTCAGATCCTGTTATTGGTCTATTCAGAGATTCAACTTCTTCCTGGTTTAGTCTTGGGAGGGTGTATGTGTCGAGGAATGTATCCATTTCTTCTAGATTTTCTAGTTTATTTGCGTAGAGGTGTTTGTAGTATTCTCTGATGGTAGTTTGTATTTCTGTGGGATCGGTGGTGATATCCCCTTTATCATTTTTTATTGTGTCTATTTGATTCTTCTCTCTTTTTTTCTTTATTAGTCTTGCTAGCGGTCTATCAATTTTGTTGATCCTTTCAAAAAACCAGCTCCTGGATTCATTAATTTTTTGAAGGGTTTTTTGTGTCTCTATTTCCTTCAGTTCTGCTCTGATTTTAGTTATGTCTTGCCTTCTGCTAGCTTTTGAATGTGTTTGCTCTTGCTTTTCTAGTTCTTTTAATTGTGATGTTAGGGTGTCAATTTTGGATCTTTCCTGCTTTCTCTTGTGGGCATTTAGTGCTATAAATTTCCCTCTACACACTGCTTTGAATGCATCCCAAGGATTCTGGTATGTTGTGTCTTTGTTCTCGTTGGTTTCAAAGAACATCTTTATTTCTGCCTTCATTTCGTTATGTACCCAGTAGTCATTCAGGAGCAGGTTGTTCAGTTTCCATGTATTTGAGAGGTTTTGAGTGAGATTCTTAATCCTGAGTTCTAGTTTGATTGCACTGTTGTATGAGAGATAGTTTGTTATAATTTCTGTTCTTTTACATTTGCTGAGGAGAGCTTTACTTCCAAGTATGTGGTCAATTTTCGAATAGGTGTGGTGTGGTGCTGAAAAAATGTATATTCTGTTGATTTGGGGTAGAGAGTTCTGTAGATGTCTATTAGGTCTGCTTGGTGCAGAGCTGAGTTCAATTCCTGGGAATCCTTGTTGACTTTCTGTCTCATTGATCTGTCTAATGTTGACAGTGGGGTGTTAAAGTCTCCCATTATTAATGTGTGGGAGTCTAAGTCTCTTTGTAGGTCACTCAGGACTTGCTTTATGAATCTTGGTGCTCCTGTATTGGGTGCATATATACTTAGAATAGTTAGCTCTTCTTGTTGAATTGATCCCTTTACCATTATGTAATGGCCTTCTTTGTCTCTTTTGATCTTTGTTGGTTTACAGTCTGTTTTATCAGAGACTAGGATTGCAACCCCTGCCTTTTTTTGTTTTCCATTTGCTTGGTAGATCTTCCTCCATCCTTTTATTTTGAGCCTATGTCTGTTTCTGCACGTGAGATGGGCTTCCTGAATACAGCACACTGATGGGTCTTGACTCTTTATCCAATTTGCCAGTCTGTGTCTTTTAATTGGAGCATTTAGTCCATTTACACTTAAAGTTAATATTGTTATGTGTGAATTTGATCCTGTCATTATGATGTTAGCTGGTTATTTTGCTCGTTAGTTGATGCAGTTTCTTCCTAGTCTCGATGGTCTTTACATGTTGGCATGATTTTGCAGCGGCTGGTACCGGTTGTTCCTTTCCATATTTAGTGCTTCCTTCAGGAGCTCTTTTAGGGCAGGCCTGGTGGTGACAAAATCTCTCAGCATTTGCTTGTCTGTAAAGTATTTTATTTCTCCTTCGCTTATGAAGCTTAGTTTGGCTGGATATGAAATTCTGGGTTGAAAATTCTTTCCTTTAAGAATGTTGAATATTGGCCCCCACTCTCTTCTGGCTTGTAGGGTTTCTGCCAAGAGATCCGCTGTTAGTCTGATGGGCTTCCCTTTGAGGGTAAGCAGACCTTTCTCTCTGGCTGCCCTTAACATTTTTTCCTTCATTTCTACTTTGGTGAATCTGACAATTATGTGTCTTGGAGTTGCTCTTCTCGAGGAGTATCTTTGTGGCGTTCTCTGTATTTCCTGCATCTGAACGTTGGCTTGCCTTGCTAGATTGGGGAAGTTCTCTGGATAATATCCTGCAGTGTGTTTTCCAACTTGGTTCCATTCTCCCCATCACTTTCAGGTACACCAATCAGACGTAGATTTGGTCTTTTCACATAGTCCCATAGTTCTTGGAGGCTTTGCTCATTTCTGTTCTTTTTTCTCTAAACTTCCCTTCTCGCTTCATTTCATTCATTTCATCTTCCATTGCTGATACCCTTTCTTCCAGTTGATCGCATCGGCTCCTGAGGCTTCTGCATTCTTCACGTAGTTCTCGAGCCTTGGTTTTCAGCTCCATCAGCTCCTTTAAGCACTTCTCTGTGTTGGTTATTCTAGTTATACATTCTTCTAAATTTTTTTCAAAGTTTTCAACTTCTTTGCCTTTGGTTTGAATGTCCTCCCGTAGCTCAGAGTAATTTGATCATCTGAAGCCTTCTTCTCTCAGCTCGTCAAAGTCATTCTCCATCCAGCTTTGTTCCGTTGCTGGTGAGGAACTGCAAACTGCATTCCTTTGGAGGAGGAGAGGCGCTCTGATTTTTAGAGTTTCCAGTTTTTCTGTTCTGTTTTTTCCCCATCTTTGTGGTTTTATCTACTTTTGATCTTTGATGATGGTGATGTACAGATGGGTTTTTGGTGTGGATGTCCTTTCTGTTTGTTAGTTTTCCTTCTAACAGACAGGACCCTCAGCTGCAGGTCTGTTGGAATACCCTGCAGTGTGAGGTGTATCAGTGTGCCCCTGCTGGGGGTGCCTCCCAGTTAGGCTGCTCGGGGGTCAGGGGTCAGGGACCCACTTGAGGAGGCAGTCTGCCCGTTCTCAGATCTCCAGCTGCGTGCTGGGAAAACCAGTGCTCTCTTCAAAGCTGTCAGACAGGGACATTTAAGTCTGCAGAGGTTACTGCTGTCTTTTTGTTTGTCTGTGCCCTGCCCCCAGAGGTGGAGCCTGCAGAGGCAGGCAGGCCTCCTTGAGCTGTGGTGGGCTCCACCCTGTTGGAACTTCCCAGCTGCTTTGTTTACCTAATCAAGCCTGGGCAATGGCGGGCGCCCCTCCCCCAGCCTCGCTGCTGCCTTGCAGTTTGATCTCAGACTGCTGTGCTAGCAATCAGCGAGACTCCGTGGGCGTAGGACCCTCCGAGCCAGGTGCGGGATATAATCTCGTGGTCCGCCGTCTTTTAAGCCCGTCAGAAAAGCGCAGTATTCCGGTGGGAGTGACCCGATTTTCCAGGTGCTGTCCATCACCCCTTTCTTTGACTCGGAAAGGGAACTCCCTGACCCCTTGTGCTTCCGGAGTGAGGCAATACCTCGCCCTGCTTCGGCTCGCGCACGATGCACGCACCCACTGACCTGCGCCCACTGTCTGGCACTCCCTAGTGAGATGAACCTGGTACCTCAGATGGAAATGCAGAAATCACCCGTCTTCTGCGTTGCTCACGCTGGGAGCTGTAGACCAGAGCTGTTCCTATTCGGCCTTCTTGGCTCCTTCCCTGGGCTCTTTTATATTGCTGGCAAAATAGTGGTGAGTGAGGTCATTGCTGTTTGAGTCCATTAACCTCAGTTCTTTTCTATGTGAATTCCTTTGTGGTGTGTTTGTTTTCCTTTTCTTCCTTTTCCTTCACATACATTTTCTCTTATCTTTCTAATCATTTTCTGCTAATGCTTTCATATATATGTTGTAATGCTTCATAGTCTCTCAGAGGTCTCAAAGAATTTCCTCATTTTTAAAAATAATTTTTCTTTCTGGTCTACCAATATGATTATTTCCATTGATCTATATTGAGTTTATTGGTCCTTTCACTTGCCATCAGAAAATTGCTGTTGGGTATACATAGTAAATTTTTAATTTCAGGTAATTTTCATTTCAATGCTCAACCTTTCTTTTGGCCCTATTTCTTAATTTCTATTTTCTGTAGAGAGTCTTTATTTGTTGACTCATTATTGGCATGGTATCTTTATATTTTTTACATATGTTTACTTCAATTATCTGATTATATTTATAATAGTTGCTTGGAAGTCTTTTCTTACTAAATCCAAAATCTAGGCCCACTAAGCTGACAAGTTGTTATCGAATGCTTTTTTATCGTGAGTGTGGGTCACAATTTTCTTCCTCTTTATATGTCACTTATTTTTGGTTTGAAATCAGATTTTTACATAGTATAATGTGACAGCTCTAGGATGTGGTATATTTTATTTTTGAGAAGTTCTTTTGTTTATGTGCTTTCCTAACTTAGCTGGATTTATCACAGTGTTATTTGTTTCCCTGCATTGTTTCCACCAGGTGGCTATCTCTCATCAGATTTTATAATTTCCGTTTACGGTTTTTAGCACGGCTAAAGTCCAGTCTTGTGGTTGCATAGTTTATTGGTCTGCCAAGGTTTTGACAGAGGTTGTGCTCAAATAGTCCAAGCTCTGATGGCTGAGCTATATGTTGTTGAAGGCATTCAAACTTGTAACCAGTTCTTAAGTGTCTCTTGAGTTTCAAATTTTGTTTTGCTCTCTTGGGTCTCCTGAACATATACAGCTATCAGTTAACCAGGGCTTTGGGGATTTCTGAAGACATTCTCATCCGTATGTATTTCTCACTTCTATTTTCTTCCCTTTAGATTTATGGCCAGTCTGCTAATAACTCTAAAAAGACTAATAAACTGCTGTTTTTCTCTATCTGTTTTCCATCTCCCATTCTGAATTGAATCATTCACCTTTAGCAACTACAGATCCCACACCCTCACCACCACATCCTTGAGGCAAGAATCTACTGAGCCTGAGACAGTAGGAATAGGAGGAAATAGGGGAATGGGTATGATGGCCAAAAACTCAACACATTTCTTATACAACACTGTAAGAATTTTTTTTAAGTAAATTCTCACATTTTTAAACTTCATTTATCAATTTTCAGTGCTCTTAATGATTTTCTAGAAAATTGCCTCCCAGATTTTCTTGTTTTCTGCAAAGAGAAATTATATGACCTCCTTCTATTGCCCCACCAGAAGTTAGAGACTTCTAATCAGTTTACCTAACTTAAATTCTTTCTTTTCCTTTTTTCTACTACTTGCTTTGTGGCCTAACATATGTTCTACCCTGGGGTATGTTTCTTGTGCACGAGAGAAAAATGTGTGTACTGCTATTGTTATATGGAGTGGTTTGTATATGTCTGTTAGGTCAAAATAGTCTATAGTGTTGTGGGTACTGATGTCTTCTACTATTATTGTATAAGCGTTTTGTTTTGTTTTTCTCTCTTCGATTCTGTCAATGTTTGCTTTATGCATTTTGGAGTTCTGATGTTGGGTATCTATATCTTTATAATTGTTATGAATTCTTCATGAATTGAGCTTTCTCATTGTATTTTCCCTTTTCAGCCTCTCATAGTAGTTTTTGACTTGGTCTATTTTGTCTGATATTAATAGAGAAGCCCTGCTGTCTTTTAATTACTGTTTATACAGAACAGTTTTCCATCCTTTCATTTTTAACCTATGTCTGTCCTTATATCTAAAGTAGACAGCATATGGTTGGATCACGGTTTTATTTTAATTCATTCTTTCAATTCATATCTTTTGAATTATAAGTCTAATACATTTACATTTAAAGTAATTACTGAAAGGGAAGCACTTAGTTTTGTCAGTTTTTTTGTTCCTTTTTTTGTATGTCATAAATTTTTATTCTCTCTTTACCCTCATTACTGTCTCCCTTTGTGTTTATATTTTTGCAGGAGTATGTTTTGTGTTTTGATTCACTTCTCATTTCCTTTTCTGTATATTCTGTCTATATTTTCTTTATGGTTATTATGGACAGTACCTATAATGTCCTAAAGTTATAATAATTTTAAATTAATATCAACCTAACTTTAGTCACATACAAAACCTCGACTCCTTTTCACCTCTGCTCCTCCATTTTGTCATAGACTTCACAATTTACATCTTTATATACTGTATCCAATTAACATAGATTTAATCTTATTTTTATGCATTTGTGTTTACATAACTATAAAATAAAAACTAGCAAGGCGCAATGGCTCACACCTGTAATCCCAGCACTTTGGAAGGCTGAAGCAAACAGATCACTTGAGATAAAGAGTTCCAGACCAGGCTGGCGAATATGGTGAAACCCCGTCTCTACTAAAGATACAAAAATTATCCAGGCGTGGTTGCAGGAGGCTGTAATCCCAGCTACTTGGGAGGCTGAGGTGGGAGGATTGCTTGAACCCTGGAGATGGAGGTTGCAGTGAGGTGAGATCGTGCCACTGCACTCCAGCCTGGGTGACAAAGACTCCATCTCAAAAAAAAAAAACAAATAAATAAACACAAAAAGCTACAGTAACAAAACAATACAATTGTGTGTATGTGTGTGTATGTGTGTGTGTGAGTGTGAGTATACTTATTTTTTTGTCTGCATACTTAGCTTTACTGAAAAACTTAATATTGCATACAGCTTCAAGTTATTCCCTGGCGTCCACTCATTTTAAATTTAATAACTTCCTTTCTCATTCTTGGAGAGCAGTTCTACTAATAATTAACTCCCTAAATTTTTGTTTCTCTAAGAGTGTCTTAATTTTTCCTTAATTTTGAAAGATAGTTTTGCCAGATGTATGATTCTCCACTAATAGCTATTTTTTTTTTCATCAGTTAAAATGTCACCTCCCTTCTGGTCTATGTGGTTTCTGAGAAATTCACTGGTATGTTTACTGAAAATCTCTTGCATCTAATGAGTTACATTTTCTTTCTGCTTTGAAGATTCGTTCTTTGTCTTTGTCTTTCAAAAGTTTGATTATAATGGATTTCTGTATGGGTCTTTTTGGTTTATCCCACTTGGAATTAATTAACTTCTGAGATTTGTATGTCATACTTTTTTCCTCAAATTTTGGAAGTTTTCAGCTATTAGCTTTAAAAATAATTTATCTTCTCTCTATTCTTCTCTTGATGATCCCATAATGCACTTCTCACAGTGAAACTTCCTGGTTTCCATAAGTCCTTTAGGTTCTGTTCACAGTTTTTCATTGTTATTTTCTGTTCCTCAGACTCAATAAATTTACATGATTTTTTCAAGTTTACTGATTCTTTTATCTGTTCAAATTTTATGTTGCACACCTCCAGTGAATTTTTCAATTCAACTATCATATATTTTGGGTTCCAAATTTCTATTTAGTTTTTTGTATATGATTAACTTGTTTTTGTTAATATTCTCATTTTTGTCCATGAATCATTTCCTGACTTCCTTCACTATTTTTCTCATGTTTCCCTTATCTCTTTGAGTATATTAAAGACAATTATTTTAAAGAGTTTTTCTCGTATGTCCACTGCATGTGTTTTTTCAGACTGGTTATGTGATTATTTTCTTCCTTTAAATGGGCCATGATTTCCATTTCTTTGTATGGCTTATGCTCATTTTTTGAGAATTAGGCATGTTAAGAAACAGCCAGGTTCCCCAGCCTTGACAGTATGGTGTGAAGACCTTTGCTAATTAGCAGTTCTCTGAGCCTTGATAGCAGCCTGGAGCGAAGGACTGCCTGCACGTTGTGCACATACACCCTAAAACTTAAAGTATAATAAAAAAAAAAATTTCGTCTGGTATAATTTTTAGATATGCTTCCTTTCTGAGCCCACGTGTGTGCTTCTTTATTTTTCCCAAAGTTGCCTTTAAGTGCTTTAATTCCTGAAAAGTCCCACTCTAGCTTCCTCTCTGGGCCTTAGATATTTTGCTTTATTCTGCTACCCATAACCTCTTGCCTCAGGCATGCATGGGTCTGATATCCCCCTGTAGTTTGCATGTACCATGATACTCACCACTGTCTCCACAGCTTCCAACCTAAGAATCTAATTGCTGCCATTCTGCTCTGATCTCTAAGTCAGATAAGACAAATACTGGTCCCTCAGGCAGCTTACAGATGGGCCAAATCACTGCAGATAACTTTCACTGTACTTTTTTTTTTTTTTTTTTTGGCTCAAGGGAAGTAACCTGAAATTGTGCAACTTTCTCCCTTCTGTGCCACACTAGGAAAGGAGTGAGGCAAGGGTGTATAAGCATGCCACAAATTTTCCTACCATTTTCCATGTGACTTTTTCTTAAATGAGTGTTTTTACGGTTGCTGTAAATCTTTGAATAGTTTTGAGAGTTCCTGTAAAGTTTTTTATTTAGACTATTGTTGTATATTTGATGTTTATATGTGGTAACAAGAGTCTGAAGCTTACTCTCAACTTAGTTTTTTTTAATGTAACATAAGATTTTGCATAGTTAAGACATATCTCATTCTCTAGTTATATTTTTTTCTTAAGGTATAAAAGCACTTAAGTAGAGCAAAGAAGTCTCTTAACATAATACCTTGGTTGGGGCAATATAGATTGCTAGCTTCTTTAGTCTTCCCTATGAAACACACTCTAAGGAGTGCTTATCTAGTTAGATCTATACATATATATGACTGTAATCTCTTGAGATACTTGGAATCAAGTGTTTTTTTCATAGGTGGAGTGTTCATTGCTGCCTATTTGGAACTAAAATGACATTTATCTTTACTCATGTGGAGATGCCTGATAACTCACTTATATTTATCACACACTTCACAGTCAGGAAGATTGAACACAATAGATCATTCTGTCTTAGACTTATCTTGTAATTTCTCTTTGATTCCTTCTGGTGGTCGATTGGGGAAATATAGAGAGCAGTATTAGCTCACAAGATAAAATGACTTATGTTTGGGTAATTATCCTGTATTAGTATATTTGCAAATATCTCCTATTTTAAAAAATAAAGAAACACGTTATTATAAGCCCCTGGCCATTAAATATCTTTGTTACCATGGCCGCAAGTTTTTACTAGTGTGAAGAAGATACTTTTCAGTTGCAAGAACTATACATAAAGCTTCAATTCATATATTAAACATATGCACATATGTTACAAAGCTGTATAGCACAGTTACTACTGTGCTATAAGAGCACAGTGATTGGATAAGAGCATAGATTCTGGCCCTAGACTCACTGAGTTTAAAGCTTAGCTTTATTACTTACATATATCCAGGATTATCTTTTTCAGTTGTAAAATGGAATAAAAGTAGTATTTAAAAAAATGTGTTATTAGAATTGACTTATTTAGGGCCTCTTAAAATATAGACTACTTTCTGAGGAACAATATGCCCTTCAGAAATGCCATGTAATCTATATTTTTAGAGACAGGTATATGTAGCTATGGATGTATATATATTGGGGAAAATTCAGAATTTTCCAAAACTAAATAAAATGCCCAAGTTCAATTTTATTCATCTTCAAATTTATAACATTATTTTATTTAATTTGACTTCATATTCCAAATATTTCTTATGAATTTTACCTTCAACACAACTAAATGCAAATACCCATATATCATGCATAAATATAATGTTCATTGAAATGCTGGCTTTTCCCACTGAGAGAACCCAGTTTAGGTTTATTGGCTGCATAAATAGGATAACTATAACTAGGGTGGCTATAAGTAGAATAATAAACACCTTTAATAGTAAAATTGGTAAAATAATTAATTCTGCTATGATTACATGCATAATCCAGGAATGTTGCAGAAAATTTAGGAGGTAAATATTTGGTTTCAGGGTCCATAGTTCTACGGCTAATTGTGAAATCATCAGGATATAATTTGAAGTTTCAAAAAGAGCATAAATAAAATATAGATAAATATTACCGAAACAGAAACTGTATCATAATCCAATCTTGGCCCTAATTTTATTAAATTGGCTAGCCCTACATTATCTATTTAACAAATATTGAATGAACCCTCTCTTATTGGATGTAAAAAATTGGATGCTTTTATAATTAAAAAAAAATAGAGAAAAACATGGTGTATCACATAATATTTAATTATTTTTTTAAAAAAGATAGGGATAAACCAGTATGAACAATCTAGAAAAATTCAAACTCAAATATATCACTAATAATATTAAATATGTAAAAATGAAAGACTACTCACAGTAGCAAAGAATGTCAAATAAGAATAAAAATAAAATAGTTATGCTATTTACAAGACACACCTGTTGAAATAAGGCAGTGTAAATATAAATAAAAGGGTGGAATATTTATCATGTAAATGCCAAAAGAAGACAAAAAATAAAACCTACAGTTAATATCACACTCAGTGGAGAAACTGAAAGCTTTTCCTCTAAGACCAGAAATAAAACAAGTTGCCCAGTTTCACCGCCTCTATTAAGCACATTACAAAAAGTTTTAGCCATAGCAATTATGCCCAAAAAATAGACATCAAAGTTGGAAAGCAAGAAGTACAATTATCTCCTTTCACAGACATGATTTTATATGTAGAAAACCCTAAAATCTTTCTCTCTCCTCTCTCTGTCTCCCTCTCTCTCTCTGTCTCTCTCTCTCTCCCTCTCTCCTCTCTCTCTTTCTCACACACACCACACAAACAAACACACACACAATGGTTAGAGCTAAAATAAATTCAGAAAAGTTTCAGAATAAAAATCACCATGCAAAAGCCATTTGTTTCTATATACTAATAATGAACAATCAGAAAAGGAAATTTTAATAATTCATTTACAATACTATCTAAAAGAGTAAAATACTATACTACAGAGCTACAGTAACCAAAACACCATGGTACTGTTGCAAAAACTGATACATAGATCAATGGAACAGAGTGGAGAACCCAGAAATAAGACCACACACCTACAGCTATTTGATCTTCGGCAAACCTGACTTAAACAAACAATGGGAAAAGAATTCTCTATTCAAAGAATGGTGCTAGAGTAACTGGCTAGCAATATTCAAAAGATTAAACCAGGATTCCTTCCTTACATCCAACACAAGTTGGATTAAAGACTTACTGTAAAACACAAAACTATAAAAACCGTGGAAGACAACCTATGCAATACTATTCAGGACCTAGAAACAGGCAAAGATTTCATGAAGAAAATGCCACAAGCAATTACAACAAAAGCAAAAATTAACAAATAGTATCTAATTAAACTAAAGAGATTCTGCACAGCAAAATAAAGTATCAAAATAGTAAAGAAACCACCTACAGAATGGGAGAACATTTTTGCAAACTGTGCATCTGACAAAAGTCTAATATCCAGCATCCATAACTAACTTAAACAAATCTACAAAAAAAGCAAACAACCCCAAACAAAAAGTGAGCAAAGGACATGAACAGACATTTTTCAAAAGAAGATATATGTGCAACCAACAATCATATGAAAAAAAGCTCAAAATCATTGGTCATTAGAGAAATGCAAATCAAAGCTACAGAGAGATGCCATCTCTCACCAGTCAGAATGGCTATTACTAAAAAGTTAAAAAATAATGGATTCTGGCAAAGTTCTGGAAAAATATAAATGTTTACACAGTGTTGTTGGGTGTGTAAATTAGTTCAGCCATTGTGGAAGTCAGTGTGGCAATTCCACAAAGACTTAAAGACAGAAATACCATTTGACCCAGCAATCCCATTATTGTGCATATACCCAAAGAAATAAAAATTACTGTATTATAAAGACACATGCACATGTATGTTCATTACAGCAATAGTCATAATAACAAAGGCATGGAAACAACCTAAATGCTCCTCAATGATTGACTGGATAAAGAAAATGTGGCACATATACCACCATGGAAGGAATACTAGGTAGCCATACAAAAGAAAGAGATCATGTTCTTTATAAGGACATGGATGGAGCTGGAGGCCATTATCCTTAGCAAACTGACAAAGGGAAAGAAAACCAAATACTGCATGTTCTCACTTATAAGTGGGAGGTAAATGATAAAGGGCTAATATCCAGAATCTACAAAGAACTCAAACAAATTTACAAGAGAAAAACAAACAACCCCATCAACAAGTGGGCGAAGGATATGAACAGACATTTCTCAAAAGAAGACATTTATGCAGCCAAAAGACACATGAAAAAATGCTCATTATCACTGGCCGTCAGAGAAATGCAAATCAAAACCACAATGAGATACCATCTCACACCAGTTAGAATGGCAATCATTAAAAAGTCAGGAAACAACAGGTGCTGGAGAGGATGTGGAGAAATAGGAACACTTTTACACTGTTGGTGGGACTGTAAACTGGTTCAACCATTGTGGAAGACAGTGTGGTGATTCCTCAGGGATCTAGAACTAGAAATACCATTTGACCCAGCCATCCCATTACTGGGTATATACCCAAAGGATTATAAATCATGCTGCTATAAAGACACATGCACATGTATGTTTATTGTGGCACTATTCACAATAGCAAAGACTTGGAACCAAGCCAAATGTCCAACAATGATAGACGATTAAGAAAATGTGGCACATATACACCATGGAATACTATGCAGCCATAAAAAAGGATGAGTTCATGTCGTTTGTAGGGACATGGATGAAGCTGGAAACCATCATTCTCAGCAAACTGTCACAAGGACAAAAAACCAAACATCGCATGTTCTCACTCATAGGTGGAAATTGAACAATGAGA
This sequence comes from Homo sapiens, assembly GCF_000001405.40. Lineage (NCBI taxonomy): Eukaryota > Metazoa > Chordata > Mammalia > Primates > Hominidae > Homo > Homo sapiens. The sequence continues at coordinate 27,664,101 of NC_000014.9, read as the reverse complement.
ACACTTGGACACAGGAAGAGGGACGTCACACACTGGGGCCTGTTGTGGGGTGGGGGGAGTAGGGAGGGATAACATTAGGAGATACACCTAATGCTAAATGACAAGTTAATGGGTGCAGCACACCACCATGGCACGTGTATACATATGTAACAAACCTGCACGTTGTGCACATGTACCCCAGAACTTAAAGTATAATAATAAAAAATAAAATAAAAATGGGCAAAGGACTTGAAAATAAAAAAAAAAGAAAATGTAGTTAGAACTTTACCTTATAGAATATGCAAAAATTAACTCAAAGTGAGTCAAAAATCTGATTATAGATGCTAAGGCTAAAAAGTATTATTCTAATTTTTAATTTTTGTGGGTAAATAGGAGGTGTATGTGTTTATGGGATACACAACCTATTATGATACAGGTATGGAATGCATAATAACCAGATCATGAAAAAATGACACATTCATTCCCTCAAGCACTTATCTTTTGTATTAAAATCAATCCAATTACTCTTTTAGTTATTTTTACATGTACAAGTAAATTATTATTAATTATAGTCACCTTGTTGTGCTATCAAATAATAGATCTTATTCATTCTTTCTAAATATTTTTTGTATCCATTAACCATTCCAACTGCATTCCCCCTGCTGCCCCCAACCCCATACCCTTCCCAGCCTCTGGTAATCATCTGTCTACTCTCTATCTCCATGATGTCAATTATTTTAATTTTTAGATACAACGAATAAGTGCAAACATGTGATGTTTGTCCTTCTGTGCCTGGCTTATTTCACTTAACATAATGACCTCCAATTCCCCCGACGGTGTTTCAAATAACAGAATCTCATTCACTTTTATGGCTGAATAGTATTCCATTGTGTATATATACCACATTTTATTTATCCATTTATCTGTGAATGGACACTTAGTTTGTTTCCAAATCTTAATTATTGTGAACAGTACTGCAGAAAATATGGGAGTGCAGATATTTCTTTGATACGTTGATTTCCTTTCTTTTGAGTATATACCCAGCAGTGGAATTGCTGGGTTGTATGTTAGCTCTATTTTTACTGTTTTTAAAGAAACTCCAAACTATTCTCCATAGTGGTTGTACTAATGGACATACCTACCAAAAGTTGTACAAGGGTTCCCTTTTTTCCACATCCTGCCTAGCATTTGTCATTGCCTGTCTTTTGGATAAAAGTCATTTTAACTGAGGTGAGATAATATCTCATTGTAGTTTTGATTTGCATTTCTCTGATGATCAATGATTTGGAGTACCTTTTCGTATGCCTTTTTTCCATGTTTTATGTCTTCTTTCAAGAAATGTCTATTCAAAGATTTTGCCCAATTTTTTCTTTGATTATTAGGGTTTTTTTCCTGTAGAGTTTTTTAAGCCTGTTGTATATTCTTGTTATTAATCCCTCGTCAGGGGGTAGTTTGTAAATATTTTCTCCCATTCTGTGGGTTGTCTCTTCACTTTGTGGATTTTATTCTTTGTTGTGCAGAAGCTTTTTAACTTGATGTGATCAAATTTGTTTATTTTGCTTTGGTTGCCTGTGCTTGTGGGGTAATACTTAAGAAATTTTTGCCCAGTCTAATATCCTGGAAAGCTTCCTCAATGATTTCTTTTTGTTTCATAGTACGAGGTCTTAAATTTATGTCTTTAGCTTGAGTTTTGTGTATGGCAAGAGAGAGTGGTCTAGTTTCATTATTCTGCCTGTGGATATCCAGTTTTCTCAGCACTATTTATTGAAGAGACTATCTTTACCCAGCGTATATTTTTGGTAACTTTGTTTAAATTAATTCACTGTAGGTGTGTGGATTTCTTTCTCGGTTCTCTATTCTTTTCCAGTGGTGTATGTGTCTGTTTTTATGCCAGTAATATTCTTTTTTTGTTAACTGCAGCTCTGTAGTATAATTTGAAGTCAAGTAATGTGATTTCTCTAGTTTTGACCTTCTTTGCTCAGGATAGCTTTGGCTATTTGGGGTCTTTTTTGGTTCCATATAAATGTTAGCATTGTTTTTCCCATTTCAATGGAGAATGTGATTGGTAACCTGAGAGAGGTTGCATTGAATATGTAGATTTCTTTGGGTAGTGTGGACATTTTAACAATATTCATTCTTCCAGTCCATGAACATGGAATATATTCCATTTTTGTATTCTCTTCAATTTCATAGTTTTTATTGTAGATATTTTTCACTTCTTTGGTTAAGTTAATTCTAGGTCTTTAATTTTATGTGTGGATATCGTAAATGGAATTACTTTTTTAAATTCTTTTTCAGATTGTTCACTATTAGCATATGGAAGTGTTACTGAGTTTTGTATGCTGATTTTGTGTCCTGAAACTTTACCAAATTAGTTTATCCATTCTACTAGTTTTTTTGTTGTTGTTCGGGTCTTTAGCATTTACTAAGATAAAATCATATCATCTGCAAACAAGAGTAATTTGATTTCTTCCTTCCCAATTTAGATGCCTGTTATTTCTTTATCTTGTCTGATTGCTCTAGCTACGTCTTCCAGATATGCAGAGAAAAGATCACTGAACTCAGAGATATAATAATAGTAATTGATCAAATTCAAAAACAGAAATAATAGACAAGAAATGAACAGAACCTTTGGCATATGTAAAGCTATAAAGAAAACTTCAAACATGTGTGTCTTTGGAAAGCTAGAAATAAAGCTAAAAGAGGGTGGGGCTGAAAAATTATTTTTAAAAATAATGTCTATCAAATTCCCATATTTGGGGAAACATATTAACCTTCAGTTTCAAAAATTGAGTAACTACAAAGAGGATAAAGAAAAACTGATGCCAAGCTACATCACAGTCAAACTTCTGAAAACTAAAATTAAGAATATTTGGAAAGCAGACAGAGAAAAACAATATATTACTTATAAGGGAAAACATTTGGAATGGCAGGAGGTTTTTTTTTAATGAAAAATTCCAGAGACAAGAAGGAAGGGCCACAACATTTTTCCAGTGCCAAAACAAAAAAAACAAAACAAAACAAAAAACTAGCTACTCACAATTATTTATCCAGTAAAAGTTATCCTTCACATATAAATGAAAAATCAATAAATAAACTTTTTCATTACATATCTACCCTAAAATCTAGCCAAAGAACATTTTAAATCAGAACAGAAATAAAATAGAATGAACCCTGTGGTCGGGCACCATGGCTCATGCCTGTAATCCCAGAAGTTTGGAAGGCTGAGGTGGGTGGATAACCTGAGGTCAGCAGTTTTAGAGCACCCCATCTCTACCAAAACTACAAAAAAAAAATAGGTTTGGTGGCAGACATCTGTAATCCCAGCTACTCAGGAGGCTGAGGCAGGAGAATTGCTTGAACCTTGGAGGCAGAGGCTGCAGTGAGCTGAGATCATGCCATTGCACTCTAGCCTGGGTGACAGAGTAAAACTAAAAAAAAAAAAAAGAACCATGTAACACTGACAAAGAAGAAATAACAACAGAAGAAACAAAAATATAGGTAAATATAACAGATTTATCTTCTCTTCTGTTGTTTTTAAAATTATGTTTGATAGTTGAAACAAAAATTTTAATGCTGTGTCATATGATTATCAATGAGTATAGGGTAAGTATTTAAGGAATTGTATTTTAAATAAAGAAGTACAAAATGACATAAAATGTGTTAAGTTTTCTATACTTTATTTGCACTGGTAGATGCTGTGCTGGAAAGTTATATTAAATATATAAATATATATTATATAACTATATATATTAACTAGAGCAGCTACTAAAAATGTTATACAGAGAGATAAGTTCAAAAACACTATAGACAAACAAAAATAGAAATCTTAAAATATTCCACAAAACCATAGGAAGCAGAAAAAAGAAAACAGAAAAAAATAACAGAAAATAAACAAAAAAAGGTAAACTCATGTATAAATTTATCAATAAATACACTAAATATAAATGGTCTAAATACATTATTTAAAAGATAGAGATTAGTACAGTGGATAAAACAAAATGACCCAGCTATATGATGTCAGTGCATTAGCTCCATAGGGATGCCAGAGCAAAGTACCACAAACTGGGTTGCTGAAAACAACAGAGTTGTTCACTCACAGTTCTGCAATGACGAAGTCAACATTCAAGGTGTAGGTAGGTCCATGCTCTCTCTGAAACCTGTAGGAAAGAATACATATTTTCCTCTACTAATTTCTTGTGGTATTTGCCAATTGTTGATGTTTTTTGACTTGCAGCAATAGCACTTCAATTTCTTCTTCTTTAGTTTCATGACATTCTCCTTTCAAGTGTCTCTGTCCAAATTTCTCTCTTCTTACAGGGACACAAGTCATATTGGATTAGGGATCCATCATTCTTCAGTATGATCTCATCTTCACTAATTACATTGATGATGTCTTTATTTATAAATAGGATCACAATTTGTGTACTGGAGTTTAAGACATCAACATATTTTGGAGTGGACAAAATTCAACCCATAACATATAGGAAGGCTAAAAGTTAAAGAACAACAAAAAAAGATATAGTATGAAAATATCAATCAAAGGAAATTAGGCATGAGCACATTAGTATTAACAGACAAAGAAGATACCAGAGCAAAGAAAATTATGGGATAGACAGTTGTCAGTACATAATGTTAAAGGGCTAAATCCACCAAGAAGACACGGCAATCCTAAAACTACATGCACCAAACAATTAACTGCAAAATATGTGAAGCAGCATTGATAAAACTGAGCGAAGAAATAGACAAATTTACAATTTTAGTGATTGACGAATCAGCAAGATGCTAGAATAACTCAAAACCATGAACTGATAGCATCTAATTGAGATTTACAAAATGCACCTTCCAACAACATAAGAATACACGATTTTTCTCAAGTGCTCATGAAATATATGCCATGAGAGACTATATCCTGGCCCATAAAATAACTTATAAAGAATTTGAATATAAGATATAAAAAGTGTTATTTAACTATAATGGAATTAGACTAGAATCAGTAACAGAAAAACACAAGGAATGCTTTCAAACATTTGGAAAGTAACCAGTGCATCTCTAAATAATCCAAGGGTCACAGTCAAAGTCTAAAGAAATTTTATAGATACATAGATAGTTAGATACATTATAGGTATAGATATATAGTCAAAGGGAACATAAACACAAACAATTCATATATATCTAAATAAAACTGAAAACATAGCATATAAAAATTTGTAGAGCCCAGCTAAAGTTATGCTGATAGTGAGTTTATAAACCGGATGCTTATAAAAGGAGAAAAGGTTTTTAGATCAATAATCTAAGTTTCAACATCAAGAAATTATAAAGAGAACAAAATGAATCTAAGGGAAGAAGAAGAAGAAAGGAAATTGTAAAGAAAGAAGCACAAATCAGCAAGATTAAAATACAAAAAAAGAAAAAGTCATTAAAACAAAAATCAGATTATTTCAAAAGATTAGTGAAATAAATCTCTAGTAATTTGGACAAGGAAACAAAGAGAAGACATAAATTACTAATATCAATAAGAAAACAAGAGATGTCACTACAGTCAATGCAAAAATCAGAATGAGTAAATGTGAACAATTCTGTATAGATTAATTTGACCATTTGGAAGAATTGGACTAATTCCTTGAGCAGTGAAAACTGGCAAAACTACATGTGAAATAGAGTATTTGAATAGCCATATAACTATTAAGTGAACTGAATTTGTAATGGTAAACCTCAGGTAAGAGAAATCTCCAGGCCCAGGCAGTTTCACTGGAGAATTCTACCAAATGTTTAAAGAAAAATTAACACCAATTTAAAAAAATATTTTACAGAAAATAGAAGACAGAGTAATTTCTATCTCATTATATGAAGCAGAATAACCCTGATACCAAAACCAGATAATGAAATCTCTAGAGAAGAAAATTATATACCAATATTTCTCATGAATATTGATGAAAAAATTCTTAATAAAATATTATCAGATAGAATTCAACAATATCTAAGTACCATGACCAACTGGGATTTATTCCAAGGATAAAAGGCTGCTTCCATATTTGAAAATCAAACAATGTAATCTCTCTTATTATCAGGCTAAAGAAAAATAAATCATATGATAATTGATGCAGAAGAAAATGAAAATATTCAACACCCATTAATGATAAGAACTATCAGAAAAAAGGTAATAGTAATTTCCTCAAGTTGATAAAAACAATCTACCCCAAATCCCCATCTATATCTAATGTCATATTTAATAGAAATAAATTGAATGTTTTTCTTATGAGATTGAAACAAGGCAAATACAGCTACTTTTCCCTTGCTATTCAACATAATACTGGAAGTTCTAGCCAGTACTACAAGACATACACGGAAATGAAAGGCATAAAAATTGGAAATAAATAAATAAAATTGTCTCTAGTAGCAGATGCTGGAATAGTCTATGCAGAAAATCTTGTGATGAGCAGCTGTACTTGTTCCCAAGGTCTTCAGTAATAAAGTGCCCAACTGGGTGGTTCAAAATAACACAAATATATTGTCTCACAATTCTGGAGGCTAGAAGTCTGAAATTAAGGTGTCACCAGAGCCATGATCCCTCTGAAATCTGTCAGGCAGAGAAGGGGTGGATCCTTCTCTGCCTCTTCTCCCTCTGGTGCTTGTTGGAAACTCTTGGTACTCCTTGGCTTGTAGGTACTTCACTCCAATCTCTATCTGTTGTGGCATAGCCATCTTCTCTCCGTGCATCTCCCTTCTCTTATAAAATCACAGGTCATATTGGAATAAAGGCTCACCCTACATCCAATATGACCTCATCTTAACTAATTACATTTTTAAAAACTCTATTTTTAAATAAGATCACACTGTGAGTTCCTGGGAGTTAGGACTTCCACATACTATTTTGGGGGAATACAATTCAATGTTTAACTGCAGCAAAAGCCAAGTGAGGGTTAGCTATTCAGAGAGCCGAAAAAAGAGAAAAACAGAGTTTAAAGAAGGAGGTAGTATCTTTACACTGTTTTTAGTTTTGTTTATGTTTTCGTTTTTGGGTCTCTCTCTGTCGCCCAGGCTGGACTGCAGTGGCATGATGTTGGCTCACTGCAACCTCCGCCTACCTAGTGCAACCCCTGCCTCCTGGGATCAAGTGATTCTCCTGTCTCAGCCTCCCAAGTAACTGGGACTACAGGTGTGCACCACCACAACCCACTAATTCTTGTATTTTTAGTGAAGGCAGGGTTTCACCATGTTGCCCAGGCTGGTCTTGAACTCCTGGCCTCAAGTGATCTGCCTGCCTCAGCCTCTTAAAGTGCTGGAATTACACACATGAGCTACCACACCCAGCCTTTCACACTGTTTTAAGAGACTACCAATATTCAATTTTTTTGCATAGCTGTACAGTCTCTGACTTACAGTGGTTTGGTTTATGACTCTTTTTTTGCCTTTAGGATGTGTTTCTTAGGAGGTAATTCCATCATAAGTTGAGGCGCATCTGGATTTACAATGATTCAATTTATGTTTTTTAAATTTACGATGGGTTTTGGGGTATCAATTGCATTTTCAACTTATGATTTTTTTTTACTTATGATGAATTATTGGGACCTAACCCCATCACAAGTTGAAGAGAATACGTATTTCTTTTTCTCTTAGACTCCCCGTGGAACAGAGTTGTTGTTCAGCAGAAATAATCAAGAGTTGACATCATACCAGGTAAAAAATAGAAGCGGTAATTTTGAAGGTGCTGTCAGAAGAGTTATTGAAGTGGTCATGAACTCTAAAGTTACAGAGGCAATTATGTAAAGATAAAAGATAAAGGTACGTAGTACAAAATAGAGGATTCAAAGCGTTCGTGAATGTAATGAGGTCAATGACCAAGTCAGTGTACCTGAGAACTGGAAAATGAGGAAGTTGTGGTCCAGGAAGAGAGTGTTTCACTTTAATACCTAACAGCTGGAATAGTTCTCAGTGATTATGGGTTCATGACATGGATAGCAGGATCAGTATGTGAAAACAGCAGAGTTGCTTATTTTTATATTTATGAAATGAAAGAATTTAGAGACCAGGGAAGTGGATTTCTCATCTTTGTTATAGAATCACCTATGATGATGACACAACTTGGCCTGAAAAAAGTGTTTCAGTCATATTCCAAAATCTCCTTTAAAAAAGAGAATGACCAAGTAATCAGTATATAATAATAGACCAAGAAGGTTTAAATATGGTATGACTTGGATATATGAGCTCCATGTAATGGGAAAAAAAAAGGGTTTGGAAAAAGCATTAGGGAACACTACACAAATGTGAATTACATAGAGTATGGAGCAATAATTAATGTTGAGTTGAATATTGCTGGTAATGTTAAGAAGCATAGGTAAGGAATTGGGGCTTGGGAAATAAATCAGTATGATGGGACTTTGAATAACCCTTCTCTAATGCTTTGATTCTACACCCAATCTAGAGTCATGAGATGTTCCTTTCTAATAAATATTAACATATTATTTTCTTACTTAGGATGGAAGTTTTTCTCTACTTGGTTATATACTTCCCTGGCCATTTTCTAAAGTATACTGCAAATATTTTCATCGTTTTTTGATAACCACTTATACACACCAAATTTACTTTCCCAGAATAAAGTGCTACACTAAAGATTTAACTATTTGTATCAAAATATACTATAGTTGATTATTAGTATATTATTCCTTCAGAGTTAGTTTTTATTTTAGACTGCTTAGAAAGATGATAATTTTAATTTATGGTAGCTTTAATTTCAACAAAGAAATATTAGTAAAACCTTACCTGTTTTACTGCTACCCATTTCCCAAATATCTATTGATATGTTTGAAACTACTTGCCCCTGCACAAATGGCATTAAATCCAGCATTCTTTTTTATTTCTTTTGATTGTGTGGGTTTTTTCCACTTATTTCCAATTCATTAGATGTTCCTTCTTACAATCATCCGTGGGTATAACAATCCAAATTTATGGTTTGTAATATTTTATTTTTAGTTTGAAAACCAGATAACAAAGATTGTTGGAAACCTAGGTAAAAAGTAACCTGAGAAATAGTCTTAAAGAGCTTTCTCATAATTCAGATGTTTGATGGCTGAGTTCTGTATACATAAGTTGCAAATGTTTATTTTGGTTCATGCTACATATACAAGGCAGAAAGTTCTGTCTCATATAGTAACAACTCAAAGATCCAAGAAGATATAGGTTTCACTTTAGTGTAAATTTCTATACTTCTTGAGACATAAAGAAAAAAGAAGGGGTGGTAGTAGAATTTGGTTGTTAAAATGCATACCTCTAAAATGTGTAGCCTGTTTTTGGAAGGATATATGAGAAACTTGTAAGAGAGAATGTATCTGGTGAGGAGAAGTAGGTGATTTGGTAGAGGAAAAGGAAACAAACTTAATTTTCATTATTAAAAATATTTCACACTTCATATTCCAAAGCAAGTTGTGTGACCAAACCTAATTTCAAAGGAGTATGGACATGCAATCAATCCCCTACAAAGTACACAGAAAAATAAAACTGGAATATTTAGGGACAAATTAGTAATCATTACATATAGTACTAATAAATCTGTAGAAAGGAATTTCTTAATAGGACCCATAAATCCCTAGGAAGCCTAGTAAATTACCGGTCTATATAAACTCTTTGAAAATGTTATAAAATGATAAGTTTGGGGATATATCCATCGCCTTTGTCATATCATCAAAGGTTCATGAAGTTCTTCCGTTTAAAAAAAATGTAGAAATCCTATTATGTGTCAGGAAAGTAAAGATATACTTATGAATAGGAAAAGTACCAAAAATAACTGTGTAGCACTTTACTCATAAAATGTGACTACATTTGAAGTATTCTAGAAGATTTTAGTTAGGACCATATTTCTTACCCCAAAATTTCTGTGTAATAATAGGCAATATTACTTCTTAGGAATTCTAGGTGCTTCCATCTCATCTGTGCAGCAGTAAAATCAGGACATATGCTGATTAAGGGAATTGCTTTAAATTCACTGGAACAAATACCACCTTGTAACATTAATTTTAGAATGATTCTCTTTTTCCATTTAGCACATCTAGTTCTAGGTTAAATGATGTATCTGTGATCTCGGAAAAAACCAAGGTAGATGAAGAGTTATATTCCATACTAAATTGAAAAGTTTCATTCTCTATTTTCAGACTTTTAAAGCACAGGGCAAGTTTATATTGCTCTTTGCTATTTCTTCTCTTCAAGAAATAATCCACTTTTGCCATCAAAATAGAGTAGGTGAATCTGGCTCATTAAAAATGTTGTTATAAAAGTAGTTATGATGATGCAGATTAATTTCCAACCATTCAGTGCTTTAAAAACTTTAAAACATTTATTATTACCATGTTTATGTGCTGTGCTATTCAGTAAAATGACAGCAACATTTTATCTGAAGCAGATAGAGAATAATGTATTTTAAAAATACATTTATTAGACATTTTACTGAAAATACAGGGTTGTAATAATGCATACAACAGCATTATCATAAATAGTAGCTATAATAAACAGCAGTTAAAAAGATTTTATGGGAGAAATAGCTAAAAAACAGCTTTCTCTCCCAGTCTAGGATATGTATTTTAAAACTGTTAGAGAATTCTCCTAAGCCTATAGTTAATGGGATGTTTGCATTTGACTAACATAAGAAAAAAGTTGATAAAAATTCTCACTGTGATTTTTGAATGTCAGAGGTTCATATTTTTTTCTAGCTTAATTTTGTAAGCAGTGCCAATACATGCAAATTAAAGTAAGAAATCAAAGACATTACCTAGAGTAAAACAAATCCTGTTATTTCCCCCTTAATTGTGTAGATTGTTTATGTACAGAAGTGTTCAGGCTTTAAAAAATCTAGATTGTTATGTGAGTTTGTCACTCCCCATATTGTTAGTGAGATTGATTAATTTTTGATTACACAAACATTGTGGGATTAAACTGGAATTTTTGACCGGAAATGTATTATAAAACATAAGATTAGTTTTGTAAAGAACACAAAGAATTTGGGATAAGATTTTTTTAATTGAATGATTTTTTTAAATAAAAAGGATTAGTAAACATTTATGTGTTAGCAAATGTGAGTTTACAATCTTTCTTTTTTTTATTTCTTATAAAATAGACAAGAGATATTAACGTCAGCCATTGTAAAGGGCAATCAGAAAAGCCACAAGGTTTAGGCTGGAAAAGAAGATATGTACTTCACAGCTCCCATGAGATTTACACCAATAAAATAGACTTTTATGACCCTGGATGAGATTGTGTTTTAGTCTCAGACATATCCGTTTTTTATGGTCATTAAAAGTTATTGAGTTAACTGCTCATTATACAGTTTAATCTGTACCCTTACTTTTGATCTACTTTCAGGACATCTGAAGTACTTACATTAAATTAAGAGCTCTTCCAAAACTTTGAAAATGTGTAAAATTTGACTTCGGGTATAAATGTGGTTGAGATTCAGAGAGATTTTGCTGACTTGATGAAGTTATCCTTGAGTTACATACATTACAAATATATTTTCCCAATCCTTTGCTTCCATATTTATTCTCCTTAATAATTTTTTGAGGAAAACTTTCTAATTTAAATGCAGTTCAGTATATTAATTCATTTCCTTTATGACTCGTGTTTTATATATCCTTTTAAACAAAATTTTCTATACCACAATTCAGGAATGTATTCTCTTAGTATTTTCTGGAAGCACTAGGGATCTATTTTTCTTGTATATTTATATCAGTGATCCACTTGGAATTGATTTTAGGTATAGGATTATATGTATGGTGGGGTCAAGCATCATTCAGATAAATCCATAATAGAATTCTAATATTAAATAAATGTGTAATTAATGAACATACTAAAATTAAATTACAGAATATCTTGATAAAAATGGCCAAATGTTGAGGCTACCTGTGTATTCTAGAGATGTTGAGGGCTTGATAAGTACAATTCATTATGAAGAAAGGATTAAATTTTATACAATATACTTTTCAAGATGGCCAGACAGTATGTAGCTAATTGAAAAAATAAAATAAAATAAAAAACCTTGACTTTTAAAATGATTAACATGAGAGTTTGGTGTTTAAAATAAGTAATTCCCTCATTACTTATGTTAGATGCAAATTTTGTGAAATGAAGAGGGCCTAACTGAATTCTGAATATCATGATTTGTTTTATATGCCATATTTCCTTACCAAAGCTTCCCAGTGAATCCAAAATATTCAACTGGATTTTGATAATTCTTCTGGATAGCAATTATTTCAGATTTGCTTGGGGCCTGCACTGATGCCCCCACACTATTTCTCTTCCTCTTTCATGTAAAAACTCACTTGTATTTTGATCTTGTCATTTCTAGATTAGCTGTATTCAATTTCTAATTGTGTCTATCTCATATAATAATCACAATCACTCACTTTATTTACTAAAAAGCTTTGTATCTATCTTAAGACTTATCGTCAAGGGACAGTTGCATCACATGAATATAATGACAATCTTTTTTTCTTCCTTCTATTTTTCTTCCTTCTGTCTCCTCCTTCTGTCTTCCTTCTCCTTACTGCACTGTGAATACAATGTTAGTTGAAGTGGTGATAACAAGCATCTTTTTCTCATTCCTAATCACAGGAGAAACATCCAATATTTCCAAATTAAGTATGATTTTTTGTAGAGATTTCTAGGTGCTGTTTATTGAATAAGAAAGTTTTATTTTATTTCTGATTAGTAGCTTCTACAATGAATAGACATATAACTTTGAAAATTACTGTCTTTTCCTGTATTTGAGTACATAAAACTTTCCTTTCTTATACTTTTAATATGATAAATTGCAAACATTTAATTTCTATTGTTAAACCAATTCTAAAATCCTAGATTAAGTGTTTCTGGTCTTGATTTTCATGTGTTATTGGATTTGACTTACTAATATTTTGTTTGGGATTTTATTTATCTGTGTTTTTGATAGAAGTCAACTTAGAATTTATCTGTTTCGCTGACTGTATCCTAGTCCGGTTTGTTGTTAAGATAATGATGACCCGATTTTTTTTAAAGATGAGATTTATTTCTTATGTTATTGTTATTCTAAGAATTTTGTTTGAATACTTTTACTTCTTCTTTAACTATTTGGAAGAAATTGCTGATAAAGTCAACCTGGGCCAATAGATTACTTTTTTGAAATATTTAAAAATATGAATTCAATTTCTTTTATAAATACAGAACTGCTTAACTATACTATTTGTGTCAACTTTGAAAACTGTACTTTCTAGGAATTTGCTTTTATCTTCCAAAATATATGGGCAGTAAATTGCTCAATGTCAAGTCCAGTTCCTGGTGATAAACCTATGAGTGATCTTTCAGACCTCACCATAGATAATTTCAGAAGTTTTAAATGAAAGGCAGGTAAAGCTAGGAAAGCTGCCCTTCCCACACCACAACTAGTGCAGCTAGTGCACTGCAACCTCTAAAGGAAGCTACAGTCAAGATATCAGCACCCTGGCCAATCATAGTATTTCACATATTTACCTTACTGGTCTGGTGGTGCTCTGATACTTAGGGACCTTTATCTGAGGCCTTGGGCAGAGGTCTTTCTCGGGCTCTTCTGAACAGGCCTCCTGATAGTAGGAGGAGAGGAAAACATTAAAGACATTTTTTCTCACTGATACAATCTCCAGTATTTTTTTTACTCCTATTGCCCCCTGCACTCTAACATCCCTGCCATAGTCCATAATAGTGCTAGAGACTTTTCCTTGAAGATCTCCTTGCAGTGGGACAAACGCCAAATCTGCGCTCATCCACCCTACCCTGGAATATGCATCATTTCATGTGGGAAGATGGAAATGGGGAAGTTGGAGCTTTCGCTGGATTTAGGGTGTTGCTTATACCACCACAATAAGTGATAAAGGGCTTAACCCATTCATTTTTGGCTTATTGCTTTGTAGTGGTGGTGTGTTTTTTTTTTTTTTGTATTTTTTGTTTATTTTTTAACCTGTACATTTATTTTTTATATTTTTATATTTTTTAAATTTTACTTTAAGTTCTGAGATACATGTGCAGAATGTGCAGTTTTGGTACATAGGGATACATATTCCATGCTGGTTTGCTGCACCTGTGAACCTGTCATCTAGGTGGTAAGCCCCTCATGCATTAGGTATTTGTCCTAGTGCTCTCCCCCCACACCTTGCTCCTCATCCCTGAGAGGCCCCAGTGTGTGATGTTCCCCTCCCTGTGTCCATGTGTTCTCAAGTTCAACTCCCACTTATGAGTGAGAACGTGCAGTGTTTGGTTTTCTGTTCCTGTGTTAGTTTGCTGAGAATGATGGCTTCCCGTTTCATCCATGTCCCTGCAAAGGACATGAACTCATCCTTTTTTGTGGCTGCATAGTATTCCATGGTATATATGTGCCATATTTTCTTTATCCAGTCTGTCATTGATGGGCATTTTGGTTGATTCCAACTCTTAGCTATTGTGAATAGCGCTGCAAGAAACATACGTGTGCATTTGTCTTTAAGTAGAATGATTTATATTCCTTTGGGTATATATCCAGTAATAGGATTTGTGGGTCAAATGGCATTACTGGTTCTAGATCCTTGAGGAATTGCCACACTGTCTTCCACAATGGTTGACCTAATTCACACTCCCACCAACAGTGTAAAAGCATTCCTATTTCTCCACAGTCTCACCAGCATCTGTTGTTTCCTGACTTTTTAATAATTGCCATTCTAACTGGCGTGAGACAGTATCTCATTGTGGTTTGATTTGCATTTGTCTAATGACCAGTAATGATGAGCTTTTTTTCATATGTTTGTTGACGGCATAAATGTCTTCTTTTGAGAAGTGTCTGTTCATATCCTTTGCTGACTTTTTGATGGGGTTGTTTGTTTTTTCTTGTAAATTTGTTTAAGTTCCTTGTAGATTCTGGGTATTAGACCTTTGTCAGATGGGTAGATTGCAAAAATTTTCTCCCATGGTGTAGGTTGCCTATTCACTCTGATGATAGTTTCTTTTGCTGTGCAGAAGCTCTTTTGTTTGATTAGGTCCCATTTGTCAACTTTGGCCTTTGGTACTGGCACCAAAACAGATATATAGACCAATGGAACAGAACAGAGGCCTCAGAAATAACACCATACATCTATAACCATCTGATCTTCGACAAGCCTGAAAAAAAACAATCAATAGGGAGAGAATTCCCTATTTAATAAATGGTGCTGGGAAAACTGGCTAGCCATATGCAGAAAACAGAACCTGGACCCTTCCTTACACCTTAATACAAAAATTAACTCAAGATGGATTAAAGACTTAAATGTAAACCCCAAACTATAAAAACCCTAGAAGAAAACCTAGGCAATACCATTCAGGATATAGGCATGGGCAAAGACTTCATGACTAAAACATCAAAAGCAATTGCAAAATAAGCTGTACATTTATTCTTTAAATTTTATTTGTATAAATTTAGGGGGTACATGTGTCCTTTAGGCTTACTGCTGTAATGAGCTACTTCAGCCACCTGAGTTACAGCTTACTCTGACTCTCTCAGCTCAGCTGAACTCATGACAAATATGTTAATGGCATGTAATTACCGTTATATAACATATAGTCTATAATTATCATTATATATCATATAATCTATTGTATTGTATAACAAATAAATAGATTAATAATAGTATTATTTGTTTAACATCTCTAGAAGCTACAATGATGCTTGTTTTTTTTGCATTAACGAAGTCCTCCTTTGAATCTTCTCTCTCCCACTTTCTCTTTCTAGATAAGTCTTTCTAGAGATTGCATTAATTTTTCAAATTTCAACTTTTGTATCTAATTTCTCTTTTACACATTTGTTTTATTCACTTTTTTGATAATGATTTGCTTGACAGTTTTATCAATTTCTGTTCTAATTCCGTTACTCTGTTCTGCCTGTTTCCTCTAGATGCAATCTTAACTCCTAAAGATGAATACATAATTGATTTTCAGCAATTTTTTTCTTGATACACATAGGAAAAGCTATAAATTTATCTTCTGAATGCCTTTATCTGCATTACGTCTTTTTATTATGTTTTATTTTTATTATTACTCAGCTCAATTTTTCTGATTTGTATTTTTTTTATGTTGATCCATGGGTTATGTCAAATGTTACTACTTACATCTCAAAAATTTGGAGGATTTTTTTTATTTTTTGGTTTCCTTTTGTATTCTAGTTTAAGTTCATCGTAGTCAAAGAATTGCCTTTATGATTTAAAATTTAAAAATCTTGTTGAAGCTTTTTTATGGCCCAATATATGGTCAACTCTGCTAAATGTTTGACGTGTAGACTAGAAAAAAATGTGGATTCTGCAGTGTCTTACATATATCAACAGTTTAATTTTTAACTGTGTTCTGATTATTTTTAAGTTTTGTGTCATTTATAGCCTACTTGTTCCTACAAGTAGGAGGAGGCATCTCATTATGGATTTTTTTTTATTATACTTTAAGTTTTAGGGTACATGTGCACATTGTGCAGGTTAGTTACATATGTATACATGTGCCATGCTGGTGCGCTGCACCCACTAACTCGTCATCTAGCATTAGGTATATCTCCCAATGCTATCCACCCCCCCACCCCACCACAGTCCCCAGAGTGTGATATTCCCCTTCCTGTGTCCATGTGATCTCATTGTTCAATTCCCACCTATGACATTATGGATTTTATTTGCATTTACCTAATGTCTATGACGTTGATCATGTATGTGTTTTTTGTCCATTTGCATATCTTCCTTAGAAAATGTCTTTCATTTCCTATGTTCATTTTTAGATTGACTTTTTGGTTGTTGCTGTTGAATTGTAAGAGATTTTTAAATATATATTATAGATACTAGACCCTTATCAGAAATATAATTCATAATTTTTTCCATTCTATTATTGATTAATTGACTGGTTACCTCAGGATATTAACATTTTATTCTATTATTTTTTAATAACAGTGCCTGGAAAATAGTAGTCACTCAATAAATGTTTGTTTAATTGATGTAATTAATTATATGGTGAAACCTTAGTAATCTTTTCACATGCATTATGACATGTGTGTTTTACTCTGCCCATTATCAGATATTTAGCCTTTCAAAATATATTTTGAGTTATGTATTTTAAATATTTAAATACTTAATTTAAATATTTTAAAAGAGACTTTGAGTCAGTAAAATCCGTTGTTTGAGAATAATGACTTAAATTTCTACAAATCATAGTATGCTTAGGTACCATTTCACTTATAAACATCACCTACTAGGGAAAAATAATTTTTAAAATATAAAATTTTCCTGAGTTTCTGATCACACAGCTATGAGCTAAAGAAAGCTATTGTATTTGTCTTTAAATATAGTTGCTTTATTATTTCTTAAGTATCCTGTCATATTTCAATAATCATCTGCTAAAAAAATTAAACAAAATGAAGGAATCAAAACAAGAAAGAAAATGAGACATTTTTCATAGATTGTACAGCTTAGATATTTCATTAATTGACTGAATTGAAAAGTTGGAATAGGTTAGATAGGCATTATCTCATTAATTTCTATTGTTATCTTTCATATATTTATAGAACAATAAATGCACTTATTTTTTCTATGTATTTCCTTTCAAACATCCAAGATAATATGTAAATCAATTAAGTCAGTAATAATTGGACTCGTATTTCTTAAAAAATGACAGATTGAAAATATGAACATTGATTTTTATAGCTATAAAAAGTGTAAAATACATAGTATAATCATATCCTTTGAATTTTAGCTTTAGAGATAATTATTTATTTAGCTTTATTTCTTGGTTTTTGTTTGCTTTTGATAAGAGGAATGAAGTATGAGAGCTTAAGAGACTTGTCCAAATTGACCCAATTAGAAAATAAACCCACGAAATAGAAAAGCATTTCCATGAATTTTGTCTTTTAAAGTGTATCTGAGAAACCACTAAACCAGCAATTCTAAGCCCAATAAGATAAATATGCCATGCAAGAAAATTATGTTATTCTCATGTACCGAAATAAACTAATTATTCAGTGAAAATAAAATAGTCAAGAGTTTATAATGAAGAACAGAAAAAAGAATCAAGTTGGTATTCAAATGAATGGAATACCATAGAATGTGGTATATTGAAGGAATATATAGAAGGAACAATGTTAAATCACTTAGGTATTAGAAATATCTAATGACAAGGTGGTTTTAATTTATGGCTAATATTTCATGAGATAACTTTTTCAAGGTTCCGACAACGTATTTATAAAGACTCAGAAATAAATAAATGGTCAGACAAATTTTTAAAAGACAGTTCACAAATCTACTTCTTGCCAATATCTTAAAGAGATTTTGATAATTTGGCCAAGCCTAATTTATTATATTTACTTTATTTTTGTAAAAGCTATCAATATTCTTTTGAAGGGCAGAAATTCCAGTAAGCAACAATGAATGGTGAATAACTCCAACATACAAATGCCTTGCATTAATACAATTTATCTTTGATGTCAAATAATATACTGATACATGCTGTGTTAAAAACATGGAAAACTTTGTTGGCAGTGTATCATGTGCATTCTAATTCTACATATACCCCTCTTATTTCACTTGTCAGACAAGTATCAATAAAATTATGAGAAGATGATTTTCAAATTCCCAGTGCTAGTGAATAGCCATATCGTGAAACTCTGATAGTATCTTTGATTCCTTCTCTCCTTCATCCCTTGCACACACACAAAGTTGGCAAATACTAACAATTCTATATTCTAAATAGTTTCAACATCTCTTCTGTCTGGCCCTGCATCAATTTTTATGAAAATTATGCTCACCTCCCAATGATCACCTTTCTCCAGTACTGTCAATTTGAACAGGATAATTTACATAAAACATTAATTTAATTATATCACTCCCTTACCTAACCTATTATTAAAAGGAGTTCTATTTATTTTCTTTGAGCTGTTTTACCATATATCTTGTGATTTGACCTACTTGCTATATCTTCCCTCCTATATCTATTTATTATCTTTGAGTTGAGTTGAGTTCTATTTATTATCTTTGAGTCATCTTACCATATATTTTATGATTTGACCTACTTGCTGTATCTTTTTTTACTATGAATTTTGTATTCCATACTCCTCATAGGTCATTAAATAATTTATTCAAAATTATTTAAGGATAACTTATTTATTATTTATTGACTTCTATAACTTCATTAACTAAAGTTATTTAATGACTTCTCATAGGTCGTTAGATCATTTATTCAAAATTATTTAAGGAACAACTACTTTGCACATGGCACCATGCAGGAACTGGAAAGAAACTACGAGACAAATATTTAAATGAGAATATTTGGATATTTATATACAGGCATATCTCATTTTGTTGTACTTTGCAAATAGCATTTTTTAAATTGAAAATTGTGGCAACCCTACATTAAGCAAGACTGTTAGCATCATTTTACCAACAGCATGTGCTCACTTTGAGTCTCCTAGAAACATTTTATTAATTGTTATAATATTCCAAACTTTTTTATTAGTATATATCTGGCAGAGTGCTCTTGATTACTTCTCTTTGTTATTAATATTGTAATTGTTTTAGGGCACCATGAAACATGTCTACACGATATGACAAACTTAATAAATGTTTTGTCTGCTCTGATTGCTCCACGATCAGCCTTTTTTTTTTTTTCTGCCTTTCTCCATTTCCTCATGCATCTGTATTTCCAGAGACACAGCAATATTGAAATTCAGGCAATTTAATTATTCTAGAATGGCATCTAAGGGTTCAAGTGAAAGAAAGAGTTGCATGTCTCAGTTTAAATCAAAAGCTAGAAATGATTGAGCTTAGTGAGGAAGGCATGTTGAAAGATGAGATATGCCCAAAGCTAGGCCACTTGTTCCAAACATTTAATTAAGTTGTGAATGCAAGGAAATAGCTCATGAAGGAAATTAAATGTGATATTCTAGTTAACACATAAGTGATAAGAAAGTGAAACATCCTTGTTGCTGTTATTGGGAAAGTTTTAGTGGTCTGGATAGAGGATCAATCAGTCACAACATTCCCTTAAGCCAATGCCTAATCTAGAGAAAAGCCTTAAGTATAACTTTATGAAGGCTGAGAGAGGTGAAGTAGCTGCAGAAGAAAAATTGCAGGTTAGCAGAGGTACATTCATGAGGCTTAATCAAAGAAGTGATCTCCATAACATAAAGGTGCAAGGTGACATAGCAAGTGCTGATGTAAAGCTGCAGGAAGTTATTCACAGTATCTTACTAATGTCATGATGACAATGGCTATACTAAACAACAGATGTTCCATGTAGATAAAACATTCTTATATTGGAAGAAACTGCCATCTAGAACTTTCATAGCTAGGGAGTAGAAGTCAATGCCTGGCTTCAAAGATTCAAAGGACAGGCTGAATCTCTGGTTAGGGAATAATGCAGTTTTATTGAATTTAAAGCCAATGCTCATTAACCGTTCTGAAGTTCCTAAGGCCCTTAAGAATTACAGTAAATCTTCTCTACCTATTCTCCATAAATGAAACAACAAGCCTGTATGATAGTACATCTGTTTGCAACATGGTTTACTGAATATTTTATGCCCTTTGTTGAGACCTACTGCTCAGGAAAAAAAAAAGATTTCTTTAAAAATATTACTGCTCATTGATATGACCATTAGTGCACCTGGTCATCCAAGAGCTCTGATGTAGATGTACAGATTAATGTTGTTTTCATGTGTGCTAACAGAACACTCATCTGCAGTTCATGGATCAGGGAGTAATTTTGAACTTCAAGTCTTATAACTGTAGCCATGGATAAAGGAGTAATTTCAAGTCTTGTTTTATTTAAGAAATACATCCTGCAAGGCTATAGTTGCCATAGATACTAACTTCTCCGATAGATCTGGGAAAAGAAATTGAAATCCTTCTGAAAAGAATTAATCATTTTTAGATGTCATTGAGAGCATTCATGATTAATTGGTAGAGGACAGGATATTAACATAAATGGGAGTTTAGAAGAAGTTGACTCCAACCTTCATGGATAATGTTGAGGGGTTCAAGACTTTAGCAGAGAAAGTAACTGCAAATGTGGTAGAAATAACAAGAGAACTATAATTAAATGGCATCTTAAGATATGAATAAATTGCTACAATCTTATGAAATTTAAATGGATAAGGAGTTATTTTGAATGAGCAAAAAAAAGTGGTATCTTGAAATGGAATCTATTCCTAGTGAAGATGTTATAAACATTGTTGAAATGACAGAAAAGGGTTTAGAACATGCCATAAACTTAGTTAATAAAGGTGTAGCAGGGTTTGAGAAGATTGACTCCAATTTTGAAAGTTCTACTGTGGATGAAAATGTGACCAAACAGCATCATAAGCTACAGAAAAATCTCTCATAAAAAAAGAAGCAATCAATGCAGCAAACTGCATTGTTGTTTAAAGAAATTGCCACAGCCACCCAAAATTTAGCAATCATCACCCTGATCAGTCAGCAGTCATGAACAAGGCAAGATCCACCACCAGCAAAAAAGATTATGACTCATTGAAGGCTCTGATGATTAGTAGCATTTTTTAGCAATAAAGTAGTTTTAAATTATATACATTTTTAAGATAAAATGTTATTGCACACTTAATAGACTACATTATAGGGTAAATATAACATTTATTGCACTGAGAAACCAAAAATACTGTGTGACTCACTTCATTGCAATATTTACTTTACTTCAGTGGTCTGGGAGCAAACCCATAATATGCCTGCGATATGGCTGTATTAATATTCCATATGGACAAAAGGGAAAATATAGTAACCCTTAGCCCTATTATAAAATATGCTCACTATGGTATCATAGTTTTAATTTCAGAAAATGATAACAGAAATACTAAAATGACATTAACCACAAAAACAAATGCCCACATTATATATAAGTATATACATATATGTGTATATGATTTCTAAAATTTTGTGACAATAATAGACATATTTTTATTACCCAGAAAAAGATTGTGAAATGTTTTATCACAAATATATTATTTTACCAAACTTTTAAATAATTAAATATTATATAAGGTATGTGGCCTCAACTTGGAGCAGAAAACACAGGAACAACATAAAAACGAATAAAAAAGTGGTGTTGACTTACATCAGAAATAATTTCAAGATAGTTTAACAATTTTTATTGAAGAATTAAAATTTATGACTCTGCAACAGAAACCAGAATGAACGAAGCAAAATAAATTTAATAATGATCCTATTGGAAAAGGACCAATGGTAAAGTAAATACAAGTTTCTTTGTTCCTAGGTAAATAAATGGAAAGGTGAAATAGATTTTAGTGCTTTATTTTTATTTTTTTTTAGGTCTCCCTAAAAGGTCTCCCTCTGTCACCCAGGCTGGAGTGTTGTAGTGTGATTATAGCTCTTAGAGCCTCAAACTTCTGGGCTCAAGTGATCCTCCTGCATCAGCCCCTCAAGTAACTAGGAATACTACTTGCCTGCATGTAGTATTGACACTATGTGCATGACACTATGTAAGGCTAATTTTTTTAAATTATTTTATTGTAGAGACAAGGTCTTGCTATGTTGCCCAGGCTGGTATTGAACTCCTGGCCTCAAGCCATTCTCCCTCCTTGGCCTCTCAAAGTGCTGGGATTACAGCATGAGTTTCCACACCTGGTCTTTGTTTTTGAAAGGATAAAAATAATGTAGAAATATTATGTAATGTATGATTTATAGAATATAAACCATGTTATATAAAAATTATGGTAATAGGCTCTGAAATATACTAGAATAATAAGGAATGAGAGAAAAACATGAAGAAAATAGTACGAAATTCTTTGCGAAAAATCACATTTTTGCATATGCTGTTTAGGAGTAATTCATTTTTTAAAAAAGAGATAATAAAATAAGTGGAAAACATACCAGAAACCTTAAAATGTGCACAGTAAAAGGAAGAATACAGTAAGAAAGCATTAGCAGACTAACATAAGAACAGAAAACCAAACACCACATGTTCTCACCCATAAGTGGGAGTTGAACAATGAGAACACATGGACACAGGGAGGGGAACATCACACACCGAGGCCTGTCAGGGGTGGGGGGCTATGGAAGGGATAGCATTAGGAGAAATACCTAATGTAGGTGATGGGTTGATGGGTGCAGCAAACCACCATGGCACGTATATACCTATGTAACAAAACTGCACATTCTGCACATGTACCCCAGAACTTAAAGTATAATAAATAAATAAATAAGATAATTAAAACAAAACAGCCTCATAACAATAAATGTAAATGGTTTAAGTTATTTCAAAAGTAAGTGACACTCAAAATTTTTGTGTGTGAAATGTTAAATAACTGTATGCTATGAAGATGAGGAAAATCTAAACTAAGCACATAAAATGCCTTATTGTCATCTACATCTAGATTTTCCAGATCAATATTCTTTGGTCCTTTGTAAGATACAGTTTCCCTTTTTCATGTTAAAAACAAAGCTATTGGTAGAATAATCAGTAAACTATCTTTTTAGAAAATAAACCTAAATTTCATATAGTCATCAAATTCAGCAATAATTTTGTATTAATACAATGAGGCCATTATTATTTTTCCTATTAATTATTTATGGTACCACTCTTAAACATTTTTGAAAATTGTTGAAAAATAAAATCAGCACAGCCAACCAAAAGTGCAGTATGAAATGTTTTTTAGATTGTTCTCTAAGACAATTTTGAGTAAATTAAACTAAATTGAAATAGTGAGGAGAAAAATCACATAATGAAAATTCAAATTTCCCATATTTATTCTTACTGGATGCAAACATATAATTATAGTATTGAAATCAATAAAAGAAAATATAGCAATAATGTCAACTTGGTATAATACAATAATAAAGTTATAATATCTGATATAAAAAGTTAGCACCTCATGGTGATATCCGCAGAGACATTAGAAAGCATACATTAAAATTATATTTTCTTGGGTATCAAATGCTTGAGGTCCCAGAATATGCCAATGTTCTGCCAATATCTGCAACCCAAAGATCTATTACTTGCTTGGAAGAGCATCTCATCTTTCTGCAGATCTCACTGTCACCCAGGCTGTAGTGCAGAGGCAAGAATTTGGCTCACTGGAGCCTCAACCCATGTGGGTGCAAGTGATCTTCTCGTCTCCACTCAGCCTTCTGAGTAGCTGGGACCACAGGCACATGCCACCACATCCAACGAATTTTTTTTTGTATCTTTTGTAAAGATGGGTTTTATTTTGTCTAAGCTGAGAGAATTGCCTTTTTAAAAATGATAAATATTTTCATATAGGTGGATTGGAGCAAAATTCGCCCCTAGTTATTTAAAAGATTTACTCATATCAACTAGATTATAAGAATAAATTAAACGAATGTACCTCTCTTAAGAAAGGTAAAGTATATGGACATCACAGGCAATTGTACTTTTTAGATTGCATAGTGCATATATAAAATTAAAGTAACGTTTATGTAAAATAAAATATAGTAGAAGAATGAATTGGCTTAAGGAAATAAGGAAGAGAAAAATGTGTCCTTTTTCAAATGTTTATTACCTTGATATTTGTCAAAGTATATCACATATTTTAACTATTTCAGATAAGAAATTAGATTAATCTGAATAGAATACGATGTAGCTTGAGTGAGTAAAAAAGTTACCCACCATTCATCCTGAATGAAAAAGACAGTTATATAGGCCAATCAAGAGAGTTTATTTTATACACAAGCCCACACATGCACACATACCTCATTTACTTATCACAAAATGTCTGCAAAATACATATTATACTTGAGTGTTTTAAGTAAATATTTCTCAGAGTTGTTAAGTAACCTGCTCCATTTTAAACAAGTAACTGGTGACAGACTGGGATCCAAAACTAATTCTGTCTGATTCAGATATCTGTCTTTTGTTTACTTTGTTTTTGCTTATTTTGTTTTGTTTTGTTTTCAAAATACTTGATGAAGGTATGCACAGTTCCATCACCAGATGGGTTTTAGTGGAAGCAAACATGGGGAGAGAATGTCAGTTTTGGAGTGACCTTAACAGCTGCTAGTAGATGCATAACAGTAAGTTATAAAGGAATATAAAGGAAAATGCCTACAGTCATATCCATGTCCAAGTAAAGCCTTCATTCCCAAAGTCAGGCCATATTTAAAATAGTTTGGAGGGGATGTGAGACCATATGATATTTGAGAGACCATATGACATTTGAAAGACCATATGACATTTATCTTTGTTTCCTAAAATTTCCTAAAAAACAAAATGCAGAAAGCATCTCATGAATAACTCAATTTAAAAACAGATAAAATGAGGATTTACATGAGTAGCCCGGGAGACACCTAATAATTCCCATAAAAATTAACTATTTCTTTTAAAAACAGGAAAATGGTTAAGGCTTATTATTTTGATGTCTCTAACTTGGAAAGAAAGCAGAGGGGAAAAGAGGCACCATCATAAACACTCTCAGAATTTATGTCTTGGCATAATGTAGAGAAAAAAGAAAATCCATAACACTTTGAGTAAATACATTGTTTCAGCACACAAGGTAAGACACCATATACTCCTTTACAGCCAAATATTGATTCCCCACTCAGTCTTAGAGTGAGGAATAGAGGGAGAAAGTGCCAGGAAAAGACTGGTGAAATGGGGGATGAAGGTACATGAGATGGCTCATTGATACAAGCAAAGCCTTGGTGGCTCTGCGCTGAATTAAGGAAGAGATTTGAAAGCAAGGCTATTTCCCTGGCGGCAGTAAAACTGCCTCCTGGAAAGAGAGCAAGCTATGGGATTAGATACTTAATAAAATTTTAGGCAAGAGAAAGAGTCCAGGTCTTTTACCTAAATTGCACACCAATTGAGCTCATCTGCTTATTCTCTACACACTCAGGCTAGGGAAAAAGTGGGCACATTTCAAAACTCAATGCTTAAACTATAGCTTGATGTGAAAAAGTAGAGACAAATTTGCCCATGCTACATCAAAGTGTAAGAACTGTCCATCTTAAGCTGGGAAACCTGAAAATCATGGCAAGTATAAAATCACTTTTTAGTAATAAGACAAGGAAATAAAATAACATAAAAGCACATGCAAAGAAAGTATTAGGAATCCATCCTACGAAATGCAATTTTTAAAAATGACACAATATCCCAGGAATAATTATACAGAAAGATGCAATGAAAACAAAAATTCAAAGAATCCATCAAGGACATACACACAAAATTAAAATGAAATGAGAAATCCAGAGCGAAAGAAATACATATGTGGCTAAAATAACACTGTTTACAAAATAAGAGAATTAGAAATAGCAAAGCAAAGTATCTGTAATATAAATAATTTTAAACCATTTTATAGAGTCAATATTTGGCAAGGTTGTCGGCAAATAAGCACTTTTTACTTCTGTTTGTGGCAACCCTACATTAAGCAAGTCTGTTAGCATCATTTTACCAACAGCATGTGCTCACTTTGAGCCTCCTAGTCACATTTTGTTAATTGTCATTATATTTCAAACTTTTTAAATTAGTATTATATCTGACATAGTGCTCTGTGATTACTTATCTTTGTTATTAACATTGTAATTGTTTTAAGGTACCATGAAACACGTCTATACAATATGGCATTGTAAATTGGTGTCACTTTTGCACAGGAATGTGGTAATAACGGAGCAAAATTTAAAGTGTTCATATGATTTGACTCCACCATAATCTCAAAATTTCATCTAAAATATACTGGCAAAAGCATGTCAAGTTATGAATAAGAAGGCTTGTCATAACACTACTTGTTTAGCATCAAATTTCCAGTTTACAACAAATTGGAAACAACCAGGATGTCTCTAGCTAGTAACCTAGAAAAATATGTAACAGATTAAAAATTTAGTTAAAACTATATATTTTGTGTGTATTGGGGATATATGAATAATAGTCACACTTCTGAAGAAATGGATACAGATGTCATAAATATGAACAACTTTCTTATTGACAAAGATGACTCTAACAATGTGGCATAATCACTAGCCAGTTTAACTACTTTATTCCCAGAATTAAACATATCCATGTATCATTAAGGATCTCCACAGGGTAATAGTGGACCCTGCTCTAGTAAACTCATTAAATTGAGAAACAGAATTAAAATAAACTGAGAACAGAGTGCTCCCAAAAGAGGTGACTTGAGACACATGTTCAGACCTTTATTTCCTTTCTCTCACCAATCTGATAATTCTCTGCTTCCTGAGGGAGAAGGACAGAGATAATAAAAAAAGTTATCCTCTTGTTAACTGTACTGTCTGAAGGAATGAATGGAAGTTTTTAATTCCTTGAGCCATGGCCAGAAACAGCTAGAGGAATAAGATATTTCCTCTAATGATGTGAATAAAGCAAAGTGTGGAGCAATGTTACCTTACAAGCATCTTTATGCAAATTAAGTGCATTTTTTGTTGTTATTTGACATCTCACTCCATAAATGAGATTCAACCTGCATGTAGGAAATGAAAAAGATGATCTTGACTTAACTAATATTTCATCCATAAAGGTAATTTTTGATTTATGGGCTGAACTTGTCCATAAAAACATTGTGAAAAAGAAAGTTTATCTTCAACTTTCTTCACCTTCCTGTCTCGTTTTCTATGTTTCCTTTTCGCTTCCAGATCCCAGTGTTTTTTTCTGACAATATTCTTCAGGCTATAGGTGTCCATACATTTCCTGGATCTTCATCTCTTACCACAGAATGTGGAGTTGGTATCTTAAGTCATTACATATCCTAAAAAAACAGGTAGATCCATATTAAACAGAGTTTCATAGAAAGGTATGGATTTGAATTCTGTTTATTTCCTTAGTGTTCTACATGTAATTTATTGAGCAAGTTACTTTAGATCCATTAGCTCCCTTGTTTTTTCCCATACTTAAAATACAAATATCTAAAATTACTACAGTTTTTCTTATTAAGAAATTCCTAGATGAGTGGATATTTAATTACACTGTAATTATTAAGAAAAAGCAGAAAATACCATGACATTTTTCCAGTGGTGGCTTTCAGGATTTAGAAATAGTCCATTAAAAGGCTTATTTTTAAGTGAACTTTTCTTCCTAGAATCCATGGGCTATGTATATTGAGTTTAGAAAATATTTGGATATTTTCTCATATGCCATATATATATGAAATATATATATATATATTTTTACATATCACAGTTGTATGACAATAGACCTGACCACATAATAATCAGGAGACCACAAGGTGAATTGGAGACATACTCAGTTAACATGTGCAATTCTAAATATTTTTAAATATCCATATGATCGCTTGGTTTATTTGCCTAAAAAACAACCATTAACACATGGAAGAATTTTGTGAAAAATTCCTTGTCAATGTGAATTAATTACTCATGACCATTTAAGAGAAATGACTATATGATAGCTACCAAAACTGTTAGGCTAAATCAATTAGTTGGAGTTAAGGATGCTACATAGAAAGATTAATTCAGTTACAAACTAATTGGCCTAATACCAATTAATATGGAATTTCCTTTATATAGACACAGCCTAGAGCTCCAAATGAAAATGCACTATACTGTGCCAGAAAAAAATATATAATGAATGCATAAAATATTAGCAAAGATTGTTTTAAAATATATAGTTACAGTTTATGACAGTAACTATCAGTGAGAGAATTGTAAATTTGGAAATAAAATCTCGTTCTTCTCCACTTGATCTCTTCTTTTTCTTCTATTTTTTATTAAAATATTTCAAACATCTGGAACTTTACCATTTAGGAAATTTGTGGTTAATTTATGTGGTAGAGCATATTGACATGTAACTCTCAAAATTATTTGTTGTGAACTATGTCTGAGACCATGCAGTACTGTTCTTATATCTATCTACTTTATAATCCTTTCACTCTCTTTCCCCTAAAATGTGCTGATAAAGCTAGCATTATGTAAATGTTACTAGTTACTATAATCAAAGAAATGCTCCTATGCAGGCATATTCCCTTTCCATTCTATGAACACACACACACACACACACACACGCACATATTATTCATTTTTAGAAATGAGCCTAATCATATATATATAATACATACATTATATATATATATACAAGAGACACAGCTTTAAATTATACAGAATGACAGTTTACTAAGTTGTCATAGAGCCTGCTATCTGAGGGGAAGAATATTGGATTCTTTCTATAGCCAACCAAAAAAATAAAAAATAAAAAACAAAAAACAGAAAGCCCCTCCCTCTAATGTTTTTCATTTAAGTCCCAACTGTGCTGTAGCCTTTAACTGTGTAAGACAGCAAGACAGCACATTTTGTAGATTAAACCAATAAACTCACAAACATAAAAGAAACAAATCTCATAATTGCGGATTTCAATTAAAGGAAGGGGGATCAACGCAAACATTCTGCTGGAAATTACACAGCTGCTATCTATACAAAATGAGAAAAATGTCTAGAGCCAGCCATAATTTTACAGACGGAAAAAAAAAACCATGCAGCAAACCCTGCAGTAGGACAGATTGTCTATGCTCCTCACGTCCCAATCAGTAATACAGAAATATTGAGTAATAAATTCCCTGCCTCTCTCGATCTGAAAAGCTCCCACCATCTGTGAAAGACAATTTGTAACAGCCTCAATATTAAGATTCAGTAAACAGACAATCACTCCCCTTGTGCCAAGCCGTGGCTACATTTGGATAAAAGCATAAAGCAAAACAATTAGTAACACCAAGACCCCTCTATTACAAATTATCGAGCCACCAAAACAACTAGTTTCAATTGCAGTTTCCCTTCTACTGGAGAGGAATGCAGGAGATTCTGCATATTTGGCTACCTCTGTGGCCCATGCGTAGGCCTCATCCTGATGCGTTGAATTATTATTGATGGCTGAGGCAGTTCTGCTCTGTTGGTGAACCAATAATGTCAAGGCACCACCTGCAAGATTAATTATAGGAGAGAATAGGCTGAGGTTTCTCGGGACTGAGACATTAATATAGACTGAGCATTAGTTTCAGGGGATTCAACAGACAGCTGAACTAACGCCTCGAACAACGTGATTCGCACTAAATCCCGGTAGCTGTATCTTAGCAGCATGTGGAAGCTTAGAACAATTGTTTTTAACTATGAGGTGCAGCGCATTATGTATAATAAAAAAACCCTAAAATACAAAATCAACAATTCTACCTGAGTTACAAATTCAACCTGGGCTTTGCGGAGAGCATAGATGATACTATTTCACCACAAAGAAAAGATGACGCCACTTTCCTCATGCGTTTGTCCTTGGGACATGTAAAATATGTTCTTATTTACTGTATTTTCTAGGGTTTTGAGTAGGGTGACAAATCTTCCTGGTTTTCCTGGAAAAATCTCAATTCACACTTGGTATCCTGGAGTGATTATTAAAAGCACACACATTTTATTCTTAAACTGTCGTGGTCTGGATGATAAGTTATACAGTCACTTTAGTTCTAAGGCATATGGAGCCTGAAGCATTTACTCACTGTGGCTATAGCCATCTTTTATGTAAATATTTTATTTGCTTATGATATGCAGATATTTGTACACTTTCTTGGAAATAAAAATTTTAAAGAAGCTGAAGTGTGAAGTTAAATAGAAGGATATGCTACAGTTTTAATCTTAATGAAATTTAACTTGGGGCTTCTACCTCACTTTGCCAAATTCAAAGTTTTATTATATACAGTTATATTATATATGTGTGTATATATACATAAATGTATATACAAATATTTATATATATGTATATACCCATATGATATCAGGTAACATTCATTTGATTCTTAATTCTTAATCTGTACTAGACACTCATCAAAGGATTTTACATATACTAATTCTTGTTTTATAGATAGATAAATGGATATATGTGTGTAAATATTTATGCATATATATAGAGATGTATGGAATCTGTATATATCTATATATATGTGTATATATAGATTCCATAAATCTATATATGTATGTGTGTATATATATGTAAATACATATAAAATATGTATGGAATATCTCTCTCTATATATATACTCTATATTCTCTCTATATATATTTTATTAATATTTTCAACTGAGAAAAGTGAGGCACAGACGGATGAATTATCATGTTCATGGTTACAGAGTGAGCAAATAGTAATGTTCAGATTCAAATTCAAAAACTCTGTCCTTAGTGTCCAGTCGGTAACCAGTGAAAAAGCTGTCTTATAATTCATATATGTATGCATTTAATACATGCATTGCAGAGGTTTCTGTATCAGTCTCACTATTTAAATCATCTGGAGTATACCAGAGAAAACACACCATGGTAGCAAAACTAGTAAGCCTGGAGAATTACAACCATGCCCTGCTGAATTTGTTATTGTAACTAGGAGGCTATTTTGTATTCTAATATAGAATAGTTATCTCAAAATAATTTATTTTACTTTGCAAGTTAATGCTATTCTCTACTATCTCTCTATTCTCCTCCCAGCAGCAATCAAAAGGAACTTGAAAAAAAATCCAGGATAGATTTGATCTATTTTCTTAAAATGTCATGACTGTGGAGCGTATGATAGTTAGAAATAAGTTATCAGGCATCTCCACACGAGTAAAGACAAATGTCTTTGTCAGTTTTAAATAGACAGGGAGGAACACTTTGCTTGCGAAGGAACCTAAATTCCAAGTAACTGGAAGGACGGCATTTATATATATGTATACATCACCTATCACCCGCACTCCTGTTTAGAGTGTTTCAATAGAAAATTTATAATTAAAAGGTCTTGTAATCTGAATACACCATGTACAGTTATGCATGTTAAGAGTCTGTCTAGTTTTATTGATGTTATTATTTCACATGAGGAAAACACAAGAATAGAAACAACACATTTTGCTAACCAGAGAAGATGGGGAGCAAGGGTCAACCTGTCCATGAGATTCTTTCCACAGAGCCTTAGATCACATTTAAAAGACTAAGTAAAGCAAAGTTTAGAAAGATTCTCTTGCTTTTCTAGCATTCCATAGTTGTGCCTGCCTCCAGGAGATTTTTCACAACAGTTGATAAAACGGTCCTCTTTCTATGGCTCTCCATCCTAAATATACTCTTTAGTTATTAAATAAACATTATGTTTCAGTCACAGTTCAACACTGGGGTAGATGCTTGAGCAGTGAGGTGAATGAGACACATAAGGAATCTGCCCTCATAATGTGTAACCTTGTGGACAAGGTAAGTAATGAATATAGAAATGAAAAGGCAATTGGGATATTTGCTCACTCTTCTTTTTGCTGCTAAAACCCTTAACACTTTTCTTCCTTTTACTTCAGTGTCACCTCTGGCTTTTCTTATTTCTGTTATCGGTACCTCGCCAAATTCTTTTGATTTGATATTTCAGGGAATTTCCTTCTTGTTGTTCCTCCTTTCCTTTCCATTCTTATGAGATTTTCAACCACAAAAGGCATGTATAAAATTTATGATAGCAGCTACGAAGTCTTTAGTATTATTTTCTTGGGTGTATTGATTTTCTGTAATTATCTTTCTAAGATGAACTGCATCTTCTGTTCTTATATATTGTTTGGCTTGCTTGTCTTTAGTATTGAATATATATTATGTCTTTATGTTTGTGACTATCTTAAATTTATTTAAGGTTTTTAGCTCAGAATTCTCTCTATTTGAATCTTATTATTAAAATATGATTATTGTTAATTTATTATTAAAATGTGGAATTTGGGTGCCATGTGTCGAATTCATAAAACTCCTTAGTTAATGGCACATCACAATCACTGATCTGTGCCACAAAACTCTTGAAAAATGTTATTTAATTTATTCTGTATTCTTTAGTCCTATTTTCATCTCCCTTATACCACATAGAAAGACATTTTATAATGTTGAACATGGAAAAATTTTTGGCACACATTTTTTTTAAAATAGGCATTTATATTCAGTGCTTGAATTTTAAGTTGCATAATAAAAGTGTTGGATATTCGATTTTAGAGATTTGTCCATGTTGTTGTTTTCGTATCTAGTCTTTTAACAGCTGGCCAGGGTTCCATGGTGCATGCTCATCAAAGCAAACTGCACACTTGCCTAATGATGTACAACTTGCTACAACAAATCTCACTGTAATACCATACTTGAATATATTCCCTCATACTTACCTATGAGATAATGTCTTTAGTTATATACCAAGTGGAATTTCTGTGTTATAGTTTATGAAAGGAAAGAGTTAACAGCAGGCCTGTGATCTATTTTTTCCACCTCTTCTTTAGGAATGGGATAGAATGAAAGATGTTCCAGTCAAATCATCTTTTAAACACATTAATGTCAGGACTCTGCAAAACATATGTTGTTATTTTCTAGTGGGTGAGCCCTTTGAAATATTTTGGACAACTCTATTAGTTTGCCAGAGCTACCACAACAAAATACCATAGACTGAGTGGCTTCAACAACAGAAATTTATTTTTTCACAGTTCTAGGGGCAAGAATTACAATATTGAGGTACCAACAGTTTTGATTTTCTCTGGCATCTCTCTCCTTGGCTTGTGGATGTCCACCTTCTTGCTATGTGTTCACATGGTTTTTCCTCTGTGTAGACACATTGCTGGTTTCTCTTTGTATGTCAAGATTTCCGCTTATGAGTACACAAATCAAACTGAATGAAGGTCCACTTTAACAGTTGCTTTTTAACTTTATTATGTCTTTAAATGCCCTGTCTTCAAATACAGATACATTCTGAGATACTGGGGATTACAGCTTTGACATAAGAATTTTGGGAGAACATGATTCAGCCTATGCACCTGGTTGATCTATGTTGTTTATTGTAAATTCACCTAGAATATCACCTTAGAAAATGTCTTCTAGACCAGATAATTTTCAGAACACAACATAAAAATATTTCATGACTTGCATAGCTCCTTTTTGTGTAAGTTATATCCTTCTAGCATAGCTGAGACCTATATGTTAAATCTGTGTCTGACGCACCATAAAATAAAAAGTTAGGACTCAAGAACAGTCCTGGATTTCTCCATGCCTCTTTCATGCTTCACAATTACCCGTGTGTTCTGTAAAAGGGTCATATATGCAAAGTGTCCTTCAAGTACCAAAGGAGCCAAGAAGCTGAAGAAGGAGGCAGACAAATCCAGTTTGTTGGTTTTGAGTGATTTATTAAGGGAACTTGCAGAAAGAATAGTGGCCTTGGGCAACCACAACACAGGTAGATTTTTACACCGTGAACTCTCAGACCCACGGGTTACATCTTGGGGGAAAAGCCTATGTATGCTAGAAGGAACGTGTAAGTGGTTGCAGACATTTCAGCCTATAATTTCTGTGACTATAAGGGTTGTTTTGGAGGAAACTTTCTGTGAATAGGTGTTCTTACATAAGGAGCAATAATACATCAACTAGACATTTTGGCGGCATTCCTGGACTGGAGTTAGTCAGATGTTAAATGGCAGATTAGCATTTAATAAAGTCACTCTTGTCCCTACACCACGGTCCTAAAATTATTAGTAAATTTTTATATTTAATAAGATCTCAGATTCATGTGTGTCTTATTGAACAACTAACACTTTGTGTTGTTATATGCAGTTATAGAAACTGATGGGATGTTTTGTTCTTATGTCTACACATTATCAGTCCCTCTATCACTCTATTCATAAGGACTTTAGAATCATAACACTTAACTCACATTTTTAATTTTAAAACATATTGAGGATCCATTGATCATATTTTTGTACCATGTTATTAAACAACTCATTAGTATGTATTATCTGTTTTTTGTATTTAAAAATGTTGAAAGGTATTCAAAAAGAGAAGCCAAAATACTTTGTAGTATAAGAAGGAATAAAAAATATGAAAAATGTATGATGACACGTATCCACCATTTATTATCATCCGGAGGAAATTTATTGCCCCCAAAATTTTGTGTTCTACCTATTTATCCTTTCCTCTTGCAA
Source organism: Homo sapiens (assembly GCF_000001405.40). Lineage (NCBI taxonomy): Eukaryota > Metazoa > Chordata > Mammalia > Primates > Hominidae > Homo > Homo sapiens. The sequence goes on along the minus strand of NC_000014.9, from coordinate 27,629,243 downwards.
CTCCTGTCAACCACTAATCTTCTCACTGTCTCCATAGTTTTGCCTTTCCTATATGCCCTATAGTTGGAATCATACAGTATACAGTCTTTCTAAATTGATTTCTTTCACTTAATAATATACGTTTAAATCTCCTCCACGTCTTTTCGTAGCTTTATAGCTCTTTCTTTTTAGGAGTGAATGATATTCTATTGTTTTAGCACAGTTTATTTATCTATTCATATACTGAAAAACATCTTGGTTGCTTCCAAGTTTTTGACAGTTATGAATAAAGTTGTTATAAACATCTGTGTGTAAGATTTTTATAGACATAAGTTTTTAACTCCTTTGGGTGAATACCAAGAAATGTGATTACTGAATAGTATGATAAGAGTATGTTTAATTTTGCAAGAAACTGCCAAATTTTATTCCAAAGAAACTGTACGATTTGCATTTTCACTAGCAATAAATGAGATTTCCTGTTGCTCCACATCCTTGTCAGCATTTGATGTTGTCAGTGTTCTAGAATGTGGCCAATTCTAATATGTATGCAGTAGTTTTTTATTATTGTTTTAATTTTCATTTTCCTGATGACATATAATGTGAAATATGTTTTCATACGCTTATTTGCCATCTGTATATTTTCTCTGGTGAAGTTCTATTTAGGTCTTTCACCGATTTAAAAATCTAGTGTCTTTTTTATTGTGGAGTTTTAAGGGTTCTTTGAATATTTTGGCTAATAGTTTTTTTTATCAGATGTGTGTCCTGAAAATATCTTCTCCCATGCTTGTCTTTTCATTCTCTTGACAGTGTCTTTTTCAGGACAGAAATTTTTAATTTGAATAACGTCTATTTTATTAATTTTTTATTTCATCAATCATGCCTTTGGTGTTGTATCTAAAATGTCATCACCAAATCAAAGGTCATTTATTTTTTCCTATGTAATCTCTAAGTGTTTTATGGTTTTTCAATTTAACATTTAGGTCTGTGATTCATTTTCAGTTAATTTTTGTGAATGGAATAGGGTCTGTGTCTAGAGTCATCTTTTTGTATGTGGATGTCCAAGTGTACAAGGACCGTTTGCTGAAAAGACTACAAGAGATCTTCAAACAGTTCATAAAAATTTTCTAAATTTTCCATGAATTTCAACTTTTTTCACAAAAATAAACTTGCATTGTCTTGTTGTAACATGTCTAAACAGGATCTAGTTTGAGGTACTAAGAAGAATATGACACCAGTTTGAAAATAACCCCTATCAGAGCAGCATGAATTCTGCTAAAATGAAGCAAGAACAAGCATCAAATTTATGGTGAGGCTTGAGCCGAAACAGAAAAATAATTGACCAAAAGCCTATGGGGACAATACCCAAAAGAAATCAGCAGTTTACAAATTATAACTGAAGTTAAGAAGGGACAAGATGATGTTGAAGATGAAAGCTCACAAAAGCAGACCATCCACATCAGTTTGTGAGAAAAAAAAAAATCTTGTTTGTGCCCTAATTGAAGAGCACCAAAAATTAACAGCACAATTAGGTAACAGCCTGGAAACCTCAATTGGTCCAGCCTACACAATTCTGATTGTAAAATCAAAGGTGAGCAAACTTTTCACTTTGTGGGTGCCAAAACCATTGCACACAGATGAGCTACAGATAAGAGTAGAGCTTTCAATTGAAATTTTAAAAAGTGGAATCAATATCATGAAGCATTTCTTTGAAGAATTGTAACAAAAGATGGAACATGGCTTTAACAGTATGATCTCGAAGACAAAGAAGAATCAAAGCAATGGCTACCAAGAGATGGAAGTGGACTAGTCAAAGCAAAACAGATCAGTCAAGAGCAAATATCATGGTGACAGTTTTTAAGGATGCTCAAAGGAATTTCGATTGTTGACTTTCTGGAGGGCCAAATAATGATAACATCTGTTTATTATAAGGGTGTTTTGAGAAAGTTTGCCACAGCTTTAGCAGAAAACACCTGAGAGAGCTTCACTAGAGTCTTTTCTCCACCATGACAAGGTTCCTGCTCATACCTCTCAAACAAGAGCAATTTTGCAAGAGTTTCAATGGGAAATCATTAGGCATCCCCCTTGCAGTTTTAATTTGATTTCTTCTGATTTCTTTTTCTTCCTAATATTAAAAAATCTAAAAAGCGTGGCCATTTTTCTTCAGTTGATAATGTAAAAAAGCATTGACATTGGTAAATTCCCAAGACCCTCAGTTCTTTAGGGATTGACCCAACAATTGGTACCATCTCTTACAAAATTGTCTTGAACTTGATGGAGTTAATGTTAAAAAGTTTATATCTTTAATTTTTATCTTTAAATTCCAGTTTTCTACATATTTTTAAAATTTCCCTCATATCTTTCCTGCATTGTATTGCCTTTGTACTTTGTGAAAGATCAATTGGCTATATTTATATGGGTTTATTCCTTCACTCCCTATTCTTTTCCATTGATCTATTTGTGTATTTCTTTGTCAATACAACCCTGAATTGATTACCTTAGCTTTGTAGAAATTCTCAAAGCAAGGTAGTATCAGTCCTCTAACTTTATTCTTTTTCTTTAATACTGTGTTTGCTATTCTGCATCTTTTGCCTATTCATATTAATATTAGAATCAATTTATCATTATCCATAAGATAACTTGGGATTTTGTATTGAGATTACACTGAACCTGTAAATTAAGTTGGAAAGAATGATATCTTTACAATATTGAGTCTTCCTCTTTATGAACATGAAATACTTCTCCAAGTTTTTAGCTCTTCTTTAATTTCTTTCATCACAGTTTTGTACTTTACTTCATATAAGTCTTGAACATAGTTTGTTAGATTTATACATAAATATTTCTTTTCTGGGTGCTAATGTAAAGTTTATTGCATTTTTTAATACGCAAAAATTACCAATGTAAAACACAACAAATAAGTGCTTGCATTATAAATACATTTGTTGCAAATAACAAAAAGTCCAAATATCAATGCCTTTAACATAAAATAGATTTACTGTTTCCTTATACTTATAAGATGCTCCTTCAGGTAACAGACTGTATTCCAGGTACACAGAAGAAGGAATAAAAACCAAAGAAATTTATGAGCCTTTTTTTTTAATCAGGAAGACACTAAAACTCTCACTGAAGCCTTTTATCTAATTCCTCTTACATATTATTGGTTAGAATTTTATCTCATGGTCAAGCTTTGCTGCAAGACAATATGAAAAAGATGTGTATTTTGAGCATTACATGTTGAAACTTCAATATAGATATTTTTACAGTGGGGAAAAAAGATACAACAGATATTGAATAGACAACTAAGAGTTATGGCTAAATTAATACTTCAGAAACTTATGTGTAGAACAGCTGAATATTTGAAAGAACAGGCCAACAAACTTATATTAGTCTTGAGTTCTCTAATTTATATATTTATTTTAAATTAATATAAAAATAAGCATCTGTTTCTGTAAAGCATATGGTTGTTAGGTTGTTAAGTAGATATTCAATAATAAAGTTTGCTTTGTTTATGAAAGAAATAGTTGCTCAGAATTTTTTCCAGGAGACATTAGCAAATGATGCTAGGAATAAAAATTTACTCATAATTTCTCTATTTTACAATACTATTAACAAATAATCACCATTAGAAAATGTAAAGGGGACCTGGGGTTTTAGTAAATCTCTGACATGTCCCTTACCATGATCACAGAATCTGTATGTATATGATCATCTTGTATAATCTTGCCAATCACTACTCTTTGAAGTAATCATTCCTTTGATTGAAATTTTAACCTCTATTGTTGCATGAAACTATTTTTAACTGATTGTATATTTACTTGAGAAGTTGTCTTTTTTATATGACTACACTGTACATATCAGATATATGACTTCTTCATTTATATATCCTTTTATTATCTAACCAATTTTTAGCAAAGTGGGTTCCTCACATACACTTGTAGAACAAACATTAATAAATCAAATGAATACTGATGGCCTCATGATTCCACAAATTTGTTGTGTTTAGCACATTTGTCTGAAACATAATTTCAACCCTAAACAAGATATGAACTAAACTTTATGCTCATGAGGGGTGTGTGTGTGTGTGTGTGCTTTTCACATTTTAGTAACAATCTATAAGCTAGGGATGCTGTGCAAGTTTCAGTAGAAGTTTTTATGGGTTTCTGTAATTGCTATTGTTGTATTTTATACCCTCATAATGTCATGAGAAAATTTATCAATTCACACATGCTGAGTGATATGATTTGGCTGTGTCCCCACCCAAGTCTCGTCTTGAATTGTAGCTCCCATAATTCCCCTGTGTCATGGGAGAAACCTGGTGGGATGGAATTGAATCATGGGGATGGATCTTTCAGTGCCATTGTCATGATAGTAAGTTAGCTTTCACAAAATCTGATGATTTTATAAGGGGCTTTTCCCCCTTTTGCACTGGACTTCTCTCTTGCCGGCTGCCATTTAAGACATGACTTTGCTCCTCATTTGCCTATTGCCATGATTGTGAGGCCTCCCCAGCCATGTGGAAATGTGAGTCAATTAAACCTCTTTCCTTTGTAAATTACTCTATCTCAGGTATGTCTTTATTAGCATTGAGAGAATGAATAATACAATAAATTGTTACTGGGAGTGGGGTGCTGTTTTAAAGATACCCAAAAATGTGAAAGTGACTTTGGAACTGGGGAACAGGCAGAGGTTGGAACAGTTTGGAGGACTCAGAAGAAGATAGGGAAATGTAGGAAAGTTTGGAACTTCTGAGAGACTTCTTGATTGGCTTTGACCAAAATGCTGATAGTGATATGGACAATAAAATCCAGGCTGAAAGGGTCTTAGATGGAGATGAAGAACTTTACTCTAGTTGGAAACTAGAGTAAAGGTCACTGTTGCTATACAAAGGACTGGTAGCATTTTGCCCCTGCCCTGGAGATCCATGAAACTTTGAATTTGAGAGAGATGATTTGGAGTATCTGGTGGAAGAAATTTAAGCAGCAAAGCATTCAAGAGGTGACAGAGCATAAAAGTTTGAAAACCATAAAAGTTTGAAAACCATAAAAGTTTGAAAAGTTTGCAGCCTGATGCAGTAGAAAATAAAAACTCTTTTTCTGCGAAGAAATTCAAGCCAGCTGCAGAAATTCATATAATTAACAAGGAGCCAGATGCTAATTTCCAAGGCAATGGGGAAAATGTCTCTAGGGCATTTCAGAGACCTTCATGGCAGCCCCTGACATCACAGGCCTGGAGGCCTAGGAGGAAAAAATGGTTTTGTGGGCTGGTCCCAGAGTCCCCCTCCCTGCTCTATGTAGTCTCCAAACATGGTGTTCTGCATCCCAGCTGTTTCAGCTCCAGCTGTGGCTAAAAGGGGCCATCACACAGCTCAGTCTGTTCCTTCAGAGGATGCAAACCCCAAGCCTTGGCAGCTTACATGTGAAGTTGGGCCTGTGAGTGCACAGAAATCAAGAATTGAGGTTTTGGAACCTCCACCTAGATTTCAGAGGATGTATGGAAATGCCTGGGTGTCCAGGCAGAAGTTTGCTGCAGGACTGGGGCCCTCATAAACAACCTCTGCTAGGGCAGTTCAGAAGGGAAATGTTGAGTTGGAGCCACCACACAGAGTCCCCACTGGAGCACTGCCTAGTAGAGCTGTGAGAAGAGGGCCACTGTCCCCTAGACGCCAGATGGTAGATCCATTGATAGCATGCTCCACATGCCTGGAAAAGCCACAGGAGCAGAGCTTCCCATGCTGTGGGAGCACACCTTTTGCTTTAGCATGAACTGGATGTGAGACATGGAGTAGAAAGAGATTATTTTGGAACTTTAAAGTTTAATGACTGCCCTATTGAATTTCAGACTTGCACGGGTCCTATAGCCCCTTTGCTTTGGCCAATTTCTTCCATTTGGATGTTTACCCATTGCCTGTACACCCATTGTATCTGGGGGATAACTAACTTGCTTTTGATTTTATAGGCTCATAGGTAGAAGCGACTTGCCTTGTCTCAGATGGGAATTTTGACTGTGGACTTCTGAGTTAATACTGAAATGAGTTAAGACTTTGGACTGTTGAGAAGGCATGATTGGTTTTGAAATGTGAGGACATGAGATTTGAGAGGGGCCAGGGGTAGAATGATATGGTTTGGCTCTGTCCCCACCCAAAAGTATCATCTTGAATTGGGAGGAACCTGGTGGGAGGGAATTGTGTCATGGGGGTTGGTCTTTCCCATGCTGTTCTCATGATAGTGAGTTAGTTCTCATGAGATCTGATAGTTTTATAAGGGGATTTTTCCCTCTTTGCACTGCACTTCTCTTTTGCCTGTTCCATGTAAGACATGACTTTGCTCCTCCTTTGCTTCTGTCATAATTGTGAGGCCTCCACAGCCACATGGAACTGTGAGTCCATTAAGCATCTTTTTCTTTATACATTACCTGGTCTTGGGTACATCTTTATTAGGAGCATGAGAATGGACTAACATGTAGTTTCTCTATTTTATAAGATTTGTCTCATTTTTGCCTATATTTGATAAGAAATTATGTTTTGTATATATTTAATTTGTTCCAACTTCAACTCTTGTGGGAACCATTATAATGTTCTTCCCTCAAAGTTGCTCATGTTTAATGCTGAGAACCTGTGAATATGGCAAGAGGGACTTTACAGATGCAGATGTGATTAAGTTAAACATCTTGAGATGGAGGGATTATCCTGTATTACTCAATGGAACCAATGTAATCACAAGGATGCTTATAAGAGGGAGGCAGGAGAGTCAACCTCAGAGAGAGAGAGATTTGAAGATGTTACACTGTTGGCTTTGAAAATGGAACAAAGGGCCATGAGCAAACAAATGAAGGTGACATCAAGAAGCTTGAAACACAAAGAGAAATTCTCCTCTAGAGTCTTCAGAAGCAACACAACCCAAAAATACCTTGATTTTAGCCTAGTCAGACTCATCCTGGACTTCTTTCCTCCCCAAATTATGCTTTTTAAAGCTACTATATTTTAGGTAACTGTAAACAGCAGTAATAGGACACTAATACAACTCCCTACCACAATTAATGAAAACAATCTCTTTTGGATGACACTTCAGAGTCTCTTTAAGTAAAATGTTCAATCCCTCAGAATCCTGCTTAATCCCTCTTGTGAACTCAAAATATAAGCAGCGACTTACAGTGTTTTTATATCACAGAGTTAAAGGGGACCCCAAAACTATGCAGAGACCGTGGATCCTATGTCTTCAGTCAACTTTGTTCTTTTCTGATTACACTGCAAGTGTTGATTTAATGGTCAATTTTTTACCATTAAGTATAATGTTAGCTGTAAGGTTTTTTGTAGATTATCTTTAACAAGTTTTAGGAGGACTCCTTTCTACTCCTGTTTTCCTGAGAGTTTTTATAATAAATGGGCGTTGACATGTTTCACATGTTTTTTTCTGCATAGATTGTTATAATCAAGTGATTTTTGCTTTCTAGGCTAAAATTATGTGTCATGGTATTAATTAATTTGTGACCCTTGAACTAGTCATGTGTTCCTAGTGTAACCTTAATTGGTCATGGTGTATAATTGTTATTACTAAATTAGACTTGTTAACTTTTTAAAAATAATTTTGTGTTTATATTCGTAAGTGGTAGACTATAATTTTTGTTTTCATTTTTTGATATCAGATATCAGCATAATAATAGTCTTATAAAATAAATTAAAGATTGTTGCTTCCTCTTATCTGAAAGAGTTTGTAAACTCATATTAATACTTCAAAAGTTTGATATAATTCTTGATGAAAACCATTTGGGCATATAACTTTCTTTTTCAAGAGGTTTATAATTTAAAAATCCACTTAATAGCTATAAGGTTATTCAAATTATCTATTTCATCTTGGGTGAGTCGTGAAAATATTTTCAAGACTTGGTCCAATTTGTCTAAGTTGTCAAATTTATATGTTTTAGAGTTGTTTATAGTATTCCTTTATTACCTTTTATATATATATATAGGATTTATAATTGTATCCTATTTTTATTCCTGATATTTATACTAATAATTTGGTTATTCTTTTTTCCTTACTGTTACTAGAGATATGTTAATATTATTGATTTTTTCAAAGAATAAACTCTTTGTCTCATTGGTTGTTTTCCAATATTTATGTTTTTATTTTTTTATTTTATTCACTTATAGTCTTATTATTTTCTTTCCTATGCTTACTTTGGGTTTATTTTACAGCTTTTTATATATATTCTTTAAGTGGGAGAGTAGATGATTTATTTGATGCTTTTAATTTTTTTGAATGTCTTTATTTATAGCTATACATTTCTTTCTCAACACTGATTTAGCTGTCTCCCACAAATTTTGGTACGTTGTCTATTCCATTTCATTTTATTTCAATATATTTTCACAAATTCATTTGAGACTTTTTTGACCCATAGATTATTTGCAAGTTTCTAGATAATTTTCAAGTGTTTGAATATTTTTCTGTTTTTTTGTTACTGATTTTTAGTTTGATACTATTGTGATTAGAGAGCATACTCTGTATGATTTCTAGGTTTTTACATTTTTGAAGATTTTTTTAATGTTCCAGAATATTATCTTCCTTTGGTTATGTTCTGTGGGCACTTAAAATTAATGTGTATTCTCCTGTTGTTGCTTGGCATGTTCTAGAAATATTGATTAGATCTTGGTGGTTGATGGTGTTGCTGAGTTTTGCTGAAATTCTGTTTAGTTGCTCTACTAATTCTTCAGAGAAGGATGTTGAAGTCTCTGATCATTATTGTGGTTTTGTCTATTTCTTTTTCAGTTTTTTCAGTTTTCACTTCACATATTTTATAGCTCTGGTGTTCAGTGCATGAACTTTAGGATTGCTACGTCTTTTTGGTAGATTGCCCTTTCTATCATTATATAATGTCCCTCTCTGTCTCTAGTAATTGTCTTTGCTCTGAAGTCTACTTTATCTAATATTATATTCAAGCTTGTTTTCACATTAACATGATTCACATTTTCATGATTTGTCTTTATCCATCCTTTTAGTGTCAACCTGCCTATAGCATTATACTTGAAGTGAATTTCTTGTTGACAAAAAATAATAGAGTCATGTTATTTAATCCACTCTGCCAATCGTTTTATTGGACAATTCAGACCATTTCCATTTAATATAAATATTGATGTTAGGTTTAAAATCTATCATTTTATTTTTGTTTTAGTTTATCTCTTTTTTAATATTTTTTCTGATTTTTTCTGCTTTTATGATGAGTACTTTAACTGTTTTTTGACTTCCATTTCTCTCTGTGTGTATATGTATGTATGTATCTATTTCATTTTTCTATAAGCTTTGTTGGTGGTTGTGCCAAGTATTTCATAATACAGATACATAATTTATCATGGTATACTGGTGTTATTTTGATCAGTTCAAGTGAAATATAGAAATCTTACCTCTGTTTACATTGTAACTGCTCCCTGCTATAACTGTCTTAAAGACTTCCTCTACATATAATAAGAACAAAATAAATCAGTGATATAATTTTTGACTCAATGTCAACAATAATCTAGACAACGCAAGAGAAGAAGAGTGTTTCGTATTAGCTGATTTTTTTATTTGTTTCTTCATTTTTTGCTTTATTTTTTAAATAATTTTTTCACTTTTATTTAGTTATTTTTTTAATTTTCAATTTTTATAGATACATAACAGCTGTACATATTTATGGGGTAAAAGTGAAATTTTGATCCAAGCATGCAATGTGTAATAATCAAATCATGGTAATTGGGATATCCATTACTTAAGGACTTTTTGTTAGAAACATTCCAGTTTCTTACTCTTACTAGATATATGTTAATATTAACAGTTTCACTTGTTCAGTTATTTTGAAATATACTATATATATATATAACTAGATACATGTTAATATAAAGTTTCACTTGTTTAGTTATTTTGAAATATACTGTAAGTTCTTATTAACATAGTCATTCTATTGTGCTACTAAACACTAGATCTTATTCCCTCTAACTATATTTTTTATACCAATTAAGAATCCCCACTTATTCTGCCCCTACTGTCCCTTACAATACATTTTCTGGTAGCAAATTTTCTTAGTTCTCACTCCTGTGAGAACGTCTTGATTTTTCTTTCATTCTTGAAGGCCATTTTCACTGTCTATAGGATTATGAGCTTTCCTGGCCTCCATTGTTTGTGAAGAAAAATTTCTGTCATTATAATAGTTTTTTTCCTATAGTTTCTAAAATATAATGAAGATGTATCATAGTGACATAGATGTATTTAGTCTTATTCTGTTTGGTGTTCATTCAGCTTCTTGAATTTATATCTTTTATGGTTTTTTGCCAAATTTGGGGAAGTATCCCCCTATTATTACTTCAGGTAATTTTTTACCCCAGTCTTTTTTCTTATTCCAGTGCTTTGACGACAGAAAATGTAGATATTTCACTATATGATCGTTTGCTACATAATATTTTGGTCAATGATGGGTTGTATATATTGTGGTAGTCCCATAAGATCATAATAGCATGATTTAACTGTACCATTTCTATGTTTAGATAAGTTTAGATAAACAAATACTTACCATTTTGTTATAGTTGCCTACAGTATTACATGTTGTACGAGTTTAGCCTAGGAGCAATAGGCTTTGTAGGTTATACCACTGAGATTTGTGTATAATATACTCTATGGTGTTTGCACAATGACAAAATCACCCGAGGATGTATTTCTCAGAATATATCCTCATTGTTAAGTGATACATGGCTATATTTTCACAGGTTGCTGGAGAATTTGTGTCTAATTTTCTCAGTTTTGCAGATTGTATAATTTCTACCTATAGTCTTTCATTCATTTTTTTCTCCCCTCTATTCTATATTGAACCCATCCACTGAACTTCATATTTTTGTAATTGAATGTTTTAATTCTAAAATTCCATTTTGCTCCTCTTGATATGTTCTATTTCTCTGCTAAGATGTTTCAACTCTTTGTTGACACATCCTTTTGTTTTTTAAGGATATTCGTTTGTAATTGCTTACTGAAGCATAATTATTATAACTGCTTTAAAATATTTTTAGATTATATAAACATCTCTGTCATCTCATTGTTGGCATCTATTGCTCACCTTTTTAATCAAGTTTGATATCTTCCTACTTCTTGGTATGATAAGTGATTTATTATTGAAGACCTGACATTTTTATGTTATTTTTTGGGACACTAAATTTTCTTTAAACTTTCTGTTTTAACTGGCTTTCTGTGACACTGCTCCAGCAGAGGAAGAAAAGCAGCTGGTTATAAATACAAGTCCAGGTTACTTACTCATCCTTCATTGAAACCCAAGGGGAGTGGTCTTTTGATACCACTAGGTGAGTGCTGATGTGTTGGTGCCTCACATGACATCTACCGACATTATGGTGAGAGTGGCTTTGTTATCACTGGGTAATGGTGAAATTCCTGATTCTCCAGTAGGCTTTCTCTGACGCCACCCAGGCATCAAGGATGAAGGGCACTACATTACCGATGGGTGAGGTGAAAGCCCATGTTCTTCATGTGGTTTTCACTGACATTGCTGGACAGAGGACTTGTTACAGGCTGATGGTGATGTATCAATTTTCTATTTGACTTTCTCTACCATTACCATCAGGACCAGCAGATATCTTTTAACAAACTTGTGACGGTGAAAATCAAGATTTCCAGGTCAGTCTTTTCTGACTCAGACACAATTTTTGTGGATGTTGTTTTCTTGATTTGTTTTTTGGCGTTTGCCTGGAGTAGAGTGGTTATTATGTAAAAGTTTTCTCTCTAGCTAGGCTGCTTTTCTACTAGTTCTTTGGCTAGAGAAAAGAGCCATTTTCTGGAGGATTTTTTCTGTGCCCATTGGCATTTTCAGGCAGCTTTTTCAGCTCCAAGTCTAGTATATATGAGACAAAAACCAAGCCGAAGAAACTATCATTGTGTTGTTTTTTGTTCCTGAGGTCCCTCACTGGTCTACTGTCTTCTTTACACCTATATAGGGTCTTTTTACATTTATTTTATGTATAATGTACAAGGTTTTAGCTATGATTAGTGAGAGGAATAGGAAAAAGTATTTCTACTCCATCTTCCCAAAAGTGGAAGTCACTCCTAAAAATGTGGTTTCAAGTTTCCAATGTTAGGAATTTTATAGATGTCTATTTTTCTTATTTCTGATTATATTCCATAGGAATAACAAAGCCAGATGATTTTATTCCTTTTAAACTAATTAAATCATACAGACATCTTAATGAATATTCCATTTGCATCTGGAAACAATGCATACTCTTCTGTTTTGAAGTAGAATGTTCTGTAAATGTAATTTAGAAAAAAACTGGTTAACAATGTAATTTAAGTCTTCTATATTCATATTTGTTTCCCCTATAAATGTTATATAAATGAAAAGCAGATGTGTGTTGAAATCTCAGTCTTATAGCGTGAATTTATCTATTTCTTCTTTCAATTATTTTGATTTTTGCTTCATATATTTCAAAGTTCTGTTATTAAGCCTGTATATGTTTGAAATTATTATGTCATCTTGGTGAGCTAGTCTCTTTATCATTAAAAAAAAATCCCTCTTTTTCCCAGGGAACATAAATTGTTTTGAAGTCTCTTTTTTTTAATATTAATATAGATACATCAGATTTTTATACATAACAATGTCAAGGTATGGTCTTTTCTACTTCTTAACTTCAAAACAAATTATGATGAAACTATCTTTTAACTTTTGACCTGTTTACAAGTAAAATTACTTTCTTGAGGTCAGCATATAGATTGACTTTGGTTCTCTATTAATTCTATCAATGGCTCCCTTTTATTTGGAGATTGTAGTACATTTATAATGATTTACTTTTCTATAATGTTGAGGTTAAATCTATCATTTTGCTTTTCATTTTCTTTTGTTCTCAAGGTTCTTTTCTCTTTTTTTTGTCTTTTCTTGGCTTCTAAGACATTAATTATTTTAAAAAATTATTTTATTTTCCATATTAGCACATTATCTATACCCACTGGCCCTTTATTACATAGAGGAATGAGCACCAGACAAATAGAAAAATGAGTTGTGCTGTGTGCTTTGTTTTGTTTGTAATTAATTGATATTAAATTGACCAAGCTGGGTGGGCATGGTGGCTCACACCTCTAATTCCAGCACTTTGGGAGGCCAAGGCTGAAGGATCACTTAAGCCTAAGAGTTCAAGACCAGCCCTGGCAACAAAGCAATACACCATCTATACAAAAAAATTAAAAAATTAGCAGGCATGGTGACATGTACCTATAGTCCCAGCCACTCAGAAGGCTGAGGTGGGAGGATCAGTTGAACCAAGAAGTTCTAGATTGCAGTGAGCTATGTTCACACTCCTGCACTCTAGCCTAGGTGACAGAGTGGGACCTTATCTCAAATAAATAAATGAATTTTTAAAAAAGTATAGGTATCTTTTTTGACCTCTTTAACCAACTGTAGTATTAGATGGTTTTAGCTGCTTAATTCTGTTTTATTACCTATATATAAACCATTGTAATTTACTTGTACAGCAAGCTTATTTTAAATAGAGCTTCTAAATTTTTAATTAAATGATTAATTAATTTTAACCAAATAAATCACATAAAACATCAAATATGCTTTGAGGCATAAACCAACATTATCTGCTCCAAATAATATTAATACATATATACAAATATTATACATAGAATTTTCACTACTTAAAAAATTTAAAAGCAGATTTTAGTAACATTTTTCTTATTTCAATTAGTGTGTTAATCATGTACAAGCTATTGCAATCCATGTTTACAATTCTACAAAAACATAAGTAGTTACAAATTCTTGTAAAATGATATAGTCATACATAAAATTCTGAAGTTGAAAATATCTGTTTTTATTGTCTTCTAATTTTTCTTCTCCTTTATGAAGTGTAATAACACGTGAAGGTGAGACAAGCATTTAAATTGCAAACAAAAGAAGAAGAAAAGCAATTAACTGATTCAATCAACTGGATGAGTTCTTGAATACACCAGGGAAGAATATCAAGTTTTAAGTAGTAAAACATTTTAAGTAGTAAAAGTTTCAAATAAGGGATGCAATAGAAAATTTTGTTGCAACAAGATAGCTTCAAAGATAGCTTAAGTACTGGTTATACTTTTCAAAACTTATTTTATAAGCTATAAAGGAATGCCTACACAGCATAATATCTGATATTATAGTAGTCAATTTTTTTATAAAAGGACCCTGAAAATTTTATTATTATTATTACTCCCTGTACTTAGCAAAGGAAATAGTATTTATGTCTCATTAGGAAACATTACACAGTATTACAACAAGCAGATGTTATTTTAAGGTTCTCTTTTATCCCAACATAATATGTTTCTCAAAATTTTTGAGATACAATTACCAATATCCTTTAAAACTCTGTTTATTCTTGTTTAAGCATTTGGATTTCAGAAAAACATTATGTCACTTGAATTTGAATTTTTTTTTATTTTTATTCAAACTGTGAACCCAAAAGTATTTGAGGCAGGTTTCAATCAATTTAGAAAGTTTATTTTGCCAAGGTTAAGGATTCACATATGATAAAGCCATTCATATGGTTTGGGGACCTTAGAATTTTATTTTGTTTTAACATTCTCCCTCTTCTGGCCAAGGTTTGCCAGAGACAGCATCAATGGCCTCCAAATGTTTATTTTGTTCCATAGCATTGCCAGGGCTAAAGGACTGTCTGCCTCAGGTCCATCCTGTCCCTCGGTGGGACACTCTGTGGCAGAGGGACTTAGAGTCAAGAGACTTATAGCCAATTAAATATTCCAGGCCAGACAGGAATGAACATGGACAGGCATTCATTATCCCATAATTTTTTTTTTTGTTTTAAAGAGCCAACAAACAAAAAGCCGAAGGCGAGGTTACAAAACTGAATTATATTTAACTTCTGTGTGTTGAGCTACTGCAATCTTGGTTTTAGTTACAGACATAAAACAATTCACTATATAAAGCATAACATTGTTCTGAAAAATAAATTTTAAATATATATTTATCTGCACAACTCATAACTAAGAGTATTATACTCAGGAGGCTTGGTCACGAGGTATCATAATCCTCTTAGTAATTATTTTCTCTTAATTGTATGGGAAGCAGGAAATTCCTTATGGTTGAGGTGAATGAAAAGGTGCTACATAATAGCTCAGAAAACAAAGTCCTTTGTTTTACTAGCCGTTTCGGTGTATTTGTACCCATCTTTGATTTGGAGTGTCTGACCTTGATCTACTTCTATCCCTCAAAACCAGCCCTTACAATCTTATGTGCCAACCTCTTCCATGATAGTCTCTGGGCCTAGAGGGAGGGGGCTTCTATAGCCTTAAACAGCAGGGTATTTGCAGTGAAAAACAGATCAGGCCCAGTGGAATGCCAAATGAGGGAAATTTGCATCTTGTAGCCAAGAAATAATTCATGATTCAATCTACACTCAAAAACAAAAGTCAGGGCTGAAATCTAGTAAAAAGTATAATAGTTTTACTTTGAAACAATTTCTTCCTCTCTCTAGCCCTCCTTTCCTATTGAAGAGAAATTATAGTAAGACTAATTTGTGTGCAAAATAAGTTTTAGGCTCATTGTACTTTGCCTGATTATTTGCATAAATTGCAGCAAGAATTGATTGCCATATAGGCTCTTTCTAAGTTGGCTTTTCTGAAAGTTTACCTAACAATATGTTATTCTAGTTAAAGCCCTGGTAAAATAACCAGTGTCTCAAATAATCCTGTTTTAAAAGAAAAGACTCTTACTAAACTTATGTAAATAAATATATTTTCATAAAATCAGAATACTCACGGTTTCTGAATTTTGGAGAATTCAGAGAGAAAGGTAAATTTGCTCACAAAAATATACTTCGTCCAATTGCTCTAAACTATAAAAAACAGAAAAGAAAAAGATTTTCTAGAATTTTCCTTGGAGCAGCACCATTCCAAACAAGATGTGGTTTGTTCACCTTGGAACTGCTATTCACATGCTAAGTAGCTCATCTTAGATGAGAGCTGTTTATTAGGCACTGTAGAATCTAGCAGCTCCTCACACAGTTAGTTACTTCTAGGGAAAATGGAGGTTCCCTGCTCATGAGAATTTCCTTCTGCCATCCCTAGGTAGTAAGATTCTATTTAAACCATTTTTATTTTATTATAGAACTCTTTGGGGCACCACTGTTTCCATTAGCATAAGGGTAGCTTCAATTAACATTTCATAGCAAGGCAGTAAATTCTCCTCAGGTGGATATTCTCTAGTCCAGAAGTTGTCATTGGGAAGTGCTTACAGTCTTTTGTCATCAGTCCCAATAAATGTTCCACAAAGGGCTATAAAGTGGAGGATTTTTCCTGATTAGCACTCCAACTTTTGCCCTATATTCTGTGGGCTCAGGCAATCTTACTAGTTCCTATTTATTTACCATGTCCATATTCTCTTTGGGAAATGCACAAGGGGAGAGGAAAAGACACACACACAATACCTTTAAAAGTAAACAAACTTTATCCCATGTATATGGCAATGCAGATGTAATAAGCAAATTATATAATAATAAGGAAATGATATAATAAGCAGATTGACATAATAAGCAAATCACAATGGGAAGGGGAGAAGGGAAAAGGTTTTTACACTCACCAGACTGTGGAGGATTCACCACCAGACTGGATAGCAACAGCCTGGGCTTCAGAGTCAGCTACTCCTCTGTCCACAGACGAGGATCGGTCTCATGAAGCTTCGGCGCAGTCTGGGACCCTAGCTCTTTTTGTAACAAGTTGTTTGGCATGAGGCCCAGTCACGAGGGCCCTTCATGACTGGGCTTAAGGAACACAAAAATGTCAACTTGTTTTTGTGATTGTCTATTGTTTTTCAATAACTAACATATAGGAATAGATTGAAATAGAGATTTGTCCGAAACAGTGCTGGATAAATGCCTCAAGGGGCTCACACAACCTTTTCCGTGACTTGGTGACCAGTGTTTGTGTCCATGTTCAATTGAGTTCAAATTTAATATTTAACTTTTCCTCCACAGTCCAATGAACAGTTCTCATAGGATACATTTACATGCCTTCGGTTTTATGGTACTACCTAGGGGAATCATCCCCCGTCAGATACAATACCTATTTTCGTAGCCATTTATGTGAAGGAGTCACAACTAACTTACATGAAATCTGTTTAAACATCTCAAATTTCATAACTCTATTAACTTATACATTTTTATGCTTTGGTCCCAGGACCTTTTTTTTTTCTACCCCCAGTCCATTTTACCTTTTCCCTTGAAAGAGGATCTGGATCCCCAGCAGTGGGTTGAGCCAGGGAACTTGGTCTCTTTTGTCAATCTTTATCATAATTTGCCTTAGCCTTGCTTCATGCAATATTAGCTTATTATTATAACCTTTGCCTTTTGATATTTCTTAAATTTCCCCAATTTGGGGTAAATGCAGAAAATGGGTGTGGGGCCTTTTAATGTTAGAGAATGAACAGGGTGGGTCATAATAAAGCCAGTCCCACAGGGCTTTCATATGAAGCATATTAACTGCTTCGTCTGGGGTGCTCTACTTGGCATTTATAGGGAGAGTTAGGCAGCTTCCTTCTTAGGGTAAATAGACCTTACAGTGGCATTTATCTGGGTCACTGGACTGGTCGTTCTCTCAGGAATAACCTCCTGTGCATTTGGATTACATATATTCATCAGTAATTGTTTAATAGTAAGCTATGGGTCTTGCATTAACTTAAACAAGCACTTTCATTCTGTAGCATTTAAAATTAAAGATTGTGTCCTTAAAGTAGTTATTTTTACAATTCACTATAGTAAAGATTTCTCAGGAAACTGATTATATCAATCTACAAAATGGAACAATTCCCTTACACTCTGGTTTTAATAGTTACTTGGTCTTGCCCTTCTCCTGCATTGACTAACTCATTGGTAACCACAGGTCTAAGAGGTAAGTTTTGTTGCCCTGGCTTAATTTTTCCTTTTGTGTGTAGCTTTCAGGCTAGTGGCCTGACCTGAGACAGACCCACATCTGAGCTTGGCCCAGCCTTAAGGCCAAACCCAGCACTCTTTTACTTTCATTTAGCTATTGCAGATAACGATAACCAAGAGATTAAATATTTTGTTTTTTCTTACTAATTTGCATTTCTGTAATTAATTAGTTCCGTGAACTAATGCCCTGGGACTATGAGTATGATTCGTCTCTGAATTCCACCATAGCTTTTACCTTTAGTAATTGAATGCAGCCCAGCTGCAGCTCTTTAAGATGGGTAAACACGTGGCCACTCAATAATCAAGCTTTCTCATCACCCGCCTTTTTATTTTTCTCTTTACCCATTTAGTTTTATTTATACTTTCTTTTTCTTTATTTTAAAGCAACTCTGAAATGGTCTCCAAACTAGAAAAAAAAATTACATTTTCCTTAGCAAAACCACATCATTGTGTTTTTACAAACTTCACCAAAAACACCTTTTACTGTCTATTATTTTAACTCTTAGTAACCCAAATTCCCAGTGAAAAAAATTGAGGTTGTGTAATGTAGCATAATATGACTTTAAGATTTTAAACTACTAGAGATAATTTTGGGACTAAATTTACCAAATTAAGCTTACCAAAGATTACCAAGGTCATGTGAATTAAAAAGGATCTGAGCTAGCTTATATCAGACTGATAGGCACTTTCTTTTCTTTAAACAAATTGATTAGAGCCCTTTCATATAGTTTGGTAGTGAAATATCACTTCCACATGACACATACAAACATATAGATATAACAGACATACAGACAAGAGCAGATCCAAAAGATTTTTCTTTTGCTTATTTTCAAAAATTCTCTCCCTTACTTTAGATAATTAATTTTAAAAGTTACAGGAACCAACAAAAGGTGAAAGAAAGAGTTACCATCCCAGGCCTTGCAAAAGAGAGAAAGAACTGAAGCAACAGGTTGCAGTTTCTGAGATATTAATCTGAATAATTTCAAAAAGAAACATTATAGAATTTAAAAATTAAAAACTTCTCACACTAAGAGTAACTCAATATTTTTAATAAAATCTTCTAATCAATTTTTTAGTTTTACATTTGACTATTTTTAATATCAAATTTTAATTTTTAGGAAAACAATTTACTATAATTTTCTTTAATTATAGCCAACTTAATCATATAACATTTTTATAATTTCCTTTTTTACTAATCTTATTATGACTTACACAGACCACTCACAACATTTTTGGACTTTCTGGTTTGTCTTAAATATTCCTCTTTTTTGAACAATGAATCATTTCATTTTAGGACAAAAATTCATCATGCAAGATTTTTTCTTATATGATATTGCTTTTCTTTTAAGATTTCTTACCAAAAATACCTCTTCATATCTGTAACTTTCTTTATATCTCTCTTATTTCTTGGTTCATTTCACCTTGTTTTATATATAACTTAAATAACCTTTGGATTAGACAAAAAATATTCACCTTTTAATAAAAACATTTTAAAAAATGTTTTTTCGATAATTTTTAATTTGGTAATTACCCATTTAACTAATTAAAAATATTAATTAAAAGTAACATCAGATATAAAGCTGGCAGAAATAATATCTATTATTTAATACAACCTTAGATTCTAAATTATTTGACAAGTTTGTTTACAAGCATTTATTCTAGTACATTTACCTGGTTATTTAATAGTTTACCTAGATTACTTATAAAAACTCTGAATATTATCATTTAAAGTTATTTTGCTGTAAACTATCTTTAAAGCCCATGAATTTCAGTTGTTCACCTAAGTAAAATCTTAAGGCTAAAAATACAGATATTTTACCCATAACTCAGAATTTATCTGTTTTCATTAAACAAAAAAAAAAGTTTTATTTATTAAAATTTACACAAGGAAAGATCATTCTGTTTTGGTATGGGGTTATAATTGTATAAGTGTTTTGGCAAATTTTGAAAGCTTATAATAGTATTCTGTGCCCATAAGTATAAAACTGCTTGATTAATTAATGAAAATAAAAATGCTGACAATCTTAAGACATTTCCAATACTACTTTACTAATATTTTTAAAGGCAGTTATTTATTAAGGATTTTACTTAAGTCACATGAACTTGAAAAGCATTTGGGCTTCTTATTTAATTTATGCATACTCTTTAACTTTAAGCCAATTTGGTACCTAGTGGCCAAAAACACGTAACAAAATATGTGTACGTACACATAAAACATACATACACACTCATATAAACAAAGATCCTGTAGCTTTTGCTTCAGAACCATAGCTATGAGATATTCATACAAACTCACCAGTTTGGGAAGGAAAAAAAAAAGTTGTATCTAAACTGGTTTTTATCTCAATAGAAAAGTAACATCTGATGTAAAGCAGGCAGAAAATAAAATAAATAGAGAACTTAGGAACTCTATAGTTGCAGGTGGACTTTGGGGCTCTGAATTTTTTCTTGATGTAATTTGCCCATCAGTTTCAAATGTGCAAAACAGATTATAATATATAGACCAGCTGGAGTACTAGAAAAACCTGACATGCCTTTGAAATTTCTCATTTTACACAAACACTTGCAAGTATAGGTGCCATAAGACTAACGGGGTACCCAAAAGGAAGCCATTCCTTTTGAGTTTTCTCATTCTTAGACTATTTGTCTTCTCCTTCTCCTTCTTTTTCCCTAAAGGGAGGAACTGAGCTGTGACCTAGGGTTTAGTGTAGTAGATTGAAATGTGCTGGTTGTAGGTGGGACTCCACAGGGTGTCACCATTGAGTTGTTTCTGTCCTCTTACATGTCTCAGTTACTCTCTATAGAAGTATTGCACCTTCAAAAATCCTCAAAATGTTGAGCGCCCAGCTCCTATATGCATTTCCCTTTTAAGCTAATTTTGTTTAGGGCTCCCTGTAGGGCCGCTGTATATCATGGGGTGTCAACCCCCCAGACATTTGCAGTTGGCCCTTGGTCACTCAGGGACACCTTTTGGCCGAGAAGAGCAAAATGCCTTGCCTCTTTGGAGCTGAGGAAACTCAGTCTCTCATTTAACTATAAAAATGACAGTTTAGTTTCTCATGCAAATGCACATACAAGCCAACCAAGCTTAATTTGGAGAGAAAAAGTGATGGAGAAAATCCTATAGAATGCACCTCCAAATTAGAATTAAGATCCTAAACGACAACCTCCTGGGGGGAGGATCCCACAGCTAAGACCACTTTATCTAGACTGTCCTCAGCCACCCCTAACTCTCTTTTGCCAAGGTCAAATCTTCTCATATTACAAGGTAATCTCTGGTACCCAAAAGTCAAAGAGGTCAGGTAATGTAATACAAGAAAGCAGGGCTGTAGACCCAAGAAGAATCTGTCCATGACTCTTGAAACTCAACAAACTAAAAAGAACACCCCCAAAAGGAGTGAGTCGTGCCTTTGTTCTGTGTTATTTAAGGGGTTTGAATCATTAGAAACCTTCTCTAGATTTTCCTTGGTACCAAAGATGGCAAAGGTGGAAGGAGGAATAAAGTGGAAGAAAAGGAAACAGAAGAACAAGTTTTTAAGACAAGAAGCAAACAGAAACCAAATGCATGTCTTTGTTGTTGTTGCTGCTGCGGTTGCAGCTGTGAGGAATTTTAGCCAATTCAGAGGTCTTGTTCCCTATAATTCGAAATTCTCACTCGGATTAGATCAAGTCAGGTAGCGTTGGTCAAATTCGATGAGAGAAAGACTGGAACAACAACAACAACAAAAAAACACCCAACAATATGATTAATGAGCACTCTAATGTAATTAGATAAATTAAGACCAGTTGGTTGGCAATTTTAACTTTTAGTCATTGAGGACAATTTCTAAGACAAAACTCCCCAATTCAGCTACTTACCTAGGAATGGGGCCCCAGCTCAAGACTGCGCTTTACCATCTTAGAAGCAAGAAGAAAAAAACCTCTCAAACTCACCTTCCCTGTTGGAAATTAGCTGAAACTCCAGAAAGGGGTTACTTGCTCTCCATTGTCATGGAAGCAGAAAAACTCGCCTTCCTTGTTGGAAGCAAGTAAAACTCCAGAAAAGGAGTTGTACAGCAAAATAAACCTCTCATCTCAACCAAATTTGGGAAGATCAGGAATTCTCTGGGGGTGGGGGAGCTCCCATACCTCAGCAAATTGTCCTGTTGGTTTGAGCTGTAAGGATAACTCAAGCTGGTACCAAGTACCAATAGGAGATTTGTTCAAAGTCAGGGACACCTCTACTCAGAATTCTTCTGTGGTTACCAATTTGTAAACCCAAAAGTATTTGAGACGGGTCTCAATCAATTTAAAAAGTTTATTTTGCCAAGGTTAAAGATGTGCCCATCACACAGCCTCAGGAGGTCTTGATGGTATGTGCCCAAGGTGGTTGGAGTACAGCTTGCTTTTACACATTTTAGGGAGACACAATACATCAATCAATACATGTAAGCTTTACATTGGTTGTATCTGAAACGGTGGAACAAATAGAAAGGGAGGGGGCTTCCATGTCATAGGTGGATTTAAAAATTGTCTGATTGGCAATTGGTTAAAAGAGTTATTATCAATATAAATAAATGTCTGGGTAATAATAAGGGGTGGTGGAGGCCAAGGTTTCATCATGCAGATGAGACCTCCAGGTAGCAGGTCTTCAGAGAGAATAGATTGCAAATATTTCTTATCAGACTTAAGGTCTATGTTGATATTAATGCTGGTTGGCTTTTCCTGAACTCCAAAAGGGAGAAGGGGTCCATTCATATAGTTAGGGAGGCTTAACTTTTATTTGGTTTAAAAACTGACATTCAATTTTGTATATTTATGATATTTTAAGAAAGTAATTTTAAAGTTTGCATGGGTTAGGACTAATAGGGAGTCAAAACACAATAAGTAATTTGAACATCACAGAGAAACTAATATATGAATTAATAACTATAATTTGAGATTAGAGTAATGAAGAATTGGCGAAGATAACACAAAAAGAATAGACAAAAGAGGCAGTAGATGAAGCACCTAAATAAGACTCCTCCTGGGACTGAGATCCAGACCATGTTGCAGATGGCTTGGCTGTTGATCAATAAGTGGCAAGGAAATTGCTGTAATCTTGTGCCAGTGGAACTTATTTTTCTTCAAATGTTGCATATCATTTATTAGCATCTATAATAAAATATAAGTACTTGGGTATTATCTTGCATCCTTCCCCAACCAACATACAAATAATAATTTTCCTCCCCATTGTTCAAATATAGTTATAAATAAGTATTTGATTCTCATAATTTAATGTTTATATTATACATTGACATAAAAATTAAGCCAAGCCTTGTAGTACACTATCAAGATTTTTTATTTCTTGAGAAAATTTTATTTTTTTGGAGTTAATCATTAATGTTTTCATTGGCTTAGTTTTCTAAGCTTAATGGATGAATTTTGTAATAAATATTTTAACTGTTTCCATATAGCATAATTTTTATTACATTATTTTTTCCTGGAAGAGATCAGTGCTGGATCATTAAGAACTTGGCATCAACACCAACTCTTCAACATTTTCTTCTGCAGTTTAGAAGAGAATGTAGCACCTACAATTCCCAACATATATTTACTCTTACAGTTTTAAATTAGAGTTAGCTAGTGAGAGACACTGCTGTAGATTTAAAAGGCAGACGAAAAGGTGAAGATTTTACTGGAGAAGGTTGTTGTAGCCAGATGCTTGGGTCTGTGTGAAAAAAAAAGCAGTAGTGTCCATAAAACCAGTCTTCCCGCAGCTGCAGCTGAAATTGGAAAGAACTTCCTTGAGTTTCTTGAAAATTTCAATGGCTTCCTGCTTAGGCAGTTTTTCAAAACAACTTTCCCTGGTGCCTCAGGCTAATACTTTAAGTGGTACTTTCCCTGACTGGAAGTCCTTCATTATCATCTTGGGAAATCCCCCTCCCATCGCTAAATATTTGAGTCCCCTCTTCCTTGCTTTACATATGTCAGTGTTTTCCTGTATACTCAATCTGTTTTATTGCAGTACATTGGCCAGTATCTTTCTGGAAATAAGTGAACGGGAACTTTTTTTTGTCTTTGTTGCTGTTGTTGTTTGTTTTTGCCCTTTGCAAGCCAGGAAGCAAATGTAGTTTATATTTATATTGATAAATCATTCAGTTACAAAATTCAATGTAGAAAACTTGTTGCTGCATAGCATTCTAAATTTTTGTTTATGCAATCCTTTGGCTCCCTTTTATTTTGTTTTTCCTTCCAGAAGTTTTTTGGCATTTTGTCTTTGTTCCTAGAATTCTAAGATTGTACAGTAACATGTCTTGGTGCATATTCACTTTTTTGAGGTGAAATATATATTTAGTAAAATTATCTACTTTTAATTAATTTATGAGATTAGGGAAATATGTAAATTCATGTAACTACCCCTGCAATCAACAGTTAGAATATTTCAGTCATCTTGTTACATAGTTTAGACTTTTCTAGAATTTCAGTCTTTAGTGTCTCTTTTCTTTAACTTAGCATACTACTTTTGAGATTCATCCATACTGTTGTTTTGTCAGTACTTTATTTCTTGTTGTTGATGAGTAGTATTACATTTTATGAAGATACCGTAATTTGTTTATATATTTTAGTTGATGTGTCTTTGGGTGTGTTTGGGGAAAACACTTAAAATGTGTTTTTTCTCTGCTCTCACACCACCACAACAATAATTAACACAGAAGACTTCTGTGACCAAATGTGGGTGGTGGTTCTCTCCACCACTAAACAAGCAGTCTATGCTGCAATGGACACAACTAGGTGTCCTTCAATTCAGTTGTGACACTGTCTACCCAGAGATAGTGTCAGATCCTGCACATTTGTTAGAGGCATTAGAACCAGAGCAACTCCATTTTGAATAGAAGCTGGGTAAAATGAGGCTGAGACCTACAGGGCTGCATTCACAGGCGGTTAAGGCATTCTAAGTCACAAGATGAGATAGGAGGTTGGCACAAGATACAGGTCATAAAGACCTTGCTGATAAAAACAGGTTGCCGTAAAGAAGCCAGCCAAAACCAAGAAGGCAACGAGACTGACCTCTGGTCGTCCTCACTGCTACACTCCCACCAGTGCAATGATAGTTTACAAATGCCATGGCAATGTCAAGAAGTTGATGTTTAGCCCTATCTGGTCTAAAAAAGAGAGGCATGAATAGCCCACCCCTTGTTTAGCATATTATCAAGAAATAACCATAAAAATGGGCAACCAGCAACCCTTGGTTCATCTTTGTCTGTGGAGTAGCTATTCTTTTATTCCTTTACTTTCCTAATAAGCTTGCCTTCACTTTACTCTATGGACTTGCCCTGAATTCTTTCTTGCCCAAGATCCAAGAATTCTCTCTTGGGGTCTGGATCCAGACACAACACACTGAGGGCTCAGTCTTACAAAACTGCCCCTCTTTTCCACCAGTTGCAAATCCTCCCCTGAAACTTCTGACTGCTAACTTCAAGTTCAGATTGCCATGATCCTCTCTTCAGGTTTGACTAATTTGCTGGAGTGGTTCACAGAACTTGGGGATGCACTTAACATTTACAGGATTATTACAAAAGATAACAGATGAAGAGATGCATAGGGAAAGTCATCGGAGAAGGGGTACAGAGCTCCCATCTGCCCGCCTCACCACCACCAGGCTCATCACTCTCCAAGAACTCCCACTGGCTCAACTATTCTGAGCTTCTCATAACCCTGCTCTCTTGAATTTTTATGGAGACTTCATTAAGTAGACACTATTAATTAAACTACTGGCCATGGGTGAACAACTTGGCTTTAGGCCCTGACTGAGAGTTGTAACCCTCTAATCCTACCTTTGTCTTTCTCCTGAGAAGCTCCATTCTGAATCTATCAGTCAACATTTGGATACGAAAAGACAGCACTTTGGAGATTCCAAGGATTTTAGGAATTGTATGCCAGGAAACAGGAAAGAACACCAAATATATATTTCACAATATCACAGGGTGGTTTTGGATATTTGTCATTTCGAATACAGTTGCCATGAACATTTACAAACAAGTCTTTGTGCAGGCATATATTTCCCTTTCTATTGCATAATTACCCAGGAGTGGATGGATTAACTAGGAGTGGACTTAATAAGATGCTGTCATTCAGTTTTCTAATATTGTGGCATAATTTTTATTCCCCCCATTGTGCTGGTAACCGATGGCCTTTGAAATGTGGAAACCCATGCCATTTTATTTTCGGGAGTCTTGTTATAGCATGTCTTTGATAATTTCCTTTTCTTTTTGCCAAAATCATTAATTAGGTATAAGACATTCTGTGTAAAGATTTTAATTTTATGAATCTTATGATAAATCAGAAATCCATAATATTTTTCCCTCTTTGGGGCCAAAAAAGTGAGACTAAAATGTGTCAAATCTAAATTTTTCCTTTTTTATGAAGACGACATTAAGTCTCCAGAGCACAAAAATTCTACAAAATGAAAGAAAACAAAACATACTATTTTGATGTTTGTAGTGACATGAATATGTTAATATTGAGCTATACACTTGCAAGTAACATCTTTATTATATTTTATTGGATTTTCAACATTCTAATTGTTATTCTATAATGGTATTTGCTTTTCTTGATGTTTTTCGTTAAAGACATTTGCTTAAAATGTGAATAGAATGGCTATGCTCTGCTTCTTCAGAATGAATAAAAACAACTTAGTAGCAAAGTCATTTTCAAAGAAGAAATATCAAACTTCAAAAACAATTAAATAGATTAAAGCATTTTCTTAAAACATGTACTTATTGAGAGCTTGGGGAGTTAAACACAGAATTTTCATTAGAATGACTGAGAAATTATGCATGAAGTTTCTTACTTGCTTTGATGAACATTCTGCTTTTCCTATTGAATTTGAAGAAAGCACGTAATTACGTAGTTTAAAGGGTACCTGGCAATCTTCTCAACACAGACATTCTCTAATTTTAAGTATAAAGTATTTATGAGTGTTTTTGAAGTTCAAGCTGAATAACAGGTATAACTGTTTTACATTTCACTCCTATACACCTTCTTACTCTAGTGCAAAATGTTACATCTATTTCTATTTTTTAAATATAATTCTGACCATTCTGCTATAATAAAACTTAACACTAAGAATTTTTTAATTAAATTTAAGAAAATTCAGTTGAGATATTCAACATTGAGTTTTTTACTTCCTTCATGAAAAGAGTCAGGGTTTTCTAACACAAAGTTGATTTCTGGAAAATGATATGCCAGACACTTATAACACAAAAAGAGTTAGGGACAAAAAAATTACTTGTATTCAATTTTTTCTTTAGCTTTTTGAGGGGAAAATTTAAAAGTTTCTGGCACCCAAGTCTCACAGAGCAGCGTTTACTGGATCCACAAATTTATCCAAGGCTACTCTGTATATCTTGCATTTCCAGGTCTGTTGTACTTATCTAGTCAGATTCTTTTTGACTTTTTGCCCGCACAGTAATGAAAAAAAAATCCATAGACTTAATCAATTTATCACAGGTTTTATAGATGATATAATTAAATTAAACCATTTACATGAAGAAGCAAGATAGAGTATTTTTGACACTTGGTGACACTACATAGATCTAAAACGTGAATTCAAAATCATCAATTGCAGCAGATCCTGTTGATGCCCTGTCTGACATCCCCTTGGTCCATTTGCATAACCTGAAGTTGTGATAGACCATTTCAGTATATTCGTAGCTTCCTATTTAAATGCCTGAATGGCTCAGCTTCTCTGCTAGAAATTTGGGAGGGTGCTTTCTCAGATACTGTGTGAGATTGTTGAAGCCTAGAAGAGTGAAGAAGTAACTGTCCCTGGGGCAAACCTCACCACATACTCATCCATCCTCTTGTAGGACAATTCAGAGGTATGTTACAGATAGTCACTTAGGCTCCCAGTGTGTTTCATCCCTGTTTCTCACAAGGACGTTCCACTCATTAATACATGTTGCTGGCTTTTCTCCATTCCCTGTCTCACATTTACTACTCTAACTGCACACACTTAAATTACATTATAGATAAGCTTCTTGTACCCAGTCCTTGTTTCAATATTTGCTTGAGGAGTAACCAAATTTAGAGCAACAGATAATTATTTCACATTATTATTCCAAACTACTAAAAAAGAAAAAATCATCTTAATAGAAATAATGTAATTTTTTTAGTAGAAGTAATTTGAAATATCTGGATATTCATTTATATCTTTTAGTTATTTTTACATGATAATATTATAGATTATTAATTTTAATGACATTATCCATACATTTTGTGTTTTGTGGAAGACAGTATCGAAGGAAGAATCTGTGTAAAAATGCCCTAAACATTTTTTTTCTAGAGTCACACATTTATCCAAGGCTATTCTGTATATCTTGCATTTCCAGGTCTGTTGTTATTATCTTATTATTCATTATGCTCAATCCATATGTTCTAAATTAATTTTATTAGCTATTTTACATTTAATTCTACTACCAAACCTTACATTTTCATATACAAAACTTCTTAAGGCTAGATTGCATTTCTGTAAACTGGTTTTTAGTGTGTGTCTGACATATCACTGTTCCCAGCAAATAGAAATGAAGTAACATGTATTCTCAATTGAAATCCAGGCCTTCAAAAGCATGTTGCTAAATTTACATGCAATAAAATGTTTATGAATGTATTTTTTTTTTTTTTTGAGACAGAGTCTCACTCTGTTGCCCAGGCTGGAGTGCAGTGGCCTGATCTCGGCTCACTGCAACCTCTGGCCTCCGAGTTCAAGCGATTCTCTTGCCTCAGCCTCCCGAGTAGCTGGGATTATAGGCACCTGCCACTGCGCCCGGCTAATTTTTGTATTTTTAATAGAGACGGGGTTTCACCATCTTGGCCAGGTTGGGCGTGAACTCCCAACGTCGTAATCCATCCACCTCGGCCTCCCAAAGTGTTGGGATTACAGGCATGAGCCACCGTGCCATGCCATGAATGTATTTCTTTTGGTAACATTCTAAACCGGTTTGTAAATGTTACATTGGTAACTAATATAACTATTCCCTCCCACAAAATTCATCTATTTAATAATGAACATCATGATGGAAAATATTATAAAATTTAATTTGGTCTATTTAGGGTCCTGTAGTGCATTACCAATTAGACAATAAAAACAAGCAGAAGAGAAGTTGACACTCTTCAAGGGTTTCAGTTTCTATGTAGATGACATTTATATCTTTTTTTCCTTTAGGTATTAAAAAAAAGTAATATCACAGTTTTGATGGAAGTTACATGAGATACGTGGTATCTCAGTGCGTTGGTGCTGTTATAAGAAAATATCACAGACCGGAAAATTTGTAAACAATAGAAATTGATTTCTCACTTTTCTGGATGTGGGAAAGTCTAGTACACCTATCACAGGTTGATTGTGAATTTACATGTTAAAGGCAAGTTATATTGACATTTAAGAGTTTAAGATCAATACTTATTATAGAGTATATTGGGGTAAACAAGAACCTACACTATGTTTTAAGTATAATATTTTAGAAAAATTTTAGCTTTCTTTGTAAAATAAATTTTTGTTATGAGGAAATATCTTTAACTATGTTCTCAAGTTATTAAAAAAATACAATTTTCTATACCAATTGAGCTTACTAAAGTTACAGCAACCACATCCTTGAAGTTATTTTCCTTACAGAATCAAAGAGAAGAAAATCAAAGTTCTTGTAAGTATAGATTATATCGTTGAGTCCAAATAATGTCTGTAACACCCTCATTAATTTAGTCCATATAAAAATGTTTAATATCTGAGTCATAAGTTCAAAATCCTTATATATATTAGGGTTGTTGTTTCAAATCAACTGTGTAATGTGCCAAAGATGTCCATTGTTATTAGAGATCTTCCTTATCAAATGGCAGCTGTTGATTATAGCCTATAACTTCTATTACGTTTCTATTCAGTGCCAAAAAGATGTGCAATTTACAATTTTATGTTTCTATAAGTATAAATTCCAGATAGATAGAAAATAAATAATACATAAATGCAATGTCTAAATGCAAACCATTAACAAGTGAATCTTAACTTCATTTTACATATTCGATGTTTTAAAATGTTTTCAGTGAAATTTATAAGTATTATTACATTGTATATCTAATACAATATGTGAAGAGAAAAGAATAGCAGCCCAATTTTATGGAAATGTTAATTTATTTATCATATTAGATTACAAACCAGCTTTATCTTTATATAGCTTAACATCCTGCATTGTTTCTTAGCATTTTTCTTCCACTGTCTCATAGCAATAAATTATTATTTGGGAAATAAAACAAATTTCATTAGATCTCATAATTTAGTTTTCATAAGATACACCCAATGAACTATTAAAATATAGAATTTGGGATCTGGGGACCAGAAATAAAAGTTTTAATAGAGACCTAAATTGATTCTAATATAAGTTGTTTATTAGTTCTTGCTCTCTTTTTGTTTCTCTTGTTAAGTCTCTAGAAACACATTTCACAAACTGTAGTACAGTACAGTTGTGTGCAGTTTTTACTATGGTTTGTGAAATGTGTTCCTAGAAGGTTGAGAGGAGGAAAAAAAAAAGAGAGCAGGGACTCCTGCAGATCAGTTTGTGTAAGAAAAATCCACAAACTGGCAAAGTGGAATGGAATATGTCAATAAATATGCACAGGCATAAACCTAAAAGCAGAATAAGATGTAAAAAGAAAGTCAAACTCATTATGGGATAGAGACATAATAAATCAAATAACAATGAGTTATCACATTATAGCAGACATGCAAAGTAAATGCTGCACTTTGGCAGGCTGAGGCGGGCGGATCACGAGGTCAGGAGATCGAGACCATCCTCGCTAATACGGTGAAACCCCATCTCTACTAAAAATAGAAAAAATTAGCCGGGCGTGGTGGCGGGGGCCTGTAGTCCCAGCTACTCCAGAGGCTGAGGCAGGAGAATGGCGTGAACCAGGGAGGCGGAGCTTGCAGTGAGCCGAGATTGCGCCACTGCACTCCAGCCTGGCGACAGAGTGAGACTGAATCTCAAAAAAAAAAAAAAAAAAAAAAAAAAAGTAAATGCTGGATAATGTCCGTATTAAAGGAGATATGTGGATGTACAACACAGTGTCCTGATAGTTGCATGGTAGACTGGTATACTTGCTTCGAAGAGGAAACTGTAAGCTCTTACTTAAATTACATATACACATGAATTGACCTAGCAATTATTTTTGAGGTGCAGGTATAGGCTTCTAAGGAAACACGTGTAAGGATGTTCATTAATATGAGTACCAGGGAAGGGGATCCTCTTTTCTTTCCCTTTCTAGGGTGGTGGACAGACAAGCTGTGGTAGTGCATACCCACACAGTGCTATACTCTATAGGGATTATATGTAACAAACTAGAATTATACATAATAAATAAGACAGATCTTAAATATAGTGGTAAGAAATGAAAAGGGTAATGCACAGAACAGTTTACAAAATATTATTATGTAAATTAAAATACATCAAAACAGAATGTCCACTGTATAAAAACATGCTGCTAAAGATTGTACATTATCTGTATTAGAATGGTTATCTACAGATGCAAAGAAATGAAAGAGGGATTTGGGAATAAAAAGAAATAAATAATTTAAAAAGAGGAAAAATTTATGCACTGAATGTGATGATGTGTCATAAACTAGGGAATAATTATAATTGTATATGTGACTTTTCTGAGGCATAGTTGTTTACCTGTAGCTTTAATGTATGAGAACTGACCAACTTTTCATGAAAAAAATAGCAGATTTTTATCTACATACTTCATATACAGCATTGATTCCATTTTTATTTATTTTAACTGTACTTTCAATTGGAGCAAAGGATTATGTTTTGCTTTGATTTTTGCAATTTCTTTTCAAGTAGTTGCTTTAAGAAATAGTGTATAGATTTTGATCTATTGTGAAATAGATCTGCAAAAGCCTGTGTGTAGACCCTAAAGTTTTGGGAAAATTAATGAATTATTCTAAAAATAATAAAGGTGAAATATATGTAAAACATAGTGATTATATCCAATATTGATCCATGAAAAGAAGAAGAAAGAAATGGTCTGGGTGTGAGTAAGGGCCTTGTATAAGAGCTATCGGGAAAAGTATTAATATAATGTTCTTCAAAACTGTTTACTAGCCATATTTTACATAGCATTTTGAAAGTAATATGCTTTACCTGAAAAGCCTTAAATAAATAAGGCATGCAAATTTGCTTCTCAGAACTGCATTACTCTTTTACCTCCACCCTCAACAAAGGAACATAATGGAATTCTAGAATGCAAGTTTTGTTGTTTTTGTTTGTTTGTTTGTTTGTTTGTTTGTTTTTTGAGATGGAGTCTAGCTCTGTTGTCCAGGCTCGAGTGCAGTGGCCGATATTAGCTCACTGCAACCTCCGCCTCCAGTGTTAAAGTGATTCTCCTACCTCAGCCTCCCGAGTCGCTGGGATTACAAGCATGCCCCACCACACTCGGCTAATTTTCGTATTTTCAGTAGAGATAGGGTTTCACTTTTTGGCCAGGATGGTCTCAGACTCCTGACCTGCCTTGGCCTCCCAAAGTGCTGGAATTATAGGCGTCAGCTGCCATTCTGGGCCATTTTGCTTAAGTTAATACTGATTTCAAAGGCAGTCAAATTAATACTTAAACACCATATATAATTTGTTAAATCTTCAGAAAATTAACAAGGAAATGTTAATACACTTTCTAATAGAATACAGCTGCATATAAGGTGAGTAAATAGACACTCTTCTGTGACATATTCACGGACCATAGGCTAAAATAAATATAACCAAACACCGCATGTTCTCACTTATAGGTGGGAATTCAACAATGAGAACACAGGGACACAGGAAAGGGTACATCACACTCCGGGGACTGTTGTGGGGTGGGGAGAGGAGGGAGGGATAGCATTAGGAGATATACCTAACATTAAATGATGAGTTAATGGGTGCAGCACACCAGCATGGCACATGTATACATATGTAACAAACCTGCACATTGTGCACATGTACCCTAACACTTAAAGTATAATAATAAAAAAAAGAAATATACTTATTTTTTATTTCCCTTTTATTTCCCTTTTTGTCTTTTCTTACATAAAAAGATGGTACTTTGTTTCCTTCAAGATCATAATGATCACAAACATATTTTGGTTCAGTAAATGTCCACCCCTAAAAAAAAGTAAAACTATATGGACCTGGCAAAACTATTTCTAGGAGAACAAATGCAAACTGTATTTTTAGTGCTAAGAAGCTTTTGTCCTCATCAATAGCTTCATCTGCTTATAGACACATCTTGAGAATCACAAATTTAATCTCTTTTTAATGTACACTGTAACCAATCAATTCTTATAGATTTCATTTTCATCAAAATTTCTGTGATTCAGTATAATGTCATTATTTATCATCTATGCTGTTGAAATAGGCTTTATACAATTCTATGTTTACTTCATCTTGAGTGAATTCATCACAGTTCCAATCATTTCTCTTACCATTTCACAAACCTTCCATCACTATTAGCTGCGTGGTTATTAATATCAGACTCCTACTTACTGATATCAGCAATCTACAATGTCTAAGTCTGACCTAAGTTCCAAACTTATGTCTTGCTACTCCATATACCTTAAACTGGTTCCAACAGAATTGCTCCATGCAGTTAATATAGTTAATTGATTAGTTAATTTACTTTTGAAATAGTTAGAGGTCCTCGGGAAGTAACAAAAACAAAGCTGTAGAGGACAGTTCCAGTTTTCTGACATTCAATTTTCCCCAGTGCTATTCAATGGTAACATCTTGGAAAACTATAGTACAATATTAAAATTAGGAAGTTGGTATAATCCACAGGGTTTTCTTAGATTCCACCAGTTTTATACTCACTCATTTCTTTGGTTGTTTATGTGTATTTGCATGAGTATGTGTTAAGTTCTGTGCAATTTTATCACACGTGCAGATTTATATAAATATAACCACAAACAAGACACAGAACTGTTCCATACTAATCATAAGGTTTCCTCATGCTACCTTTTTATATCTACAAACCCAGTTTGACCCACCAATGCCTAACTCCAGGCAACCACTAATCTGTTCACCATCTCTATAATTTTATTTAATGAAGGTTACATAGATAGAAACATCCTTTGGCAACACTACTCCTCATCCTCTGCCCCTGGTAACCAACATTCTACTCAGCCTCTATGAGTTCGACTTTTTAAGATTCTACATATAAGTAAGATCATGTGTTATTTATCTTTCTATGTTGTCACAAACAACGGGATTTCTTTGTTTTTATGGCTGAAAAGTATTCCATTGTGTATTTGTACCACATTTCCTTTATTCATTCATCCATTGACGAACACTTAGATAGATTCCACATCTTGGCTATTGTGAACAATGCTACAATATACATAGGAGTACAGATATCTCTTCCACATAGTGATGTGATTTCCTTTGGCTTTATACCCAATAGTGGATTGCTAGATTACATGGTAGCTCTATTTTTAACATTTTGTGGAGCCTCCATCCAATTTTCCACAATAGGTTTACTAATTTACATTCCCACTTTCAGGGTACAAGGGTTCCCTTTTCTCCACATCCTCACCAACACTTGTTATCTGTCATTTTTTTTTATAATCACCATTCTAACAGGTATGACATAATATCCATTGAAGCTTTAATTAGCATTTCCCTGATGATTAACGATGTTGAGCATTTTTTAATATACTTGTTAGCTATATGTATGTCTTCTTATGAGAGATGTCTGTTTAGGCTCTTTATCATTTTTTAAATTGGATTATTTGTTTTCTTACCACTTTGTTTGAGTTACTTATATATTTTGGACTAGCCATTCTGGTAGGTATGTAGTGTTCCCATGTAGTGGTTTTAATTTGCATTTCCCTAAGTATATCCTCTTCATTGAAATATCTGTTCATGACTTCTTGTTTCTAACAAGCAGACTGTTTGAATTTTACTGCTGAGTCTGAGAATTCTGTATATATTCTAGATATGAATTTTTTTCAGGTATATGGTTTGAAAATATTATCTTTCACCCATATAATTTTAATGAGCTATTTATGTGGTATACATCACTTACTATCTGTATTTTAATATTATGTATATGTTTTTTCTTTGAGCTTCTTGAAAAGTATAACTTTGAGTTATGCCTTTGAGTTTCTTGAAAGGTAGAACTAGAGTTAATTTACACTCACATAGCACATAAAAAAAGTGTTTATTGCTAAATACACCTACTAAAGCATTACTGATGGAGTGGTGAACAAAGAAATAACCCTATTAGAATATTCATTCCAATAATAAACCACCTCATAAGATTATTATATATTAAATTGATGTAAAATTAAATCATACCCTTTAAAGTCTCTAAATATATTTGCTACTTTTATAACTCATTTGCAGATTTCCTGTCTTCTATGCAACCAGACTTTCTTTAAGTTGAAGCTTTTTAAGTCAGCCTATAAAAGTGTGATATGTTTCCCAGTATAAGCCATGATGCAATTATTTGGTTTAACCTGGTATGAGTTCTTCTAAGTTTAACTCAGGATTTAAGTTCAGTTTGGAAGGTCAAGGTATGAGAATCTAGATGTATGCTCCAAATAAGCCTATGTAGTTGCATGGCCTTCTCTTCCATGGTATCTAATATTTAGGTGATGATGCAAGCCCCTATTTTACTGCCTTTAAACTGTTAGCCATTTATTGATTCACTTGGGATGTAATTGCTTGCTCTCAGTAAGTGTTCTAATCAGAACCGCCAAAATCACTTCACTACTCCTAATTCCAGTGGAGTCAAAGAAATTAGAGTTGCAAATAACTTGTTAAGTCACCCTTTTAATCTTTTCTCTAGGCAGGGCTATTCCCCATGGTGTATTTTTCTTTTTTGTCAATCTAAACTTTAGAGAGGTTCAGTAAGTGTGTCTCCTGGTGCTTCCATTCCAAGGCTGAAACTGGTAAAATGTCTCTGCAAGGAATGAAAATTATATATTTTTATCAGTATCCAGTCTGAACTTCTAGACATCAACCGTGATGGTTCCTTTTACCATTATCCCATACAATTTTATGAGTTCCTGGTTGCAAGTTCAACAGCCAAAGAGGGATATATGTTCCTGCCAAGATTGTCTTTCCTTGCTACTGTCACTTTAATCAGAAACATGATTAACAGAACATTTGTAACATTGATAGTGATTACAAAGTTACGCCACTGGGAAGGATAGAAAACTCAAACAATTTTATGTCATTTATAGTCATCCCACATTTTTGTTTCCTGAGTCACTTTTCTTAAACATAGGCCATTTTCTTTCTGTGAAAGTTAAAGATGTAGGAAGTCAGGCAAGGAATATAATTTAACTTTAAACATCTCACTTAGGCATGGTATGAAATTATTTTTGTAAGATACTGCCACATATCTCATTATACTTATAGCGATGAGGTGAAATGGAATGGATGATTATCTGGATTTTATAGTTGGTGATATTGAGGTTCTGATCTAGTAAGTTGCTTTAGGTTACTAAAATAAATACATTCTCAAACCCAGTTATTTTGAATACATGTGAAATCCAGAAATGCAATACAGGCATTTATTTTTTAGGGCCCATAACATGCATAAATAGTTCATGACACTATACTCTTCTACATTTTCTCCAACCACACTCCCTATTCCTTCCCAGGCTCCTTTGTGAACATATCTTCTTATGTTTTTCCTTAAATTTAATATTTTTATAGAAGTAGTTATCAAATTTTGTTGCACGATTGAATCACCTGTGTAGTTTTTAGATATCATGATGCTGAGGTCCTACCCTATAGAACTTCAATCAAAATACAGACCCAGGTGGATTCAATATATTTTCTTAAACTCCTCAGTTGAATCCAAAGTGCAGCCAAATTTGAGAAGCACAATTTTAGATTTGCATTATAGGCATTCTTATCACTTCACCTTCAGTCACACAAGTCAGCAAGAATTCAGCGCTTTATTAAAATACAAGGTTTTCCTTAGATGACAGTCTTAAGATAAGCAGTGCAAGCTAGTAGAGTAGTTCCCTTCTCAACCTCCTGTTCTCATCATTTCACAATCAGTAAACTAGGGAAAGGGGCCAGGAAGTCCAGGTACATCCTTTTAAGGGTAAGGGCCCAGCAGTACACATATTACTTCTGCTTTCATCCTATTGAAAAGCTATAAGGGCAGATGGATGTCAATAATCTTTAGCTAAATATCCAGGTTAAAACTAAGAAGAATGAACTTCCGACTATGAAAGAGATA
Organism: Homo sapiens; assembly: GCF_000001405.40. Lineage (NCBI taxonomy): Eukaryota > Metazoa > Chordata > Mammalia > Primates > Hominidae > Homo > Homo sapiens. The sequence goes on along the minus strand of NC_000014.9, from coordinate 27,592,093 downwards.
GAGTCACAAGGACATGAATTACACTGCTGCCCAGAATAACAACAAAGACAAAATATATGAGAAAACAGTTTGTGAGACACTGAATATGGGCAAGAAGGACCCAAGAGATGTGAATCAGCCATACAACTTCCCTCCTTACTATGGTTTTAAATCAGCCATACAACTTCCCTCCTTACTATTTTTTTTTCTTATTTTTAAGTCCTAGGGTACATGTGCAGGATGTGCAGGTTTGTTACATAGGTAAACATGTGCCGTGGTGGTTTGCTGCACCTATCAACACAACACCTAGGTATTAAGCCCAGCATGGATCAGCTATTTTTCCTGATACTCTCCCTGCCATCCACTGCCCTACTCTGATAGACCCCAGCATGTGGTGTTCCCCTCCCCATGTCCATGTGTTCTCATTGTTCAGCTCCCACTTATAAGTGAAAACATGTGGTGTTTGATTCCAGTCCATGGTGCAGGGAGGGGTACCTCATCTTGATCCAGGAGGATTTCCTGAGATGGAAAGATGGACCTGAGAGTCAAGGGAAATTAGAATTTTCTGGGCAGCTAGAATTTAAAGGTCAGAACATCAAAGAAGTTAGAGTGGTACAGACAGAGAACACCAGGTCCACAGAGGTGACACTTTGAGTATTCAACACACAATTAATTAGTGCATGCCTGTGAGGAAATCAAAACTGACCAATGTGAAAGGATTAAAGGGAAGAGTGCTTGGTGCTCACAAGGTGCCAAAAATTGTACCTTTTCCCATGAGACCACCTAGAAAACCTCATGAGTCATTGGGCATTTGGTAGAGTACACAGAAGAATCTTGCCTCAAATATGAAGTATCTTAGCCCAACTCCAGTCATTCCTTAGAAAGGGTTAAAAGCATTATCTCAAAAGTTAAAGCTGTTTCTAAGTAATTTAGCTGCATCCCAGAACAAAGCTCAAAAATGTATTTGTCATAAAAAAACCTCAATGCACACCTAGGTAAAACTCACAATGTTTTATATTCAATCAAAGATTATAAGGCATAAGGAAGAAAAATTACCCATAATGAGGACAAAATTTTATCAATCAAAAGTGACTCTAACATAAAACAGATGTTAGAATTAGCATACAAGTACATGAAAACAGTTATTGTAACATCATTCCATACGTTCAAAAAGTTAAGTAGAGTCATGAAATACATATTTTTAAAAGAACCAAATTAAACTTTTAGAGATTAAAACTACATGTGAGATAAATAGTATATGTGATGGGATTAATAGCAGATGAGATACAACAGAAAAAAAGATTATTGAACCAGAGTACAAAATAAAACACACAAATTAAATATAATGAAGACAGTATGAGTGGGTTGTGGGACAACTTCAAGTGACCTCAGATAGATGCAAATGGAGTCTCCAAAGGATAGGAACTATCAAATGTGGGGAAAGAGGAACAAAACAACAAAAATAAATAAAGTGATAGCTGAAATTTTTTCAAAGTTGATTAAAATTACAAACCCATAGTCCAAGAATCTCAACAAGACTCAAGCAGAAGAGACACCAAGGAAACTACTTCAAGGCACAAAATAATAAAATTTCATGAAGACAGTGATAGAAAATCTTTAAAGCAGCCAGAGGAAAAATACATCTTTAATGTAATTAAGTATTTAAAATAATACATGCTATGCACAAGGAAACAAAGATAAGGAATACTTTTTTTCTCATAGAAAATATCCAAGAGAGAAGATAGTGGAATATCATCTTCAAAATATGGAAAGAAAGGGTGGTCAACATAGAATTGTATGCATGGTAAAAATTTCTCTCAAAAACAAATATGATTTAAAGAGTTTTTCAGACATCACTAGCAGTCCTGCAATACAATAAGAGTATTTTATTCAGGCAAGAGAAAAACAAAATAAAACAAAGCAACAACAACAATAAAAACAAAAGCAAAGCAAAACAAATAGAATAATCAAAGATAACTATGGAATGAAGATGACTACAAATGAAAGTTACATGGGTATATATATATATATATATATATATATATATATATTTTTTTTTTTTTTTTTTTTTTTTTTTTTTTTGAGACAGAGTCTCGGTCTGTTACCCAGGCTGGAGTGCAGTGGCGGGACCTCGGCTCATTGCAACCTCTGCCTCCCAGGTTCAAGTGATTCTCCTGCCTCAGCCTCCCGAGTAGCTGGGACTACAGGCATGCACCACCACACCTGGCTAAATAAAATATGTATTCTTTAATGATCTATTTTTTTAAAGATAAATGACTGTTTCAACAAAAATGGTATTAATATATTGTGGAATTTAGAACATAAATATAGTTATAAAGCATGACAACAATAGCACAACTACAGAAGGAGAGAAATGCAAAAGTGCCACAATAAGACCTGAAAGTAGGCCATCATAAGCTAAAGATGTATACTATAAATTTAAAGCGACCAGAAAATGACAAAACAATAAATTATAGCAAATTAGACAACGGTGATAAAAGAGATTCATAAAATTATTAAATTAATCTAAAATAAAGAAAAAAGAAAGATAAAAGGAGCAGAGATTGGGAAAATAGAAAACAAACAGTATATGATATATTTAAACCCAACAATATCGTAACTCACATTAAATTCAACTATCTAAATATCTCAAATGTGAAGATCATTCTTAAGACAATAAAATATTTTACAGCATTTAACAAATACTTCCTTGTTTAAAACTTTTTTATTGACTTTCCGTCACTCAGGCTAATTTTGGAAATCCTGATGGTCTCCCACAAGATTCTGTATAATCCAGTCCAATCTCCCTTATTTTGAATGTATCTCATATGACATTCTTCTTTTCCATCAAGCTGAAATTTGGTTTACTAAGATGCTGTGTGTTCTCTCCCAATTTAACCAAAGTAGTTTTTTCTTTCCTAAAGAATCTTTGTGCTGAACTCTTTGTCACAGTTAAATCTTACACAGGTTCAGAGTGTCATTCTATATTCTCTGTCTAGAATCTGACCTTAAAATTCTGAGTGAACTGTTCCTCCCTCTATTTCTATATCAGCCTCTCCTACTCCCAAATACCTGGAAAGAAAGTAAGCTGATTAAAGTATTTTTTGTACCCTGGAAGGTATATTGATTTTTTACTTAATCTAGGATTTTAGCAATAGAGAAGACAAGTGATAGTGTTAATATATTGGGAAGTAGAGCCAAATAAAATTAGTGATATTTACATATGGGGGTGAGGAAACTAGCATTATCAAGAATGCCTTATAATATTTTGTCCTAATTACCCATTTACCCATCATTATTGTTTGGTATTTCATAATGATAAGGAATACTAGGCCGGGCACAGTGGCTCACACCTGTAATCCTAGCACTCTGGGAGGCCGAGGCGGGTGGATCACCTGAGGTCAGGAGTTCAAGACCAGCCTGACCAACATGGAGAAACATCGTCTCTACGAACAATACAAAATTAGCTGGGCGTGGTGGTGCATGCCTGTAATCCCAGCTACTTGGGAGGCTGAGGCAGGAGAATCGCTGGAATAGGGAGGCAGAGGTTGTGGCAAGCCCAGATCGTGCCATTGCACTCCAGTCTGGGCAACAAGAGTGAAACTCTGTCTCAAAAAAAAAAAAAAAAAGGAATACTAGTATCCAAAGACTTAGCATATTGCTCAATGCATAGCGGGCATTCTTTAAATATTTTTAATTGAAAAATTGAATCCTTGCAGCAGTCCTACACATTTTAATTTATAACTTCCATTTATAAATGAAGAAATTTACCCCTGGAGAAGTTACATGACTAGGGGGTAGCATAACCTGGAAGTTAAGAGTACAGTTTCTGCGGCCATACAATCTAAATTTAAATTCTAGTTCCACCATTTTAAAGCTGTATGAATTTGGAAAATCACTTTCACTTTCTATAACTTGATTGCCTCTTCTGTAAAATTGTGATAACATTATAAATAGGCTGTAGGAAGTATTAAGAGATGCATTAAGAGATGCATGGACATCATTTACATAATGTCTGACCAGTAGAAAGCTCTCACTGTTAACTATTTTAATTATATTATTACTATTATCATCAGACCAGTATTATAATTTTTATTATCCAAGGTTACGTAGCTAATTAGAAGCTGAGCTCACATTTGAACTGAAATTTTTCTGCTTCAGTAGAAATTAATACATTACTGTATAGCACACAAAAAGAATCAGATTTTAAATATATCATTTTTCTTATTTTTTCCCTACTTATGTTCTTCTTTGGGCTAAGTACCTTGATTCTAACCTCATTGATAATTTCAACAACTTAGAGTTTAATCGCTTCTTTATGACATATGGGTTTTTACTCTCTAGATTTATAATATAGATATTCAACCATATCTGAGGCTATGATGATTATTTTGGGGAATGTTTCATTAATATTAATAGATGACATTTGCATTATCATTTCTATGACCTTCATCTTGTTTTTAATCTGTGTAATCTTTTCTCACTTCAAAATCAATTTGAATTGATCTAACAAGTAAGAACCTTGACATATTTTGAAAGAGTTTAGGTACTATTATATAATGTAGATATTAAATCTGGTAAATTGCTTTTAAAGAGCTTAACCTAAGTATAAAATTTTAGAGAAAAGAATATTAAAAGCATTAGTACATATGTATTATTTCACGTAAGTTTGCTTCATTTTATGTATCTATTGAAATAGCTTTTCTCAATCCATTACCTACATTATTCAGCTGAACTTCAGGAATCTGCATTGATCTGCATTAGCATTCCTAGACCACTAGGGTGTTATTCAGAAATTACTACTTCAGCCCACTAGATAGTATTGTAATGGCCTTAAAAGACCATAAATAGAACAAGGCAAACTTTTAGCCCCTGAGTCTGAGGGGGATTATACCTATGACAAAATCTATTGAGACTTAACTATATCAGTAGCGTTAACAGTGGCGTTTCACAAACTTTACTATAAAGAATGTTTTACTTAAATGGTAAAAATACCATTTTTAACAAATAGTTTAAATTTTACTTTAAGGATATGCCAAAGTTATGATTAACCTGTTTCCTCAAATACCCTTAATTTGACTAGAGAAATAAGCAAGAGATCCTAATTGCATGTCTCAAATCAAGAAAAGGAAAACGTTGTTCAGATAGAGCCTTACCAGAGATGTCACCAAGAAGAATTCCAAAGTTACAATACACATGAACAATTCTGGAAAATCAACGCAATAAATAATACATTGTAAAAAGAAATTCTTACAAAACATTGCCAACATGTATTGTTATTTTAATTAAAACAAAAAACAATTTAAGGAGGATTCAATTGACTATTTCAAAGGGAACCTAGATCATAGACATTTCACATTACCAGGAAAGGGGGAAAAGATGTTAGCAATGTAAAAAAAAAAAAACAAAAAAAGGAAATTGGAAAGGTATATTTTAAAAAACGTATGGAACTTTTTGGAGTGCTTCTTGAGAAGGTTAATGAAAGACAACTGCTCTGGAAAAGTGAACATTGGTTGAAAGGATGATTGTAAAGATAACATTTTTTGATATCTTTTTTGATATCAAAGAAGTAGAAAATATAGGTTTAATCACATAAGATTTGGAATAATTACTACTTAAAAATAAAAGGCCAGGCTATCAGTAGAATTAATGAAGTCTCAACAAGATACATTTAATTCAGACCATATTAATTAGAAGTGAATTAGCACGAAGATTTTCTTAGTTTAGCCTTGAGATGTATTTATAGGGCTCTGGGGCATATTTAATACTTTATATTATAAAAAAACTTTGTGACCAGCAAATGAATGTTTAACCTCCCTGAAAAATAGTAGATTTTCTTCCATTTTTGCAATATCATTTGCATGTTAAAGGCAATGTAAAAAATACAAATGTTAGAATACTCTCAAATCTGGAATAATTAATGGAAAAGAAAATGTAAACAATAGCAAATTATAATTTCACCAAAAATGTAGACATAGTACTTTTAAGAATTTGTAGTAATTCAAATGAGATCATTGAACTATTGCCTAGTGAAAGGCATTAAATGTTTACAATTAACATGAATATTGCAGATAGTTATATTTTTCTCCTGGAAAGATATTTTATTTGTAGAAAATTCCTCTAAGATCTTATTTATATTCATATATTGTTTTGTGACATAAAGACTATAATAAATATCAGCCTAATGTATTCTAACTCACGATATAGCCACTGAAAACAAGTCTGTGCCAGGTATTGAGCTAGATGGGCTAAATGCTTTACACATGTTATCTCTATTAATCTTCATGGCAATTGTGTATAGTAGTCTATATTTCCCAAATACATATGAAATGCCTATATGTATATATATACCTGCATGTAAATGTACATATTTATTTATTTCACAATTAGAAGCATTTTGTTTAAAGGGATTTTCACTGCCCCTTTTGTCAAGTTATCACAATTTGACTTTTAAAAAATATGAATTACAATAGCTAATTCACCCATACATTTTATGAGCATGAAGCAGTTTTCTTTAAGATGATAATACTAAGCTATCTTTTTATAAGTAGCTAGTGTATATATACTAATATAGTTATAGTGGTTACCTCTAGGGGAGGTTATGAAAATGTTAAATTTTTTAGTATAATTATATAATACGTAGTATTACTTTTATAATCATAGGCAAAATTACTAGTACTAAAAAATAACCTACATAAATACATGCTGGATAATAATGCTTTCCCAGCATGGACACAATAGTCCAACAAAATATAAACTTAAGTGGAATGATCATTTTGAGACAAAGGGGCCTGGTCATATATATATATATTAAATGACATTTCTTAGCTTGTGCCATAAGCAGCTACAGTCACTAATACATGTCTTTGAGACTACTGGATACTTTGGTTTTTATTATTAACCTAATACATACATGCAATGATCATCTTCCTCACTAAATAATAAAAATAACATTTCTCTGTGACACAAATGTTAAAAAACCCTTTAGTGGAAAAGCTACTGGGATCACGTCAGTGCACTTCCACCACAGCTAAGCTCTATTTAAAGTTTCTTCTTTTTAGAATTATCTCTTGAGATAAAATTTAGCTCTTCTCCCCTGTTAATCATTTGTCCTCTATGGTCATTTGCCCAGGTCTAAATAAAATGACTATTTATTCATGAAGTTCAAATAGTTTACTACACTAAGGGGACCTTTTAGCACGCAATCCAGAAGAACTGGACTTCTTAAATGGACTGATACCGCTTAACACTTAAATGTTGTGATTTTCTGTTTTTACATATTTTGCCTCCAAGGTGAATATTTGAAGCAAGCCCTGTTGTTGTTTTTGTTGTGTAAAAGAGAGATACTTTTAAATGAACTTCAGAAGTATTATTAAGTTCTAAGTTACAACTGTACCTTGATGCTCACACATCTACATATTTGAATTATGTTATGTAGTCTACTCTCATGGCCTCTGTTTAAGCCTCTGTAGGTGAATCAACTTCGATTATTGAGTCTTCTTTTTATTCTGTAAGGATTTGTTTTTGGTCCATCATTTCCATCATCCATTATTAAATTCATTCTTCCAGCATTGGCTCTGAGCTCCCCACATTTCTTTCCCCTATACCAATTACTTTGGTTATTTTTAAATAATAGTTTATAAGTACTAAGAAATAGTTTATTATATAAATAAGTAAATTATTTATATAAATAAATTATTATAAACTAATAATTTATAAAGATTAAACTAAAATTGCGTCATGTTAGCTTTTCTCGCATATTAAACACACTCTCATTAGAGATATGGAAAAGGGAATATATTTATTTAAGTGTTTAAAATGACAAAAGGTGTTTGATATGATCATAGGTAAAATAGAGTAAAATGTTACAGGACGCTTTACATAGCCTGATCAAGTGATTCCAAATTCAGTTTAGTTTTAATTAAAAATATTAAATAATAATAAATAATAAGGAAAGGAACCTTAACATCTACCAGATTATACAATATTTTCTGCAAAAATAATTATTAAAACAGTATATGTAGGTTATATTTAGATGGAAACTGAAAAAATATCCGTATTCTAGAAACATAAAATTACTTTTAGTACTTTAAATATGTAAAAAAGAAAATAAAAATGGATAAACCACATATTTGAAGAAAATAAATCTATTGATTTAGAGTTAAAAGGAAACAAATGGCATATGTGACTTCATAAATATTTACAATTAACGTGGTATGCCTTGTTATTTTAATTCTATCTCAATATTCACTAAAATGACTCATAAGTTTTTACTCAAAAGCTACCATCTGAATACAAAACTGACTATAATGAATCAGCTTTCAAGTTTCAGTGAAAAGTACTTAAATGGTGCTTTTTTGGTAAGAAAACGTATAGTTAAGGTAGATGTATTTCAGCATAAGACCATGTTCTCCTGAGCAAATCTTGGGCATTTAGTCTTTCAATTCTCTTTGTTGCTGTCACACATCACCAAACAGCAGCAGTAACTCCAGCCTCCTTTTCTTCCCCTGCCACCTAAACTAACTCAGGCTACTCTTCATTTGGCCAATAAAAAATGTATGTTTTCTTATTTGATGTTTACTTATTATATTTGCTAAGTGCTCTTTGCATTCACCATGTGCATTTAACATATTTTTTTCTATGTGCATTGAAGGATATGTTCATTGTAGAATCAAAGAAATCTAGTTCATATATGCACGTATATGTTTCACAAATCTGTTTAGCAATTGATGTTTTAATCACCTACATGATACTTTTTGATTTTCAAAAATAAATAACAAAACTTAACACGTTTAATTTATTTACCACCTTCTCTATGCCAAATATTTCACAACTACATTCATATTAGTATTACTCTTATTTAGCTTTTTCTTGCTTTTTTCTACATCAACTTTTTCAATAATAAATTTCTATTTTGTAAAAAAGGCAATTATTACTCTAAACTTTTCCTACATCTTTCCAATCGCTCAAACTTTTATATTCTCCAATCTAGTCCCTACATTCCTAAAAATAGATTTCCCAAAGTTTAGAGTCAGTTTGTCTGGCTCCACACAAATCTGTTTCTTTTCCGACTCTTGGTGATGTTCGTCATAGTGGAAATTTTCTTCATTGCTTGTCGGAGTTGAAACCATTGCCACCTTACACACATGGCTTGCTGTTCTTGGTATATGTCTCCTTTTGTTAGAGTAATTCTTTTCACTACTTATGCTAAAGTGTGTAAAAGGCAAACTTCCCAAATCCTAGCATTGCTAAATATAGCTGTTTATATAATGCTGTAACATATGAATAACAAAACTCTAGATTTAAAATGGGTTTTCTCTTGCAATATTGATAAAATTGCTGTATTGTTGTTAGTACACTGCAGCTGCTAAAACCAAAAGGATATAAATCTGCTTTGTTCCTTTCTTTTTCTCATTAGAAGGTTTTATATGTCCTTATTTTTGGTCCTTTGATGTTTCATAATAAAGAACCCAAATATGAGACTATTTTTAGTCATTTTTCTGGGCCCTTAGTGGAATCCTTCAATTTGAAGATTTATATCTTCAGGTCTGGGAAAATCTCTATTAATATTTCTTTGATTTTTCATAGTCAAATGTTATTATTTTCTTTTCAAGGACTTTTATTCATTGGCTATTGAACCTCCATGCATTGGTCATGTACCCTGTGTTTGTCTTTGTGTGTTTGAATTGTTTTTCACAGATATCTTCCGTTTCCTTCCAGACCTGTTATTTAAATAGTATTTTAGTAATTTTATTCATAATGTCTAAGATTTTTTACTCCCTTTCATTTTTTTTATCTTTCATTTTAGTTTCAGGAGGTACACGTGCAGATTTGTTACATGGGTAAATTTTGTATCCCTGTGGTTTGGTTTACAAATAATTTCATCACTAGATATTGAGCATAATATCTAGTAGGTCATTTTTTGATCTTCACCCTCCTCCCATCCTCCACCTGCAGGTAGTATCCAGTGTCTACTCTTCTCTTCTTTGTGTCATGTTTACTCAATGTTTAGCTCCCACTTATAAGTGAAATCATGCAATATTTGTTTTTTTCTTCCTGCATTAATTTGTTTAGGATAATGACCTCCAGTTAAATTCATATTGCTTCAAAGGGCATGATTTCATTCTTTTTTCATGACTGTGTAGTATTCTATGGTATATATGTACCACATTATCTTTATTCAATCCACATTTGATAGGGATCTAGACTCATCCCATGATTTTGCCATTGTGAATAGTGCTGCAATGAACATGCAAATGCATGCATCTTTTTGGTAGGACAAATTATATTTCTTTGAATATATACTCTTTAATGGGATTGCTGGATCAAATGGTAAGTTCTGATTTAAGTTCTTTGAGAAATCTCCAAACTGTTTTCCACACTGCCTGAACTAATTTACATTCCCCCCAATAGTGTACATGTGTTCCCTTTTCTCTTCAATCTCATCAACAACTGTTATTTTCAAACTTAAAAAAAAATAGCCATTCCATCTGGTGTGAGATGGTATCTCACTACAGTTTTTACTTGAATGTCTCTAATGATTAAGGATAATGAGCATTTTTACATGTGCTTGTTGGCTGTGTATATATTTTCTTTTGACAAGAGTATGTTCATGTCCTTTGCCCATTTTTTAAAATGTGGTTGGCTATTATTTGCTTATTGATTTAAATTCCTTATAGAGTCCAGATATTAGATCTTTGTCAGATGCATAGTTTGCAAATATTTTCTTTCATTCTGTAGGTTGTCTGTTTACTCTGTTGATAATTTCTTTTTCTACGGAGATGCTCTTTAGTTTAATTATGTCCCATTTGTCTATTTCTGGTTTTGTTGCATTTCCTTTTGGAGACTTCCAAATTGAAATCTTTGCAAAGGCCTATGTCCACAATGGTATTTCCTAGGTTTTCTTCTAGGGTTTTTATACTTTTAGGTCTCACATTTAAGTCTTTAATCCACCTTGAGTTGATTTTATTAAATGGTGAAAGGAAGGAGTCTAGTTTCAATCTTCTGTATATGGCTAGCCCATTATCCTCACACCATTTATTGAATAGGGAGTTCTTTCTTCATTGCTTGTTATTGTCAACTTTGTTGAATATCTGATGGTTGTAGGTATGCAGCTTTATTTATGGGATTTCTAACCTGTTCCATTGGTCTGTCTGTTTTTGTACCAGAACCATGCTGATTTGGCTACTGTAACCCTGTAGCATAGTTTGAAGTCAAGTAACATGACATCTACTGCTTTGGTCTTTTTGCTAATGATTTCTTGGTGATTTGGGCTCTTTTGGGCTCTTTTGAGCTCCATATGAATTATTTTTTATTTATTTGTTTGTTTATTTTCAACTTTTTTTGTTTTGTTTTGTTTTTGTTTTTAGATTCAGGGGATACATGTACAAGTTTGTTACCTGAGTATATTTTGTGATGTTGAGGTTTGGGATATAAATGATCCTGTCATTTAGGTACTGAGAATAGTACCCAAACATTAGCTTTTCAACCCTTGCCCACCTCTCTCCTACCCCTTTCTAGTATTTCCCAGGATCTATTGTTGCCATCTTTATGTCCATGAGTATCCATATTTAGCTTCCATTTTTAAGTGAGAATGTGCAATATTTGATTTTCTGTTCCTGCATTAATTTGTTTATGATAATTACTTCCAGTAGAATCCATATTGCTGCAAAGGACATGATTTCTTTTTTTATGGCTGTGTAGTATTCCATGGTGTATATGTACGACATTTTTCTTTATTCAGTCCATCACTGGTCGGCACCTAGGTTGATTCTATGTCTTTGCTGTTGTTTTGGTAGAACAATTTGTTTTCTTTTGAAAATATATCCAGTAATGGGAATGCTGGTTCTAATGCTGGTTCTGTTTTAAGTACTTTGAGGAATCTGCAAACTGCTTTCCACTGTGTCTGAACTAATTTACGTTCCCACCAAGAGTGTACAACTGTTCCCTTTCTCTGTGCAGCTTTACAACATCTGTTGTTTTATGACTTTTTAATAATAGCTATTCTGACTGATGTGAGATGGTATCTCACTGTGGTTTTGATTTGCCTTTCTCTGATGATTACCGATCATGAGCATATTTTCATATGTTTCTTGGCTGCTTGTATGCCTTCTTTAGAAAAATGTCTGTTCATATCCTTTGCTCACTTTTTAATTGGACTGTTTGTTTTCTGCTTGTTCATTTGTTCAAGTTCCTTATAGATTCTGGATATTAGGCCTTTATCAGATGCATAGTATGTGAATGTTTTCTCCTATTATGTCTGTTTACTCTGCTGGTGGTTTTATTTGCTGTGCAGAAGCTCCTTCATTCAATTAGGTCCTCCTTGTCAATTTTTGTTTTTACTTCAATTGCTTTTCAGGACTTAGTCATAAATTATTTCCCAAGGCCAAGGTCCAGGATAGTGTTTTTGAGTTTTTCTTCTAGGATTCTCATAGTTTCAGGCCTCACATTTAAATCTTTAATCCATTTCAAGTTTATTTTTGTATACGTTGAAAGATAGGGCTCCAGTTTTATTCTTCTGTGTATGGCCAACCACCTATCCCAGCACCATTTATTAGGGAGTCCTTTTCCCTTTGCTTATTTTTTTCAACTTTTTCAAAGATTAGTTGTATGTAGGTGTGTGGCATTCTTTCTTTGTTTTCTATTGTGTTGTTTCCAGCTTTGTTGTTTTTGCTTAGGATTGCTTTGGCTATACAGGCTCTCTTTTGATTCCACATAAATTGTAGAACAGATTTTTCCAACTCTGTGAAAAATGACATTGGTAATTTGAGAAGAACAGCATTGAATCTTTACATTGCTTTGGGCATTATGGTCATTTTAATGATATTGATTCTTCCAGTCCACAAAAATGCAATGTTTTCCTTTTGTTTATGTCATCTACTAGTTCTTATGGCAGTGTTTTGCAGTTCTCCTTGTAGAGATTTTTCTTCTCCTTTGTTAGTTATATTCCTAGGCATTTCATTGTTTTTTGGCTGTTGTAAATGGGATTACATTCTGGATTGCAAATTATTGGTGTGTAAAAATGCTACTGATTTTTGTACATTGCATTTCTATCCTGAAACTTTGCTGAAGTCATTTACCAATTCCAGAGGCCTTTTGATGGAGTCTTTAGGGTTTTCTACATATAGAATCATATTATCAGTGAAGACAGATAATTGACTTCTTTTGCTGTTTGGATGGCTTTTATTTCTTTCTCTTGCCTGAGTGCTTTTGTGAGGACTTCTATAACCATATTAAATAGCAGTGGTGAGAATGGGCATTCTGATCTTCTTCCAGTTCTCAAGGAGAATGCTTTCAGTTTTTGCCCACTCAGTACAATGTTACCTACAGATTTGTCATAGGTGGCGGTTATTATTTTGAGATAGTTTCTGTCAATGCCTAGTTTCATAGGGTTTTCATCATAAAGGAATGTTGGGTTTTATTGAAAGATTTTTTGACATCTATTAAGATGATGAATGATTTTTGTTTTAAGCTCTGTTTACATGTTGAATCAAATTTATTGATTTGCATATATTGAACCAAACTTGCAACCCAGGTATGAAGCCTACTTCATCACGGTGAATTAACTTTTTGATGTGCTATTGAATTCAGTTTGCTAGTATTTTATTGAGGAATTTTGCATCTATGTTTGTCAGGGATATTGGTGGTTAGGTTTTTTTATTATTATTTGTTGTGTCTTTCTCAGCCTTCGGTATTAGGTTGATGCTTGCTTCATCATGGATTGAAGAGAAATCTCTCCTCAGATTTATTGAAATAGTTTCAGTAGAATTGGTGCTAGCTCTTCGTTGTAGTGTGATAAATTTCAGCTGTGAATCCATCTTTATCGGATGCATAGTATGTGAATGTTTTCTCCTATTATGTCTGTTTACTCTGCTGGTGGTTTTATTTGCTGTGCAGAAGCTGTTTCATTTAATTAGGTCCTCCTCAATTTTTATTTTTACTTCAGTTGCTTTTGAGGACTTAGCCATAAATTATTTCCCAAGGTCAGTTTTATTTTTTAAATTTTTTGTTATTACTGATTCAGTTTCGAAAGTTTGTTCAGTGCTTCAATTTCCTCTTGATTCACTCTTAGGAGATTGTGCCTTCCCAGGAATTTATCCATGTCCTCTAGATTTTCTAATTTGTACACATAGAGGTGTTCATAATAGTCTCTGAGGATCTTTTGCATTTCTGTGTGATCAGTTGTAATGTCACCTTTGTCATTTCTGATTGTGCTTATTTGAATCTTCTCTTTTTTTTCTTTGTTAATCTAGCTAGCTGTCCATTATTCCTGTTTATCTATTCAAAGAACAACCTTTTGTTTTGGTTGATTCTTTGTATAGATTATTGGGTCTCAATTTTGTTTGGTTCTGCTGAGATTTTAGTTATTTATTTTCTTCTGCTAGCTTTGGCATTTGTTTGCTCTTATTTTTCTAGTTTCTCTAGTTTTCATGTTAGATCATTAATTGTAGTTCTTTCTAACTTTATGAGGTAGACATTTAGCTCTATAAACTTCCCTCTTAACACTGTTGTTGCTGTGCCCCAGAGATTTTAGTGTGCTGTGTCTCCGCTTTCATTAATTTCAAAGATGTTAAAAATTCTCTGCCTTAATTTAATTGTTTAAATGAAAGGCATTCCAAATCAAGCTGTTTAACTTCTATGAAATTGTGTGGTTTTGAGAGATCTTCTTGGTATTGATTTCTACTTTTACTTCACTGTTGTCCTAGAGTGTGATTGGTATGATTTTGATTGTTTTGAATTTACTGAGAGTTGCTTTATGGCCAGGCATATATTAAATCTTGAAGTATGTTCTGTGTGCAGATGAGAAGAATGTATCTTCTATGGTTGATGGGTGGAGTAGTCTGTAGATGTCTATTAGGTCCAGTTGGTCAAGTGTTGAGTTAAAATTCAGGATTCCTTTGTTAGTTTTCTGCCTCAATGATCTGTCTAATACTGTCAGTGGGGTGTTGAAGTTCCCTACTATTATTATGTGGCCGTATAATTCTTTTCATAGGTCTAGAAGTACTTGGTTTATGAATTAGGGTGATGGGGCATATATATTTAGTATAGTTAAATCTTCTTGTTAAATTGAACACTTTATAAATATGTAATGTCATTTTCTGTCTTTTTAAACTTTTTTGGTTTAAAATTTATTTCATTTGGCCAGGTGTGGTGGCTTATGCCCTGGCTTATGTAATCCCAGCACTTTGGGAGGCTGAGTTGGGTAGATCACTTGAGGTCAGGAATTCAAGACCAGCCTGGCCAACATGGTGAAACCCTGTCTCTACCAAAAAATAGTTGGGTGTGGTGGCGCACACCTGTAGTCCCAGCTACTTGGGAGGCTGAGGTGGGAGAGTTGCTTAAATTGGCAGTGGGGTAGAGGTTGCAGTGAGCTGAGATCATGCCACTGCACTCCAGCCTGGGTTACAGAGTGGGACTCTGCCTCCAAATAAAATATAATAAATTCCATTTCATCTAACAGAAGTAAGGTGAACCCTACTTTTTTGTTGTCTTTATTGTCATGATAGATCTTTCTTCCACCCTTTACTTTGAGCTTATGGATGTTGTTAATGAAAGACAGTTCTCTTGAAGGCAGAAGATGGATGGATTTTGTTTTTCTAATCTGACTTGCCACTCTGCGCCTTATAAGTGGGACGCTTACATCACTTGCCATCAAGGTTAATATTGACATATGAGGATTTGGTCCTATCATGTTGTCAGGTGGTTACTTTGTAGTTTCTACGGTATTTTTGCTTAGTAGTATCTGCAGGCGATATATTTAAGTGTGTATTTGTGGTAGCAGATTTCATTCTTTTGTTTCCATGTTTAGAAATTATTTAAGGATCTTTTGTGAGGCTATACTGATGGTGATGCATTCCTTTAGCACTTGCTTGTCTGGAAAATATTTTATTTCTCCTTTGCTTATGAAGCTTAGTTTTGAGGGATCTCAAAAGCAAATTTTGGTTTCATTGATATTTTGTATGGATTTTCCCATCTCAGTTTTGCTCAGTTCAGCTCTGATTTTAGCTGTTTCTTTCCTTCTAATAGATGAGGGGTTGGTTTGTACTTGTCTTTCTAGTTCCACTAACTGTGATGTTAGGTTGTTACTTTGAGATCTTTATAACCTCTTGCTACAGTCATTTAAGGCTATAAATTTCCTTCTTAACACTGCTTTAGCTGTGTCCCAGAGTTTCTGGTATGTTACGTCTTTGTTTTCATAAGTTTCAAATAATTTTTTGATTTCTGTCTTAAGTTCATTCTATTCTTTACCACAAAGTCATTCAGGAGCATGCTGTTTTATTGTTTTTATTCCATTATTTCCAAAGCCATAATTTTATGACTTTGAGAGATCTTCTTGGTATTGATTTCTATTGTTATTGTACTATGACTGGAGAATATGATTGGTATTATTTCTTTTTTAAAATGTATTAAGAATTGCTTCATGGCTGAGTGTGTGATCAATCTTAGAGTATGTGCTAAGTGGAGATGAGATAAGTATATATTCTGTTGTTGGGTAGAGTATTTATAGATGTCTGTTAGTTCCGTTTGTTCAAGTGTTGAGTTTAGGTCCCACGTTTCTTTGTTAGTTTTCTGCACTGATAATCTAACATTGCCAGTGAGATGTTGTCTCCCACTATTATTGTTTTGCTATGCAAGTCTTTTCATAGGCCTGTACGAAAATTTATGAGTCTGGGTGCCCCAGTATTTGGTGCATATATATTTAGGATAGTTTAAATCTTCTTTTCAAACTGAAACCTTTATCATTATGTAATGCCCTTCTTTGTTCTTTTTGATCATTCTTGGTTTAAAGTCTCTTTTCTCTGAAATAAGACTAGCACCATCTGTTTGTTTATTTATTTATTTATTTTCTGTTTGCTGGGTAGATATTTCTCTATCCCTTAATTTTGAATCTATAGTTGTCATTGCATGTGAGATGGGTCTCTTAAAGACAGCATAAAGACAGGCTCTTGCTACTTTATCCAACTTGCCACTCTGAGTCCTTTAAGTGAGGTATTTAACTTATTTATATTCATCGTTAATACTGATAATTGAGGATTTGATTCTGTTATGCTCTTAGCCAGTCATATAATATTGATTAGACAGTTGCCTTGTAGTATCAGTGGGCTATGTATGTATCTACATTTTTGTGGTGTCAGGTAATGGTCTTTAGTTTCCATGTTTAAAACTCCCTTAAGGACCTCTTGTAAGGCAGAGGTAACTAATTCCCTTAGCATTTGCTTGTGTGAAAATGAATTTATGTCTCCTTCACTTATAAAGCTTTGTTTGGCTGAATATAAAATTCTTGGTTGGAATTCCTTTTCTCAGTGGATAGGACTCCCAATCTCTTCTGTCTTGTATGGTGTCTGATAAAAAGTCTGCTGCTAGCATGGGGGGATCCCCTTTTTATGTGACCTTCCCCTTCTCTGTAACGGATTTAAGATATTTTCTTCTGTGTTGACTTTGGAGAATTTGATGATGATATGTCTTAGGGATGGTTATCTTGTATAGTATCTTGTAGTGATTTTCTGAATTTCCTGAATTTGCATGTCAACTTCTCTAGTAAGGTGGGGAATTTTATTTATAATATCATAAATATATATTCCAAGTTACTTGCTATCTCTCCATCTTTCTCAGGAATACCAATGAGTGTTAGGTTTGGTCTCTGCATGATCCCGTGTTTCTCAAAGGTTTTGTTCATTTTTAAAATTCTCTTTATTTTTTCTGCTTTTATTGTTTTGAATTAGTCTTTGAGCTCTGAGGTTTTCTGTTTGTTTGTTTTTGTTATAATTGTTTTTTCAGCTTGGTCTATGCTATTATTAATGCTTCCAGTTTCATTCTGAAATTCCTGTAGTAAATTTTTCATTTACAGAAGTTCAGTTTGATTTTTTTCTTAAAATTGCTATGCTGTCTTTCAACTCTTGGACCATTTTTTCTGTTTTCCTTGGATTGGGTTTCATCCTTTTCCTGTATCCTGATGAGCTTATTTGCCATCCAGATTCTGAATTCCATGTTGGTCATATCAGCAATTTTAGTCTGGTTTAAATCCATTGCTTGGGAGCTAATGTGGTCTTTGGGTGTAAGAAGCTACTCTGGCTTTTAGTGTTGCCAGAATTCTTAATCTGGTTCTTTCTCATCTGTGTAGGCTGATGTTCCTTTAATCTTTGAAGTTACTGTCTTTCAGATGGTGCTTCTTGCTATTATATTCTTTGACGCCCTTGAGAATTTGACTGTGGTAAAAGTTGGGTTGAGTCAATTGGCTTTGTTTCTGGATACGTTCAGGGGCCAGTGCTCAGCTCACCACCCCTGGCCTTGTGTGTTCTAACTCTGGGGTACTAGGACCAGGCTTATGGCTTTATTCTCTGGCACCTCAAGGGCAAGCACCAACTGTGCTGAAGGGGCCAATGTGTTTCCAGTCCTCTGGCAGCAGCATTTCAATGGAGGCTGCTGGCAAGTGTGCTCTGGCAGGATGTCAGTGGTCCTCGCATGCATTTGTGCAGATGGTGAGTCTGCATATGCATACACACTGGCAGGACAACTGAGGTCGCTGCTTGCTTGTGTACTAGGCAGTTTGTTCCTGAATGCATATGCACTGGTGGGGTAGTGGCTGGTCCCCAATCATGTGAGCACTGGTGGGGCAGCAGGGGTACCTGCTTGCTTGCATGCAAGCAGATTGGCAGTGGGTCCCCACATGCATACATCCTAGTGGGGTGATGATGGCTCCCCTCTCCTGTGTGCAGCAGTGGGATACCAGCAGGTGAGTGTATGCTGGTAGAGGACAGTTCCAGGTGAGTACATGCTGGCTGGGGTCCATCTGCAAATGTATCTCAATGCGTAGGCAGTGTTTGCCAGCTAAAGAGCTATGATGATAGCCATTGGCAAGCTGATGCAGTGCTACAAGCCAGTATGACCAGGCCCAGATCCTGGGCGATACTGGTAGACAGGGCTATGCTCAGACCAGATGGCCCCCTCCCACAGGTAAGAGAGCCCCACTCTGTCCATGTCCAACAGCTCACAAAGACAAAAGCCATCCAGAGAAGTATGGTGAGTTTTGAGGGATGAGTCCCCATGGCCATGCTCCACTGAAGCTGTATCCATGCCAAACCTTCTGGACTCTGTGCAAGCTGGAGTTCTGTAGACAGAACTGACAGAAGCTGGCAGTTCTCCTTGCCAGCTTAGATATCCGTGGGGGTGCAGTGTTTCCTGTACCCAGAATCCTAGAGGTCCATGGTGAGAGTGGGCCACCGTACACCTATTTCACTCACTTCTTTGCTAGGAGCCACTTGGGGCCAGGAACGAGTCCTGGTGCTCGTCAACTTCCTATACAGCTTCCAATTTCTTCCGACTTCAGCACAATATCTGCATCCTCCCTCTGTCCACACTGAATACCCTCTTTCTGAAGACCTGTTCAGAGTGTGCCAGTCTACTTGATGGTCTGGTCTTTCTCAGTAGGAGGAGCTTTTCCTGACGGCATCTAGTTGCTATCTTTGCTCTTTCCACTCTTCATTGTTTTCTAGCTTCTTGTACTTGTACACTCAATGTGATCTTTTCATGGATTTAAGTACTGTGTTGTTAGAGTATTTTTAAAAACTTTATTGTTTCGATTATTTTTCACTTTTATTATTCAAGATGATAAATGTCATCAAGCTGGACAAAACTTTTTTTCAAAGAAAGTGAGCCAAAAATTGGAATTAAAATTACAATTTTATAGAATATATTGGTTTGCCTTAAAACATCTCTATGTAATACCTCTTCAGTATGCCTTTTAATAAATTTCTTCCAGGTGGCTCTAGTGGTAAAAATGTAATGGGGAGTGGTAAAAATCAGATTAATTCATTACTCTCAGTGTCATAAATTTTAAGGAAGGAATGTAAAAATATCTTGTTTTGGTGGTCATAGAAAAATTGATAAAGATGAACTGCTTCTTAGAGAGAAAAAAGTGAGTAAATTAGCTAAGACATTCATTCTTTGACGTTTTACAGCAGATCTGTAGGATGCATTCATCTTGCATAACTGAAAGTTTATACAGTTAAACAGCAACTCCCCATCAAGTTACAACATGCATATAGTTAACAATATTGTACTGTACACTTAAAAATGTATTAAAATGGTAGAGCTCATGTTAGATGTTCTTATTTTAAAAAAGAAAGAAGAAGAAGAGAAAGAAAAAATACAAATATCTTAGAGAGGAAATATCTTTTATTCCAGAGAAGAAAGTTTTTCTGGAACAACACTTTGACATGACTTTAAAATGGTAAAATCTTACGAGTAATTCGACAGCATCATCCCAAAGCCTTGAAAGATGCAAATATCTGTTCTCCTAAATCCACTTGTACTGATCTATTGTAAGAAAATAATCAGATGTAATCTCAGATCTGTATAGAAAGATGTTTATCAAGCACCATTCATAATAGCGAAATATGGGAAAATTCCAAATGCTTAAAAATAGTTGAATGATTACGTTAATCACAGTATCATGGAATAGAATGAAGCTATTTAAAAACCATATTTATATTTAATGATATTAAAATGTTTCTCATTTAAAGCTTAAAATGTTAAGAAAGTATATACCCATAATAGAATTTTAAAATAATTATGTAAAACAGAATTTGTATTTTTGTGTATGAATAGGAAACAAAATTTTCAGTAAGCAAGTCAATGTGTTAACTGAGGTTATTTCAGAGGATAGGATAGAAGAGATTTTTTCCCCTTCCTTGTGCCTTCCTTTGTTGTTCAGATTTCCTTCATTGAACATGTATTGCATTTGTAACGAAAATAAACATAAAATCATTGATTAAAAAGTAAATTATTTTTAGAAGAAGAAGGTGCATGAGATATTACAGGGGATATATGCTGTGCTCCTTTCTTTTCCCCTCAAACTCTCCATTCTCCTGAGTTACAGATGGTTATAACCACCAGAGGTATTAAAGTGCATCAGTTTCAAACTTGATTATTCATGTCTTGGAACTGATTTACTCAGCTGCACCTGGGAACATAGGTAACGGGACCATGAACGTCAAAGGGAAGAACAAAGGGCATGGACACATTATCAGCATTTCAATGTATTTTGGATTATGTCAGGCAGTATGTTTTCTATAAAAAAGAAAGTGATCTGATAAGGCCCTAAATAAGTCTTCTTACTGAAACATGTGAATATCATTTTTAGAGTGTTTTCTATTAACTGGGGAAAGTAAGATTATTCCCAAAATATTTTGAACAACCTTGTCTAGGAATTCAAGTTACATCTTTTGTTCACCAAGTAGCTAGTAGGGAATGTTTAACTTCAGAGGTAAAAACATATTGAAATTTCCAAGATAAAGATATAATGGGAAAAACTTTTCATTGCCTTAATGGTATTATTTGAGTTTGTAGGTAGGCAACTGCATTGCTAACATAACTATCTTATAGGTCTGAAGTGGTATCTGAAATTTTATCACTGCCAACTAATATGGTTTGGCTGTGTCCCCACCCAAATCTCAACTTGAATTGTAATAATCCCCATGTGTCAAGGGAAGGGACAGGTGGATATAATTGAATAATGGGGGCAGTGTCCCCCATACTGTTCTCATGGTAGTGAATAAGTCTCATGAGATTTGATGGTTTTATAAAGCGGAATTCCCCTGCGCATGTTCTCTCTTGCCTGCCACCATGTAAGATGTGACTTTAATCCTCATTTACCTTCCACCATGATTGTGAGACCTACCCAGCCATGTGGAACTGTGAGTCCATTAAACCTCTTTCCTTTATAAAATACCCAGTCTTGGGTATGTCTTTATTAGCAGCATGAGAAAAGACTAATACACAGACATTTTTCTTTTAGTTAAGGATACAGTTTTAAAACTGAATTATGCAAAATGCTATTGTTCTGCATATTGCCTGGTCAGACCCTATAGTTAAGAATAAAGATATTGGTTTTTAATGGATATGTAGAACTTGGTTTCCTTCCTTTATATGTGTTTTGATCTTATTAGCTTTGTTTCTTTTTCGTAGTTTATATAGTAAAGTTTTACATAAGGCTCTATTTATCCACTTGTCAAAAAAAGTGTATGACAAGGAGGAAAAGAAAGAAAAGAGAAGATGAAGAAGCTTAGACAAAGAATAAGAGAATAAGTCTGTTGTTTAAAATAGTAGTTGAAAATCATTAGGTTAGGACTTTGAAGAATATTTACTATTGTTTATACTTTTCCTGAGAATGCATTATTTATTATCATTATACATAGCCAAATAATGCAAAGATTAGCACAGAAGTCAATATCCTACTCTCCCCCTGACTCTCCCTAGTTCCCATCCTCCTTAGGCAACCTGGGAGATATGAATCCTTCACACACTTCTAGAAACCTGCCTAATATGTATTTTTCTCTCTTTTTTTCCTACTTACATAAACATAAAGAAATATACAGGCTTTAAAAAGTACTCCAGAAGTTAGTATTAATACATTCTATTAATAAATTCCTAATTGTTTTATTAAGAGTTTTATTTCTTGTCCTCACACTAAAATCTACATGGAATGATCAAGTTCTTTCCAAAGTCATAGCTCACATAAAGCAACCCTACTTGATGAAGTCCAGAAATGCAGGCAGTTGGCTCAAGGAGGTAACATGTCTTTTATCTTTAGGCCCTAAATGTTTGCTAAGATGTATGCTTGGAGATTCTAGTGAAAAATAAATGCCTTATTTTTATATATTTGTATTGAGAATTCCTTGTAGAGAAGATCTATTTCTGGTGTTCACTGGATTATTTTCACTGTATTTATTGGCAGAGTTGTAAAAAACCCATGTAGATTGTGTTCATTTTCTAATGATTATTTTCCAGTGTTTTGCTTACAATAGATATTGAAATACTTTCTAAGGAGATTATTTTATTTTGTGTATATGTAATATTTATAAACAGTTCAATTTGTTTTTCCTTGGCGTTTTGTAGATGAACTATCTGCATTCAAATGATAAATTTATTTACTCCTAAAGACTACAGTTTTCCAATATCCACTTTATTAAAAATATCCTATAATAACATTACAGAAAAAGTCATAGTCATTAAAATTTAAATTTTACAACTATTTTAGCAATAGAAGATGTATGTTATATAACATGCCTGATAAATGTATGCTAAAATGAATGCATAAACTATTTTCTCGTTTCTTTGTTGAATGACCCAAAAATATCACAAAACACAATCTGTGTTCTTAAAAGCAGTGATATTAACATGCTTGTAATCAGACTTTTAGGAACATATTTTTAAAACTTTATGGAACAAGAATATTTGTAGAAAGTGATTGCTATTTTTCACAGTGTCAGGCTGCTCTTTGTTGAGAATTGTGTGTATTTTTTTCTTCTGAATTGTAGCTGATATAAATTGTCAAAGTACAGGATTAAAAAAAAAAAGAACGGAGTAAAGCATGGAAAGTGAAATATGATTTTTGTATATTGCACACCTATTCGTTGGTTTTATAATCACAAAAGTGACTATAGTGATTATAAGCACATACTTGCTAAATGAAATTTTATCCAAGAGAGTTTCAGGAGACACAATAAAACCACTATTTCCTAGGATGTTTTAAGGAAAATGCTATTGGGCACCAGCAGCTAGAAGAACAGAAGCAGTGGGAGGGTAGCACAGCCATACTAGATACTCAGAGAGAAGCCTGTTCTGAGAGGAGTTGGAATGTCAGTGGGAGGCAGGGACATTCAGATCTAAGGGATCACTAAGTAATCTATCTTTTGCTAACTGAATTTGTTAAATAGTGTTAAATGAAATAAGTAATAGATTATTATCTGGATAATCTTTGGAAAGCACAATGTGTGTATTCTGGCTGGCCTATGTTCTTGAAAACTGTCACTACAGATAATGCCAATACTGGTAATTAGATTATATGCTTTCTTTTTGTCAAGTCCTATATTTTCTTGATTGATTCTCTATTATTATACTTGTGCCACAGGGAAAGTGATTCTACTACCCTGTTAAACCAGTTGTTTAATAATTTTTTCAATGGTACTAATGAAAAGAGAGACAAAAGAAAGCGGAAAGTTCCCTTTGAATAAGAAGAAAGTTTGACCTCTGTCCAGTCAACAGCAATAGAGGTGGAGAGCTTGCATCATTATTAAACACATATACTTTTCTCACTCTCTCTCAGTCTTTTTCTATCATTCACACACACACACAAACACACACACCAACCCACCTTAAGTCACAATGTTTTCCATTTCTCAGTAATCAGCATGTAGCTTCTAAAACTTTCTCTTATTTTCTTTTGTTCTATTTACATAATACCATTGGGCTTGTAGCCTATTTTATTGTTATATGCTGTCACGTATAATTGATTTCGGGTGAAAAATTTATTAACTTCAAGGATTCATGCTCTCAGATGAATAAATGCCCCTTTTAGACACATATTTATGAAGAATATATAATGACTTTAATTGTGTGTACCTCATGATAAATTTATATTAAAATCCTTATAATTATTGTGAGAAGCTTACTCATACATTTTCTTAAAAACTTTTTTGCTTGTTTCAAACAAATGCAACCTTTGACTTCTAGGCTGAATGGTTAATTTTATTTTCAATTTTCAATTTCTTGGCTTGACGAAGTATACTAATGATGTTTCTTTGTCTCACCAGGCCTCAGAGGAAATGTTGATAATGATTTGCAGACTTTAAAGGTTGATTCATGATAGGTGCATATATTGAGTAAGATCTTTTCCCACAGCTCATCTTTGCTCTAAAGTTTAATATTGTAATTTAATAAAAATGGCTTTGCAGCTATGAAAGCTAGCTTGGTAAAGAGATATATGTATTTCAAGGCTGGTTCAGGTTCAAAGTTAAAACAAGATTTTTTTTTCTATTGCCATGTCCATCTTTCTCTACCAAGGGAAATCACCTCTTCAAAGGAAAAGACAGTAAATCTCTAAATCTCCATATTTACTCAGGTCCCGAGACTCTGCAGGGCAAAAGCTGCCAAGTCTATAGATTTACAATGTTTTATGATAATGATTTTCTCCAAGGGCTCACCCAAGATGAAAAGATAAATTAATTTATCCACTTCCAACCACTAGTGAAAGTTTAGTCTCCATTCCAAAAGCTGCCTTCAGAACAGTACCTGCACAATATAATTCATCAGTGGTGATTAAAATTTAAGAGCCTCTGGATATGGCCATCTTGCACTGGGCCTATCAAGTGGAAAGCACTGTAAAAAAGATGACTTTAAAGCTGAAAAGGGCATTATAACTTTTTTTCTGACCTTGTGATGCTGTTACTACTGTTAATGAGAATTACAACCAGTTACTTACCTCTGACTCTATGTCGAGTTCTTGATAGATATAATTCTCATTTCATTCCTCATAACATTCCTGTGAAGGAGATTTCAAGAACTGTTAAAAGCAGAGAGGTTAAGGGCCTGTTCAGAAATCATATCTTACAATGATCAGTACCAGAGTGAGCCCAGATTAGTCTGATTCCGTGCCCTTAAGTGATATGGTCTTCATTCTGCATTCTCCTAAAATTTGTAGCTATTGAGAATTATTTTTTTCAGCTTTCTTGAGGTATGATTGATAAATAAAAATTGTATGTATTCAGGGTTTACAATGTGATGATTTAATATACATATGCATTGTGAAATGCTTAACACAATCAAGCTGATTAACATATCCACCACCTCACACAATATTACTTTTTTGTGTGTGCATGGTGGGAACAGTTAAGATTTTAGGAAATTTCAAGTATACAATATATTGTTATTAGCTATAGTCACCATGCTGTACACTGGAGCTCCAAAATGTATTCATCTTATAGATGAAAATATGCACTCTTTGATCAGCATCTGCTGATTTCCCCCACCCCCAAGCTTCTGGTAATGATCATACTACACTGTGTTTCTATGAGTTCAACTTTTTCATATTCTGCATGTAAGCGATGTCATACTGTATTGGTTTTCTGTGTCTGGCTTATGTCCTCCAGGTTCACCCATATTTTCAGAAATGACAGGATTACCTCCATTTTTTAAGGCCAAATAACATTCCATTACATATGCAGCTATATTTTCTTTTTCTACTCATCTGTCGATGGGCACTTAGATTGTTTCCATATCTTAGCTATTGGAAGTAAGGCTACAATGAATGTGGGAGTGCAGATATCTTTAAGAAGTGGTAATTTCTTTCTCTTTAGATTTAGACTCAGAGGTGGGATTGCTGGATCATATGGTTGTTCTACTTTTAACTTTGGGGGTAACTTTCATACTGTTTTTCATAGCGGCTTTACCAATTTACCTTCCTAACAGTGTACAATGGTTCCCCATTTTCCACAATCTCACCAATGCCTCATCTTTTGGCCTACTGAGAATAGCCACCTTAACAGGTATGAAGTGATATCTCCTTGTAGATTTAATTTGCATTTCTCTGATGATTAGTGATGTTGAGCACCTTATTATATAGGTATAGATCATTTGTACATCTTCTTTTGAAAATTGCCTATTCAAGTCCTTTGCCCATTTTAAACTGGATTATTATTATTTGTTATTGACTTGAATAAATTACTTATGTATTTTGGATGTCAATGCCATATTAGACACATGATTTGCAAGTATTTTTTCCCATTTCCTAGATTGCCTTCTCATTCTTTTGATGTTTCCTTTGCTGTGAAAAAAAACTTTTTAAATTGGTGTAGTTCCACTTATTGTTGCTTTTATTTGCCTGTGCTTTTGGTGTCATAACAAAAAAAATATTGCTAAGGGAAATGTGAAGGACATTTTCCTTTATTTTTCTGTTATTAGAGTTCTATGGTTTTAGGTCCTTTGTTCAAATTTTTAATCCATTTTGAGTTGATTTTTTGTATGGTATAAGATATGAGTCCAACTTCATTCTTTTGTTTGTAGACAACCAGTTTTCCCAACACCATTTACTGTTGAGACTCTTTTCCCCCATGTGTATTCTCAGCTCCTTAGTCAAAAATAAGTTGATAGTGTATATGTAGGTTTCTATCTGGCTTCTCTATTCTGTTCCATTGGTCTTTGTATGTATTTTTATGCCAATATCATATTGTTTTTGATTATTATAGCTTTGCAATATAATTTGAAATCAGGAAGTGTGATGCCTCCAGCTTTGTTCTTTTTTCTCAGGATGACTTTAGCTATTTGGTGTTTTTTGGTGGTTCCACAAGAATTTTAGGATATCTTTCTATTTCTGTGAAGAATGCCATTAGAATTTTGATACAGATTACATTGAATCTGTAGATTGTTTTGGGTAGTATGAACGTTTTTAAATATAAATTCCTATAATAACTGAACACAAGACAACTTTCCACTTATTTGTGTCTCCCTCAGTTTCCATGTTTCATAGCTTACAGTGTACAGATTTTTAACCTCCTTGTTCATTTCTAAATGTTTTATTATTTTTGATTTGTGTTAAATAGAATTGTTTTCTGATTTCTTTTAGTATAGTTCACTGTTAGTGTCTAGAAACACTACCAGTTTTTGTACATTGATTTTGTATCCTGTAACTTTACCATATTCACCTATTAGTGCTAACAGTTTTATGTGGAGTCTTTAGGGGTTTCTACATATAAGATCATGTCATCTGAAAACAAATAATTTTGCTTTTTTTGTTCCAATATTGATGCCTTTTGTTTCTTTTCATTGCCTAATTGCTTGATTTGGTACTTCTAGTACTATGTTAAACAAAGGTGTCTAAGGTATGCACCATTGTCTTCTTTCTGCCTAAGAAGTAGAGCTTTTCAGTTTTGACTGTTGTTTATGTCATCTGTGGATTGCCATATATAGCTTTTATTACGTTGAAGTATATTCTTTCTATTCCTAATTTGTTGAGAATTTTCACCATGAAAGGGTGTTGAATTGTGTCAAATGCATTTTCTGTGTCTATTGTGATAATCAAATAGATTTTGTCCTTTATTATGTTAATGTAGTATATTGCATTTATTTGTTCATAGAAGTTGAGCCATTCTTGCATCCCAAGAGAAATTCCCACTTGATTTCAAGACAAGATCCTTTTGATATACTGTTGAATTCAGTTTGCTAGTATTTTGTTGCATCTTCTTACAACTATGCTTATCATGAATATTGGCCTACAGTTTTCTAATCTTGTAGTGTCTTTATCTGGCTTTCATACTGGGGTAATGCAGTTTTTATAAAATGAGTTTGGAAATGTGCCTTTTTAAAATTTTTAGAGAAGTTTGAGGAGAATTGGTATTAGTTTTTCTTTAAATGTTTGGTAAAAATTCAGCAGTAAAATCATCTCTTTGTTAGAAGATTTGATATCTGATGCAGTCCCCTTACTCAGTATTGGTCGTTTCAGATTTTCTATATCTTTATGATTCAGTCTTAGTAGGTTGTATCTTTCTAGGAATTTATCCAGTTCTAGGTTATCCAATTTGTTCTCATATAATTGTTTATAGTAGTTGCTTATGATCCTTTGTACCTCTGTCATAAGAGTTATAATATCTTTTCTTTCATTTTTAATTCTATTGATTTTAGTTTTTTCTCTTTTTTCATAGTCTATCTAAAGGCTTGGAAATTCTTTTTTCTTTAATCTTTTCAAAAAATTAACTTTTGGTTTCATTAATATTTTCTATGATTTTTTAGCCTCTATTTCACTTATCTCTGCTTTGATCTTTGTTATTTTCTTCCTTCTGCTAACTTTAAACTGAGTTTCTTCTTCTTCGCTTTCTTAGTTCCCTGCGGGGAAAAGTTAGGTTGTTTGTTTGAGGCTTTTCTTTTTTTAATATAGGTATTTATTACTCTAAATCTTCCTCTTAGAACTATTTTTGCTGCATACTCTATGTTTGATATGTTGTATTTCCATATATATATATATATATAATATTTTTAGATGTATGTTTTGATTTCTTCTTTGACCCACTAGCTGTTCAGGAGTTTGTTGTTTAATTTCCACAGATTGGTGGATTTTCCAGTTTATTATTTCATTTTGATATAGCTACCCCTGCTCTTTTTCAGTTGCCTTTTGCATAGAATATCTTTTTTTCATCTGTTCACTTTTAGCTTAAGCGTGTCCTTAAAGCTAAAGTGAGTCTCTTGTTGACTGCATATAGTTGGGTTTTAATTTTTATTGTTCAGTCACCATATGTCTTTTGATCAGGTCATCTACACATTCAGTAAAATACCCTCAGAGACACTTTTAATCAGAAGTACAGTACAAACTATGGTTATAAATAATACAAACTATGGTTATAAATAATTTTTATTACTGCAAATTAAATAGGACTGACACAACTTACAAAAGGCTCTGACAAGTTTCATAGCCCCTTATGCTAGCCACGGAACCAGTAATTATTTATAAGGGAAAGAGAGGCATAATATATTGGAACATATTCCTCATTATGTGCCACCCTAGAAATCTAGATAATGTGTAAATAGAAGGGCCAGGATTAGATTATCTGTTATTTTGTGACCTAAGCAAACCTTAATGACTGAACTCAATGTGAGGAATTTTTCCAAATCCATCTCCTGGCTGAATCTGAACAACTACTGTTTTAAAAACATTGAAAAATGAAATAGAATGTGAATAGAATTATATGCAAATTTATTTTTCTGGAAGTGGAGACTAAAATTTACTTACAGACAAAATTATTTTTGTTTAAGTAATTTACCAATGTGAAAAATGTAAAGCATTGTTTATTTCTAAAGCTGCAAAATCAACTTAAATTTTAATGCTTATGTTCTGTATTTTGTAAATGAAAATTGTTGTATGTAAAATATATCAAATTGTGTATTGAAGCTAATTATCATTTTGGTCAAGAGACATTTTTAGGTTTTGGTTACTTTTGGAGTAGAGGTTGGTCAAGAGAAATACAGAGATGGGACTCAGCTGAATTATTTCCCATTCCAACCAAACAAATATTTTTGTTTGATTTTTGAGTATTGTTTCCAATATGTTAATCCTTGCCAGATTCATGGATATTCAGGAAGTAAACAATACTACTTCAGGAAACAACTGATCACCTGTGGCATGGACCTGTGGAGTGAGCCATTTTCCAAATATAAGTAAAGATTTCAGGGCTGCTTTGGGAATGTCTGAGACCCTGGAATATGCATTGGTAATCTCACAAAGAAAATTCTTAGGAGTAATTAAGATAACTGCTACTTCAGGGGTTCACTATGTCAGTAAAGTAGAGCCAAAGTGAGCCAGAGTAAGAGCTGCAAGAAGATGGAAGAAGAGGCATACACTACTTTTGTGAGAACACATGGAGCACCCATTGGAAGTTTCAGAGAAAACTATTGTTGATATCAATCAATCATGTAGAAAAGGGCTTAGACCCTTTGAATAGAAGTATGAAAATTATATATAAAATCAACAAATGGAAGAATGAAAGACAGACTCTACACTACAGATCCCAAAAACTACCATTAAAATTATGACAAGAATCAAGAAGACTGACATCTGTGTTTTCTATTTTAATAGGAAAGAAAAAGAGAGGTTTATAGAAAAACCATTGTTGTATTGCTTTACCCTGAAGGATAAATGATGTGTCTGAAAACTTCTTTTGGACTTTCTAGATGATTTTTACCTATATACTAGGTAGCCTAGAGTCTAGGAGGAAAATTGAAAGAGAAATACTGAATACACAGAATATTGTGTAAATATAAGCAGACAGATAATAAGTATCTAGTGAAGCAATGGTATTTAGTCTTGTTCAAGCAATCAAATTCATAGAAGTGTCAAAAAATGATCTCAGGAGAGAGTGATAAGGAATGGGGACCAGGAAGTGAGGAGTGTCTTTATAAGCAATTCAATTTTTTAAATAGATAATCTTTATATTTTGATTCTCCTAATTTCTGTTATTTCTAAGGCATCACTAGATAGATAACTATTAAATCAGGTATTACCACATGACTTCCTGGAGCTCTTTTTTACTTTTTCTTTCAAGAATTAGTTAACATTTAGAAATTAATAAAATTTCAATTATATATTGCTAATCAGTTTAATGCTTAAAGTTGTTAGGCATTCTCTAGAGTTTTTATCTTAGTACTCTACATTTTATAATTTATTAAAATTTGCTATCCCTTTGATATCCTAGTGCTTCTATTTTTAATAAATTATGAAAAATATTATGATTATGGTATATAATTTTATTGCATATTTACAACTGAATTCCTTCTGTATTACTTTTGTTCCTTTAACATACTATAATTTAAGAGAAATATTTTTCTGGTCTGGATTGCAAACAAGAATAGCATTTTCCTTCAGCTATCATGTTCCTTAGTCTCCTTTATGTTGTAACAAATACTCAGTCTTTTTCTGCTTTTTTCTTTGACTCTAGAAGACAACCAGACAACTATTTTGCAGATTGATTTTCAAATTGGGTTTGTCTTAAGTTTACCCATGATTCAATTTGGGTTATGAATTTTTGGTGAGAATACCATAGAAGTGATATAGTGTCCATCTCAATGCATCATACTAGTAATCTAATGTGACATTAATTTTATCCTTCATTGACAATATTAACTTTGATGATTTTGATACTGCACTGCCACACATTTGTAGTAAGAAAAAACAAAATGAAAAACCAGTTTCACTTAAAATTTGTCCTCAATGAAGCAATAAAATTAATTTTATGAAATCATAATGTGAGCACGTATCTGTTTAATATTCTGTGTTACAAAAAGGGAAGTATGCAAAAAGAACTAACACTGTATACTTACATATTATGGTGGTCATGAAGTAAAGTACTTATGTGCCTCTTTTTTATACAAAACTGTCTTCATATGAAATGCCAATTGACAGGCAGTGTGCAGCCATTCATACATAAGTATTTGGTAGATGTCTTCTAAAAAATAAACTAAGTCTGACACTTCAAGAAAAACAATTAGTAGTATTTGTTTTAGATAATAATTCAATAAATGAAAATTGGAATTTTGGAAAACTTGCATCTACCACCTTGAGCTTTACAGCTTCCTTATACTAAAGGCCTTTCTGATGAGAGTTATGATATTGACAAAGGTAAGTTTTTGGTGTTTTAGAATGAAATGAGTCACCATTACAAATATCAGTATAATTCAGCAAACCTATATTTTCCAAATGACCAAAGCATGATAGGACAAAGTCATGCCAAAATAAATTTCATTTAAAAATGCATGAGAGACCAATGGATTTTCACAGAGCAGAGTACACAAACTTCACTGATATGATATTAGGTTTCATACTATATATTACCTCCATAAAAATTACAATTGTTGAATTTTGCTATAGCACCAAAGAATAATATACACTATTATCTGAATCAGCAATTAAAATACTCTTCTCCTTCCCAATTACCTATATGTGTAAGTGAAGCTAGATTTTTCATATATATTTAAAATAAAAAAACGTGTTGTATTAATTTAAGTGCAGGAACAGACATGAGAATCTAACTGAGGATTACCCAACCCAGGAAGGGTTAAAGAGGGCTTCCTATTTCAATCTGAAGGAAGAAGAGATTTATATTCAAAGGTTTTAGAGAATGGACAAGAGAGTAATCAAACACAAGGCCATTTGCCAACCCCATACTTTAGTTGTAAGATCCTTCTACCAAATTCTTTTTTTCTTTCATTTTTAACACTTTTTGGAGACTTCTTTTGCACTAAAGATTTTCTCATTACACAAAGAAGACATTTGGAGAAGAGTTTAATCTCAGCCTCCTATTCTCTCCGTAATTTAAGTAAGAACTATCTTGGAATTCTCTACAACAGGCCATGAAAAATTAAGATTAATCCAAATTTTCTGTGGCTCCACAGTACAATTTGCTTTCAGACATTATAGTTACTTAGTACACTATTATAATCATCTATATAATTTCTATTTATCTGTGTGTGTGTATATATATATGTGTGTATATGTGTGTGTATATACATATATATATCAATGAGGATTTACAAGAATATACAAGAACGTATAAACATATAGGAAAAAATTTAATATGTTTGATTAGATCTGCTTGTTTTTGCAATCGGTAAATCAGCCATAGTTCATGCTTTCAAATTCTGAGATAGGCAATTTAATAGAAGCATAAACATGGAGAAAAACAGCAAGTGCAATCCTGCCCTCCTCACAAAAAGAGTTTATACCACTTCATATGGTAAAAAATAACCAATGACATCCAATAGAAAAAACATCTGAAAGTACTTTTCATTGTTTAACCATTATAAGTCAGCTGTGGAGGCCTCTGGGAGGAAAATATTTTATTTAAATTTTGAAATATCAACTTTCATCTTATTTTTGTTTAATGATCTTTGGTTTCTAAAAAATATATTTGTCATAAGAAACAAACAAACCAAATAACTTGAGGAATAAAACATAAAATGAAACATTTCAAAGATCTTGTGTACTGGTATATTTTCTCAAGATGTTATTGTGAATGCCTGCTTCCAATACAAAAAAGTAGCAAAAAGTGGGATGGGGAAAATAAGATTAGATAACTAGGTAATAACCATAAACGATGCCCTTTTTAAGAAATCCAATTGTTGTTTATCTTAGAATCTAAAGCAATGTAATGAGATGCTTTTGTTCATAAAAGTCACTCAAAATCCAGAGTTATAAATGTCAACAAGCTGCATGAAAGCTCAATTTTAAGATTTAGTACTATGTACAAATGAAGACAAAAATAAGCACAAACATAAGAGTTGCATTTTAATATAGGTATCCATTATCTAATGTTTATATAATGGAAGCCAAATGACTTCATTATTATCTGTGCTATTACACTGAATACCAGATGAACTCATCATACAGGCATACTTGCTTTAAAACCTATTACAGCCCCATCAATGACAAGAGCAACATATATATGCAAACTTCTTTAGATGACTAATTTGATTTTTGTGTTAACTGCTAATGTGTTATTAATCAACAGTTCATTATACTTTTAGATAACCTTAGTTTATTTCTGCTTTATTTGTACACAACTCATTTCTGTAATGTCTTGCTCTATAAAATTTTATTCCTATTTAAACATTATTATCCTTAGATAATAAACACATATATGCAAATATCAGATGGAAAAATATTGAACCTACTAAATTATTTGGTTATGTCCAGATCTTAGAAAGTACAATTGTTTTGGTGCAAAGTTTTTTTCCATTAACTTGATAATTTTCAAAATAGAATAATTGAACTCTGGCTTAGACTATATATTCACATACAAAAACTCCTTGAACACACCCAGTTTATCATTTCAATTTTTATTGTTCTGAATTTGTCTCATAGATGGAAATTTAATTTGCTTGGTACATAAATTGTTGTTTTGATTTGCTGGGTCGTAGCTAAAATAAAATGATAAAATGTATTTAGATGATATGCTATCTAAAAACAAAAATAAAAATCAATAGTGAGTCAAACGTTGTAAAGTTGATTTCAAAGAACCATAGAATTAAAACAGACACATTTTTCTAAGCAGGTAAATAAAAGCTGTTGAGGCTTACCAGAAACAACATATTTTCATGAGAAAATCTAGAGTTTAAACAGCTGGCGTTATTATGGAAAGTTCAACTATCAGTAAAGAAAATTGGCAATGGTTTTTTATCCTTCCCTGAGGCAATCAAAGATACTCACTAGAATTACATAAATATGTATGTAAGAACTATTCACTTAAAATATCTGACTAATTTAGAGTTTGTTTGGATATAATATTGGTGTGTTATACACCCCTAAGTCTTCCCAACAATATAATGGATTATTGAAATATGTATAACTACTCTTTTTAAATATGGTGAGTTTTATTTATTTATTTTTCCTCCCAACTTTTACTTTAGGTTCAGAAGGTATGTGTGCAGATTTGTTTCATGTGTAAATTGCGTGTTGCTGGGGTTTGGTGCACAAATGATTTTGTCCCCCAGGCAGTGAACATAATACCAGCTTGGTAGTTTTTCCATCCTCACCCTCCTTCCACCCACACTTCACCCTTAAGTAAGCCCTGGAGTCTATTATTCCCTTCTTTGTGTTCATATGTATGCAACATTTAGATCCCACTTATAAGTGAGAATATGCAGCATTTGGTTTTCTCTTCTTGCACTATTTCCCTTAGATATTGGCCTCCAGCTGTATCCATGTTTCAGGAAAAGACATGATTTTATTTTTTTTTTTATGGCTGCATAGTATTACATGGTGTAAATGTACCACATTTTCTTTACCAAGTCCAGTATTCATGGGCATCTAAGTTTATTCCATGTCTTTGCTATTGTAAAAAGTGCTGTTATGAACATACAAATGCATGTGTCTTTTTGGTACAACAATATATACTCCGTTAGGTACATACCCAGTAATGGGATTGTTAGGTAAAAAGGTAGTTCTGTTTTAAGTTCTTTGAGAAATCTCCAAACTGCTTTTCACAATGGCTGAACTAATTACATTCCCATCAGCAGCATATAACCATTCTCTTTTCTTTACATCCTCACCACCATGTATTATTTTTTGACTTTTTATAATAGCCATTCCAACTGGTATGAGATGATATCTCATTGTGGTTTTGATTTGCATTTCTCTAATGATTAGTGATGAGTATTAATGTTTGTTGGCCATTTGTATGTCTTCTTTTGAGAAGTGACTGTTCATGTCCTTTGCCCACTTTTTAATGGGGTTGTTTGTTTTTTGTTTGTTGATTTGTCCAAGTTTTTTTTATAGATTCTGGATATTAGGCTTTTGTTGAATACATAGTTTACACATATTTTCTCCCATTCTATAGGTTTTCTGTTTACTCTGTTGATAGTTTCCTTTGTTGTGCAAAAGCTCTTTAGTTTAATTAGGTCCCATTTTTCAATTTTTCTTTCTGTTGCATTTGCTTTTCGAGCCTTTGTCATGAAATCTTTTTCAAGGCCTATGTCCAAAATAGTATTTTATAGTTTTTCTTCTAGGGTTTTTATAGTTTGAAGTTTTACATTTTAGTCTTTAAACCATCTTGAGTTGATTTTTGTTTGTGGTGAAAGAAAGGGGTCCAGTTTCAATCTTCTGCAGTGACCAGCCTGTATTATCCCAGCATCATTTATTGAATACAGAGTCCTTTCCCCATTGCTTGTTTCTGTCGACTTTGTCAAAAATCAGACGGTTGTAGGTGTGCAGTTTTATTTCCAGGTTTTCTAACTTGTTCTATTTGTCTGTGTGTCTATTTTTGTATCAATATCATGATGTTTTGGTTACTGAAGTCTTGTAGTATAGTTTGAAGTAAAGTCATTTGATATTTCTGGCTTTGTTCTTTTTGCTTAGGATTGCTTTGGCTATTCAGGCTCTTTTTTGTTCCATATGAATTTTAGGTAGCTTTTTCTAATTCTATGAAAAATGATGTTTATAGTTTGATAGGAATAGCATTGAATCTCTAAATTACTTTGGGCTATATGTCTGTTTTTACAATATTGATTCTTCCTGTCCATGATCTTAGAGTATTTTTCCATTTGTTTGTGTCATCTCTGATTTCTTTCAGTACTGTTCTGCAATTTTCGTTGAATAGATAGATCTTTTACATCCTTGGTTACCTGTATATCTAGGTATTTTGTTCTGTTGTGGCTTTAAATATGACAAATCTGGTGATAGAAATTGCTTCATGTCATTCATACAAACACTAACATGTCATGATACATACAAGATACAGAAATATGTATTCAACATACCAATGTGACAGACAGCGTTTTCACAGATAGTGGAATAAAGCCCAGGGACTTTGGTAGCCAATGATCATGGCATGTGGAATTCATCCTCAGTAGTGCTAGGAAGCTGTGCCATAGAAATGCATTTTATATTTCATAAGTGACTCTTACAATGAATCAACCAACAAATGGAATATTAGTTAAATATATTTCCACAGGAAAATGCAAAGTGGAGTCATAACTGAATACCTCTTATGAAAACATTTCAATAGTTACTAGCTAACCTTTATTTAATGCTTGATAAAAGTAAGTACAACTTCAAATTCTAGACTGGTTTAAATTGTTTAATACTTATTACAGCCTTAGACTGGAGTTGTTATCAGCATTTTATAGATAGTGCCCTATAGAAGTAATTTGTCTAAGAGCACATAGCTAAAAAAGAGCAAGATTCAAACCCAAACAACTTTATTTCAGAACTTAAATTCTTCACCCATGGTCTTTTACTATAGCTATGTTTTTAGTTTGCAAATAAAAAGAGTGAAAATTTACATAAAGTAACTAATAATATTTTCAATCCTAGAGAATATATTGGGAATAAATTTTCTTGTCTCAAAATTTACAAAATGTACTTACGTATCTAAGTTTTAATTATCACTGATACAGAAGAACAAGTACAACTTTAATTAGCCATAAAGAAAGAAATATTGACTATTATTTTAACATAGAAAAAATTTAAATCTATGAGAATTGGTTCTTTGTATTCTAATAAATTATAATTTTCCACTTACATAACATTTGTGTTATTTCTCTGTAGATATTATAAATCCATATGTATTTCTCTAGAAAATTTTATTTTTTTAACAAAATATATTATGAATAGAATATTGGATGATTATTTTTGGTTAAATTTGCTATCAAATTCTATTGGAATTATATTTTGTCACAAGCTGGTAAGCTATTCACCATTGTAGACATTCTTTTGCATAAAATATATATCTGTGAGGATTGTCCTGGCAAGACTGTGAATGTAACAAGTGTTTCAAAAGTTCAGTAAAATCATCCCAACATTTAGTAGTATTTTCAGTGGAAAATTATTGAAATTGTTACTTATTTTGAAACTACAAAGTATTAGAATACCTAGAATGCTTGGCAATGAACCCTGTTGGAGTATTAACAGCTTGTCGTCTTCTAACTCTAACCCTAAGAGGTTGTGCATATTTAAATTTGAATGAAGTTGATTTTTCTATACTTTAGCTAGTCCTAGCCATTGTAAACTTTTCTGCCCAATACTCAATAATAAGGAAAAGTAGTTTTTGTTTTTTTTTTTTCTCCTGAGGGAAAAATAGACTTTTATGTACTTCATACATGGGATTTGATTTTATGTGTAAGTTATTCACTCAAAATAATAAATAATTGTCTTGTGAAACTTAGAACAAAAAAGAATCAAAAGAAATATAAATCTACATTCTAACAAGTTTAGCGCTGTACCCCACAAAACCGTTGGTAATGATGTCTACAGATTGTCTTAAAAGACTTGGATACCACCAGATGGTGCTCTTACAGAGCCAGAGACAGAACATTCTCTACAAGATTTGAATAAATAAAGAAATAAATGCAGTGACTTTGTGAATTAGAGAGGTCATTATCTTTCTCTCACATTCTCAGATAATCCCATGATGCTCATTAATCCATGTTTGAAAACATTTTTCAGTGCCTGAAAATTTGGAATCCTAACACATTTTTAAAAACCATATTGAAAATGTTAACAAAAAATAAAAATAGCTAAAAAAAGACTTTTAAATTGGCAGGATTCTTGAGACTGATATGAAGAGAGAAAGAGAAACTACTATATATAGCTTGAACCATAGTAAGTGCTCACAAATGTTCAATATTATCATTAAATAATAGTATTATTGTTAAAAGTAGTATTAACTAATGTGTATGATGATCAAAATGTTAAATTTAACAGATGTCCACTAGAAAATATCCCATACAAATATATGTGCATATATTTAAATTTATACTTATTCCTCTATTGTGTACAAAATTTATGAGATTAACTTGAAATAAATGGCAAATAAAAAATCAAATCATGAGTTTCTTTTGTTCCTCCAAAACATGATTTGATGACAATCCCAGTATGTCTAAAGTAAATATATTTGAAATAGTGATATAAACTTAACAAAAATGTTATTATTGAAAAAACATCCTTCAATTATTGTTGATTTTAACCAAACCGAAATATAACAGTCCTCACATTGTAAGGCATTCCCCCTCTTCAGTTCCAATAAAGTGTCACTGGGCTTATTTGAAAATCAGCCTTACAGTTGATACTTTTCCCCAAGAATTTTCAAAATTAGTCCATGCAAAATCGTCATCTTCACTAGTTTCACAGCTTCCTCCTTTTGGCAACTCATTTTAAAGTTTTGTGTAATACCTTATAACCATAAAATAGTAAGGATAGAGGTCAATCCTTAACAATTGCCTAGGTTTAAATCCTGTATTAAGTTATATAATGTCTCCAGGACAGATTTCTTCTCTATTAGAAGTAATATTTAAAATAGTGCCTGTGGTATAGCATTATATTCCCCACCTTGAGAATTTGTACACACACATACACACACACACATACACACACATATCTTGAACAGTATTTAGCATATAAAATGGGCTTTTAAACATTAGCTATTGTCATTATCATTGTGGTTGCTGTTAATGGGTCCATGGCAAGAGAATAAAATGGAAACTATATAATAAATTTTTATTTCTGAAATAATTTAAATAATTTCATGTTATTGTGTGATTATAGTATAAAGACAACAGAGAAATAAATATCCTAATTTGTGGGTAAATCATAATGATGGATGGTAGTTTTTGTTTTATTTTGTATATGTTTATACAAAAAGGTTATAGAGGCTTGTAAAATACAAGTAATATCTAAGCATATAGAATAAAAAGTGAATGTACATTTTCTCTATCCCTTTTAAATTTATGTTTATTCCCAGATATAATCACAATTACCATTTTTAGTTTTATTTTTTATTAGTCTTTCTTGGAAAACTGCTCTTTGTCTTTTCTAGACTATTAATGAATATTTAAATATTAGGCAATTAAGAGGAACTCACATCCTCTTTCAGCACATTCTACTCTCTACCCACTATTTTCTCAGAAATTCTCTTCCATTTAGTCCAAAATGTATATTTAAAATAACCATACCTCTTATCCCTTGTGTGTGTGTATATATATGTATATTCTTGAGTATACATATATACATATATATACATATATGTATATTCTTGAGTATATATATACACATATGTATATTCTTGAGTATATATATATTCTTGAGTGTATATATACTCAAGAATAAGTAAAATGTATATATACATATATACATATACGTGTACAAATATACATATATACATATATACATATATGTATATTCTTGAGTGTATATATATACACATATATGTATATTCTTGAGTATATATATTCTTGAGTATATATATATTCTTGAGTATATATATTCTTGAGTATATATACATGTATATACTCAAGAATAAGTAAAATTCAAATTATTGAAATAAATTGTATTACAAATATTAAAATTTTATTCATAGAATAGTTAGAAACTTTATATCCTAGATGTAAATATTACTCAATTTCCTCAAGATCTACTTCTTTGTCAAGTTTAATGGTGTCAGTAGAAAAAAATATGATTAGCAAATACTCTTTCATTCAATGACAATAAACTCCAAGGTAGCTCTCCTTTAAGTTGCCATATCCCTATTAAAAAGTTAAGTCACATTATAGGTAGTTAAACTTCACAGA
Organism: Homo sapiens; assembly: GCF_000001405.40. NCBI lineage: Eukaryota > Metazoa > Chordata > Mammalia > Primates > Hominidae > Homo > Homo sapiens. The sequence continues at coordinate 27,551,734 of NC_000014.9, read as the reverse complement.
AAATCCTCAAGCTTTATGAGAACACATATTTTCAAACCTCTTTTCTTACCCCAAATATTAACAAAACGCTTAAGAGCATACATTACCAGTGTGCATTTTTTCCTATGAGTTATTCAAGTTTTGGTGTTCTTCAGTGGAGGTGATAATAAGCAAATGGCAGGAAGCCAGGGTTGTGTTAATGTGATGGAAATGTGAGATGCTCATGTACAAATGCTAAAGAAGAGAGACAAAAAGATAATGAATGAGCTATTCTCTGTCTTTAAAAACTGGGAATTAACTCCTTAAAAATGGAAACTAATTGCAAATTTACAAAGAAATGCTATTTTTAATACACAGAAATTAGGACATTTTGGAAGTTCAGCTATTAAAAACAATTCCTTGGTGAATTTTGTGTTGCACTAAGCTACTTTATAAAGCTTCCAAAAACATTTCCTACCTTCTGTTTATATCGTTGTCCTTCATTTTCCTCAAAGTGCATCTCTGATTTGTGGCTTCACTCCAGTTTTTCATTTCCCCTGTATTGCTCTCCTGCTTCTCCTCAACCAATGCTTCAATGCATAAAAATGTCGTTTACTTTTTAAATTAAAAGTTCCCTAATTTTCCCTTTTTCAAGAATCATAGTGCATACATGGATACTGTACAGTTTATTCTCTTCCCATTGCTGTTGGTTCAGGTGTGTTAGTCTTTCCTTTCCAGTGTGACCATCGCTTCAGGTCGGGAGTGATGACTATACTGGTCTTTATGCGGTATGTTTTTTAAAATGTATAGCATGATGGATTTCAGGATCATACACACTAATTTTTTATTCTTATCCCTTATTGTATATATCAATGCATTTCATATATTTTCACACAAAACTTTAAGAAATGCATGGATATAGGGAAAATGACATTAGATCTCTTTACCTAATTAGCAAATAAGGTAACTTTATTGTGCTATTTTAGTTAATTTTGACAAATATTAAACTAGATATATCTTTTAAAAATATTCTTTCCTTAATAATAAGGCATATTAGATGCTGTGAAGATACACCGAAAATAATAATAATGCCAGTTTCAATTAGACTTCCTGAAAAATATCCCAGGCTTCCCACTGGTCCAGGATGTGTCCTGTTCTGCTGAAATGGAAATTTTGCTTCAACTCACAATATCAACAGTTCAGATTCCTTGGTCTTTCTGGCATGTGATTAGGAGAGGTTGGACTAGTGGGAAAATAATAATACATAAGAGAGGACTTTGCTATAATTTATCTTCCCCTCATTATGTCCCTCTCCTCTTGAAAACCCCCACACTTCCACATATACCACCTTCTCCAACACCATTACTACTATAATCACTGCCATTATCAGTGTCTCTGTTGCTTGAGTTGAGTCTTTATTCTTCAGATAAGGAATCTCAAGTTTCTAGGTAACAGAAAAGATAGGATGTATATTAAATGTAGGGAATCCTCTCCTAGTCAAAATTCAGCTGCCTTTTTTAATGATACAAAGCAAAAACCCTAAAGTCACTAAGGATTTGCTTTCCTTATAAGTTAGAATAGAAAAAAATTGGTAAATATTAATGAATTGAATTTTGTAATAAGATATTTTTTAACTTACATAATTATCTTTATCTTTATTTTAATTCTGATACTATCTAAAAATATAATGTAAGAATTCCAACACTCATTTCTCAAATCTATTAGTGGTCAGCTTAAATGTTACTGTTTGGAATGTAATAATTATGTTATAGTCTATAATATTATATTCTTTATTAATCATTTAAGCAAAATATGTAGTATGTCCTTTTTTAATTTAGTTTACTGATTTCCTCATCCAAATTTATTAACTGAAGGTATAACACTTTTTATACCAGCAATATATACCCAAAGTCATGAGGAAAATAGAATAAAGAACATAATCATTTAAATTACTCCTGTGTATTACTCTGTTCTCACACTGCGAATAAGGACATACCTGAGACTGGGTAATTTATAAAGGAAAGAGGTTTAATTGACCCACAGTTCAGCGTGGCTGGTGAAGCCTTACAATATGGTGGAAGGCAGAAGAGGAGCAAAGTCATGTCTTACATAGTGGCAGGCAAGACAGCATGTGCAGGGGAACTCCTCTTTATAAAACCATTAGCTCTTGTGAGACTTATTCACTATCACAAGAACATCATGGGAAAGACCCACCACCATGATTCAATTACCTCCTTCTTAGTCCTTCCCATGACATGTGGGAATTATGGGAGCTACAGTTCAAGATGAGATTTTTGGGTAGGGACACAGCAAAATCATATCATTCCACCCCGACCCCTTGCGAATCTCATGTCTTCACATTTCAAAACCAATCATGCCTTCCCAACAGTCCCCCAAGGTCTTAATTCATTTCAGCATTAACTCAAGAGTCCACAGTCCAAAGTCTCATCTGAGACAAGGCAAGTCCCTTCTACGTATGATCCTTTAAATTAAAAGTAAGTTAGTTACTTCCCAGAAACAATGGGGGTACAAGGTGTTGGGTAAATATGCTCATTCCAAATGGGAGAAATTGGCCAAAACAAAGGGGCTACAGGCCCCATGAAGTCCAAAATGCAATAGTGCAGTCATTAATACTTAAAGTTACAAATGATCCCCTTTGACTCCATGTCTCACATCCAGGTCAGGCTGATGCAAGAGGTGGGCTCCCAGGGCCTTGAGCAGCTCCACCCCTGTGGCTTTGCAGGGTACAGCACCCTCCTGGCTGCTTTCACAGGTTGGCATTGAGTGGCTATAGCTTTTCCAGGCACACAGTGCAAGCAGTTGGTGGATCTACCATTCTGGGGTCTGGAAGACAGTGGCCCTCTTCTCACAACTCCACTTGTCAGTGCCCCAGTGGGGCTCTGTGTGGGGGCTTCCACCTAATATTTCCCTTCTTCATTGCCCTAGCAGAGATTCTCCATGAGGGCTCCACACCTGCAGCACACCTCTGCCTGGACATTTGGGTATTTCCATACATCCTCTAAAATCTAGGCAGAGGATCCCAAACCTCAATTCTTGACTGCTGTACATCACAGGTTCAACACCACATGGGAGCTGCCAAGGCTTGGGGCTTGCACCCTCTGAGAAACCATGGCCTGAGCTGTATCTTGGCCCCTTTCAGCCATGGCTAGAGAGGCTGGGATGCAAGGCACGAAGTCCCAAGGCTGCACACATTTCTTGGACCTGGCCCAGGAAACTATTTTCCCCTTCTAGCCCTCTGTGCCTGTGATGACAGGGGCGTTGTGAAGGTGTCTGACATGCCTTGGAGACATTTTCCCCATTGCCTTGACAATCAACATTTGGCTCCTCATTACTTATGCAAATTTCTGCAGAGGCTTTAATTTCTTCCCAGAAAATGTTTTTTTTTCCTATCACATAGTGAGGCTGCAAATTTTCCAAACTTTTATGCTCTGCTTTCTCTTGAATGATTTTCTGCTTAGAAATATCTTCTGCAAGATACCCCAAATTATCTCTCTCAAGTTCAAAGTTCCACAGAACTCTAGAGCAGGGTCACAATGCCACCAGTCTCTTTGCATAGCAAGAGTCCTTTACTCCAGTTCCCAACAAATTCCTCATCTCCATTTGAGACAAGCTCAGCTGGGACTTTATTGTCCATATCACTATCATGATTTTGGTCAAAGCCATTCAACAAGCCTATAAGAAGTTCCAAACTTTCCCACATTTTGCTATCTTCTTCTGACCCCGCCAAATTGTTCCAAGTTCTGCCTGTTACCCTGTTCCAAAGTTGCTTCCACATTTTCATGTATCTTTACAGTAGTGCCCCATTCCCAGTACCAATTTACTGTATTAGTCTGTTCTCACACTGATAATAAGACATACCCAAGATTGGGTAATTTATAAAGGAAAGGTTTAATTGACTTACAGTTTCACATGGCTGAGGAAGCCTCACAATCATGGTGGAAGGCAAGAGAGAAGCAAAGTCAGGTCTTACATGGCAGCAAGCAAGAGAGCGTGTGCAGGGTAACTCCCCTTTATAAAACCATCAGATCTCGTGAGACTTACTCACTATGAAAAGAACAGCATGGGAAAGACCCACTCTCATGATTCAATTACCTCCCACCAGGTCCCTTCCATGACACATGGGAATTATGGGAACTACAGTTCAAGATGAGATTTTTTGGGTGGGGGCACAGTGAAACCATATCATCTTGTAATCAGGAAAAAATATTAAAAAATGAACTTTTTCCCTACAGTTAGCCAATTATTTCAATAAGTAGGTTATCACTAGGGCTAATAGAAGGCAAAACTAGGTAGTGTTTGGAGTTACTCGTGGGTCCGCATCCTCTTTCCATTTCATTTTCTTCAAGTCTCTCTCATGCCCATTGTAGTTAGTGGGTATACTTAATTGTTGTGTGTCTTTTACACAAGTCTGTATTTCTTCAAGAGGTGCTAATAGCAAGGCATCTATAAAACAATCTAGTAGCACCTAGTAAAGAATGACAAGTAAGTTAAATTTAATTCTTGTTCTCATGTACTTTCTGATCAATGATGTGGAATAAATGAAACACACACACACAGATTCATGGAAAAATATTCTCAATAGCATAGGTATAGCAACTTAAACTTTTAATATTTCAATGAAAAGTCACTGGCAAAAGTGGAATTACTGAAGAAACTATTTCTAAGTTCTAATTTTCCATTTCACTAAAATAAGCTTTTTTCAAATAAGATTGGTTGGGAGTGACATCAATAAAGTAACAAAGCTTCAAACTGTCTCTCTACCCAAAAAGTAATATTTTTACAACTTCACCAAAAAATTTGTAGAACAATTGAAAGATGATAGAAAAGAAGAAAAGTAAATTCAGATAAATGTTTCATTCAGTGCAGTCAATCAAATGAATCCTTGAGAAGTTTACGTATTACCACCTCCTATATATTTTACATTGACTTTCCCTCTATCTTCACATATGAGAAATTGAACTTTACAGCAAGGTGGACACATCCAGCCATCAGCTTAGAAATGGAAAATTGTAATAGCTATATTTTCAGATATAATTCACAGGTTAAACCTGGTGGGAATTGCTTTTCTCTGCATGGACTTTTAAGGATGATGCATTCCACAAAATGTGTGTCACTCTCATTCTGTCTCTGAAGATCACTGGATGCTGTGAGATGGAGACGGGGATAAAGGCAATGCTGTAGACCCCCACTGAATTAAGAGCTCCGATTTCATCAGCAATATGTTGATATAAGACTCCTACACTATTTTTTTTCTTTTTTGGTTGGGAAATATAATCTTTAATGGTTGAATAAATTTCTCTCTACACATTGACTAATAGTAAATCTTTTTAGATCTCATTCAGCTTTATCGTTCCCTCTGGCAGTTCAGTTGTTGGCCCAGATTTATTAAGGTTCGACAGAAAGCAACTGAAATCTCCCTTAGAAATAAAGTTCCTGGTGTGAAGAAAAAAAAGATCCATAAAAAGTCTCATCCTTAGGACAGCAACTTTTATAATGCACAGCTGATCTGAATAGCTCTCTGGATTGTGGCCTTGGACAACAGTTCAGACTGCATTATTGAGTATGAACCTTGAGCTTTCTGAGTCTCTTCTTTTTGCTCTTTTACTAGCAGACCCATACATATTCTAGTCATTCTCCTTTACCATATAAAAGAGAATCAGATCTCAAGTTAGATATAAAACAAGCTCTCTGGTGTTTCTCTCCCATACGTTAAAGCAATGTCCAAGAAACTAGTCTATCACTAATCTTTTTTCAAGGATTTAAGAGGACTTTACCATTGCTCAATTTGTTCTCACATTTATCTTGGAATATTTCCTTAAGATTAAGCATAAATGGGGAAGCACTAAAATTATTTATGTACGAACACTGTAAGAATCTCACAATTCTCTTAAAGCATTTTTTAGTTTGTTTATTTTACATGGATGTTGTACAGTAAACAACCAAAAGAAAGTTGTTGTACAGTCCTTCTTAAAGAGGCAGGGCTTCACAGTAACATAGTTCTTCTCTTGGATGAAATTAAAATGGAGGCGATGTATACTAGCATTGAGCAATATGCAAAGAACATGGATTCTAAAATAAAATATTTTTGAAAATCTGGATAGGAGTCTCAGCTCTCAATGTGTCAATTTCCTTAAGTAATGGAAATTGTTTTCTGTTTTTGTTTTTGTTTTTGTTTTGTAACTTCTGATTTCTATGTGTAAAACTCTCACGAATAGTACTATTGTGGTTAAAGCTGAACTGGTGTAGACAAGATGTAGAGAACTAGTATTCCAGACACAACTTTTTCTCCTACCTACCATATTGTCAAAGTTCTTATTGCAGAAAAGAGAATTCACTCTTTTCAGCATCAGGCAAAATAATTTTTTAATGAGTGTAGAATTAGTTGTGAAGGATGACAAAACAGATGCTAGGCAGAGATTTCAGAAAAAAATCTCGTTATCATGCTGCAAAACTGTCTCACAAGAGAACTCGCCTCTGTCTTACAGAGAAGTTCTGAATCTGAGTTCTTTGATTTTGTTTCATGAATCCCAAAAGATTTGGGGGTAAAATTCAAAGTATCTAATAGTGCAGTAGGGAAAAACAATTACATATTTATTTTCAATAACCTCTATGGCTATAAAAGTAGGAAGCAGTAGTAGTAATGTCCATGACTAACAAAAATTCAAATGCAGATATATTTTTGGCAGGTTTCTCAAGATATAATATACCTTTATTATTACTTCACAATTTTAGTCTGTGATAGGCCTATTGTATCATCATATTTTAGTTTTCTATAGAAACCACATATATCATAAAGTACTATATCAGAAACTTGTTATAAAAATAATTTGATGCTGTTTTTGTTATATTTTCACATATTTTTATTTTCACATATTTACTTAGCTATCTCTTAGGACAGTTTTAAATTCACAGCAAAATTGAGTGGAAAGTACAGAGAGTTCTCATCGATCCTTTGCCCAGACATTTGCACAGCCTTCCCCACTATTGACAACTCTCACCAGGTGGTACATTTCTTAGAACTGATACTGACATCGCTATCACCCAAGGTCCACAGTATATGTTAGGGATCACTCTTGGTGGTGTATATTCTATAGGTTTGAAAAAAATACATAATCCTATGTATCCATTATAGTGCCATACAGAATAATTTTATGGAAAATGATACAGAACAACTGTAAACAATACAAAGAAAATCAAGGGGGAAGATTTTCAGAGGATATTTCTTCACTGCTAATTTTATATACAGATTTTTATTTTATTTCCACAAAATGGCCATAGTGGAAGGTCATGTAAAATGTAAATGAAGCTTTGAAATGATGTATTTGTGTCCCAGTTTCACAATTTATCTGTTGAATGACTATGGGCAAAGACATGCACCTTATTATCTAAAGTTTTGTAAAATTAAGATAGTACCATCTACTTCCTGAGGGTGTAGAAGCAATAGAAATCCTATACCCAAAAAATTTTTAAAAAGAGCCTAGCTCATGTTATTGTAAAGATTTAGTAGTATAACAATTGCTCTATTTTTCACCATGTAAGTTAGCAAATTTTGAATAATATAAATTTTTCTTTTCATATATATTTTTCAAAATTATATGTTAATTAACATTCTCTTTTTTATTAATATTTGGTTTTCTATGAGAATCCTTCATCCATGGAATCTATTCTTTCCTATAATAACCAAGATTTATTGTTTCCTTGCTATTATTAATAGTACACAGTCCCTACTATATCTCTTTATCTAAGAATTATCTCTATTATTATGTGTTTTAGTAGCTCTATGACTTTATTTTAGTCAAATTTTCTTAGATCTTTTCTTTTACTACCTAATATTTTTCTTCTAATTTATTTTAAATGTTCCTTGCTTTGAATTTAAATTGACCAACATGAACCTATTGTATGAAGAATTATTTTGCTAATCATTCACTTTCTTAATATTTATTTTAATGTCCATTCCAAATCTAAAGCTCCATATGTTAAAATTAGAAAACAAAATTTCTTGTTACAAGTTTGCTGTTGCTTTCAGTAGAAGTTCTATATTTTTCCAAACACCTAAATTCCCAATCTGAGGGACCATGCTGATCTACTTCTGTTTTCTGTTGACCTATATTTAATTTATCTCTAGGCCCGATAACTGTTTTGTCTGTGACATCTCTGATTCAAACCTATTAGTATGAACAACTAACACTGAAACCTAAGATGCTAAATTGTCTCAAAGGAAGATACTATAGTTTTAACTATATTTTTTATTTACTTTATAAAAACAAAAAAAGCCTATATTGAATAACATAGTTGTAAAATGTTTAGAAACACTACAACATTGAAGTAAAAAATTAGAGCATTTTGTTGGTTTTTATTAATAAATTTGTGTATTTAATCTTGGGAGAATTTTTATTTATCGTGAGGCTCACTTTCCTCAAGCACAAAAATGGATTAAATACTCAAATGGTTATTGCGAGAATGAAATGATAAAGTGGACATAAAAAGCAGAATGCCAAGTACACAATGCACCTTTCATTTTCATATAAAAAGGAAAGGAACAATTTAATTGCCAAATAAAACCCTGAAAGTACCTGGAACAAAACGTATTACTATTTTTTTGGTAAATACTTTTTCAGTCAAGTTGGGTACATTTCCAAATATTGATTCCAGGAATATAGGATTAAGGTAAAAAATGGCAGTGGGAAGCCCCCAAAGCGGTTTCATGTATACGAGTCATCAAACTATCACTCTCCAAATCATGAGGATTTCCTTCTGATCATATACTACTCTAAAGACTGATGGGCATGAAAATAACATTGTTGTGAATAAGTGAGAAAGTAACTAACATACTAGTCATATAATATGTTATTCGTAATTATTGGTCCAAGATGTATCCCCTTGATAGAGTCAGGATGATTATTCTCCATTCTCTTTGGAATGTCAAAATGAAAATGCCAGTATCTTTCTTCCATGTTCTTTGAAATGATAAAATACTATTCTAGTTAAATCACTTGCTTTCAGTTTAAAGAGAAGACGCATTTATGAAAATAGTACTAATATTTTAGTAATTTTAAACCTTTCCCGAAATCCAAATTGATTATGGAAATTTACAATTAATAGACAAGAAATGAAAAGGATTTAGGCAATCTCCGATTTTCTGACAGCTCATTTTAAATTGACCCCAAGTTGTTGTTTTTTAACATATATTTATCACTTTTAAACGTGTTAATTGTGTGGCAAGCGCTGCAGCTGGGATTAATTTAGGGAGTTTGAATTGCCTTCTCTACAGCTGGTGAAACTGAAGCAAAACTGTGAAATAAGCTTTGCTAAAAGAATTAGATAGTTTGCAGTGTTAATTATTCAACGCTTTTCTTTAGAGTTCTAAGAAGTCTGGTTCTCAGTTATAAAAGATATTCATTTTCTCATACTATAAACAGGAGTATGACATTTGGTTGTTCACTATGCTGATTTCATGTGTATGTTTCTAGTTTAATGTCTAAAACTCAAGTATTTTGGAAAAGGCAATAGATCCAACAACAAAATTACACAACAGAAACTCATCTGTTACTTAAACATGAACAAAACAATGTGGAGGGGGTACGAGAGAGTGCCTTTATTTGTTGGTTTATTTATTTATTTACTGAAGACTCTTCATGTTCTTTTACCTCTACGTATAGGAAACACTATTTGAAGTCTTTATTTTAAGAGCCTCAATCTTCTTCCGATTAATCTGTCTCTATATATGCCTATGAATTTGTAAAAAGCGTATAGTTATTTCTCCCTAAACATAGCTAAACAAGGCCAAATAACTTTCTCCCATTCTCAATAATTACATGGGACTTCACAACAAAATATATTTTAGCATAACTTCTTCTTTGAGTACAGGTTTAGCATCTCTAATTCAAGAATGTAAAATTGGAAATGCTTCAAAATATAAAACTTTTTGACCCCCCAACATGGTGCCACACATTAAGTGTTTCACAACTGACCTCATGTGATGGGTTGCAGTTAAAATGTTGTCATAACTTTGTTTCATGTACAAAGTTATTAAAAATACTATATAAAATTATCTTCAGGCTGTGTTTATAAGATGTATATAAAACAAATGAATTTCTTATTTAGACTTGAGTCCCATCTCTGAGATATCTCATTATGTATTTGCAAATATTCCAAAATCTGACAAAAAAAATTGCAATCTGAAACACTTCTGGTCTCAAGAATTTTGGATAAGGGAAACGCCATCTACGTTGAACAGTAGATAGAAAACAAGTGGAGGTTAAGTGTGCTATCTGACAGCATTTTCTGTTTATGTTAGAAATGGATCTCCCGGCTGGGCACGGTGGCTCACGCGTGTAATCCCAGCACTTTGGGAGGTTGAGGCGGGCGGATCACGAGGTCAGGAGATCGAGACCATCCTGGCCAAAACGGTGAAACCCCGTCTCTACTAAAAATACAAAAAATTAGCCGGGCTTGGTGGCCGGCACCTGTAGTCCCAGCTACTCGGGAGGCTGAGGCAGGAGAATGGCGTGAACCCGGGAGGCGAAGCTTGCAGTGAGCTGAGATCGCGCCACTGCACTCCAGCCTGGGTGACAGAGCAAGACTCCGTCTCAAAACAAAAACCAACAAACAAACCAAAAAAAAAAAAAAAAAGAAAAAAGAAAATAAGAAAATAAAAATGGATCTCCCAAATAGATTATCTTGAAATTGACTATTAACTATCCAAATAAAAAATACCCCAAAAATATTTCATCATGTCTCAGCTTAATTCTCTCTTATTAGTCATGGACACAGGTGATATATTTTAATTATATAAAATGGAGTGTTATTTAAAATTTTGAAGAGAAATACCAAATTCACAATATATTTTAATGATATAGCATATAAAAATTTATTTGCCAAGTGCTTTAGCATAGATTCTCCTAAACAACTATGACTTTGTGTGTATAGTTTTTAATATTTACTAAGAAAAATTTAAAATATACACCCAAGTAGAGAAATTAATACAATGACACCACACGTGTTCATCACCCATCTTCTTCAAAAATTTCCAACTCATAGTCAGTCTCTTTTCAACTATAGATATCCGTACCATTTCTTCTTTTTCCTTATAATATATTTTGTTGAAAATAGTAGGCTCTTCCCTCTGGAGTTTCCTATAGACTGGATTTTGCTGGTAGCAAAAATATGATTTTTATTTATGATGTTAGTTTATTCCACAAATTTTCTGTAAACTGAAAGCTATGTCTGGAGACCATCTGAATGTAATTTTTATATCTGACTCCCAATGGCTATTTGTTGATGTATTCATATTTTATCATTCTTGTTTCCCCACTTGCTTAAGCAGTTAATTTATGAAATCTTTTCAAAACTTCATATTAAAATGATGTACAAATCAAGGGAAGGTGTACAGCCTGTTATCAGAAATGCTTGACCTTTTTCTCAGTTTAAAGTTCTTTTTCAAACCCAGTCTCAGTCTTTACTAGAAGGGCAATAACTGGCTGATTGATTAGCAGGTTTCCATGATGATTTGTGATACAATTCAGTGATTCAACAATTAATTATTGAGTTTCTTATATACACTAGGCATTGTTTTAAGGTTATTTTTAAAATGAATGTACAAACAAACCTCAAGGAGCTTATATTACAGTGATAATTATTAACTATCTTGAAAAATCTATTACTAGTCACCAGAGGGGAAAAACTGCACAAAGAATTTGCCTAGGTGAGAAGCAGTTAATAGGAAATCAATATGTGTAAACACTAGATTCTTGCCTTAGCAATATTCAATTTGGGGCTTATATTGTAAATATCAGTTTGGTCTAACCATGCTTATTTCTTTTAATCAGTACATTTGTCTGTTTTTCTTGGCAAAAACTAACTTCTCTGAGAACCAACTTTTGGCTTTATTGATTATCTCAATCAAATCAGTGTACCCATATTTCAATACCTATCTTTCTACATTTTTCAATTCAATGTTTTCTTTTTTTAATATTCTTCTTGTGGCAAATATACATAACATAAAAGCTACCATATTAACCATTCTTAAGTGTAGAGTTTGGTTGTAGTAGGTACATTCATTATTTGTCAACTGTCACCACTGTTCATCTACAGAACTCTTTTTATCTCACAAAAGTCAAACTCTATACTCATTATCTTAGTCCTTTGGGATGACTATAACAAAATATCTTAGACTGGGTAGCTTATAAACAACAGAGCATTATTCCTTATAATTCTGGAGACTGAGAAGCCCACTGATCACTAACAGATGCAGTGGCTGGTGAGGGCCCAATTTCAGGTTCATTGATGGCACCTTCTTGCTTTGTCCTCACATGGTAGGAGAGATAAGGCAGTTCTCTGAGGTCCGTTTTATAAGGACACTAATTCTATTCATGAGGGCTCTTTAATGATGATCTAATTATCTTCTAAATGCCCCACCTTCTAATTACGTTGGTGATTAGGTTTCAACATAAATTTTGAGGAGACACAAACATTTAGACCATAATGTCAATTAAGCAATAACTCCCCATTCTCTCCTTCTCGCAGCCCCTGGTAATCACTATTCTACTTTCTGTCTTTATAATTTTGACTACTCTAAGTACCTCATATAAGTAGAATTATGAAGTATTTATCTTTTTGTGACTGGCTTCTTTCACTTAACATAATATCTTTAAGATTCATCCATGTTGTACCATGTTAGAATTGCCTTCTTTTTTAAGGTTGAACAATATTCCATTTTACACATATACAAGTGTGTGTGTGTGTGTGTGTGTCATTTTGCTCATCTGTTTATCTGCCATTGACACATATTATTAATTCCAGAAATTAGCCCCATTTGGTTATGAGGTATAATGCGTTTAATATGCTGTTGAATATAGTTTGCTAGTTTTTTAAAGGATTTTTGCATCAATGTTTATAAGGGATGTTGGTCTGCAATTTCTTTTCTTGTAGTATCTGTCTGGCTTTGGTATCAGAATAATGGTGGCCTCATAGAATGTGTTAGGGAGTGGTCACTTTTAAAGTTTTTGGAGAGTTTTGAAAAAGATTGGTGGTAGTTCTTTGAAAGTATGATAAAACTCACTAGTGAAGCCATCAGGTCCAGAGATATTTTTTGTTGGAATTTTTTTTTAATTGTAGTGGTCTTCCCTTATCCGTGGAATATACATCCCAAGACCTTCACTGAATCCCTAAAACTGAAAACGACATTAATCCCTACTAAACGATAAATGAGAAGTTAGCATATACAGTGTAGATATGCTGGGCAAAGAGATGACTGATAGGCTAGCAGGGAGGGAGCTGGACAGCATGAGATTTCACCACTCAAACATTATGCTATTTAAAATTTATGATTTTTTATTTCTGGAATTTTTCATTTAATATTTTTGGACTGTGGTTGACTGCAGGTAACTGAAACAGCCAAAAGCAAAAGCATAAATAAGGGAAGAACATGGTACTGACTTAATTAATTTTTTTTTTATTCCTTGCGGGTCTATTGAGATTTTCTATTTCTTTATAGCTTAGTCTTATAAATATTATATTTTTAAGAATGTGTCCATTTTATCTACCTTAACCAAATTTTCACTTATGATTGCTCATAGCATAGTCTTATACTCTTTCTATTTCTGTAGGATTGACAGTAATATCCTTTTTATTTTTATTTCATAATTTGAGTCATCCGTTTTTTTCTTAGTTCATCTAGCTAAAGTTTTGTCAATTTTGTTGATCTCTTCATAGAAAGAAACATTGTTTTTCCTTAATTTTTTTCTTTTCTTTATTTTGTTTATCTCTGCTCTAATATTTATTTCCTTCTCTTTGCTAGTGTTAAATTCCATTACACTTTTTGGGGCCCATGATCTATTATGTAAAAATATATTGAGGTTTATTAAGCTTTTTGCTATTAAATTATTTTTATTTCAATAGATTTTTAACCTGGAGTCAAAATATATACTAATGAGTACTCAAACATTTTAAAATTTTAAATAATTTTAATAATAAATTTGTATTTATTTGTTCAATGTAACAATAGATACAAAAATTTGCATGTAAATATCCAGTTCATTAAACCATCCTAAATATAACATACCTGTGTAATGAGCAGGTCAAAAATATATAATATTTCCAACAAAATGGAAGGCCCCCATTTGCTTACTTTCATTCCCTAAGTCCAAAAGTCAAATTACTTCCGACCTAAATCACATTACCTGTCTCTTACTTTTACATGACTATGTGATTTATGTACATGTTCAGCTTTAGTAGATACTTCCAGAAAGTTTTCCAAGGCACTTGCACCAATTTAGAATATCACAATCAGCATATCACATTGTCATCTTGCCACCATTTGGTGGTATCTATTTATTCTTCCAAGCCATTGGGGTGGGTGTCTGTAGCAGTATCACATTGTGGTTTTAACAGCCATTACCCCATTGATTCATGAAGTTGAAGAACTTTCCATATTTTTTGGTTATTTTAATATCTTTTTTGTGAAGTGAGTATTAAAGGCCCTTTCATTTTATTTTCTTTGTGCCTTTTCCTTTGACTGAAAAATTATTTTGAAATATATATATATATATATATATATATATATATATATATGGAGTTCTCTGTCAGATACATGAATTGCAAATATATTTTACTTATCTGAGACTTGCATTTTTTTTCTGTTAATGATGTCTTTTGATAAATATTTTTTCTCCAATTATCCTTTTTCTCTGTATGGTTGGCATACTTTGCACTCTTTCTAAAAAGTCTTTCTTACTCAAGATCACGTTAAATAGCTTTATTTATTTGACTTTCATATTCAGATTTTCAATCTGGGCAGACCAGAAGTGCCACTGACGTCACCTTTCTACAGAGCAACGCTCAGCAAATAACTGATGAGAATTAGAAACTATGCATAAATATGGTAGTTCCCTTACACCACAGGTAGGCTAACTCTGAGCTGTGTGTTATATACTGCATCTCAGAATTTCACAAGCAGATTAAGTTCCAATTGCTAAAAGTGGTAGCTGACTTGATAAGCCACATTTTATTGTATACCTTCAATTTTCTTTTTTACAAAGCCACTTCTTTATCTGGATTTATTCCACCCCCCAAGTATATAATTGTACTTGGATCCTTGTCACAGGGTCTACACATGGAGGAACATAAGCTAAGACAGTTGTGCCACAAATAGTCCAACTGAATGTCCCCAGGATGAACATCCCTGGGATGAGATATCAGAAACTGATAACTTGATGACCAGAAAGCAAGAAGTAGTCAATTGCTAATTGCACATAAAAACTGTGGCATTCAAAGTCATCTTCACTGCTGTTAAAAAGAAGTTATTCCATCTTTCACTTCCTGTCACTAGGAAAGAGTGATTGCTCTCAGTGGGCTTACTTAAACTTGAGAGACAGAACATAACACATTTGAAAATTCTAATTGTTTCCACTTATTAAATTCTGATGCAAGTTCTTATTGGGATTCAGAATAAAACAATATTCTGCATCAGATTTAAATTGTAGAACAGTGGTTCTGCCTCTTGTCCCATATGACCTAGTAGATCTCATGGTGCTTTAGTAACTGCAGTAGGTTAACTCACTCTGTGGAGTTGTTAGTAAGTCCCAGTAAAGAGAAGAACAAGTGAAGTCTCCTAGGGCTCTATAGTAAGTCTATGCTTTCTAAAGAAGAGAAATGTGTTGTTTAAAAGTCAGCTTCTGGCATGCTACCAGGCCCTAGTAGACACTACACACATGACCATAGGATATCAAGTGACTGTATTACTAAAGTGCACTAGCATATACCTTTTATTATCATATCTATGAAGTCATAAATTGCAGTATGTGTGGGAGCAGTTTGCCATATGATTAAAAGGAGGCATTTGAGAGAAAGAGTTCAAACAAGTCTAGAAGACAAAAATGTTACATGCATAGGTGGCCTATGTTCCTATATCACCTATGATTATTGCACAAAGTTCTCTTCCTCAACTAATAACTATAACCTTGAATAAAAAGGCGTGTTTTCATACAACCAGCTGATGGATGATGAAAAATTCCAGGTCTGGTTTATAGATGAGCGACCATGATAGATAGATATAAGCCAAAAATGGGGTGCTGCTGCACTACAGATTCACATGGGGTTTGGGGGAGTGTGATTCTAACAGACAAAGTTTGAGCAACATGTCTGGACATCAACCTTGTGTGAAAGAACAGACTTAATGGAAAAATGTTCATAAGCTTCTGCACCATAATGAATGACTTCATAGGTTGGCCAGAAAGGAAAAGATTTGAAATTAGGGGAAAAGAAGTCTGTAGAAGAAGTATATGGATTTACTTATGCATGCAGTGAATGCAGAACTTTATCTTTTATGTCAACGTCCATCAGTAAAGATGTACTAATGTACAATAGAGGCACTGAGCAATCAAGTGAATTGGACCACTCATCTAATAAAGCTCAGTCCCTTTCTCATTATAAAATATAATGTGAATAATGTTACCCTCATGTGAGAGATAGTGTATTAGTCCAGTCTCACACTGCTATAAATAACTACCTGAGACTGGATAATTTATAAAGAAAAAATGATTAATTGGCTCACAATTCTGCAGGCTGTACAGGAACCATAGCTGGAAAGGCCTTATGAAAATTTCAATCATGGTGGAAGATGAAGGGGAAGCAGGCACATCTTACATGCTGGGGCAGGAGGAAGAGAGAGTGAAGGGGGAAGTGCTACACACTTTTAAACAACCAGATCTCATGAGAACTCACTCACTATCACGAGAACAGCAAGAGGAAAATCTGCCTCCGTGATCCAATCACCTCCCACCATGCCCCTTCTCCAACACTGGGGAGCACAACTCGACATGAGATTTGGGTGGAGACACAATCCAAACCAAATAATTCTGTCCCTGGCCTCTCCCAAATCTCATGTCCTTTTCACATTGCAAAGTACAATCATCCCCCGAAGTTTAAACTCATTTCATCATTCACTCAGAAGTCCACAGTCCAAAATCTCATCTGGAAAAAGGCAAGTCATTTTTGCCTATGAGCCTATAAAATAAAAATCAAGTTAGATATTTTCAAGATACAATAAGGGGACCAGTGTGCTCCTCAATTTCCAAAATTTGTGCAAATATTACAATTAGAAAAATGCCTGAGGTAATAAAGTTTTGTTGGCTATTTGTGTTTTAACACACATAAACACTATTGCTATTACAATAAATACCTCTGGAATCCATTTTCCTTAATTGCAGTTAGTTGTAAATTGCTTGCTCAATTTTTAGTAATTATTGCTGTTGACATCAGAGTTGTAGATTTTTCATGTTGTTGAATGCAGTAGAGAGACCAAGACACTATACTGTAAGATCAAAGAAAGTAATTGGAAAATAAATATGAACCCTTAAAAAAGATATAATGGGGGTGCTGGAATTGGGCAATATGCCTGTTCCAAAAGGGAGAAACCAGCCAAAAGAGAGGGGCTACAGGCCTTGTGTGAGTTCATAATCCAGCAGGGCTGTCATTAAATCTTAAAGCTCCAAAATAATCTCCTTTGACTCTGTGTCTCACATGCAGGCCACACTGAAGTGATGGGTTCCCAAGGCCATAAGCAGCTCCACCCCTGTGGCTCTACAAGGCTCAGCTCACATGTCTGCTCTCAAGGGCTAGTGTTGATTGCCTGTGGCTTTTCAAGGTGCACAGTGCAATCCGTTAGTAGATCTATCATTCTTGGTTTTGAAGGATGGTGAGCCTCTGCTTACAGCTCCACTAGGCAGTGCCCTCATGGGGACTCAGTGTGGGAGCTCCAATCCCACATTTAATATCGGCATTGTCCTAATAGAAGTTCTTTATGAGGGCTCTACCTCTGCAGCAGACTTCTGCCTGGACATTCAGGCATTTCCATACATCCTCTGAAATCTAGGTGGAGGCGCCAAAGCTTCAACTCTTGCCCTCTGTGCACCTGCAGGTTTAACACCATGTGGAAGCCACCAAGGCTTATGGTTTGCATCCTCTGAAACAGTGCCTTGAGATATCTGGGACCCTTTTAGCCACAGCTAGAGCTGGAGGTTTCACAGGGCATTGGGGCCCTGGGACTGCAAATAAAACCATTCTTCCCTCCAAGACCTGCAGACCTGTCATGGGAGGGGCAGCCATGAAGGTCTCTAAAATGGCTTCATGGCATTTTTTTTCCATTCTCTTTGCTATTAACATTTAGCTCCTCTTTGCTTATGAAAATTTCTACATCTGGCTTGAATTCCTCCCCTGAAAATAGACTTTTCTTTTCTACCACATGGTCAGCCTCCAAATTTTCGAAACTTTTATACTCTGTTTCCTTTTTTAAATATAAGTTGCAGGTTTATGTCAAGTTTTTACTCACAAATATGAGGATAGGTTCCTAGATGCAGCCAGGCCACATCTTGAAGGCTTTGCTGCTTAGAAATTTCTTCCATCAGATACCCTAAATCATCACTCTCAAGTTCAAAGTTCCACAGGCCCCTAGAGCAGGGGCAGAATGCCTGCAACGTCTTCGCTAAAGCATAACAACAGTGGCCTTTGCTACAGTTCCCAATAAGTTTCTCATCTCCATCTGAGACCTCCTTAGCCTGGACTTCTTTGTTCATATCATTATCAGCATTTTGGTCACAACACTTCAACAAGTGTCTAGGAAGTTCCAAACTTTCCCTCATCTTCCTGTCTTCTTCTGAGCCCCCCATTGTTCCAACCTCTGCCCATTACCCAGTCCCATAACTGCTTTCACGTTTTCAGGTATCTTCATAGCAATGCCTTATTTACTAGCACCAATGTTCTGTATTAGTCTGTTCTCACACTGCTTAAAGAACTACCTGAGACTGGGTAATTTTTTTTTTTTTTTTTTTCCAGAAAGAGGCTTAGTTGGCTCATGCTTCTGCAGGCTGTATAGGAAGCATGGCTGAGGCGGCCTCAGGAAACTTTCAATCATGGCAGAAGCCAAAAGGGAAGCTGGCATGTCTTAAATATCTGGAACAGGAGTAAGAAAGAGTGAAAGAAGTGCTACACACTTTTGAACAATCAGATCTCGTGAGATCTTACTCACTATCACGAGAACGGCAAAGGGGAAATCCACCCCATGATCCAATCACCTCCTACTAGGTCCCTCCTCCAACATTGGGGATTACAACTTGACATGAGATTTAGGCAGGGACAAAAATCCAAACTGTATATGAGGAGACTAAGCATGAACCTAACAGCATGAGTTCATTTTCACGCTGTTAACTGCTGACTTTCTCTACTACTGGCAGCAAAATATGACCCTGAGCCTTTGATATGTCATGTCTTCAAAGAGAATATTAATCACTTGGTGGCATATTGATTATACTGTGCATAATCCATAATGGTATAAACATTTCAAACGTGTTTGCTGGTTCTGCAGCAATATCTTGGACACTACTACTCTGAATTTGTACAAAGTATATGGCTTACCACCATGGGTATCCTTCAAATACAGGCAAGAGTAACTAAGCTCACTTTATAGTACAAAGTTACAAAACTTGCTATATTGTATGGGGATGTTCTAGTCTGGCCACATACTTGGGTCTTGATAGAATATTTGAATATTTGATTAGTAGGCATATTATATTGGTATAAGCCGACTATAGAATGTGGATACATTATAACCCTACTCAAAAGTGACCCTGTTGCATTGGGTGTTGTTATTTAGAAGTAGTCATCTTTGTTATTATATTTTGTGCTCTGTTGGACTAGAAATCTTCTTCTTTGAGAACCTCTTGCCAGTAAATTAGTAAGCATAGAAAACATTTATTATAGCAGCAAGGGCAATTAACCCTTATTTTCAAATAGCTATAGAATTGTTGCCATATAGTGGTGGTAGAGAATAGGATACCTGCAATTTGGAATATTAATTTGGTTACCTCTATGTTTTTCTATGTCTTACGATCATGTAATTGCCCAATGGGATCTTTCTGCTTGCTGCACAGACAAAACCAGTTCACTGAAACCACAGCATTGCCGTAGAGAAAGAGTTTTATTATATGGCCAGTCATGTGGGAGAACTGGGGTTATTATTCAAAGCAGTCTCGCTGAATGCTCAGAGGCTAGGGTTTTTAATGGACAATTTGGTGAGCAGAGGGCTAGGGAATGGGTCCTGCTAATTGGTTGGGGATGAAATCATAATGGTGTAGAAAACAGTCCTTGTGCACTGAGTCTGCCTCTGCATGGGGCAACAGGACCAGTTGACACGTGAGTCACAAGTTCTGGTGGAATCAGTCTGAAAAATATCTCAAAAAATCAGTCGTAAGTTTGACAATAGTGATATTATCTATAGGAGCAATTGGAGAAGTCACAAATCTGTGACTTCTGGCCACATGACTCCTGAGCAGTAAGGGATTATAGAAACTATGCCTCTATTTAAACAGAGTTTAGGCCCCTCCCATAATTCTAATCTTGTGACCTTTCATTAGTCTTATAAAGGTGGTTTCAGCCCCCAAATGTGGAGGGGATTAGTTTTAGGGAGGGACTAATATTATTCTTGTTTCAAACTTAAGCTTTAAACTAAATTCCTCCCCAAATTAGCTTGACTAATGCCCAGGAATGACCAAGGACGACTTGGAGATCAGAAGCAAAATGGAGTCTTATTGTTATAATTTTGCAAAGGCAGTTTTAACAACTAGTAATAGGCACTTGAAGGAACCATGTTCTGACAAATGCATGACAATCATGTGCTTAGATCTTTTAACCTCTGAAAACTGAAGGTTTAGTTTACCCCACTTGGAAAGCAATTAGACCAGCAGAAATGTTGGCTGAAGACAACATCATCCTTAGGAATTTAGCAACTATGTCATAAAAGAAAATGGTCTGTAATTTTCATATCTTAAAATTTCCTTGTTGGGCTCTAGCATCTAGGTTATGATGCTCTCCAAAAATGAGTTATAAACTCTTATTTTTTCATTCTCTTGAAGAGTAGATGCAAGATTAGTGCTATTTACTACTTACTATTTTGAAAAAATAAAACACCAATAAAGCCTTCTTGGCCTAAAGTGTTCTCTGTGGCAAGTTTGCAAATAATGGTTTCATTTTTTAATAGATATAGGACTACTTTGAGGTATTTTTTCATGTCATCTATGTTATCAAATTATTAATGTGCTTTTTCAATAATATCGTTATTATCTTAGTGAAATTTCAAGGATGTATAACATTGTCTTGATTTTTATTCCTGATAAAGTGATTTACGATGTATCATCAATCCCTCTTGCTAAGCCTTATTGGTTTTAGTTAACTTTCATCCACCTGTTAATATATCTGAAGAAAACTTGTAATTATTTCCATCCGTGCTGCAAAAGCTTTTGAATAAAATCAACACTCAGTCATGAAAAGAACACTCAAGGACATAAAAATGAAGGTATACTTCTTAACATTATAAAATATGCCAATTACTAAATCTAATGTCTTAGTAAAAAAAAAAAAAATACTGAGGCTTCCCAACTAAAACTAGAAAAAAAGACAAAGTTGCACATTATTCTACTCTTCAACAACACACTAGAGGTATTAGATAATTCTACTAGATAAGATAAATTGATTTTGGGAATAATAACATAAAAAATTTTTTCAACTCTATTAGCAGATAAAACAATAGTATACTTGAAATACTGAGAAGAATCCATAATAAGATTAACAAAATCAATAAAATAATTCAGAACAATAGCAAGGTATGAAAATATTATACATAAAAATATCCTTCATATTCATAAACACTGACAAAGACAGCAATGATAGAAAGCATGATTTTTAATAAAAAGAAAGATAAACACTTAAGAAAATACTTTACAAGAAATATACAAAACTTATGTTAGAAAAACTAAAACACTCTGAAAAACACAAAAATAGGTTTGAACATATGGAAAAAAAGAAAGCCCTCCTTTTTCTGAATGTAGTTCCCCTAAATTAATTTTTAAATTTATGGCTATTTGATAAAAATGCTAAATATCTTTCTTATGGACTTAGGCCAATTGGTATTAGATTTCATACGAAGAAAAAACCCACTGAATTAAATATTGAAAACAAAAAGTAAAAAGAAGATCTAGTCATAAAATATATTAAATAACAGTGCAAAGCATGTATAATTACTGTAGTGCAGTGTGGTATTGGCTAATGAATAGATAAACAGATGCATTCATTAGAATAGAAAATATAGTAATAGATCTAAATACTTACAGAAAATTAGCACCCAATAAAGAAGCCATCTCATACGACTGAGACATATAATTGTATTTAGAAAACCTTTTTAATCCTTTTTAAATGACATCCATAAGAAAGAATTAATACATTGTCTTCCTAAAAATAATTTTAAATGCTTTTCAAAACACCACAAACTATGTAAAAAATAAATTCAGACTGTATTAACCAATTTTCATGCTGCTGATAAAGACATACTCAAGTCTGGGCAATTTGCAAAAGAAAGAGGTTTAATGGACTTACTGTTCCAAGTGGCTGGCAAGGTCTCACAATCATGGCTGAAGGCAAGGAGGAGCAAGTCACGTCTACATGGATGGCAGCAGGCAAAGAGAGAGAGAGTTTGTGCAGGGAAACTCCCGTTTTTAAAAGCACCATACCTCATGAGACTTATTCACTATCATGAGAACAGCATGGGAAAGACCTGCCCCCATGATTCAATTACTTCCCACCAGGTTCCTCCCACAAAATGTGGAAATTGTGGGAGTTATAATTCAAGATGAGGTTTGGGTGGGGACAGAGCCAAACTATATTACAGACTATGATAAGACATTTGCAATATGTTGCACAGTTGATAAACTGTTATCCATAATTTTAAATAAATATTTTAACCTTTAGAACAAAGAACCAAAGCTCAAATTAAATTAATATAAACTGATAATTTATAAGAATGATATAAAATATATAAATTCATGTAGAGTGTATAACATCAGCAAGATGATTAAATAAAAAGCTATAAACCTTCCTGCCCCTTCAGAGAAACAGATGTAACAACAGTAAACAAATCAACTGCCTCTCTCTCACTTAAGAGATTTCTGTTTTCCAGACAAAATTCATTATATTTTCTCTCACCAGAGGAACTCTCCCTAATTTGGAATAAACCTCCAACTCCAATTTTCTCCTTGAGAAGGGCAACAAGTAGAACCTATTTCCAACGTTATGATTTTAGGCATGTTTCCCTCAGATACTAGTTTCAGTACCATCTGAATGTAATCACCAAGAGAAATGGGGTGCCTCTGAGAACAAAGGCAATCAATATGCATCAGAGTGTGAAGTATCATAGATAGACACTAGGTGGAGTGCTAGTATTGTACCTTACTACCTCACCAGAGATGCAGCAGAATACCAGACAGTCAACATCAGGTCCTCCTGTGTCAAAACTAGCAAATTTCAATTAGGAGGTTGTAGATACACACAGAAAAAAAAAAAAAAAAATGACCAGATTAGGCTTGAAGAGTCTAGAAAATCTAGCCAAGTTGAGTGGAGAAAGTACTTCCTGTACCAAATCAGACAGCAAATACTAAGAAAGTTGGATGATTTTTCAAATGTCTAACTCCCAACAGAGGATTGTAAGACATGCAAAGAAACAGACATATCCAATTTTAGGGACAAATTTAAACATCAAAAAACAACTCTAAAGAAATGGAGATATATGAATTGCTAAAGAATTCAAAATAACCATCATGAGGATATTTTAATGAATTAAAAGAGAAGAGATAAACAAGTGAACAAAATCATTAAAACTGTCCACGTACAAAATGAGGCTATCAATTAAAATAAGGAAAACATGAAGAAGGACTTCCAAAAATTCTTGAACTGAAGAATATAATAACTAAAATTAACATTTGTCTAGAGGGACTCAACAGCATATTGATGAGGCAAAAGAAAGAATCAGGGAGCTCAAAGACATAATTCTTGAAATTACTGAAGCAAGAAGGGCACACAAAAAAGAAAAAATAGAGAGAGTATAAAACATTCATGGGACAGCATCAAGTGAAGCAACTTATACATATTGAGTTCCAGAAGGAGAAGAAAGAGAAAAAGGAGAAGAAACTTATTTAAAGAAGTAATAGTCAGAAATCCCCCAAATTTGGAGGAGAAATGGACATATAAATTTAAGAAACTCAAGTCCAACTTGGATCAATCTGAAGATACTGACATTTAGACATAACCAATCTGGCAAAAGTCACCCCCACCTCCCCCTCCAGAAAAATCTTGAAAGCAACAAGAGAAAAGGGACTCATAACATACAAAATCTCTTATGAAATTATTAGCAGATTTCTTAGCAGAAACCTTATAAGCTAGAAGGGACCAGATGATATATTCATAGTACAAAAATAAATAAAACTTTGCAACCAAGAATACTGTATCTGGAACACCTGTCATTTTAAAATGAAGAAAAAACAAGGACTTTCCAAGATAACCAATGCAGAGGGAGTTCATTACCTCTAGACCTGCTCTGCAAGAAATGATGAAGTAGTCCTTCATGTTGAAGCAAAAGGCTGACAAACAGCAATGCAAAATGATATGAAAATATAAAATTATCTGCTAAAGGTAAATATGTAGATAAATATAGAGTTCTTTATTATGGTAATGTAGGTGTGAAAATTACTTTCAAATATGGTGTATAATTTTTAAAAAAGCATAAAATGTAATTATAAATTTTTGTTAGATACACAATATAAAATGGTAACTTGTGTAATCAATAACATAAATTGGTGAGTGGGAGAGATATAAAGGAACAGAGTCTTTATATATGATTAAAGTTAAATTATTTTCACTTTAAAATAGATTGTTATAACTTTAAGAGGTGGTATGGAATGCAATGAGAATACCAATAGTGTATGCACAAAGGAAAATTAGAAGAAAATTAAAACATGTCACATACAACTACAAAATAGCCAATATACCACAAAAGAAAGCTGAGAGGGAAGAAAGGAGGGAAAAAAGCCTACAAGACTTACAAAAAGCAATGAAGACAATGGCAATAATAACTTCCCCCTTATCAACAATTACTTTAAACATAAACGGGTCAAATATACCAATTGAAAGACAAAGAGTGACTGAATTGATTTAAATAATATCAACTGACAGGCTGACCACAAGAGACTCACTTTAGATCTAAAGCTGCACATAGACTGATAGTGACATAATGGAAAACGATATCATATGCAAAAGGGAGCCTAACAATAGCAGAGATAGTCACACTTATATCAGACAATAGACTTGCATAGAACTGTTATGAGATTAAAAAGGAAATTAAATAATGACAAAGGAATCATTTTACCAAGAAGCTACAACAATTATGAATATCTATTTGTATAAACTTATAGCTGCCAAATATATGAGGCAAACATTGACATAGCTGAAGAAAGAAATAGCAACAAAACAATACTGGGAAACATTAATATCCAGTTTTTGTTATTAACAGAACACCACGTTTAAGACTAATAAAGAAACAGATGTTAACAACACTATCACCAATTGGATCTAACAGATATATACAGAACACTCCAACCCCAAATGGCATAATATTCTTCTCAAGTGCAAGTAGAATATTCTCCCTGATAGACAACATGTTAAGCCAAAGAACAACTCTTAACAAATTTAAGAAACTTGAAACTATACAAAATATTTTCTCTAATCAAAATGAGATAAAATAAGAAATCAATAGAAGAAGGAAAACTAGAAAATTCACAATTATGGTGAAATTGAACAACTCAAACTTAAACAACCAATGGGTCAATGTAGAAATCACAAAGTGATTTAGAAAATATCTGTAAACAAATTAAAATTTAAACACAACATACCAAAACTTATGGGATGCACCAAAAGCAGTTCTAAAACAAAAGTTTATAGTTATAAAGAAATACATTAAAAAGAAGACATCAAATCAACAGCTTAACTTTATACAAAAGGAAACAGAAAACGAAGAAATAAAAGGCATCCAAATTTGAAAAGAAGTAAAATTATTTCTGTTCACCAATGAAATGATCTACTATGTAGAAAATGCCAAAGACTGTATAAAAATTATAACAATTAATACAAGATTTCAAGAAAGTTGGGGAAAAGGAAAATCAACACACACCTGAAAATAGGTGCATTTCTATACATTAACAATTATGAATTTGAAAACATGAAGAAAACAATTGCATTTACTATATCATTAAAAATGATAAAATACTTGATAATAAACTTAATGAAGGAGGTGAAAACACTTGTACACAGAAAAGTAAAAAAGCACTGGTTAAAAAAATCAAAGAAGACACAAATAAATGGAAATCTCATGCTCATGGATTGGAGGGCTTAATCGCTAAATATTGTTAAAATATCCATATCCCCAAAGTGATCTGCAAAGTCAGTGCAACCACTGACAAAATGTCAATGGTATTTATTGTGGAAATTGAGAAAAGGATCTAAATTTCATATGGAATTTCAAGGGGCCATGAATTTAGCCCTTTATCTGGCCCTGAAAATAGCCAAAGCAATTTTGAGAAAGAAAGACAATGTCAGAGTTCTCACACTTTCTAATATCCAAGCATACTACAAAGTTATAGTCGTTAATACTGTGTGGTACCAGTGTAAAGACAAATATATAGACCAATGGAACAGAATATCTAGCCTAGAAAGAAACCTATGCATATATGGCCAAATGCTTTTCAACGAAGTTACCAGGATTACACAATAAGTAAAGACGGTCTCTTAAATAATAAAGTTGAGAAAACTGAATATCTACATGCAAGAAAATAAAGATGGATCACTACCTTACATCATTACAAAAATAAATTCAAAGTGGATTAAAGATTTAAATGTAAGACCTGAAATAAAACTTCTAAAAGAAAACTTAGGGAAAAGCTTCATGAATTTTCATTTGGCAATGATATCTTGGATATGATATCAACAGCACAAGCAATAAAAGCAAAAATAGGCCGGGCACGGTGGCTCATGCCTGTAATCCCAGCACTTTGGGAGGCTGAGGCCGGCAGATCACAAGGTCAGAAGATCGAGACCATCCTGGCTAACACGGTGAAACCCCGTCTCTAATAAAAATACAAAAAGAAAAAGAAAAATTAGCCAGCCGTGGTGGCAGGCACCTGTAGTTCCAGCTACTCAGGAGGCTGAGGCAGGACAATGGTGTGAACCCAGGAGGCGGAGCTTGCCGTGAGCTGAGATCGCGCCACTGCACTCCAGCCTGGGCAATAGAGCGAGACACCACCTCAAAAAAACAAACAAACAAAAAAACAAAAATAAATTAATAGGCCTACAACAAACAAAAACTTTTGCATGTCAAAGCAGTCAACAGAGTAAAAAGGTAACTTACAGAACAAGAGAAAATATTTGCAAATTATATATGAAAACTGAGACATTAATATACTGAATATATATATTAATATATATGATATATATATATTCAGAATATATAAGCTCTATAACCATACACACAAGAACCAAATAGATCAATTAAAAATGGACAGCAGACTTAAATAGACAATCATCCAAAAAACATATGAAAATGGCCTACAAGCATATGAAAAGATGCTCAACATCACTAAGTATAAGAAAAATTCAAATTAAAACCACAACGAGGTATCATCTCACATCCATTAGAGTGGTCACTATCAGAAGAACAGAAAATCATAAATGTTGGTCAAGATGCAGAGAAATATAACCCTTGTACATTGTTGGTGGGAATGTAAAATGGTACAGTCTTTATGGAAAAACATTGATTTTTTCCTCAAAGAAAAACCCAGAAATATAATTACCATATGATTCATCAATCCCATGTTTGAACATATATTCAAAAAATTTAAAGATATCTTAAAGAGATAGCTGCATACCCATGTTCATTCCAACATTATTCACAATAGCCAAGAAGCAGAAGCAACCTGTATGTCCACAAACAAATGAATGGATAAAGAAAATGTAAAACACATACACACACAGTGGAATATTATTCAGCCTTATATAAAAAAAGAAATTATATCACATGCCATAGCATGTATGGACCTTAAGGACATTAAGCTAAGCAAAAATAATATTTGTCACAATAGACAAATGCTACCATTCTACGCATGTGAAATGTCTAAAGTAGTCAAAATCAGAGAAACAGAAAGTAAAAGGTCTTTGTCAAGGGCTAGGGAGATGTGGGAGACAGAATTCGTGTTTAGTGGGTATAAAATTTCAGTGTTGCAAGATGAGAAATTTCTAGGAATTTGTTGCACAGCAATGTGAATATGTTTAACACTATTGAATGACATACTAAAAATAGTTAAGATGGTAAACTTATTGTTTGATTTTATTAACCACAGTAAAAGATTTAAAGATACATTAAAACTCACTGATAATTAAGATAATCACAAACTAAAATAACACAGTTACCATTACTCATTTAACACATTGAAAGAAATACAATTTTAAAAGTAATATTACACATCTGTGAGATTGTGAGCAATTAGGCTCTCACACATTGTTGGGAATAAAAATTATTACAACTCTTTTGTATGCTAATTTAACAAAATATAACAAAACTACTGATGCACTTTTTTGATACAGCAATATTTTTTCTGGGAATTTGTACTGAAGGTTAACTTTCAATAAGATGGAAATATATATGCACCGTTGTTAATTGTAGCATTGTGTATAATTGAAAAACATTGAAAAAGACTAAAGACTCATACATAAAGTTGTTGAGTAAATCATATTAGGCCCACACAATGGAATGCTATACAGGGTTAAAAATAATAAAAAAGAATCTATGAAATGACATTGTATCATTTGCAAATTATATTTTTAAGTGAAAACATTAAATGCAAAAGAAAGATTAGTATTAATTTTGTATTGCTGCTATAACAAATTACCACAAACTTAGTGGCTTAAGCCATGTAAATTTATTATTTGGCAATACTATAGGTCTGAAGTCCAATATAAATCTCAGTTGGCTAAACTCAAGGTGTAGGCAGGGCTGCTCTCCTTCTGGAGGCTCTAGAAGATCACCCATTTCCTTGCCTTGTCCTGCTTCTAGAGGATAGCCACATTTCATAGCTTCTGACTCTCCTTCTTCATCTTCAAAGCCAACAATATTTAGTTTTTCTGGTTCTTCTTCTCTTGTCTCTTTCACCACACCCAGAAAAGGGTCTCTGCTTTTAAGCAGTTGTATGATTTGATTGCACCCCTCTGGATAATTCAGAATAATAACCCATTTCAAGTTCCTTAACCCTAATCGCATCTTCAAAGTCTCTTTTGCTGCGGTGTAATCCATTTCCAGGGATTAGGATTTGGGCATCACTAATGGGAGGCATTAGTCTACCTGCCACAATGCCACCTTTATGCAAGAAAGCCATGGAAATATGAAAATTCATATGTTACCTAAAAGTGTAGGTGGGAATGGAGTGGAATGAATGGACGAATGGGGACAGGATAAACAAATAGAGTGACACTTTTCTGAGCATAATTCTTTATTTATTACTTTTAAAGCCATGTCAACATTACAAAAACTAGAATATAAATATATACATGCATGCATACATAAATTCAATCTGGATGTGGGTGGAAACTCCAACACAATACAAATAGAAACAAATTAACATAAGTACTATAAGTAAATAATATTAAAACATTGAAAATTGCAGAGAACAAAATAACTAACCTCACTACAGTTGACAGTGTTTTGGTCATATGATCTAAGTTGAAAGACAAAAAGTACTATACACAAATATTGTACTCCAGTTAACAAATTTTTCATAAGAATATGAGTTAGCAATTCTGAAATTACTTTCGTTATATTCTAGAATTGAGCACAAAAGTAAATGTAATATACATAATAAGATCCTAATTTCTTAATAAATACGAGAAAAAAGAGTTACAGACAGAAAAGGCGGGAAGACTAGAATAAACCCTCTGGTCTTGGATTACAATTGGTGTTATCAATATGAGTTTATGGTTGTTTACACAGAAACACACAATAAGATAGATGTAGGAATCTCTCTCTTTCTCTCTGTTTATCTTTGTCTCTTTCTCTCCATTACTAGGAAACAATAACAGGTTAGAGGCTTGCAAGTAGAATTTGAATTACTAAATGGGGACATTATGAAAATAGAAAATCGCCATTTGACAAACAACACAGTAATATTTGTTGAAGGCAAAAATCACTATCGAATGCTATAACTGGTAAGCAAAAGTATGATAGAAACAAGATAGATACATGATATTAACAACACCCCATAAGATATTAACTGTAAAGGGACAAAAGGAACTTTTAGTAGAGAAAACTGGCAAATAAAGCCATAACAAAGGGATGAAATTTTACATCACTAATAATGTGACATATCACGTATCTCCTGTTATGACACACTGAAAAGGCATACATTACTTCTGTGTTATTCCTACCAAAAATGGATAAGCTAAATTTAATCAAGAGTCATCAGCCAAACCCAATGGAGAAATCCCACAAGATGAAATTCTCAAAGTTGTCAAGGTCATGAAGAAAGGATTGAGGAAATATGTCAAATTGGACAATAAGAGACATGACAACTAAATTCAATGTATGATTCTGATTGGATTCTGAGCTGAAAGTAGCATTAACAGGGCAGTTGGTGAAATGCGAACAGAGTAAGCAGATAATTTACAAGTAGGATATCATTAAATTCCTGGTTAATTTTTATCATTTTACTATCGTAGACTCTGTCATTTGAGAAATCTGGGTGAAGGTTACACAGAATTCTTTATAGTAGTTTGCAAATTTTCCTGAGAAATTATTTAAAATTGTAAATCAAAATTTCAAAAATAAATATAAAATATTGAAATGTGTTTGTAGCTTTTTGAACCATTGGCCATTTTTAACAAATGGTATTAGGCTGCTATGATTTAGTCCATGCTTCTGAAGTAGAAGTCTGTCCAAAGTAGAAGCCAGCCTGTCTTCCCTCTTTCCTTCCTCTCCTTTTGTTTCTATAATAGAGAGTAATGAGTGAATGCATTTAATTTTAAAAAGTTGTATAGTTTCAGTCATTCACAACAACAATATTTTGTCTCTGTGAGGATTACTATAAGTGACTGAAGTACATCTGTGGGGCTCTCTCTTCTACTTCTTTCATCTATATCATCAAAGCTGGAAAAAGACCTTAGCTTCTCTTGGAAGAAAAATCCAGCTATCTCTCTATTGTTTTTTCTGAGATGTTGTAACAATGCCCCAGGTTCAATGTTCTAACGCAAGAGAGGCTTGGGTCCTAGGTTAAATTAGATGAAAGCTTGCATGAGATAAAACCAGTTCACTCTGCTTCTGTTTCCTCTAACATTAGTATCTCTTTTTGATCCTGGGCACCTTTGCAGTAAAGAAAGGGAAATAAGTGAAATATAGAGATCATTAGGAATAACTTGCTTGATCTTAAGCAATTTAAACTTGATAAATTGAGGAAAGGGCAGTTTTACACAGTATAGTTAATTTTACCATAGCTCATAGCAGTAAGAAATTGCAACAAATATAGATTACGTGTTTCTCTTTTGAATCATCATTTACAGCTTTACCAGTCTTTGGATAGTTCAGAAGTGATTGCTTTGTGGGCAGTTTACTATCCCTATATCTATTCTCTTATTATGTATGGTATTCTTAGCTGATTATTTTAAAGCTACCTAGAGCACATCAGCGTGGTTTTCTAAGGATTCATTAAGTTATTGCTGACATAGTTGGTTCATACAGGAAATGGGAAAATGGATTTAAAGAACATAATTGCATAGTTGATTGTCTCTCTCAAAGTCTTCTATTTTATTTTCTTGGTCTGTTATATTTCATTCCAATGTGTTGATATTTTTTAATGGCTGTTAATGACTATTACCTCTGGGGTCAAATAAATGTGGGTTTGAATCCCAGCTTTCTCACTTACTTGATGTTTTAAGTTATGTTTAAGGAATTATTTCTTCTATTGTACTAACCAATGTGAAAATGTAGAAAAAATATTATATTATTTCTATAATTGCTTTCAAATAAAAACTAATATTTACTGAAAGTTCATTTTATGTCAGATATTTTGATAATAATTTTAATATAAAGTTTCTCAAATAATCTTTAAAATGCCTCTGTGAACTAAGCACTATTTTCATTCCCATTTAGCAGAATATATTGAGGATTAGAAATTGAGGTAATTTACTCAATGCCACATGTCTTGAAATTATGCAGTATGGCTCTGATTGCTTATCAGAGTCAATAATATAGTTCCAAATGTATTAATTTATTCATTCAGAAAGAATATTATGTATTAGAAACATGTGCCAGATGCCTTCTGCAGACACATATGACTTGCTTTTCCGAGAGTATTAACCCTAATGATGAACAATGAAATTTGCAGCAATAGCATTGTGAATTTGGGTAAAAGAGAACATGCAAATATAAACTGTAAAAGAAAATTCTTCTCATTCTTTAAATTTTATATAACCCAGTAGTTAAAGCCAAAGCTCTTTTTAAAAAATCAGTTTCAATGAAAATCATTACATGATTCCTTGAAAAAAGTCAAATCAAATAGTAACTTTAGAGCATGAATTTTTAAAACAAATATATTTGTCGCAATCCCTTCTTCATGCCTCAAAGGCCACAAATCCAATTATAGAAATTAGATGATTATCAGAAAGAATGTTAATAGCTTCTACTTTCAAAAATGCAGAGATCTAGATGACATTCTTTGCAATTTCTGGAGTAAATTCTAAGAGTGTGCATTTTCCTGATGATCAAAAAGTCGTCATTTAACTCATGCTTATATCAGGGAGACTATATTACTGTAATATATCATCTGTGTCATTTGGCTATTGAATAGGCCATGAATTTTATGCATTTATAATAAAATGGAGATATTACTTGCACAAAGGCAAGATCAGCAAATGGTTTTGTTGAAGGTTGTGAGGAATACTGGCCCAGAAGCCAAATATATATGTAAAGGAACACACAAAATAAGAAACTTTAATGAAAATGTTGGAGTGTGCTTAGTGAAGAAATGAGGGACACATTGCATTGAGAATAATACTTATCTTGGAAAAACATTGGCTCTTTATTTTCTATAATGATGAGCTGATGAAAGAACAATACGAAATATGTAAAAAAAGAAAAAATGTTGACTACAGAAAAAAAGAAATAAAAAGTAGAAATAAAGGCAAAGTGGTTAAAGACAAAAACAAGAAAATGGGAGAAAAAAACACAAGAAGAAATTGTAGATATAAATTTAAAAATAGACATAGACGGCCCGGCACGGTGGCTCACGCCTGTAATCCCAGCACTTTGGGAGGCCGAGGTGGGTGGATCATGAGGTTAGGAGTTCGAGACCAGCCTGGCCAACAGGGCGAAATCCCATCTCTACTAAACACACACACACACAAAAAATTAGGTGGCCATGGTGGCAGGCGTCTGTAATCCCAGCTACTCGGGAGGCTGAGGTGGGAGAATCGCTTGAACCCTGGAGGCGGAGGTTGCAGTGAGCCAAGATCGCGCCATTGCACTCCAACCTGGGGAACAGGGCAAGGCTCCATCTCAAAAAAAAATAAAAATAAAAAAATAAAAATAGATATAGACCTGGAGAGAAGTTTTTTTAAATCAAGGAAATAATGTGTTGTCGTGTATCTTCAATAAAGCTTATGATATTCACTAATTACTAATAAAATTTCATTTATGTTTCAATATAATCACTTCATATCACTTCCTTTTATGAAACTAAATATTTCAGTAATTATTACACAGCTATTCAAATATTTTTATCTAAACATTTGTAAATATCATCTGAATATCTTACCACAGCATCAGGTCTTTTATACATTTATACAACTATGCCACAATGACAAACTTAGTGATGACAGAATTGCTTTCTATAGTAGAAGCAATACAAAATTAATCAGTTATATATAAAGTTAAAAAAATATTATGCTGGGTACAATGGTGCAAACATGTAATTCCAGATAATCTGGAGGCTGAGACAGGAGGAATACTTGAGGCCAGGAGTTCCAGACCTACCTGGGCAGCATAGTAAGGCCCCGCTTCTCAAAAATTTTTAAAAATGTATATTTCAAAGTATTTAAAAAGTCTTAAACAATATGAAATTTTAGAAAACTGAGGTAATCAATAATTGATAACAACTAGAGTTTCCTTGGAAGAGATGGCATTTAAGTTACATTTTGCAGAAGGCTTCAGAAGGTATTAGGTAATCCAGCGGCCCAGTGCTAGACATAGTAGTGGTAAAATGCAAATTCCATTAAATAACATATGGTTATTGATATAGTTTGGCTGTGTCCCTACCCAAATTTCATCTTGAATTGTAGCTCCCATAATTCCCACATGTTGTGGGAGAGACCCAGTGAGAGATAACTGAATCATGGTGTCATCTTCCACCATACTGTTCTCTTGGTAGTGAATAAGTCTCATAAGATCTGATGGTTTTATAACGGGAAACTCCTTTCACTTGGCTCTCATTCTCTCTCTTGCCTGCCACCATGCAAGATGTGCCTTTTGAGGCTGCCCCCACCATGTGGAACTATGAGTATATTAAACCTCTTTTTCTTTATAAATTACCCAGTTTCATATATGTCTTTATCAGCAGTGTGAAAACAGTCTAATACAGTTATACTGCCTATTTCTTCAGAATAATATTAACTGTTCTCTAATATTCCTGAAAATAATCATAGCAGCTTAGAAATAAATGAATGAGTATCAGTGATGCTTCCTTGACTGGTATATATATTTCTGAGGTTTGTATTATTATATGGGCTTTATAGCCAAGTTCTAGATATAGCTGCAATTGTTATCATTAGTTTTACCGCAGCTTTTTATTTTTCTCAGTTCAGACATTTTTATTTTAAACTAATCCTTACACTGTTCTCCTTGCTATTGCCTTATTATTCTCCTTATTTAATCCCTGTATTAATAATGCCATCAAATGTGCAACAGTCCAGTCTGAAGGGAGGAAGCAGAGAGGAAGTGTCAGACAAATAGAATGGTAACCAGTCTTGTGTTGGAAAGTGGGGGGGTGGAGGGGAAGTGAGAGAGAGAGAATTTAAATGAGAATGGAAGAAGCCAGGGGAGAAGAAAAAATTCAATTAAGAAATAAAAGATATGTAAAAACAAATAATAACTATCCCACAAGAGGAAAGATGACAAGACGTTAGTAGACATCTATGGAAAATTAGTCTTGAAAAGTAGAAGTAACACCCTGAAACAGAGTGGAGAAGAAAGTTACACAGAAACATAAGTGAAGGAGGAGAAAACCACACAATGATCTGATAGGGCAGTATTTTTGATACTATAAAGATGAATTAATAGAAATGTAAAATTAATAAATATATGTACAGAATACAAGCCAGGTTTTTTATTATTATATATTGCAACAGACATAAAATCACTCTGAGAAATACACTCACTTCCATGCTTCTTCATTGTGGATTGGTAACATATACTATGTGAAGTCTAGCAATCTGTGGACCATACTTAAAGTAGGGCTGGTTTGCTTTTTCAATCTGGGATTGATAAACAACTTAAAATAGAAAAGGATCTGGATGTGCAAGTTGAAATCACTTAGTCACAGAAAAAGAAAATAAATTTAACACAAACCATAAATTTAGGAGAAATGTCAGATCTACAAATATCTAGTATTTCAAAGAGGGGCAAGACAAGTGTTGAGGAAAGTCAAATTTAGAAATGACAACCTTTAATACGGCTTTTAAAAATGCTATATTGATCCAGTTTTAAGACCCTGGGTAGGGGATGCTCGGTTCTACTTTTCAAGGAGCTGATTGAGTCCACACCCCGAACCACCACTCTTATCAAGTTTTCAGGCTCCAGGCATCTATACGTCTGTCCTAATCACGAGTGCCTGGCTGCAATTATTCAAATCTTCCCACCTTAAACCTGCTTACCCTATCTCACCCTTTCATTACAGCAGAAACCACCATAAAGGCACTTGCCCACAGTTCCCCTCTTTCCGTCATCCTTGTGCCTGACCCAGGTTCGTCCTCTAAGTAGCCCGGCCAAACCTGCTTTTTTCTCTCCAGGGAAATGTGACTATAACATATCTGTAAAACTCTTTCCACTTTCTCTCTTTAGATCTGTGACTGGCCTTATCATACCTCACCCAGAGTAATATGGTTAAAACAAGTGGCACGGTGAACAGGGTAGTTTGGCCCCAGATAGACAGACAGGCCACTAGACTGCCCTTGGCTTACCAATTAGGTTCACCAAATGGGGAGGCAGCCTAGGGAGACACTGCTGCCTGCTGGCATGCTGGTCCTGGAGCTCTGACCACTGCCACTATATGCTGTTTGTTTTAGTTTTGCCATCGCTTTCCATCCTAAAATGTGCAACTCTGTTCTGAGTCCTCACCAAGTTTCCACCACCTGAGCACAACTCTGTGACCTAACCTATTTCCCAGTACCTAAATGTCTGAAGTGACAGCTTTATAAATTTCCCATTTTGCCGCTAACATGCAGGAGCTGGAGGACAGATTGAGGGTGAATATTCTCCTAGGACCCATTGACCGTGGCTTATCCCACAGGCCGGGCAGCTGTCCATCTTATTTGAGACTCTAAACTTCCACCACACATCAATCCTCCTTAATGTTTAGGTTATAAAAGTAGATAATTAATTCAGGCTCTCCCTCTAAACCCCTCCAGGAAATTAAAATTATTACTACCAGGCCACTTTTACAGACAGTCTTGACAACGACAAAAAAAAAAAAGATAGAAAACACTACTCAGTAAAAGAAAAAATATATATTTGGAAATAATAATGAAATCAACGCTATATCCCATACTGATGAAACCAGATGCTTCCTTGATTATACTACATGCCAGAGAAAAACCAACATCAGACAGCAAAACCCTGCCAAGTACAGCTGCACACGATTGTGTTGACTATTGATCTTGTTACTCTTGTTCAGGGTGCTTTTATTGATTTGCAATCCATAAGCCTAAACCTTCCAAACAAACTGCTGTTTCAACCAAACACTGCAAATTCTGAGGCCCTTATGCCACCTGGTTTGGCTAATACAAGCCCTATGATCCAAAGACCTTGCCATCTTTCACATCACCAATCAAATTAATTACTGAGGCAAACAGCCCCTAGTAACTGGCCAAATTAGAAGGACTGCCTACAAACTAATGCTGGAGCTCCAGCATTAGCCTCATTATAATACTATATGTCTGTAAAAACAAGACTTACGTCAACTTGAGTCCCCTTTGGAAATGATACCTCACTCCGGCATCTTAGATAATGTCACCTGGCATAGGGCCTTGCCATTAGAGATGGCATTGTGTCAGATGACATTGCCCCAGTGCATGACTTCGCCATCGGAGATGACTTCACCCTCTTTAGTTAAATGTAGCCTTTGGAAGCACGACTTCAGTGTAATTAATCAGTGAATCAAAGCCCATAGTTTCATTTCAGTTTTCTTATTGACTCAAGATACTGTTTTCACACACCATCTGGATAAAGCATCCCTGGACCAAAGAGAGGTTCCTCTCTGTGTAAGATTCCTTCCTTGTTTTTGATGCCTTCTTTTGAAGCAATGCTGTAAAACCTTGTTTAATATTTTATACTTCATTTTCTCATAATAAACAAAAGATTTTGTTTTTCCCTTCCAATAACTGGAACATTTGAAGAAATCCATGGTTTTTATTAGTATGCTATTGAGATCTGCAGTATATGAAGAGAGTAGAACATGAACAATGAATACAAATGGCTCAAAAAACTCCAGAATGTAGCCATTTGAAGCTATGTTGATTTGGAGAGGATCTATTTGATGTTCTTAAAACAGTTCTCAAACAACTCCTTATTCATACCGCTTCTAGCTTTCCATGGACTTCTGTATCGGAAGTGAGTTCATCTGATCCAAAAAGGAAAGAAAGAGAACTCTTTAAAATCAAGACTGGTGGCACATGTAAGCCCAGTAAGTCAGAATTTCCTTGCCTTGCTGGAGTGGGTAGGCAAAAAAGCTAAACTTCGGTCTATAAGCCAAAAATTAATAAGAAAGAGAGAAAAATAACAGAAAGGGAGAGAGAGAAAGAGAGAGAAAAAAAGAGGAAGAGAAGGTGATGGGAAGGGGATGGAAGGATTGTTCCTGGGGTAAGTTACTGTTTTTGTTTTTTGCTGTTGTTGTTTACAGATTTACAGAATATGAGTGCAGTTTTGTTACAGGGATATATTGTACAGTGGTGAGGTCCTGATTTTTGATGTAACTATCTCCTGAGTATGAATATTGTACCCCACAGGTAATTTTTCAACCCTCAACCCACTGGCAACTTTTGATGTCTCCAATGTCTATTCTTTCACTCTGTATGTCCATGTATACCCATTTTTAGTCTCCCATTTATAAGTGAGAGCATATAGTACTTGAGTTTCTGTTTCTGAGTTATTTCACTCAGGACAATGACCTCCAGTTCCATCCATGTTGTTGCAAAAGACATGATTTCATTCTTTTTAATGGATGAGTTGCATTCTTTGGTGCATATATACATATGTGGCTTATATATGGTGTATATATACCTCCTATACATGATATATATAGGGTGTATATATAACTATACATGGTATATGTGGTGTATATATACCTATACATGGTGTGTGTGTGTGTGTGTATATATATATACACATATGCTGTATATATACCTACACATGGTATATATATGGCGCATATATACCTACACATGGTATATATATGGCACATATATACCTACACATGGTATATATATGGCGCATATATACCTACACATGGTATATATATGGCACATATATACCTACACATGGTATATATATGGCGCATATATACCTACACATGGTATATATATGGCACATATATACCTACACATGGTATATATATGGCACATATATACCTACACATGGTATATATATGGCGTATATAAACCTACACATGGTATATGTATGCTGTATATATACCTACACATGGTATATGTATGCTGTGTATATACCTACACATGGTATATATATGCTGTATATATAACTACACATGGTATATATATGGTGGGTATATGGTGTGCGTGTGTATATATATGGTACATATCTATGGTGTATGTATATATGGTGTATATACACATATGTGGTATGTGTATATTGTGAATAGTGTTGCCCATAAACATAGGAGTGCAGCTGTCTTTTTGATATAATTGTTTCTTTTCCTTGGGTAGATACTCGGTAGTGGGATTGGTGAATCAACTGATAGTTTTTTGTTTTCATTTTTGTTTTGTTTTCTTTTGTTTTGAGACAGGGTTTTGCTCTGTAACTGCTCATGCAGTACAGTGGCAAGATCATGGCTCACTGCAGCCTCCACTTCCTGGGCTCAGGTGATCCTCCCACCTTAGCTTACCAAGCAGCTGGGACTACATGAACGACCTTGTAGTGTAACTTGAAGTCAGGTAATATGATGCCTCCACCTCTGTTCTTTTTGCTTAGAATTGCTTTAGCTGTTTGGGCTGTTTTTAGTTCCATATGAATTTCAGGATTGCTTTTTCTAATTCTGTGAAAAATGACATTGGTAATGTGATAGAAATTGCATTGAATCTGTAGATTGCTTTGGGCAGTACAGTCATTTTAATGATATTGGTTTTTCCAATCCATGAGCATGGTAATTTTTTCCATTTGTTTGTGTCATCTATGATTTTTTTCATCAGTGTTTTGAAGTTCCCCTTGTAGAGATCTTTCATCTCCTTGATTAAATGTGTTGCTACTTATTTTTTGTAGCTGTTGTAAATGGGATAGAGTTATTGATTTGGTTCTTAGCTTAAAAGTTATTGGTATATAAAAATGCTACTGATTTTTGTACCTTGATTTTGTATCCTTTATTGTGGTCATTTACCAAATCTAGGAGTCTTTTTGAGGGATTTTTTAGGGCTTTCTAGGTATAAGATTGTATCATCAGTGAACAAAGATAATTTGACTTCCTCTTTTCTAATTTGCATTAGTAATAAAAAATCTCTCAATAAAAAAAGCCCTGGGACCAGATGGAATAACACATAAATTCTACAATACATACAAAGAAAAACTAGTACCAGTCCTACTGAAACTGTTCCAAATAATTGAGAAGGAAATCCTCCTTAACTCATTCTATGAAACTAGTCTCACCCTGGTATCAAAGTCAGGCAAGGATGTGACAAAATAAGAAAACAACAGACCCATATCACTGATTAACATAAATGCAAAGATCCTCAACAAAACTAGCAACTGAATCCAAGAGCACATTAAAAAGCTAACACACTACAATCAAGTGGGTTTTATTCCAGGGATGCAAGGATGGTTCAACATACACAAATCAATAAATGTGATACACCACATAAACAGATCTAAAAACAAAAACCATATTATCATAACAATAGATGCAGAAAAAAAAGCATTCAATAAAATTCAGAAAAAAAACAACAGCCAGCATCATATTGAACTGGGGAAAGTTGAAAGCATTCCCCCTAAGAACTGGAACAAGACAAGGATACCCACTTTTACCACTCCTATTCAACAGAATACAGGGAATACTAGCTAGAGCAATGAGGTAAGAAAAAGAAAGAAAAGAGATCCTAGGGGTAAGTTTTACTGAGAGTCGTTTAGCCAAATCCTGCATTCCTCTTAAAAATATATTATAATGTACTGCTAGATTTCCTGTCATATATTTGGATCCACAGTATTCTTTCCCTAGGGGAGAAGTTATGCTTATTTTTATTCAGAAACTCTGTGTCTGCCTCGAGGGCCAGAGTTATATTTTAGAGAGAACAGAAATTATGAATGCATAAACATCAATAGAAAACGATGTGTCATAATATCTGCTGACCATTATTAAGCAAGCTGAAGATATTCTAATTTAATATTACTTTTTCACACAACAGTCATGTAAATTGATAAACTTATAATTTTTGTCTATAACTTACCATTTTTCTAGAAGATTGATGTATTTAATCTCTTCCTAGGATTTTTGGAAAAAATTGTTTCTTCCTCATAGAAAATAACTCATATTGAATATCCAGCACACCATACTTATTTCCTTTTAGTTGTTTGACTTAAAGAGAACATGTACATATGCTAGACATATTCAAATAACTTTTCAAATATTTCTACCCCTCTTTGTGCCTCAGTTTCTTCCTTCATATAATAGAAATGATAATAGAACCTATCTCATTGTGTTAAGTAAAAGTTAAGAGGTAATAAAAGTAAACTTATTTACAAATATTTTCATTTACAAATATTCATTTTCAAATGAATATTACATACTTTGATTTACAAATATTTTCATATTGCTCATGCATTTGTTCAATTTAATTTTTTAACTTGTGGAACAATTATAATACTGCTACCTAGGTATTGACACACCTATTTGTGTATGACATTGGAGAGATACATTATAGTTCATTTAACCAGCATCCTATTAACATTTAAGTTATTATAATTTTATTTTCTATTTATTCATTTGAGTTCTTACATTCAACTTTATTTTGCATATTACAAAATGCATAACCCTGGTATAAGCTCTAAAATTAGGATTCTGGTGCAAAGGGTTTTTACATCATTAACTTTTATAGCTTTCAAACTTAGTAAGTCTAAGTTTACAAGCAATGCAGACTCTTAGGAATTATGTTTGATATATATTTCATAATTTGATCTTAGCAGTGCATATATTTTTAGTATTCTTATATAATAGAAGAAGGATTTAGTGTAACGTATGATGACTTAGGCAAGCACAATATTCAGCTATGTATATTTTGTGGTCAGTGGGACAATACACATTATGTGGTTGAAATTAGAGAAGATATATCTATGTTTAACATTTAAAAAATTGATTTTTATATAACTCCTAATGTGTTCTCATTTGTCTTCTGCTTGATTCATTTCTAATCCTTTCACAGGCAGCTTCTTTTTTAGATATGCATTCAGTGGTAAGTTAGTGTGAAGCTGAAACCAGAAAATCAATAGAAGGGTGAAATACTTCTCATATTCTTTATTTGCTTTCTCATCTTGTTCCTACCAGGGAGGATGTCAGAGGTCTGTCTATAATGAAAAAAGAGAGTTATTATATTGCCATCTTAATTTTTGCTTACCCTGCTCAAAGGATTTAGGTTTATGAATGACTAATAAAGCTTAAGACAATAATAAATTATTATGCTTTTCTATATTTTCCAGGCCAACTCAGTTAGTCAGAGTTTCTTGAGTTCTCAGAATAATTCTCTAATCGTGTGGTAAATTAAGTTAGAAATGGGGAAACAGGACAATAACTTGCACATTCCTCAATTAAGTTTTTTTAATATTTAGAAACAGTCTTGGTTGTACGTACACCAAGTGACATATAATGCATTATGTTGAATATTTACTATATGTCAGACAATATTCTAGGCACTCAAGACTTTTTTTTTTTTTTAATTTGCTCTAAGTTTGTATTCTAGTGAAGAGACACAGTAAGCAAATAAACAAAATGTAAAATAGTACTCTATCACTTGGGCCCTCCAGAAAGCAGTCCCTGAGATTGTTAGGATTTCAGTGAGTTTGGAGGATACTACCTGTGAAAAATAAAGGAGACAGGTAGCACAATTGGGCAGGGAAGCTTTTAGACAAAAAGCTTTCAGCGGATCTGATCTCTGTGACAAAAAAAATAGGGAGAAAGCAAGATTGAGCTGGGAGAACCTCAGACTATGATGCAGATCTGACAAGGATTTTACCAACCAAATATGGATCTTTGGAGCGAAGATTGTCAATTAGAGGAGGCCCCACTTGGACAGAAATGACTTCGTTGTATTATTCCCAGGACTTGTAGTTGTTGGCTGAGGTCTGCATAGGAAAAATTTGAATTTTGGCTAAAAAGCTGAGGCTGGTACTGAAGGTGGTACAGCTGATGGCTGTCCATTAACTTCACTCCTGCAAGCTGAATCAAATTATTTATTGAAGGAATACCTGAGCAATGCATCTCCATGGCCGTAACAAATGATAATCCTTTAAGAACAAATTTGTTTGAGGGATAGAGTATGATGAGTAGGGCAGAGGGTGGTGCCATTTTAGATAGGTGACATAAAACGTGAGCTCACTGATAGACTCTTTAAAGGGATAACAGTTGCTCAGGGACATTAGTAAGGCGAGGAAAGAAGCCATGCAGAATATCTGGGAAGAGCATTCCATGCAGAGGAGTAGTATTTGCAAAAGCTTCAGGTAGTAGTTTGGGGTAAGGAATGGGAAAGAAGCCAGTGGCCTATAACAAAGTAAGTTGTGTCCTGGCATTAAACTATATTGACATCAAAATACGAATGAAAGTGTAAATTGTCAAGAATAGACAGTGAAATCGCAACTATGAGAGCATGTGGTGGTTAGAATAATGCCAGATTATAAATAACACTAAAATCTTTCTAACTAAAAGTGTTATATTGGTACATGAATGGGTCAACTAAGCAACGGCAAAAAGTAGGCAATCAAAAATATTCACAAAAAGTTATAGAACTTTTATGGAATAAAACAAACTTGTAAAACAGTTCAGAAAAGACAAAACTTCTAATAAATGTCATTGTGTCACCTGAACAGACACAATGAACAAAAATTAAAATAGATGTGTTCTCCCACCACCACACTGTGGAATAAAATCAGTTGGATCAGAATTAGACATTTTAAAATATTGAGACCATTCAGTCTTAAAATAAATAAACTATGAATAGATTATTATAAATTCAGAGTGGATAAAATTATTCTAAATATAACATAATTCAGAAGCAATAAAATAAAAGTTTGAGCAATTTGATTATATAAAGTTCAGAGAAAGAGGAAGAAAATATCTGTGTAAATGGCAAAATTTTAAAACTCACACACACACACATTTGTGTACAAATTCAGAAGTCAAATGACAGCCTGGGGAAAAATTACAACATATCTCAAAGTCTTACAATGCCTAATAAGCAAGGAAATTCTGAAAATTAAAAAGCTGGGTGTTGTGGCTTG
This sequence comes from Homo sapiens, assembly GCF_000001405.40. Classification (NCBI taxonomy): domain Eukaryota; kingdom Metazoa; phylum Chordata; class Mammalia; order Primates; family Hominidae; genus Homo; species Homo sapiens. Next base: position 27,507,870 of record NC_000014.9, on the reverse strand, counting down.
TGCCTATAATCCCAGCATTTGGGGCCAAGGAAAGCAGATTGCTTGAGCTGAGGAGTCCAAGAACAGCCTGGGAAACATGGCGAAACCCTGCCACTACTAAAACTATTAAAATTAGCCAGGCATGGTGGCATATGCCTGAAGTCCAGGCTACTCAGGAAGTTGAGGGAGGAGGATCACTTAAGCCCAGGAGTGGTGGTTGCAGTTGAACCAAGATTGCACCATTGCACTCCAGCGTGGGTGCCAGAGTGAGACTCTGTCTCAACAAAAAAATAGAGTCAGGGCAAGATGGCTGACTAGATGCAGCCAGATGGAACACCTAGCTGCATGTTCCATCTAAGATGACTGGCGTGCTCCTAACAGATCTTCAGAAGGAAGGCACTGAGAGTGGATGGAGGAAAGACACAAGAAGCTGGGCTGAAGGGGGAGGACAATGGGAACCCTGCATGAGGCTACTATGCATTGGGATTCATTCCTGGTCCCCAGCAACTTCAAGGGAATGAGTGAGTTGAACTAGTAAGGAGCAAGCCCTTCTTGGCACAGGCCCCTGGAACTCTGGCAGGAGGAGACCCATCAGCCACCACAGACACAAGTTGGCAGGGAGAGCTGCTTATAGAAATAATAGAGGTAGTAAGCCAGCTGAGTTGGAGCCCTATAGTTGGAGCACAGCCAGGGACAGCCATCCCCCTAGGCTTTACTTGACCCCATAGGACATTTTAGCCCTAGGGGAATTTTTGGACCAGAATTCTGCAGGGTGATCTTGCCCATAGATGGGGCTGATTTGACCTGAGCACCACTTGGTCTGCTCGCTTCTCTTGGGGGCCCACCCTGACAGCCCCTGCTTGCAGGGAAGCCTTGGGTGCCTTGGGGGCCCGTATCATAACTCCTGAGCTGGCAGACTATGCCTGACGGGTATAAAGCACCAGTGATGGAGCCTCCAACCGCGCATCAACCTGCCCACTCCATCACCACACTGCAGCTTCCCCTAGGTCCACAGCAACCTCCCAAATCACTTTGCCAGTGCATGTGTGCCCAAGTAAGTTTTGCCTTCCTTGCCCCTCCAGCACACATATATTCATGCACCCTGCCCTGCCACTGCTGTGGTAGAAATGCAGTCTGCCCCCTGCCACCACCAATCACCATTGAAGTCAGAGCCTTGAGGGGCACAGAAGCAGCCAGCCCTACCCTTGCCAGCACCTTGCCCATGTGCCAACGCTGCCTCAGGAGTGAAACTAGGCACAGAGAACAGTGAACCCTCCCCTCCCCTGAGAGACCACCCCCACCTGCAGCACACAAAGAATGCACACACACTTGCACTCATGAACATCCCTCCCATGCCAACAGCACCACCAACTGGACCATATGCATAGTAGCCAGCAGGGGTCTCCTGCCCCACTGGACCATGTTGCCTCTACCACTGTAGTGAATGCCTGCACCCTGCTGCAGCAAATGAGTCTGCACCCAACCACACTTCCCCTGCCACTGCTGCTGGCATGTGTGAATGAGCATGGATGCTGCTTTGGTGCTGACACCACCCATTGAAGTGTAGTGACCAGTGGTATGGGAGTACTTTAGTTGCCCCAGTGGGGTGGATTCCTAATGTCAAGGAGCCAGAGAACAAAGTCATGGCCTGATACAAGTACCACAGAATTAGAGCATGCATTCCAAGAGTTGGGAACTAAGTGTTGCCCCACTAAAATCTTTCATAAATGAAACCAGGCAGTTGAATTCACCTTATACCACAATCAAATCCTCAAAGTCATAAAATAGGATAAAAGAAAAAAAACTCCCCAAAGGTCAGCAACTTCATGGATTCAAGGAATACCAGCCCACAAAGATGAGAAAGAACCAGTGCAAGAGCCCTGACAACTCAAAAAGTCAGAATGCCTTCTTTCCTCCAAATGACCACATTACCTCTCCAGCAAGCATTCTGAATGGGCTGATATGGCTGAAATGACAGAAATATAATTCAAAATATGGATAGAAATGAAGATCATTGAGATGCAAGAATACATTGAAACCTAATTCAAGGAAGCTAAGAATGACAATAAAATTATTCAGAAGCTGACAGACACAATAGCCGGTATAGAAAAGGATTTAGCCGATATGATAGATCTGAAAAACCCAGTACAAGAGTTTCATAATGTAATCATAAGTATCAATAGCAGAATAGACCAAGCAGAAGAAAGAATCTCAGAGCCTGAAGACTGGCTTTCTAAAATAAAACAGTCAGACAAGAATAGAGAAAAAAGAGTTAAAAGGAATGAACAAAATCTCTTAGAAATATGGAATTATGTAAGGAGACCAAACCTATGAATCATTGGTGTCTCTGAAATAGATAAGAAGAATGTGAGCAACTTGACAATCATATTTCAGGATATCATCCATGAGAACCTCCCCAACCTAGACAGGCCAATATTCAAATTCAGAAAACAGAGATAAATTTTGCAAGATACTACACAGGAAGACACATGAAAATAAGATTCTCAAAGGTAGAAATGGATGAAAAAAAATGTTAAAGACAGCCAGAGAGAAAGCACAGTTCACCTACAAAGGGAGCCCCATCAGGCTAACAGTAGATGTCTCAGCAGAAGCCCTATAAACCAGAAAATATTAGGAGTCAATATTCAACATTATTAAAGAAAAGAAGTTCTAACCATAATTTAATATTTGGCCAAACTAAACTTCATAAGCAAAGGAGAAATAAAATCCTTTTCAGACAAACAAATACTGAGGGAATTTTTTATTACCAGACCTTATTTTCAAGAGTTGCCAAAGGAAGCACTAAATATGGGAAGGAAAGACCATCAGGAGCCACTACAAAAACACACTTAAGTACACAGGCCAGTGACACTAAAAAGCAACCACATAAAGAAGTCGGCATAATAATCAGGTAACAGCATGATAATAGGATCAAAACCACACATATTAATACTAATCTTGTATGTAAATGGGCTAAATACCCTCAATTAAAAGGCACAGGGTGGCAAGCTAGATAAAGAACCAAGACCCATTGTTATGCTGTCTTCAAGAGACCCACCTCACATGCAATTACACCCATAGGCTCAAAATAAAGGGATGAAGAAAAATCTACCAAGCAAATGGAAAACAGCAAAAGGAGGCTTTGTAATCCTAATTTCAGATGAAACAGACTTTAACAAAGATCAAAGAAGACAAAGAAGGGCATTACATAATGGTAAAGGATTCAATTCAACAAGAAGACCTAACTATCCTAAATATATATTCACCCAAGACAGGAATACCCACATTCATAAGGCAAGTTCTTACAGACCTTCAAAGAAACTTAGACTCCCACACAACAATAGTGGGAGACTTCAGCACCCCACTGACAATATTGGACAAATCATCAAGGCAAAAAAGTTGACAAAGATATTCAGGACCTGAACCCAGCATTGGGTCAGTGGATCTGATAGACATATATGGAATTCTGCATGCCCATATAACAGAATATACATTATTCTCATCATCACATGACACATACTCTAAAACAGATCACATAATCCAGCATAAAACACTCCTCAGTAAATGCAAAAGAACTGAAATCATAACAACCAGTCTCTTGGACAATAGCATAATCAAATTAGAAATCAAGACTAAGAAATTTGCTTAAAACCAGGCGACTACTAGAAATTGAATAACCTATCCCCAAATGATTTTTGGGTAAATAATGAAATTAAGGCAGAAATCGAGAAGTTCTTTGAAACTAATGAGAACAAATATGCAATGTACCAGAATCTGTGAGACACAGCTAAGGCATTGTTAAGTGGGAAATTTATAGCACTAAATGCCCACATCCAAAGGTCAGAAAGATCTCAATTTAATAACCTAACATCACAAATAAAAGAACTAGGGAACGAAGAGAAAACCAACCCCAAATCTAGCATAAGACATGAAATATTCAAAATCAGGGCTGAAGTGAAGGAGATTGAGACACAAAAAGCCATTCAAAAGATCAACAAATCCAAGAGTTGTTTTTGTGAAAAAAGTAATCAAGTAGACCACTAACTAGACTTATAAAAAAGGAACGAGAGAAGGTACAAATAAACCCAAGTAGAAATGACAAAGGGGAAAGGAGATGTAACAACTGACCCCACAGAAATGAAAATAACAAGAAGAGAATAGTATGAACATATCTATGCACATAAACTAGAAAATCTAGAAGAAATGGATAAATTCCTTGACACATATAGCTTCATGAGACTGAGCAGGGAATAAATTGAATCTCTGAACAGACCAATAATAAACTCTAAAATTGAATAAGTAATAAATAGCCTACCAACTAAAAAAAGCCCAGGACCAGAGAGATTCACAGCCAAATTCTACCAGATGTGCAAAGAAGAAGTACTATCGTTCCTACAGAAACTATTCCAAAACTTGAGGAGAAAGAACTCCTTTCTAACTCCTCATATACACTGCTTATTCTCTGAGGCCAGTATCATCGTAATATAAAAGCCTTACAGAGACACAACAGAAACAAGAAAACTTCAGTCCATTATCCTTGATGAACATCCATGCAAAAATCTTCAAAAGATCACTGGCAAACTGAATCCAGCAGCACATCAAAAAGTGAATCCACCACGATCAAGTAGGCTTTATCCCTGGGATGCAAGGTTGGTTCAACATATGCAAATCAGTAAATGTGATTCATCACATAAATGGAACTAAAGACGAAAACCCCATGATTATCTCAATAGATACAGAAAAGGCTTTCCGTAAGATTCAATGCTCCTTCATATAAAAAACCCTCAATACACTAAGTATTGAGGGAACATACCTCAAAATAATAATAGCCATCTGTAACAAACCTGTAGCCAACATCATACCAAACAGGCAAAAGCTGAAAGCATTCTTCTTGAAAACTGGCACAAGACAAAGAATGCCCTCTCTCACTACTCCTATTCAACATAGTATTAGAAGACCGGGCTAGAGGAATCAGACAAGAGAAAGAAGGAACAGGCATGCAAATAGGAAGACAGGAAGTCAAACCAACCCTGTTTGCAGACAACATTATCCTATATCTGGAAAACCCCACAGTCTTGGCCCAAAGCTTCTTAAGCTGATACACAACTTTAGCAAAGTCTCAGGATACAAAATTAATATATAAAAATCACTAGTGTCCTGTACACCAACAACACCAAGCTTAGAGCCAAACCAGGAACACAACCCATTCACAATTGCCACAAAAAGAATAAAACACCTAGGAATACAGCTAATGAGGGAGGTGAAAAATCTCTACAAGGAGAACTGAAAAACGCTGCTTAAAGAAATCAGAGATGACACAAATAGAAAAACAGTCTGTGCTTATGGATAGGAAGAATCAATATCATTAAAGTGGCCATACTGCTCAAAACAATTCATAAATTAAATGCTATTCCTATTATAGTGTCATTGACATTCTTCACAGAACTAGGAAAAACTATTTTAAAATTCATATGGAACCAAAAAAAGAGCCCCAGTAGACAAGGCAATCCTAAGCAAAAAGAACAAAGTTATAAGCATCATGCTACCCAACTTCATGCTATACTACAGTTCTACAACAATCAAAACAGCATACATACTACTGATACAAAAACAGACACATAGACCAATGGAACAGAACATAGACCCCAGAAATAAGGCTGCAACGCTTACAACTATCTGATCTCTGCTAAAGCTGACATAAACAAGCAATGGGAAAGGACTCCCTATTTAATAAATACTGCTGGGTTAACTGGCTAGCCACATGCAGAAGAATGAAACTGAACCTCCTTCTTATATCATATACAAAAAAAAGCTAAAGATGAGTTAAGGACTTAAATGTAAAACCCAAACTATAAAAACCGTGGAAGATAACCTAGGCAATACCATTCAGGACATAGGAATGGACAAATATTTCATGACAAAGATGCCAAAAGCAATTGCAACAAAAACAAAAATCGACAAATGGGATCTAATTAAAGAACTTTTGCACAGCAAAATAAACTGTCAAGAAAGTAAACAGAGAACCTACAGAATGGGAGAAAATCTTTTCAAACAACTATGCATCTAACAGAAGTCTAATATCCAGCATCATAAGGAATTTAAACAGTTTTGCAGGAAAAACAAATAAAACCCCATTAAAAGTGAGCAAAACAGACACTTTTCAAAATAAGACATACATAGAGCCAAAAAGCATATGAAGCAAAGCTCATCATCACTGATCATTCAAATTAAAACCACTATGAAATATGATCTCATACCAGTCAAAATGGCTATTTTTAAAAAGATAAAAGCAGATGTTGGTGAGATTGCAGAGAAAAGGGAATGCTTGTACACTGTTGAGGGGAATATAAATTAGTTTATTCACTGTGGAAAACAGTTTGGAGATTTCTCAAAGAAATTAAAACAAAAATATGATTCGATCCAGCAATCTCATTACTGAGTATATATGCAAAAGAAAACAAATTGTTCTACCAAAATGACACATGCTTGTGTATGTTCATTGCAGCACTATTCACAATAGAAAAGACATGGAATCAACCTAAATGACCATCAGTGGTAGAGTGGATAAAGAAAATATGGCACATACACAATGGAATACTATGTAGCTGTAAAAAATAATGAAATCATGTCCGTTGCAGGAACATGGATGGAGCTGGAGGCCATTATCCTTAGCAAACTAATGCGAGAACAGAAAACAAAATATCACAAGTTCTCAATTATAACTGGGAGCTAAATTATGAGAACACATGGACATATAGAGGGGAACAACAAACACTGGAGCCTATCAGAGGGTGGAGGGTTGGATAAGGGAGAGGATCAGGAAAAATAACTAATGGGTACAAGGCTAAATACCTATATGACAAAATAATCTGTACAACAAACTCCCGTAACATGAGTTTACCTATATAATAAATCTGCATATGTACCCCTGAACTTAAAATAAAAGTTAAAAAATAAAAATAAAGGACCAAAAACCATCTTAAAGCAGGCACAATATATAAGCATTCCACATGGAAAATCCCAATATACATTATAAATATTTTCCTCCTTCAATAATAATGAATAAAATACAAATTTAAACAACATTGTGATGCCATTTCTCATCTATAAAAATAGAAAAAAAAAACCTCAAAAGTTTAACAACATACCCTGTGGGTAAAATTATACCAAAATAGGCACTTTTGCACATGGTTGGTGAGAATACAAGATAACAAAATCTTTGTGAAGGGGACTATGACATCATCTTGAAAAACTGCATATACATTTATGCCTTTACCTGACATTACCATGAAATATATCCCATATACAACCTGTTAATAATTCACAGTGACATATGATCAAGACTATTTATCATGATTTCATTTGTAAACATAAGACGTTGGAAATAATTCAAAGGTGCATCAGCAGTGGAGTTGTTAAATATTCTCTGCTACATATACGTGGAGGAATATAAAAACAAATGAGGCAGAATTTCTTGATACAAATATGCAGTAACCTCCAGGATATATTCTTAGGTAATATAAAAGAACCAAGATGGAAATATCATTTCTGTTATAAGAAATCTCAATAATTTGAGACACAGGACCTTGTGGGCCCTAACTAAGTAATCTGGTCTCCTATCTTTTACATAAACATCTGTTTATGTTTCTCAAGAGAAACATATTTTTTGAATTGAGTCCATGTACTGTAAATCAGCCACCTTGAAAATGCAATGTATTGCAACATTATACTGGATTTCCCTCCATCGCATTTTCCCTATTTCCATTTTCTAACTTTCTGTGTTTTCCTCATAAGTAACCAGCTCACACCTAAGACCTCATCTCAGCCACTACTTTTGATGGCACCCAAGTGAAGACACCAAACAATAACAAAAATCCCATAAGTTCTGGTACATTTCTCCATGGTAGCTACTATATTTAAGTGCACAGTAAATAGTTCATTGATCAAGGATGCTTCTAAATCATTTCAAATCTGTGATAGTCCTCAATGGGACCAAAACATAAGATTTGGTAAGATCAAAAGTGTCACTCCTATAGATTTTTGAGTGAAACAGGCCTTAATATTCTTATTTTACATTCCAATTTTGTTTTACCTTCACAGAAGATTATTAAATGTTGTAATAGTAAAACTCCCAATGTACTAGCAGATATCATTTGCATTTTTTAAATGTAAATAATAATTGGCTGAAGATTTTGAATGACATATGAGCAGACACATCTGGATGAAATTTAAACCAGTTATTTTTCAGCCTACTATTTGATTTTAGTGTGCTTCTTTTTTCAATGTTGGTTTACAACTTCATTTTGGCCCTCAGTAATTTATACAATAAACTCAGGCACAAGGAATTAGGCAATACTGCAAAATATATACAATAAGCAATAATGTACTGGGACATAATCTTAAAAAGAAATTAGCTTCCCCAATTTGCAGATGAAAATCCATGATCTAGAACATATGCCATGCCTACAATCATGTAGTTGGTATTTGAATAAAGACTCAATTTATGTCTTTCAAAACAACCCCAAACTCTTTTCATTATAATTAAATTTCCAAAAATGTTAACTACATAACAATTTGCATATAATATTGCTTGTTTACTGAACAAAAATATGAGCAGAGTTTAGCATAAGATGACTGCATTTGAAGATTTTTTTTTTACAAATGATTATTTTTCTCCTGATTCATAAAGTTTGTTCTCATTTACCTCATTTCTTCTTAATCACCTTAACTACAGAAATGCTTCTTTTATTAAAAAAGTTTTTGAAAACCTTTATTCACATTTTCTGTGTTAGTGTTAGCAGGAATTAACTTTATATTTCTTACCTTGGAAATTAATCAAATTTTTAGTCTGGACTATTGGTAGATTTTGTTTCTCATAATGAGATGTACCCAGAGTTTCAATATTGTGTACCATCAAATAGGGATTTTATTTATTCATCATTTTCATTATGAGTAATCTTCATGCTCAATATTTTAGTCATCTGAATAAATAGCAAAATTATACTGTACAATGTCCTGAAAATGAGGTTAGTCTATGTACAAGTCAAGTGAAACGATTTTCTCTCATCTCAACTGAATTTGTGAAATAATAAATAATGTAAGAGGGAAAAGATTGGCTGCTGAAAATCAATTCCACTATCTAAAGTATATCAATAAGTTGATAATATGGAGAAACTGTAATAAGGCAAGTCATCGCAGAAGTGGGAAAAAAACTGCAGTAAGTTGCAAGTTAGAATTTTACTTTATATAATATTACCACATCACATTTGGTCAAAAGATCATGATCCAAGTCAAACTTTCTAAAGTAAGTCGTGCATCTCCAGGAAGCATTGTTATAAATAAACTTATCAAGTAAGATTTGAGGAGTCTTTAAAGATTCAGTATAAACACTCTTTAATTTTGTGTCTGAGTAGTAACTCAAATTGTAATTTTATGACATATTTTTATTACAGTGACTCTCAAATAAAAAATAAAACACATCATAATATTCTCAATGAAAAAGTGCTTTTATTATGTGATATTATGAAAATAACTTAAGAGAAAAAAATCAGTATTTTGTCTCAAGGCAAAAATCTATGTTGTTTAACTTTTAAATTTTTATCTATGACAATGGCTCTTCTCAAGATTAAGTGTAAAAATAGAGAAAAATGTCTCAACAGGAGATCAAAATTACCTACATTTAGTAGAGTTAAAACTTTCAGTGCCAAAGTCAGAGGCAGATTACATTCAGTTTATATCAAAATTCTTACGTTTGTTCTGGCAAGGGCATAGATGCTTTTGTTTTGTTTTGTTTTAAAATGAATTTGTATGAATTTGAACCTTAGTTCACCTGTTTATTGTAAATGAAACTGGCTGCATAATTTGTAAGACACAGTGCAAAATAACCATGCAATGCCCCTTGTTGAAATATTGTTAAAAATTTCAAGATGACAACAGCAAAGCAGTAACCATTTGTGGAGCCCTTTTCAGCATGAAGCCCCATGTGACCACACAGGTTGCACACTTATGAATCAGTCCTAATTGTGTAATTTGTGATACATTATTTAACTTTTGTAGATTTAGTTTAGTGTTGTATATTTAAGACAGTTGATAAAATGAATTTATTGAGATGCTATGAAGAAAAATGGATTCCAGGTAAATCACCTGGGCCACATGTGGCCTATGTGCTATGGTTTGCACAAGCTTGATATAATACATGACCTTTGTGTCTGGCTTCTCTCACTTAGCATAATGTTTTTGTCCAAAGTGTTGTATGTATCAGTAGATCTTCCTTTTTTTTTACTGGATTTACATGATTTATTAATAATCTGTGATATGATTCTTAATAATCTATGATATTATATCGTCAGTACATTTTACTTCTACTAGGTTGATTCCAGTTTATGGCTATTACAAATAGTATTCTGTTAACATTCGTGTGTGTGTGTGTGTGTGTGTGTGTGTGTGTGTGTATGTAAATATGTGTATTGGTAAATATGTAATTCATTTCCCTTAGGTATATAGAGAATCTAAGAGTAGAATTGCTAGGACAGAGTATATGCATCTATTGATAAACATATATTACCAAAGAATTTTCCAATGTAATAATATCAATTTACATTCCCATCAACATTGTATGAGAGTTCAAGTTGCTCCAGATCGTCATCAGTTTTGTTATTATTTATCTTTTGAAAAATGAGTTAGTCATTCCAGCAAAAGCGCGGAGACATCTAATTGTGGTTTAAATTTGTATTCTCAGGATATCTCACAGAGTAGAACGTACTTTCATATGTTGATTAGCCAAGTGAATATTCTTTTTTTGTGAGGTTTCTGATAAATTCTTTTTGACAATTTTTTTATATTGATGTCTTTGTCTTACTAATTTCAAAGTTTGGTACATATTCTAGAGGTGAATTTCTCTTTTTTTTTTCAGCCTGAGAGCAAACTTTTAAACAAAATTTATTTATTTATTTATTTATTTATTTATTTATTTATTTATTATTTTATTTTATTTTTTTGAGATGGAGTCTTGCTCTGTCGCCCAGGCTGGAGTGCAGTGGCATGATCTTGGCTCACTGCAAGCTCGACCTCCCAGGTTCACGCCATTCTCCTGCCTCAGCCTCCTGAGTAGCTGGGACTATAGGCGCCCACGACCACGCCCAGCTAATTTTTTTTGTATTTTTAATTGACACATTGTATATGTACTTATGTATGAAGTACAGTTTTAAATTTTGACACATATTTATGTTGTATAATAATCTAATTAGAGTAGTTACTGTATCCATCACCTCATGCATGTATCATTTCTTTGTGGTAAAAACATTTAAAAACCCCTCTTCTAACTATTTTGTAATAAAGAATATTTTACTGTTAACCATAGTTACCCTACTGTGCAAAAGATTATGAGAAATTATTCCTTCTATCTAATTGTAACTCTGTACCCACTGACCAACGTCTCCCCATCCTTACGTCTCCACTCCCGTCTCCAGTATCTGGTAATCACTGTTCTACTCTCTACTTCTATGATATATATTTAGATCCCACGTGCGTGAAATCATGCAGGATTTGTCTTTCTGTTCCTGGCTTATTTCATTTAACAGACATTTCTCCAAGTTCCAAGTTCATCTATTTGTCACAAACGACAGGATTTTCCTCTTTTTTATAACTGAATAATATTCCATTATATGTGTGTGTGTTTGATTGTGTGTGTATGTGTTTTTGTGTGTGTATACACACAATACGTTTATTTTTTACTAATTCATTAATTGTTGGTCACTTAGGTTGATTTTTATCTTTGCTATTCTAAGTTGTGCTGCAATAAACATGTGACTGCAGATATCTATTCAACATACTTATTTTACTTCCTCTAGATATATACCCATGGTAGAATTGCTTTTAATTTTTTGAAGAACCTTCATATTTCCAAAACGGTTGTGCTGGTTTAGAATCCCACCAGTAGTATGTAAATATTCCCTTTCTCCTTATTCTTACCAACACTTGTTTTATTTTGTCTTTTTGGTAATAGCCGTAAAGAGAATAAGGTGGTAACTCATTGTGGTTTTGATTTGCATTTCTCTGATGACTAGAGATATTGAACATTATTAAATATACCTGTTGGCTATTTATAATCTTCATTTGATACTGGCTGTTAAAATCTATTGCTTATTTTTAATTGGTTTATTTTTTTCTGTTGAGTCAATTCCTTATATAGTCTGGATATTAATCACTTGTCAGATGTGTAGTTTACAAATATATTATCCAATTCTGTAGTTTGTATATTCACTGTGTTAATAGTTTCCTTTGCTGTGTGAAAGCTTTTTAGTTTGATTTAAATCTTGTCTATTTTTGCTTTTGCAACCTGTGCTTTTGAGGTATTATTTTTAAAATCTTTCCTCAGCCCAATGTCCTGAAGCATTTCCTCAGCTTTCTTGTAGTTTAATAGTTTCAGGTTTTACATTTAAATATTTAACATATTTTGAGTTGATTTTGATACATGGTGAAAGTTAGAGGCCTAGTGTCATTCTTTGACAGACATATGGATATCAGATTTTCCTAGCCCCATTTACTGAAGAGACTCCCATTTTCCTGGTATATGTTCCTGGCACCTTTGTCAAAAATCATGTGGATATAGGTACGCAAATTTATTTCTAGGCTTTCTATTCTGTTTCATTGGTCTATGTATCTGTTTTTATGCCAGCACCATGCTGTTTTGGTTACTACAGCTTTGTAGTATATTGAAGTCAGGTAGCATGATACTCCCAGCCACGTTCCTTTTGCTCAATATAGCTTTGGCTATTTGGGGTCAGTTTTTCCATGTGAATTTTATAATTTCTTTTTCTATTTCTATGAATAATGTTATTAGTATTTTAGTAGGGATTGCATTGAATCTGTAAATAACTTTGTGTAATAGGGCCATTTTAATAATTGTAATCCTTCCAGTCTGTAAAGATGTGTTATCTTTTCATTTATTTGTGCCCTCTTCAATTTCTTTCTCAAAGTTTTACTGCTTTGAGTTAAAAGACCTTTCACCTCCTTGGTTATGTTTATTTCTGTATATCTTCTTTGTATAGCTATTGTAAAGAAAATTTCTTTTCTGTCTTTATTCCGATCTGAATGCCTTTTATTTCTTTGTCTTCCCTGTTATTTCTGGCCAGGATTTTCAGTGCTATACTGAATAGAAATGGTGAAGGTAGGATTCCTAGGTATTTTATTCTCTTTGAAGCAATTGTGAATGGGAGTTCACTCATGATTTGGCTCTCTGTTTGTCTGTTATTGGTGTATAAGAATGCTTGTGATTTTTGCACATTGATTTTGTATCCTGAGACTTTGCTGAAGACGCTTATCGGCTTAAGGAGATTTTGGGCTGAGACGATGGGGTTTTCTAAATATACAATCATGTCATCTGCAAACAAGGACAATTTGACTTCCTCTTTTCCTAATTGAATACCCTTTATTTCTTTCTCCTGCCTGATTGCCCTGGCCAGAACTTCCAACACTATTTTGAATAGGAGTGATGAGAGAGGGCATCCTTGACTTGTGCCAGTTTTCAAAGAGAATGCTTCCAGTTTTTGCCCATTAGGTATGATATTGGCTGTGGGTTTGTCATAAATAGCTCTTATTTTGAGATACATCACACCAATACCTAATTTGTTGACAGTTTTTAGCATGAAGGGCTGTTGAATTTTGTCAAAGGCCTTTTCTGCATCTATTGAGATAACCATGTGGTTTTTGTCTTTGGTTCTGTTCATATGCTGGATTACGTTTATTGATTTGCTTACAAGGGATGTGAAGGACCTCTTCAAGGAGAACTACAAATCACCGCTCAAAGAAATAAAAGAGGACACAAAAAAAGATGGAAAAACATTCCATGTTCATGGATATGAAGAATCAATATATGAAAATGGCCATAGTGCCCAAGGTAATTTACAGATTCAATGCCATCCCCATCAAGCTACCAATGACTTTCTTCACAGAATTGGAAAAAACTACTTTAAAGTTCATATGGAACCAAAAAAGAGCCTGCATTGCCAAGACAATCCTAAGCCAAAAGAACAAAGCTGGAGGCATCATGCTACCTGACTTCAAACTATACTACAAGGCCACAGTAACCAAAACAGCATGGTACTGGTACCAAAACAGAGATACAGATCAATGGAACAGAACAGAGCCCTCAGAAATAATACCTCTTATCTACAACCATCTGATCTTTGACAAACCTGACAAAAACAAGCAATGGGGAAAGGATTCCCTATTTAATAAATGGTGCTGGGAAAACTGGTTAGCCATATGTAGAAAGCTGAAACTGGATCCCTTCCTTACACCTTATACAAAAATTAATTCAAGATGGATCAAAGACTTAAATCTTAGACCTAAAACCTTAAAACCCCTAGAAGAAAACCTAGGCAATACCATTCAGGACATAGCCATGGCCAAGGACTTCATGTCTAAAACACCAAAAGCAATGGCAACAAAAGCCTAAATTGACAAATGGGATCTAATTAACTAAAGAGCTTCTGCACAGCAAAAGAAACTATCATCAGAGTGAACATACAACCTACAGAATAGGAGAAAATTTTTGCAATCTAGTCTTCTGACAAAAGGCTAATATCCAGAATCTACAATGAACTCAAACAAATTTACAAGAGAAAAACAAACAACCCCGTCAAAAAGTGGGCAAAGGATATGAACAGACACTTCTCAAAAGAAGACATTTATGAAGCCAGCAGACACATGAAAAAATGCTCATCATCACTGGCCATCAGAGAAATGCAAATGAAAACCACGATGAGATACCATCTCACACCAGTTAGAATGGTGATCATTAAAAAGTCAGGAAACAACAGGTGCTGGAGAGGATGTGGAGAAATGGGAACACTTTTACGCTATTGGTGGGACTGTAAACTAGTTCAACCATTGTGGAAGACAGTGTGGCAATTCCTCAAGGATCTAGAGCTAGAAATACCATTTGACCCAGCCATCCCATTACTGGGTATATACCCAAAGGATTATAAAGCATGCTGCTATAAAGACACATGCACACGTAGGTTTATTGTGGCACTATTCACAATAGCAAAGACTTGGAACCAACCCAAATGTCCAACAATGACAGACTGGATTAAGAAAATGTGGCACATATACACCACAGAATACTATGCAGCCATAAAAAAGGATGAGTTCATGTCCTCTGTAGGGACATGGATGAAGCTGGAAACCATCATTCTCAGCAAACTATCACAAGGACAAAAAACCAAACACCGCAGGTTCTCACTCATAGGTGGGAATTGAACAATGAGAACACTTGGACACAGAAAGGGGACCATCACACGCCCGGGAGTGTTGTGGGGTGGGGGAGGGGAGAGGAATAGCATTAGGAGATATACCTAATGTAAATGACAAGTTAATGGGTGCAGCACACCAACAGGGCACATGTATACATATGTAACAAACCTGCACGTTGTGCACATGTACCCTAGAGCTTAAAGTATAATAATAATAAAAAAAAAAGGAATGGTGAAAGTAGGAATCTTTATCTTGTTTCTGACATTAGAGGAAAAGTTTTCAGCTTTTTCCCATTCCGTGTAATGTTAGCTGTGAGTTTGGCATACATGACTTTTATTATGTTGAGGTGCATACTTTATATACCTAATTTGTTGAGAAATGTTATCATGAAGAGTTTATTTTTAAAATTTTTATTTTAAGCCTAAGGGGGTACATGTGCAGGATGTGCACCATCATTTGTTACATCAGTAAACATGTGTCATGGGGTGTTATTATGCAGATTATTTCATCACCCAGGTATTAAGCCTAGTATCCATTAGTTACTTTTCCTGGCCCTCTTCCTCCTCCCACCCTCCAGCTTCCGAAAGGCCCCAGTGTTTGTTGTGCCCCTCTATGCATCCTACCATAGAAAAATTTCACTGCGATTTTACTTGGTATTACTTCGATTCTCTAGATCAATTATGAAAGGAGACATGCATACAAGTATTGAGTCTTCTAATTTATAAACATTGTACATTCCTGCATTTAGATTTTTCTTAATTACTATCAATAATGTTGCACAGTTTTTAGTGCAGAGACTGTGCATTTTTTTGTTTTTTATAGAAATAACATTTATTTTCAGCCATATCATTTTAAAATATTTTGTATTTACTAGCAGACAACTTTAGGCTTAAATTTGTGTTATAATTTTCAAGTGTTAATACATTTAGTTTTGTGTTTTTAGTTTACTTTTTGTTGCAATAAAAACACTTAACATGAGATCTGTTAGGAGATTTGTTGAGATCAATACTCAACAAAATTTTAAGTGTTCAAACAGTATTGTTAACTATAGGCATAGTATTGTATAGTAGATTTCTGGAACTTACTGATCTTGCATAAATAAAACGTTTTATCTGCTCAACAGCAACTCCAAGCTTCTGCCTCCTCACAGCTTCTAACAGCTATGATTCTACTCTCTGTTACTATGAGTTTGAATATTTTATATACCTTACAGTAAGTGGAATCATGCAGTATTTGTCCTTCTGTAACTGGCTTATTTCACTTAGCATAATATCCTCCAGGTTCGTCCATGTTGCCACATATAGCAGAGTTTCCTTTTTTTGGTTAAATAATATTCAATTATATCTATATACCACATATTTATATACTATATATCTATATACTGCATTTAAATATATTGCATACCTATATACTGCACATCTCTATATACACGTTGATATATATAGAGAGATTTATATGTATATATTACATTATATCTGTATATAGATATACTATATATCTACATATACTACATACAGATGTAGTATATATAATGCATTTTATCCATTCACTAATGGATGGACATTTAAGTTTTTCTCACATGTTAGTTATTGTGAATAAAGCTCCAATGAGCAGATATATCTTTGAGATCCCAATTTTGATTATCTTGATTATACAGGTGCTCTATCACTTATGATGGGGCTATGTCCCAAGAAACCCATCTGTGTTAGTCAGGGTTCTCTAGAGGGACAGAACTAATAGGATAGATTACATGAAGGGGGTTTTATTAAGGAGTATTGACTCACATGATCACAAGGTGAGGTCGTCTTCACCTTGTGGTCGTCTGCAAGCTGAGGAGCAAGGAAATCAGTCTGAGTCCCAAATCCTCAAAAGTAGGGAAGCCGACAGTGCAGCCTTCTGTCAGTGACCAAGGGCCCAAGATCCCCTGGCAAACCACTGTTGTAAATCAAAGAGTCCAAAAGCTGAAGAACTTGGAGTCCGATGTTTGAGGGCAGGAAGCAACCACCACGGGAGAATGATGAAGGCTGGAAGGCTCAACAAGTCAAGTTCTTCCACGTTCTTCTGCCTGCTTTTATTGTGGCTGAACTGGCAGCTAATTAGATGGTGCCCACCTAGATTGAGGGGGTCTGCCTCTTTCAGTCCACTGACTCAAATGTTAATCTCCTTTGGCAACACCCTCACAGACACACCCAGGAACAATACTTTGCATCCTTGAATCCAATCAAATTGACACTCAATATTAACTATCACACCATCTTAATTCAAAAATATCGTGTCAAAAATATATTTCATGCCTCAATAAATCCATTGTACAGTAAAAAACTGTAAGTTTGACTATCATAAGTCCAGGTGCTCCTTGATATATGATGGGGTTAGGTGCCAACACATTCATCGTGAAGTCAAAATATTGTAAATGGAACCATCGTAAGTCAAGAATTATTAGTGTGCTAAGAAGTGGGATTGTTAAACCCTATGGTAGAGTTTTTTTACTTTTCTGAGGAAACATTATACTATCCTATAGGGACTGAATCAGTTTCCATTTTCACAAACATTGTAAAAGTGTTCTAATTAATCCACATTCTCACCCCACTTGTCTTTTTTATAATAGCCATACTAACAGGTGTAAGGAATATCTCTTCTTTTTCATAAAAACAAGGACAGTTTTGAGTTTTGATTTGAATGTACATAAAAATTAATGCTATTTTACATATTTTTATACATCTATTGGCCAATTGTGTAACATCTTTGGGAAAAAAAATGTGTTGTGTAACATCTTTGGAAAAAATGTTGGAGTCCTTTGCCCATTATTTAATTTAGGCATTTGTGGAGTTCTTCTTGTTTGTTTTTGTTATCCTTTTGTTACCGAATTGTAAGGAGTTCCTTGTACATTTGGGATATTAATCCCTCACCAGATACATAATTTGCAAATATTTTCTCCTGTTCTGTAGGTTTCTTTCACTGTCACTTCTTTCCTTTTCTGTACAGAACCTTTTATAATGTGATGGAGTCACACTTCATTAATCTTGCTTTTGTTGCTTATGATTTTGGTGTCATATCTAGGAAAATAATGTCAAATCCAATGCCATGAAGTTTTCCCACTATGTTTTCTTCTAGAAGTTTTGCAGTTCTGGGTCTTACATTTAAATCTTTAATCCCTATGTGTTGCTTTTTGTGTATAGTGTAAGTTAAGGGTCCAGCTTCATTTGCGTGTTTGTGATTAGCCAGTTATCATAGTACCATTTGTTGAAGAGACTATTCTTCTCCATGGGTCATTTTTGGCACTTTCATTGAAGATCAGTTGACTGTTTATGTATGGGTGTGTTTCTGGGCTCTCTATTCTGTTCCATTGGTCTATGTGTGTGTTTTATGCCAGTACCATACTATTTTGATTACAACAATTTTATAAAATGATTTGAAATCAAGAAGTATTATGCTTACAGCTTTGTACTTTTGTACTTTCTCAAAATTGCTTTGGCTTTTTAGGGCCTTCTTTGGTTTCATATGAATGTTATAATTGATTTTTCTATTACTGTAAAATATGCCATTGGAATTTTGATAGTGATTGTGTTAAATCTATAGATTTCTTTGAGTAGAATTGACATTTTTACAATATTAATTATTTCAATCTATTAGTATGAGATGTCTATTTGTTCCTTCTTTAATTTATTTCATGAATAGTTTGTAGTTTTCACTGTATAAATGTTTCTCCTCTTTGGCTAAGATTATTCCTAATAGCCATACACAATTCTATTCTACTCAAGCTATTTGAGTTATTTTTCACCTAATTGTAAAATATATCTTTTTTAGAATAAAAATAAAATTTATTGTAATGTTTGTTATGATTTTCCTCTTGCATAATATAACAAATATTTATAATAATTATAAAATACTTCCATTTGCTATTAAAATTTTAAGCGAGGTATAATACATACAAGAAGTCTTCAGTGTACAATGCAAATAAATTTGATACATTTGCATATCCATGTAAACTGAATCAAACCACATTAGAAACTGCTAAGCAACTTAGGAAGTTGTTGAAACTCTATTCTCCTAAATTAATTGCCTTAGCCTCAAATTAGTATTTTGAACATGTTCAAAACAACGCAAGAACCATTCACATTTTAACTTATTTACACTACACCCACCTTATTTACTATTGTCGTCATATATTTTGCTTCAACATACCTATAAACATTGCAATATTATATCATTATTTCTTCTTTCAAAAGTTGTCTTCATGTTTACCAAACTATTTTCCTTTCTGATACTTTCTTCTTACTTTTCTCTGTTTCCATCTAGGGTTGTTTTCTTTCAGCTTGTTAAGCTTCCTCTATTATTTATTATAGCTCAACCGATAAGACAAATTACCTTGCTCTTTGTTGGTCTGATAATTTATTTTTTATTGCTCTCATTTTAGAAGGACAAAGAAGTAATTAAAGCAATAAACATTTAGAAATAGAGAAATTCACAAAGTTAAAATGTAATGTAGAATTTAATTTTTTAAGCCTTTGATTATGCAAATAATAAAAACAATTAATTGGGCTGATTAATTATATTCTATTGTCTACTTTTCTTCCTATAAGGAATACACTTTTAAAATATGTTCAGGGAATATGAAAAAATGTGTTTTCTATTATAATCATTACATTTTCAAGAATATAAATAACTCACCCTATTTTTCTAAAGAGAATTACGGTAAGGTTAATTATGAATAATAAGACTTTTATTTAAGATACATCATATGCCAAATAAAGTTATATTTACCTCTGTTGTGGACTGAATGTTTGTTTACCTGCAATATTCATATGTTGCTTTTCATGAAAATGGTGCTACTTAGGGGTGAAAGCTTTGGGAGATAATTAGGTTTAGATGAAGTCGTAAGAGTGGGGCCTCCATGATGAGACTTGTGTCCTTATAAGAGGAAAAAAGACCATAGGTCCCTAGCTCTCTCGACAGTGTGAAAACATAGTAAAAATGTGGCCATCCGCAAGCCAAGGAGAGGGCTCTTTCCAGGAAGTGAACCTGTTGGCACCTTAATTTTGGAATTCTCAGCCTCCAGAGCTATGAGAAATAAATGCCTTTTGTTTAAGCCAACTAGTCTATGGTGTTTTGTTATAGTAGCCCAAGCTGAGTGAAATGGATTTTGGTAACAAGAGTAGGTGCTGCTTCTAAACATGTGGAAGTGACTTTGAAATTGGGTTTGGGTAGAGATTGGAGAAGTTTTGAGGTGCACGCTGGAATAGGGACATTAAGGTTGGTTCTGGTGAGGGCTCATAGATAAAAGAAGAGAGCTGTCGAGAAAGGATCTATCTTCTTAGATAATAGATAAATAATTATCAATAGAATGTTAATAGAAATGTGGACAGTACAGCCAATTCTGTGAAGGTCTCAGATAGAAATGAGGAAAATGTTATTGGACAATAAAAGAAAGTGATCCTTGTTATAAAGTGCCAAAGAACTTGCTGAATTGTGCTCTCGTGTTTTGTGAAAAGTAGAACTGGTAAGTGGTAAAATTTGATTATTTAACTAAGGAGATTCCTAAGAAAGTGTTGAAGGATTGGCTTACTTCTATCTGATGGCTTATAGTAAAATGCAAGGGATGAATTGAACAAGGAATTGTTAAGAAAAAAGAAACAAGAAGTTAAAATTTTGAAAAATGTTCAGACTATCCATATTGCAAAAAGCTAAAAAGCTTGTTCTAAGAGCTCCCTAAGGATGTAAGATTAGTATGGGTGTTTACCACAGATCTACCCAGCCATTCCACAGTAATACTGCCAGTTTGAACTGAAGAGGGTAAAGAGGGGACCAAATGAAGGAAGTTTGTTGGAATTCTTAGATCCTACAAGACTGAGTTCTAGAGCCATTTGACTGTGAATATGTTATTCTTAAAGACAAGGGAAGAATGACCTCAAAGATTATTCAGAGATCACCAGGGCTCTCTTTCAGTTTGAAAAGCCAGGAAAGGGGTGGGTTCACCTTAGTTTCAACAGTTCAGGTGACAGCTGTGTGGAACCTTGGGTGCAGGGTCTTGGGAAAGTGATCTACTCTCAGCAGACCTTAGGAGGCGGAAATGCTACCCTAATGAATTGAGAAGGCAGATGCACCTCCCCAGGTGGTCCGGAAGAAAGGGCATAAAACCAAAGAGAATTATTTTTAAGCCCTTTAGATCTAATAGTATTTGCCTAAGTAAGTTTGGGATTTGATTGGAATCCATCATCTCTTTCTTCTTTCCATTTTTTTTTTTTTCCTTTAGAATGCGAATGTCAGTCCTATGCCTGTCTCACCAATGTATTTGGGAAACACGTGACTTATTTAATTTCACAGGCTCACAGCTGTAAAGAAAGTTTGTCTCAGGATTAAGCTTATCTGATTTAGATGATATTTTAATGAAACTTTGCACTTTAGACTTTAGATATGATGCTGGATCTAGTTAAGACTTTTGGACCTGTTTGGATGAAATGAATATATTTTGCATGTAAGCAGGACATGGATGTAATGTAGGGAAGGGTGTCAGTTGCTGATGCTGTGGGCTGATTGTGCCTCCCCCAACACTCATATGTCGAAGCCCTAACCCTCAACGTGATAGTGTTTAGCAATGACGCCCTTAGGGGATAATTTAATTTAGATGAAGTCTTGAGGGTGGAGCTCCATGATTGAACTAGTGTCCTTATAAGATCTCTCTTTCTCTCTCTCTCTCTCTCTGTCTCTTTCTCCTTCTCTCCACTTATGATCAAGGTTCCCATTGGCAAGCCATGAAGAAGGCCCTCACCAGGAACTAAATTACTGGTGTTTTGATCATAGACATTAGAGCCTTCAGAATAAATGGCGTAGGCCATTTTTCAGCCACTCAGTTTATGGTATTTTGTTATAGTAGCAAAAAGTGATTAAGAAAATCTCCTATGGTTATAATACATATGTTAATTAGCTAGATTTAGTCAATCCAAAATGTATATATACTTTAAAACATAATATTTTATATGATAAATACATATATAATTTAATCCCTAAATTTAAAAAATAATAAAAATCATGATTCAGACTAGAAGTAGAACAGAAATTCAAAGAGATGTAATACAAGGAGAACAATAAAACATCACCATAATATATGTTGAAAAGGAATTTTGTAATATTTAACATGCCTTCCTGGCAAAAACAACTCAGAAAAATTGTCATAAATATATACTTTCATTTACATTTCCACAAATATATGAATAAATAAATGAACATATAGCTGAGCTATGCAAATTCTTTGAAAACAAATGATTAATTCTGACATAAAAAAACATAAAATCAAAGTATGTTAAAATTATTTTGTACCTTAAATCTATCTTAAATCTATTGTAAATATATATGTATGTGTGTATATATATATATGTGTATATATATATATACACACACACACACATACATATATGTATATATATCTTCCCACAAAAAAAAAAATCAGGTCCACATATATTTTCACTTGTGAATTATTTTAAAGATTTGATGATGAAAGATCAATTGTAGTCAAACTCTTATATAGAATAAAAAAGAGAAACCATTTTCCAAATCATTTTAGGAGTATAGAAAACCCTTGATACTAAAAATTGGCAAGAATCTTATAAGAAAGGAAAATAATATTCCAATTTATTTCATTAAAACAACATTGTAAACTTAAGGCATATAAATATATTCTATCTATCCATATGTCTATTTATCTAATAGACTCCAATATCCTGTAATATAATTTTTTAATAAGTAAATATATTCATCACATTAAGACAATAAAAAGTGCATGATCATCACAAAAGCTAAAAAGCATTTGAATACAGCATGGATTCATATTTTTGAAATCTAACAGACTATGAAATAAAAGTAATGTATTCAATCTGTAGGTTATCTAAAAGAAGCCATTATCATCATTTTAAGGATGAAATTATGAAAACATTCCTATTATGATTGAGAAACACACAAAAATGCCTTTTATCACTATTTCTATTCAAAATTATCTTTAAGCTACTGTAAACCAGATTGCTATTCAAAAATTAATTGTATTTTTAATACCAGCAACAAACCAACTGAATTTTTTTTAAATCACATTAACAAAAGCAGTTAACACTATCATCTCAAATAGGTGAAAAATATAAAACCTTTGATATAAAATATCCACCTATTATGAGGAGATATTTAAGAAGAAATACATAAGCAAAAGGAAAAATCACGTTATGGGTTGGTAGAACAAAATTGTACAAATATAAATGTATGCCAAACAAAATTTTTGATTCCAATAAAAATTCTTGGCTGGTTCTCTTGTGGAAATCGACAAATTGGCTAGAAAGTTTTTGTGGAAATGCCAAGCCTAAAAATGCCAATGGCAATTTTGATGAAGAGCAACAAAGCTAGAGTACTTGTACTACCAGAAATTAATATCTATTATAGAGGAAGATTAATTATAGAGTGTGATATTGGTACAAGAATTGACAAATAGACCAGTCAAACAGAAACTTCAGATACTGATTTTCACACTGATGTTACTGCTGTGCTGTGAGCAAAGAAAGAACCCTCTATGAAGTCTGAGTAGGTTACTATGATATCCTTGGGAAAAAAAATCAGAAATTGACCCCTACTTCTCAAAATACACAAGTATTAATTCCGGATAGCCTGTAAATGTAAATACATGAAACATCATTTTAAAAAGTAAAAAAGTCATAGAATATTTTCTCAATGTAAAGGAAATATTTTCTTAAACAAGACAGAGGGCATTAGACATATAGAAAAATATAATAGGATTACATGGGAATCAAGAACATCTCTTTATGAAATGACACCAAATTAAGGACTAATAAAATAAACATACAATCACATGTAAAAATTAAAAAATATCTATATATTTAGAGTGAAACAATACTTTTATGATATGTCTATTACTAAGATTCATTTCTCTACATTTTTATCTTTAGATTCAATGCAATTCCAATCACAGTCAAGTTTTTTGGTGAAACATTTAAGATTTATTAAATAGGATAACAATGGTCTTTAAAAAGCCATAGTATGACACCATGGAAGAAAAATATGTCATGGTGGCTAACACTATCAGATAATTTGATTACTTTAATGATAAGAGAACATTATATTGGCATAGAAATTCAAAGACAATGGAACAGAAACCAGAGGCCATAAACAGACCGAAGATGATATGCTCAGTCTCCGAAGTGAAAGGTAAACATCAATCAGTAGTATTTAGACTTTTGATCAACTTTATGGAAAAGCACTGAGAAGTATTTTAGAAGGATTTATTTAATAAAACTCCAAAAGGTCAAACCCTAAAGGAAAATGTAGATGAAATTGAAAATGTTAAGAATTTTCATGTATCCAAAGATACAAGATAATAAACAAAACTGAGTAAAAATGAAATCAATGACCTAAGAAAATATTTTCTGAAAACAATTAATATTCAGAATATATTCAAAATACTTACCTATCAAGGAAAATAAGAAAATATATATTTTATGGAATGTAAGCTTCACAGGGCAAAGATTTTTATCAATGTTTTCACCACTATTTTCCCAAAACCTAAAATTGTATCTTACATATAGAATTTGCTCAATAAATATTTTGTTCAACAAAATAATTATAAATATCAACTGAAATAATGATCAATGAAAGCAAATTGAATCCGAACTGAAACACCCTCTTTATAACAAGAAGTCTACCAATAATTTAAAAAGACTGAAAATACCAAGTGTTTGAAAAGTAGGAAAGAAACAGAAATAATATTCACAGGTAGGAGAATAAATACAAAAATAAGTGCACTGTGAGAACAATTATTATATAGTACAGTTGAATATATATATTATTTGTGCAATGTAGAAATTTCATTTATATTTATATATCTATATCTATATATAGCTATATTCCATAGCTGCTAATTTAAAATTTGTATTGCTAACAAATATTCTATTGTATAAATATACCATCAATTTATTTTTGTGCTGTCGATGGATACTTGGGGTGTTACAGATTTTTGAACATTTAAAATATCGTTTTTTGAAAATTAATAATGTCACTTGAAAAATAAGTTTTAGTAAGGATTAACACAGAAATGGATGTTGACAAATTGAGCTTTCTGGAAGACAAAGCAAAATTGTGCTTATACCTTATCCTGGGGTGGGGGAATCAAAAATAAGTCACTTTGCTTACATGAAATAATGTAAATTCCTTAATATTCATATTACCTTTTAATATGGTGCTATACTATCATTTAAATAACATTTCCCACTCTGCACTACCCAAGATGTATAATTTTTAAGTACCATAAAACTACTTACCTTTTCCTTTGCAAAGCATGAATTTTCACACCTCTGTGCTTTTGCTGAAACTGTTATCATTGTCTCACATAGTCTTTCTAAACTACTGAGACCTGAAAACATAGTCTCTCTTTTTCTGTAGTATAACATTTTTCTATACTTATAATTTAAAACCTATTTAATAATGCCTTATAATTCAATTAGATGTTTTTGTTTTCATTACTTGATTTTACATAGTTCAAGGTTTCCAACACATCTTGTAAATTTGGTATACACTGCAATGTCTGTAATAGGACCTTTATAAAAGACAACCAAAATATTATTTTAAAATTGAGTTATAGTGTGATACAATGAATGAGAAAGTTTATTTTGTATTGCTGAATATTTACTACTGTATCAATTTAATAAAATGGCCATATTTTATTCCTGAAACTGGAACACATAGGCAATATAAGTTCCACCAATAAATATTATTTCAGTAAGTTGACGAAGAATAGAAATGCATATTATTCCTTAAATATTGCCTTAAAATTATTATAATGTTACCATTTCACAAATATATTAGAAAAATAACATATATTTGTTGTCCTAAGTTAAATATAGCAAAGATTTGAATATATATTTTCAAACAGTCATTAACATTTAAAGCTTAGTCAAGTATTTTTCCAGAAGACACTGATTAAATGGTAATGCTAGAAGCTAACCAAATGGAGTCCAGTTATAAATGTAATTAAGGATATATGACTAAGAATTTTTGTTCATTTAGAACAAAGGGTTTCACCAGGTTTCACCATCTGATAAGTCAACTGTTTTATTTTTTGTCCTCCTGCAACCCTATTTTGTCTTCTCTCTGTTAATTACCAGTAGTATTCTAAAGCAAATGTGCTAATTTTACTTTTTCCCTGTATATCTGAAGTCATGGAATTCCTCTTTGGATATTATTTTCTATTTTAAGGAATTACGAAGTCCATCATCAGAAAAAGGTAATAATTATCTGCTCAGGGTAACTATTTTTATAATTTTATTTTGTGTAACTAATCTCTTTAAACAACTCTTAATTATTCATAAAACTATTTTCATATCTAGTAGAATTTGAAGGCAATAGAGGTTTTGATCACTTTTCTACATTTGACTCAGAACTTTTAAACCTATTTTTTTTTAAGGTTTTCAGAAATTGTTGTTATACCATAAGGTCTTTGCTTTAGGAAATCGAATAAGTGTTTGAAATTTTAAGTGGTACTTTTATTATAAAAGTTTCAGGAGAGGAAATAGCATGGCATAGAAATATATACATAGGAGAACTGTGTATATCCCTGTCTCCATAAAACACTTTCTGAAAAATTAACACAAGAAACAAAATGTAAGTTCTGAAAATTCTAATTTAATATCTGGCCCCTTGGGCTACCAAAATGTTTCCAGTAGCAATAGCAGAAATAAGATCTGATTGAATCTCAGAGCTATTTAACTATAATGGCTGTCTTTGGCCTCTTGGAAACTGATTGTTTTAAAGATATACATTGACAAAAATTTTGTTGTAGTTTATGAACCATTCTTGCTATTTTGCATAAGAAAACAAAGTTCATAAATTATGTCCCCAAGGAACATAATGGAATCCAACCTATAAAATAGAAAATAAATGGTATTTTGTGCCACATCCAAAATTTCTGTCTGGATAACATGTACTGCAATGGAAGTTCAGCAATGGAAGTTCATCAGTCATAAGACACTTCA
Organism: Homo sapiens; assembly: GCF_000001405.40. NCBI lineage: Eukaryota > Metazoa > Chordata > Mammalia > Primates > Hominidae > Homo > Homo sapiens. The sequence continues at coordinate 27,480,613 of NC_000014.9, read as the reverse complement.
AGTTAGAAAATTCAAACAAATTACTTAAACAAAAACCAATATGATACTATTTTATACATTTTGCTTTGAATTTCCATACTGAATATGTAACTTGGATACGGAGAGTTGTCTAAATTTGTCTTTAGTTATTGATCAGATTAGACTAAATATTATTGAAAGGTTAAAAAATAACAGCTGGGGTAATATTTTTTCAGGAGTTATGTTGTCAAGTGTTCATACAATATTGTAATTGAAACTGCAAATTCCATGCTTTCTAACAAAAATTGATTTATTATTGGATTAATATTAGCTTATATTGGCATAGCTAATATTAAATGAATATCAATATTGAATTAAATGACTATTAATATTGAATGATGAATCTGACAGAAACATGCAACATTTGTCTTTTGCTTTGTTTTGTATTGTATTTACAAATACAATACAATGCAACTTTAAGCAAGTCGACATGTAACAAAATCATTTTTTCATCAGCATTTGTATTTCCAATACAAAACAAAGCAAAAGACAAATGTTGCATGTCCTCCCTCGTATGTGAGACCTATAACCTAAATAAATAAATAAAAACAAGGCACTCATATAGATAGAGAGTAGAACGATAGTTACGAGAAGCTAAGTAGGGTACTGGGATAAAGAGGGAATGTTTAATGGATACGAAAATGCAGTTAGATCATAGGAATAAGATCTAGTGTTTAGTAGCACAATTGGACAACTATAGCTAACAATAATTCATTGTATATTTCAACATAAATAAAATAATAGAATATTTCTAACATAACAAAATGATAAATGTGTGAGGTAATGGATATCCCAGTTATCCTATTTTGATTGTTACACATCATATGCTTATATCAAAATACACCTGCACCTATAAATATATACAACTATTCTGTATCCTTAATAATTAAAAATAAAAAATAATTTTCTGAATTATTTTATATATTACATGTATATACATAAAAATTGTAACACAGCCAAAACTAGGTAGTTTTTTACAATATCATTTTGTAAGCTAATGCTGCCAGATAAATAATTAATATTCCAGACAATTATAGTGAACCAGTTTTTTTAATGCTATCAAATTTTTTGACTATGGGTAGTGGCACAGTTTTATGATAATTATATTATTAACAATATAAATAGGCAATACAAAATGTAATAGATAAATTTTAAAATCCAAATGTCTCTGGTGTAATCAGTTATCTGGACAATATTTAAAGCAGATCTGGTTCAATTCAATGCTTTCAAATATGTTAAACTGAATATATTCTTTAAACGTGAGTATTTATTTAAGAAAACTGTTTTTTAAAGTTTTGCATTTTAAAATATTGTTCCAAAGGCTAGAATATATGCATAGTTTAGTTGAAACCTGAATGAATTAAGATAAAAACTTCTGGGATTATTTCAGACAGAAAGAAGAAAAAATTACCAAAGCCTAGAAATAAATAGAGATACAGCTAGAGATAAACAGATTGATGTTTTTAGAAAATACAATTGTTGCATAAGCAATTCTTTGTAACGTCCAAATTTTACTTAATAAAATGATCAGTATGCTATCATATGTTGCAAATTGTGTGTTGTCATATCTATAACAACATACATTTTAGACTTTTTTTTCTAAATTGTACTTAAATATAGAATAATGAATAATGTTTGGTGAATAATGTTGTACATAAATCTTTCCAGATGAGCCTGATTTTCTTTTAGAATGAACCTAGTGTATGGATACCCGGTTTAATTTTAATGTTTTCAATCCACATTGCCAAATTGTATAATGCTCATTGAACAATATTTAAATGTTCAGGTCCTTCTAATTATGTTGGTAATTATTATATATAATCACAACTGACGTGTGTATATGTATGATTGTGTGTACAAATACATATATACACACACATATATATGTACTGCATCAGTGTCTATATCTACATTTAAAATATAATACATATGAAATCTTGGTAAAGTAATGACAATTCTACACAGTGCTGACAAGGGGGTAAAGATATAACGGGATACAAACATTTTAGAAACTATTATAATAACTACTTTAAATGAAAGTTGAAAAAAACCTATGATTCTGAAATCTCACTCGTTTGTGTATGTGTGTATCTTCTACAAGAAATACATGTATACAAGTTGACAAAAACAAAGCATGAATTAATTAATAACATTGATTTTGAGAGTAATCAATTGGAAATTATGTAAATATTTTTCAAAAGAACAAAAATGAAGAAATAAAGGCATGAGCATATACTGTAATGATATACAAGAGTAAAAATAGCAATACAGTTAAGTCACAAACTTCGTTTTTATCAAAAGTACCGTAACGTCATCGGTAGGTTCTTGGAAACTGCATCTTTAAGCAAGATGACATGTAACAAAATCACTTTTTCATCACTATTATTACTAAACAATGTTGAACTAAATGACGTTATTGGAGGGCCTGCTGTACGCTGTTTAGCTTAAAATTCATCTTTCTAAGAAAATACAGAGGACATTAAGAGAGGACTTAATGTACAACTTGCTGAAATCTAAATGAAGCAGAATTAATCTATAAGAGTATAAAATATTCAAATTAATGCCATATATTATCTAGGAACCATTCACATATTATTAATATATTTACAACTATTGGAAATAATAAGATCAAAATTCAAGATATTTGTTTCATTAGGGACAGGTAGGTGGGAAGCATGATGTATATTCATTGGGAATTCAAATACATTTGTAAAAATCAGTCCTTCCTTAAGCTTTGTGGTAGGGGCTCATGTTTTCATCATAAAGTTTTAATACTTTGTACATTTAAATATTTTAATGAGTTTTTAAAAATACATTTTTAGCAATCAATTCTATAGACTATGTAAATACACCCATCAACTAATCTCAACAAGGTTTCCAAAAACACCCGGTTTGCCAAAAACCAGGTGTTTTTGGCAACCTTGTTGAGATTAGTTGATGGGTATGTTTATTTCTGGGTTACCTATTCTATCTCACTGGTTTATGTGTCTTTTTTGATGCCAGAAACATACTATTGTAATTACTATAGTTGTGTAATACATTTTGAAATTACAATGTGTGATGCCTCCAACTTTGTGTGTGTGTGTGTGTGTGTGTTTCTACATAAATTCTAAAATTGTTTTTTCCATTATGATAACAATGATAACAAATGCCATTGGGATTTTGATAAGGACTACATTGAATCTGTACACTGCTTTGGGTAGTACTCACATCTGAAAAATATTAATTATTCTAATCCATATACACGGGATATCTTTCCATTTTTGTGTTTTTTTAATTTGCTTTATCAATGTTACATAGTTTTAAGTGTACAAATCTTTCACCTCTTTGGTTAAGTTTATTTCTAAGTATTTCATTCTTTTTCTTGCTTTGGCAATGGGATTTTTTTTAAGTTTTCTTTTAGATAGTTTGTTGTTAGTATATAGAAACTAACAACACAAATTCTAAGGTTATTTTATTGTTCTGTTGTGTGAAAGACATACACATGGCCAATAGGTATATGAAAAGATTTTCAACACCACTAATTATTAGAAAAATGCAAATCAAAACCACAACAAGATATCACCTCATACCTGTTAGAATGGCTGTTATTATTATTCTTGAAAGAAATAAATCTTTGTGGGTATATGGAGAAATTAGAACCCTAGGAACATTCATTTTGTAGCAATGTAAAATGTTAGCGTTACTATGGAAATCAGTTTGGTGTTTCCTCAAAAAGTTCAAAATAAAACTACCATGTGACCCAGCAATCCCACTTCTAGGTATATACCTGCACCCCCATATTCAGTGTGGCATTATAGACAATAGCAAATATATGGAAATGACTTAAATATCTCTTGACAGATGAATGTATAAAGAAAATGTGATATATACATACAATGGACTATTATTCAACCTTTAAAACAGTAAATCTGGTCATATGCAACAACACAGAAGAACCTGAAGGACATTATGCTAAGTGAAATAAGCCAGTTGCAGAAGGCAAATACTGAATTATTTCATGTATATGAAGCATCAAAAACAGTTAAGCCCATGTGGATGCCAGAGGCTAGAGGAGGGAGAAATGAGCAGTTGCGTTTTAATAGGCACAAAATTTTAGTTATGGAAGGTAAGTACGATTCTAGAAATCTGCTGTACAATGTTGTGCCTATAGTTAATAATACTTAAAATATTTATTAGGAGGCTAGATCTCATGTTAAGTGCATATGCCACAATTAAAATATCATAAAATATAGCATGTATTACTTTATTAATATTTAAAAGAATTGCTTGAGAAATTAAATCAATAAGAAAAAATGTATTACTAAAGATAAAAACATTGATGATATAATAGTTGTGAATTTAAGGTGTTTAAGCATTATTTTAATATATAAAGAACATTGAATTTGTCAAATTCATATTTATATTTGAAAGTAGCACATTTCTTGCTGAACAAATGAAATAAAGTATTAGTAAGTATGCACAGGAAATGAATAAGCTATATATATTAGTAGGCTTGATCTAATAGGTAAATTATGAATTCTATATTTCAGTAATATAGATTTTTCATTTTTTCCTAATACCTTTGCAATATTCACAACAATGATCATATATGGGGCTATAAAGATTGTGTCCACAAATCACAAAAAGCAAATTTTCTTAGTCTATATTTTCTAAATGCAATGAATGCAGTAAGAAAATAATGTTGAAATACTAAAAAAAGATAAGCTACTTACTTAATTTAATGACAAGCACTTCCAAATAACTCATGCGCACATGAATGAATCTTATGCAGTGTCCAAATAAGTTGTAAAAATTATAGGCCTAAACCTGTATAAAGAAACAAATAGAATTTAAGTTTATTTCTTTTCCATGTGAAAGTACTGAGTATATGAACAAGGAAAGGCTACTTTCAGAGATATTAGTGAGTTCAGGGTAACAGAGTCTGTGCTATTTTTTGCTTGTGTAGGAAAGTTGTATTGATCAGGATTGGATATGACACAAAAGCCTCTGCTCATACTCCAGTGGCCAGAACTAGTCACAAGTTCACTTCTGAAAGCAAAAAAAGAAAAAAAGGCTGTGAAGGCAGTTCCTGGTTGGCTGCCCCTTCCAGCATAAACTCCACCTATGAAAACAGGTCCCACATTTATCTTGGTAAACTGGACCTTCTTCTTTTCAAAAGACATTGAAATGATTACACATAAAAATTTATGTGTGACCCCATTTCTGTTCTGTGGGCATTAAAAAACTTGTCGGCTGGGCGCGGTGGCTCACGCCTGTAATCCCAGCACTTTGGGAAGCCGAGGCGGGCAGATCACGAGGTCAGGAGATCGAGACCATCCTGGCTAACTCGGTGAAACCTGTCTCTACTAAAAAATACAAAAAATTAGCCGGGCGTGGTGGCGGGCGCCTGTAGTCCCAGCTACTCGGGAGGCTGAGGCAGGAGAATGGCGTGAACCCGGGAGGGGGAGCTTGCAGTGAGCGGAGATCGCACTCCAGCCTGGGAGACAGCGCGAGAGTCTGTCTCAAAGAAAAACAAACAAACAAACAAAACTTGTCAAGCCAACTGTATTAGAAAACAAAGAAAGTTAAACTCAATGTACTAGACATTTATCAATCATTTAGAAGACTCAATCCTTTAGAAGAAAAACAACAGAATAAACATACATGTGTGAGAGGACTTACTAAAACTAAAGTAAAATTAATGACAAAGACAATAAAAAATTCAGATTTTCAACCTTCAGTTCTGAGATATGATGTTGTAGAACCAATTTTCCTTGTTCTTCTTGACTAAACTTCATTAATACCCTGGAAATAATTCAATAGACAATCATAAAAGGACTCTGAAAGGTGGAAAGTGTTGTATGAACTGGCTAGGGGCCTCAAAACTGTAAGAAAGGACACATGTGAATTCCCTAGGTTTTATTTTTATCTTCAATACATATTTATGTGGGTGTTGGGAGCCCTCCAAACCTTGAGCAGCCAAACATAGACCAAAAATAAGGAAGAAATACAACAAAAAGAAAAGCCATATCCCTGTCCAAGAGACCTAGGACAGGGAACTCCCACAGAGATTTGGCAGTGAGATCCATACCTAATGGTAGCAAAGACCAATAAATTTACAAAAGACTGTACAGTATAATCTCATATTTAGGTAATGAGCAAATTGTTTAATAAAAGTAAGGCATTTGTATGTGAGTCTATGGGTGTATGGGGGAATATAAAGAATAATAACTGCATAGAAACACAATATATTATTAATGACTGTGTTTTGGTTGGCACTGGGGGAGGATACATGGACTTTAATACTTTGCTGTTTATAATTCTGTATTTTGGAACTTTCAACTATATGTACAGCTTGAGAAGGGTTACCTATACACAGGCAAAAAAGAAAGGGAATCTGTGAATTAGCTAATTAAGCTGGGTCAACCCCGTGACAACAAATGAGATGATAGATTATTTTTGGAATAAATATCATATACTACACACTCTACTAAGCAGTAGATCTCATGATGAGAGTGTGGGGATAAGTACTGTTCCATTTTTATGATTACATAAACTAAAGTTTACCCGCTTCAAAGTATATAACATTGGACATATTATTACATTCCTCCGTTTTCAAATCCCTCATCTTATATTAAATACTTGCAATAATAATCTCATAGGATTATTGAGGGAATTAACAACTTAATATATGAAAAGCTCCTAGACCTTTGCCTAGTATGTTATATATGCTCAATATCCACTGTTATTCTCTCTATTTGACAGATAAACTGCGGTTAGAGCGATTAAAAGCAATCACTTAAAGTCACGTATTTACTAAACAGTGAAATTATTATTTGATACAGGTAGTCTGGCTCCAAACCTATAATTTTTATATTTATATTTGTGGTCTTCATCTTATATTCAATCACTTGGCAAAATAAGTTGCAAATAATGATCTCTGCAACTGAAAGACAGGATATAGTCTCAGGGAACAGAAGATAGGTATTTTTCATCATTCAAAGACAGAACATCAACACAGGCATATATTTTCAAAGGATGAGTGATATAAAATTGTGTGTGTTTGTATGAGGACCTGTGTCTGAATTACCATGTTAATGCAAATTATGCATTTACAGTAATCATGGTGAGGCAGATATTAAAGAGCAAATACACACTAAAGTAGTTTTCAGCTAAATATCAACAATTATTTTATAACAACCATATTACACATTATAACCACTTAACAATTGTGGTATTGACTTCTCAAATGGGTGTGGAAGTATTTTTAAGGAACCTAAAATTTAAATATCTCAGGAAACTGGCGTGAGGTGTTTGTCAATGAAGCGCAGTTCCCTGATACAAGAGGGTAGCCTGATGTTTGTGAGTGTCTTTTCCATCTGATGTTGCTCTGGCTAGATGGTTAATAAATGCCTCCTATAACATTGTTTGCAAAAGCATCTGCTACATCAACAGATTCAATTTTAATTTAATGCTAATGAACATTTAATCTATTTTCTTAAATATAATTGTAACATTTCACCCCTTGTAAAAGTTTCTGTTAATTATTCGTAGTGTCATAAAATATAATAAATATTTCTGTTTCATAGGTATACTCTTACCCAAATATTCTGTTTATATTATGTTTTTCAGTTGCTGTAAAATTGCTCCCTGAGATAAATTTTACACTTCTTTAAGAGAGTATACCTGTCTCTATTACGATTTCAACTTTAATTTTCTGCAAAGTATTTTATCTTGGTGAAAGAAAGAGTTTATTTGAATAGTTGATAATTCCTTTATTCATTAATTTAAAACAATGCAGAAAAAGAGTAGGAGAACATATTAAGAAAAGGTCTGACATGACTGCTTGCTTTTTGCATGTCTGTGTGTGTGTGTATGTGTGCATGCATGTAGCCATCTTCTGTTATGAAATGAAAATGGCTCCAAAGAGAGCTTTCATATGTGAATGGAACATAAAGTTTAGCGCATTGCATCGTGTAAGGAACAACTACGTCATGTCCAACAGAAGTCATCTTCATTAATCTTTAATATGTTTGCTTTCTGAAGAATAATTTTGTTGTTAATTATAACATTGACTTTGTTTTTATTTTCCTTCTTGTCCATCTCGGATTCCATGGTGATAAATATCACACTGCAAATTTGTTAACTTTTTGTAAAATTGTTTAGAATAAGACTGTTAAGAAACCAATAGTGAATCAATGTAAATATATGACTCTGTTGATTATGCACCTAGTAGTGAATGCACTGTTGGAAAAATTATACAAAATGTCGGACTCTATTTCCATTTTATTTATTGTTTTTCCCTAGTGCTTACAATAAATAGCATCTGGCAAATAAAAAGCTTACCAAATTACTTGCTGAATCAGTGAGTAAATCCAAAACGTGTTTCATCTGTTATTTGCACCCTCTTAAAAATACTGGTAAGAGTTGCAATTTCTTAAAGCCCACTTTCCTTTTCACTCTTTCAGGTAGCTTGATCTACACCCATGGTTTAATTACTCCTACACGCCAAAGACACACAAATCTCTCTAATGCACATCCCTGACATCCACTTATTACATTACATTTTCACTTGCATATATTAAAATACTTATAAATTCATGTTGGAACTATAGCCATCTTTCTGCTATCCCTCAGGTTTCTCCAGTCTAGCTCCTTTCCATGGTTCCCTATTTCAGCAAATGAACCTGTATCCAAGCCTACCCAAGCCAGAAATCTCAGAGTCACTCTGCAAAGTTTCTATACCTCTCCTTTCATGGAAATTTCCATCACTAAATGGTTAAATGCTGTGTTTTGTAAATCTAAATTTTTATGATTATTTGTTTCATCTCCACTGCCACCATATGGGGCTAAACAACCTTTCATAAAGATTGTATTTAAGAGTTAAGTTTAATTTATAGAGAAATGTGTGTGTGTATGTGTGTGTGTGTGTGAGTGAGTGTTCAGAGCTTTAATCAAGATTAGATAATATTGTGTCACTCTAAGAAGTTCCCTTATGGCTTTTAGCATTCAATTTCCCTACCCTACCACCTAGGTAATGACCAATCTAACTTCTCTCACTATAGGTTAGTTTTGCTTGTTCTGAACTTCATATGAATAGAGAATGTACTCGATTTTTCTCTGACTTGTTTCATTCAGCAAAATATTTTTGAAATTCATTCATGTTATGTTTACCAGTAGTCTATTCTTATACTTCTGACTAATCTTCCATTATATAAACATATGAAAATTTTTTCATCCTCTCGAATTTGTTGGGGTTTTAGATGATTTAGAATGCTTATCTATTATAAATAGAGTTGCTATGAATGTTTGTGCATAAGTTGTTTTTGTGACATATGATTTAATTTATTTTTGTTTAATATCTAGGACTGGAATTTCTGTTTTATATGTTAAACTGAGATTTAATTTTGTAAGAAACCACCACCCTGATTTCAGCTTTAGCTTATGAAGGAATATTTGTCAAGGGAGTGGTCGTTTTCCTTTAAACAACTAGACAACCAAGGGAAAAGATGAAACAAAGGTTTTCAGACATTGTACAACAAGCAATATAATGTGATTCCTGAGAAAAAAGAAACAAATTAGATGTACCCTAAAATCGTGCCATCCTACTGCTATGGGAGAGCATAGGGTATGGACTCTCAAACTCTGACTCTTGCTGAGTTGAGGAGGCTGAGATGAGTTCAGGATGTTGGCTAGAATTTTCAGGACTGCAGAGAGGAAAGATTGGCATAGAGAGGGGACTACTTGCAGAAGTGTTTCCATCTTCGGCTGCATTCGATTTGTTCATAAATGGAGTGAAACTCGACCAGGCTAGAAAAGCGCCAAAGAAATGTAAGGCAAGCATTTCTAGAGCCCACGCGAGCCAGATTGGAAAGATCTCATACTATTCAGTACATCGACCAGACTTATCTGAAAGGTCTTACTCTAAACCAGAGGCTGCTGTGTGCCTGCCCTAGCAATACTGGAAAACAAGCATCAAATGGACAAGACTGGCTTGCTAAAATTTTAACTGAGTGCCAGAATAAAGTCCTATACGTTTTCAAGTGAAGCAATTGGTTGCTAATGAAGGAAAAAATATTGAAACAATCCTGTTTGTGTTTCTTTTTACTTTTTCCTAAGAAAGGAAATATGATATAAAAAGTTAAGCCAATGAGAAATTATAGAAATCAAGTAAGTGTGAATTAACAACTGCCATTATTATACACAGGGCATTAAACACACGTGGGAACCCATGTACACATATGACAGATTTGAATTATTATTTAACAAAGGAAGACTCTAAGAATCTCGATGGAGGCGTTATAAATCCCTCATTTTACAGATAAGGGAACTTAGTAAAAATAAGTTAAATAATACCCAATGTCACTCACCTTGTGGAGTAAGAAAATCAAACTCATTTAAATTCGGAGCTCAGTTAATCATTGCTTTTCAAAACTAGAGATCAATGCTTTTTTATTAATTGTTTATTAAATGAAAAATGATATTATTTTCTGCCAAATTAATTGACTTTGAAGAAAAGGAGTTATTTGAATAACTTTAACTGCTCTGATTAAATTGTTATTCAATTTACTCAAATCTCTCAGTGCTAGTCATACCTTTAAGGATATATCCTTCAAAATGTATGGCTTTTAACAATGCTATTGACGAATTTATCATGATTTGGTTAAAGAGGAGTCAAGAACTTTCCAAATACATGTGTCAACGGAACTGTAAATCAGATGTGATTCGGGAAGCTGAGATAGACATTGTGAAAAAAAAAATGTCGATGGGTCATGTAAGAACAAGAAAATGATGTAAATTTTATTAAAAAAAAATCTTATGTGAAAAATCTCCCTGAGGGAGGCAGGGACTTCAAGTCCTCAGGCTGCAAAATTCTTTAGGTTGTATTAATTATTATGCAATTTTTTTTTCTAAAATTTGGCTCTTGCTTGAAATTTACATTAGAAATATGGAGAACCTACCAAATTCGAAGAGTAGAAAAATAAAATATGAAGATTGATATAAACAAATTAGAGGATTTGCAAATAGTTTTGTTCATGAGTCTTAGAATTTTGAACTAATTTTTTTGTTGAATAAAGTATAGGATGTAAAAATAATGTACAAATACTGTTGTTGCTTAATTTTACTTTAAATTAAAACTTAATTTTATTGAAAAATGACACTTCTTCTACTTTGGATTTCAGATCTCCCATTATTTAGACTAAATATGCCAGTTAGAAAACTTTGTGTGCAGGCAAAGTACTTGTTTCCTCCACTTTTTTCTTTAAAGCTTTTCATTCCATTTTTGTATTTCACTTCTCAACTCATGTAGCAGAAAATATAAAGTTAAATCTCCTTAGAGAGAGCATTAAGCACAGGTTTCTAACTTCACAGTCAGCAGGCTCCTAATTAAACCAATATTCTAATTCACCATTAAGAGAGCAAACTACATTTCAGGATGGCATGCTGAATCACTTCTCTAGACTCACCATATGTAACTCTTTTTTCTTGCATTTCTAACCTATTGCTGTCAACGATCCCATGAAAAAATGTCTAAACAAGTCCATGAACAAGTCATTTTATGATGTCTATGAAAAAATATCTTCCTCAAACCACCAGATTAGATATGGATTACATAGATAGAGTTTCATAGGTTAAAAATACAAATGTGGATAATAAAATTGTGCACGTGTGAACTTGCGCATATGTGTCTTTAGGTGCGAATAGCCATTGGAAAGGAAAGAGTATTCTCAATAATATTTAATATTTATCCAGTGTCTACTCTGTGTTAGATACTGTGAAGTGCTCTGTATCTATTACATCATTTAAACTTCCTACAACCCTATAACATAGATATCATTATCCTCATCTTGCAGATAAGGAAACTGAGTTAAAATAAGTTAAATAATACCCAATGTCACTCACATTGTGGAGTAAGAAAATCAAACTCATATAACCTAACTTCAGAGCTCATTTGTTCACTGCCTTTCAAAACTGGAGAGCAATGCTTTTTTTTTATTAATAGTTGATTGGCACTATTTTTTCATACTCCTCCCACATTAATAGCAGGGAAAATAAATTCTCTATATACAATTTTGAATAAAATTAAACCTTAGAGACAATACTATATGGGGCAGAGAAATCCTTTTAGTTTTTGTGGAAAATAATTACTCAGATTACAAATGTGGATGTGGAAAAGTTCTACATATTTGTCAGTGAATATCTGGCTAGTACAAAACTCAAAGACTTTGTAATAGCTAATTTGAATAAAATGGACAGGAAAATAATATTTATAACATTATGTGTGCAACCCCATTTAGTTCAGAGAAGCTCTGACTCCAAATTAAGAATCTCGCTAGTTAGAAAACATTTCCTTCTTTTTACAAATTGAATCAGCTTGGGCAATTGGAAAAACTCAACAGCTATTTAACTCAATGGTTCACATTTGCTGGAAACAGAAAAAGACAAACACGCACACACTATTGATATATTCTTTGCTTGAATACCTAGATTCCACATAATCCTGGATTTTAAATACATGGTTTCATTTTTTAACAAAAGGAAGTGAAAATTTCTGTTATACTGTCTGAAAAATGGAATGTAGAAATTGGAGCCGTGCTTAATATGAGACCACCAAAAAGTGATCTCCAGACTATATTTCTTTAAAATATGAAGAAAAGAGATATTAGCTCACCTGCACATTACACTTCCTGTACCTGAATATTTACTTTTCCCCTCAGATTTAAACAGTTTTCTGCTAATTTTTTTTAGTACACTTTCTACCCCCTCTGCCTGTTTCTTCTCCTTCTTAAAATACTATAGGTTGAAAATTTGCTCTTTTGGTGCTGTACCATAAATCCCATGGACTTTCTTCATTTTTTTTCATTAATTTTCTTTTTTCTTCTCTCACTATATATCTGTCACACCTATCTTCATGTTCATAGGTAATTCCTTCTGCTTGATCAATTCCGCTGCTGATATCCTCTCTCTCCTCGCATTATTTATTTCATTCATTGTATTTTTCAGCTGTGGAATTTCTGGGTTTGGGGTTTTTTTTAAATAATTTTAATCTCTGTTAAACCTATCAGTTTGGTCATTTATTGCTTTTCTGATTTCAATGACTTGTTTCTCATATTTTCTTGAAGCTCACTGAGCTTCCTTAAAGTAATTATTTTGAATTCTTTATCAGACAGTTTGCATATCTCCATTTTGGGGTGGGGGGTTTAACTACAGGGAGGTCATTGTGTTCTTTTCCTGATGTTATGTCTCCTTTTTTTCATATTTCTTATTGCTTTACAATAATATTTGCAAATTTAAAGAAGCAGAAACTATTTCAGTCTTTGCATATTGACTTTGTCTGGAAAAGTCTTTCACTAGTCAGCCTGTCCAGAGATTCTAGACAAGCTGTCTGGAGTAGTCTGGGTAGGTTTGCTGCTAAAGTTCTCAAGGAGGATAGCCTGATGCTTGGGTCTATAGAGTTGGACCTGAAGCCTGGGTCCATGGGAACTTACCTGGTGCAGAGGTGAGCCTTTAGCCTGAGTTTTCAGGAGCTAAGTTGGCACTGATATAGACATAGAGTCTGGGTCTACTGGGACAAGCCTGAAATCTGGACCCACAGAGACTGGCTCAGTGCTGGAGACTCTAATCTAGGTCCTGAATCTGTAGGGGCAGTGCTGGGACCTGGGTCCACCAGAGGCTAGCCTGGAGCCTGTGTCTGTGGGGATGGTCCTGGAACCTCCAGATACAGGGGCTGGTTTAGAGCTATATCTGCAGAGGTAGTCCTGGAGCTTTCATCCAGAGGGAAAGGCCTGGTACGAGGGTATACTGAGATAGGCCTTAACCCTTGGTCTGCCAGAGAAGTTCTGAAATCTAGGTCCACTAGGGCCTAGTGCCATCAGGACCAGTCTAGAGATAATATCTTGTCTGGTGCTAGTGCTGGCATGGGGTCTGGTTTTGAGGGGGTCAGTCTGGAGCTTGGGTTCACAGGTGCTGGCCTGGACCTCCCAGGTGTCATGGGGACTGGCCTGTTGCCTGGGTATACTGGGGCTGGCCTGGAAACTAGAACTTTGAAAACCAGCCTGGGTCCTGGGGCTTTAGAAGCTAGTGTGTATGCTAAACCCACAAGAGTGGTCCAGAAGCCTTGGTCTGTGGTAGCTTGTCTAGCACTGGGGTTTATTGAAATAGAATGGACCCTATTCCTCCTAGAGCCGACCTGACCCTTGGGTCTGCCAGAGCATGGACCTGCAGGGATCATCCTGTAGGGTAGTGCCACAGGAACTGGCCTTGCACTAGACAGACCTATGTCTGGAGCCCAGGATCTCTGCGGTCAGCCTGGATTGGGGCAGGCCTGGAGCCTGAGTCTGTGGGGACTCTCCTGGCACTGGGATGGGCTAAAGCCAAGAACCTTTTGGACCAGCCTAGAGCTGGGGCCAGTTAAGAGCCTGAGGTTTCTGGGATTACTCTGTTGGTAGGGCAGGCCTGGTAAATGAATCCACTTGACAGGCCTGGAGTCTGGGGCTGTGGATTCCTGCCTAGTACCAAGGTGAGCTTGAATGCTCAGTCTGTGGGTACTGACCTGGAGTCTGGGATCATGGGTTCCTTCTCAGCACTAAGTTTTATTGTGGTGCTGTGGTCTTAGAGAAAGTATTATGCTCACTTTGCTCTCCTTCCCCCAAGCAGAGGGTATTTCCCTCCAGGTTGTGCTGCCTGAGGTTGAGGGAGGGGTAATGTGGGTGATGTAAAAGTGGGCTTCCTACCTTCCTCAATGAACCTTTTCTTATTTCTGTGCTACACCCAGGTATTATAATCTTTACCTGGTTTCCTTAGCTCTGCTGAAGGTATTTTTGCATGTGAATAGTTGGTCACATTGATGTTTCTGCAGAGGGATGAGCACTAAAAAGTCCCAATTTGCTATCTTTCTGATGTCCACTGAGATTCCAAACCTCCATATACAGTATTGTGATTTATTTTTACTGTGTTAGGATATTTGTTTTGTTTAGGACACCAAGAAACTAAGCTGGGACTATTATTTTACTTCAGGACTAATACTGCAATTTCCAAATCTCTCTTACAGTTATTTTTACAATAGATTTTTATTTAAGAAACTAATGAAGACCATCAGTCTTCTTGACTCCAACCTGAGAATTCTGTTTTTTCATTAAAACTACACACCCCTGGATTTTTTAATTGTTCTTCATCCAACACAGAGAAATAAGCCCGACATAGTTATGTGCCTATGCTAAACAATCCTGGGATGATATTTATCCTTTTCTGTGCTGAGTAAAACTGAACCACAAAAATATCTTCCTCATTAAGACAAAACTTTGCTCATTAAAGCTGTCTTTGAGATTATTACCTTACCCTGCTCACTAATCCAGAAACAACGTGTCATAAACTCTGCCCCTCTAACCCATCCCTGCCCACTAAAATCACTGAGTCTATGTCTTAAAATAGTGTAAATATCTTTCTCTAATTTTCCTCTTTTCAATCACTATTAAGATGCTCTCAAGGTTGGGGTTCGCCTTTTCCAGGGTAAGTCTAAACTCAGCTTTACTTCACCCACAGGTTTTCCTGGTAATCTTAGGAGAGTCGAACATCTGCAACATAGTTTCCCACCCACTTCACAGGTCACTTTCTATTTTAACTTGTCAGTATCCCAAGTAAAATACATGGTGTTCAGAAAAGAACATAATATCGCAGATGTGGCACAAATTTAAAAGAGGCAAATGAGCAACAGGGTAAATATTTATACTCCTGTAGTCCTAACTACTCAGAAGGCTGAGATGGGAGGTGTGTTAGTCCTCTTTCACATTGCAATAAAGAACTGCCTGAGACTGGGTAATTTATAAAGGAAAGAGGTTGAATTGAGTCACAGATCAGCATGGCTGGGGAGGCCTCAGGAAACTTACAATCATGGTGGAAGGTGAAGGGGAAGAAGGCACCTTCTTCCCAAGGCAACAAGAAGGAGAATGAACACAGAAGGAACTACCAAACACATAAAACCATCAGATCTCATGAGAACCAGTTTGTAGAATGCTAAAAGAACAAATGATATTTGAGAAAAATTTTCTCCCTTATTTTTCTAAAATAGTACTTGCTTGAGATGCTATTTCTTCTCAGATATTTTGAAAGTTATCTTTATAGTATATTTTCAATATGTAGAAAACAATGAGTCATGAATCAGCCCATAGTCTTAGTCTTAATTAGATATACATTCACGGGTGTTTATTTTGTTCTGAGAATGATGCAAAGATCTGACATAAAGAATATAATTCTTTTTGTAATAAGAAACACAAATTTACGTTCAAACTGCATACAAAGGTTCACCATTAAATGACCCTCTGAAAACTTTGTACCAAGCCTCACAGTTGCTCTCTATAGGAGCAGCGAATGTTTGCAGTTTCTCCTGTGTGTTAATAGCTGCATATACAATGAAATACATATATGCTGCATATTCCACCTTCTCCTTCTTAAATGTATTGAAGCATAATATACACATGATAAAATCAACCAGTTAAGAACAAAATTCAATGAAATGTAATAAATGTATTTACAGTATAAACAACTGTATTTACACAGTATAAATATAGTTGGCCTTCTGTATCCATGCATTTTTCATCCATGGATTCAATCAAGCATGGTTCAAAAATAGTTTTAAAAAGTATAAAATAACAATACAAAAATTAAAAAAACCAAGTAAAAGAAATACATTACAAGAATTATTTACCTAGCATTTACATTGTAGAAATAATTTAAATTATATAGGAAGATGTGCATAGGTTATACACAAATACAATGTCATTTTGTATCAGGGAATTAAGCATTCTTGGATTCTGGTATTCACAGGAGGTCCTGAAAGCAATCCCCCATGAATACTGAGGGATAACTGCACTACCAAAATCAAGATCTAGAATACTTGCATCTTCCCCAAAGTTCATCTGTGTTCCTTTACAAACAACACCCCCACATTAACATCATACCAAGCAACAATCTTTTCTCTGACATCATAAGTTAGATTTTTCCATTTCTAGAATTTCCTATGAATGAAGTCATACAGTATGTATACCTTTGTTCCCGATTTATTTCTCCTTTCATAATATTTCTGAGTTTGTTTTATATACTTTTTATGCACTGGTAGATTTTTGCTTTTTTATTGCTAACTACTATTCTATTTGTGGGTATAACGCATTTTATTTATCTACCCCCTTGTTGATACAAATTTTACATCATTTCTAGTTTTGGCTCTTATGAATAAAGTTCTCATGAGTATGCACATTACGAGTTTTTCTATGCACATATGCTTTCATCTCCATTGGATAAATTTCTAGGAATTACTTAGTTATACCGTAAGTGTAAAATAAATTCTTTAAGAAACTGCCAAACATTTTCCAGAGTGGCTGTCATCACTTAAATCACACAAGCAATGAACAAGAATAATGATGTGCATTCTCTTCATCACTTGGTTTTCTTAATCTTTCAAAAAGCATCTCTGGTGGTTATCTATTGGTATTTATTGTGATATTGATGGACATTTCTTTATAATGTTAAGTATCTTTTCATGTGCTAGTTGGCCATTTGAATTTATTTTTTAGAAAGCAGCTGGTCAAATTTTTGCCAGTTTGGGGCTGCTTTTGATTAGCTGGTGTTGTTCACATGTTTTGAATATAAATATTTTGTCATCTGCATTTGTCATCTTAAGAAGCCATAACAAAATACTTCAGACTATTGGTTTCAAGCAACAGAAATTTATTTACTCATGCCTATAGAGCTGGGAAGTCCAAGATCAAGGTGCTAGCCAATTTAGATTCTGGCAAAAGTTCTCATCCTGGCTTGCAGATGACCCCATCTCACTGTGTCCTCACATGGCAGAGAGCAAGCTCTTCAGTGTCTCTTCTAATAAGGGCACTAATCCTATTAAATCAAGGCATCCCATGACCTTATTTAACTTTAGTTGCCTCCTTACAAATACCATCTTAAATACATTAATATTGGGGGCTACTCCTTTAACACAGGAATTTTGAGGGGAACACAATTTAATCTCATGTGTGTGTGTATGTGTGTACTGCAAACTTTTTCTCTTCATCTTTACTTATATTTTCATTTTCTTAACTGTCTTTTAAATAGAAAACTTCTAAATTTAGAAGGAATGGTACCAGTTCCTCCTTGTACCTCTGGTAGAATTCGGCTGTGAATCCATCTGGTCCTGGACTATTTTTGGTTGGTAAACTATTGATTATTGCCACAATTTCAGCTCCTGTTATTGGTCTATTCAGAGATTCAACTTCTTTCTGGTTTAGTCTTGGGAGAGTGTATGTGTCGAGGAATGTATCCATTTCTTCTAGATTTTCTAGTTTATTTGCGTAGAGGTGTTTGTAGTATTCTCTGATGGTAGTTTGTATTTCTGTGGGATCGGTGGTGATATCCCCTTTATCATTTTTTATTGTGTCTATTTGATTCTTCTCTCTTTTTTTCTTTATTAGTCTTGCTAGCGGTCTATCAATTTTGTTGATCCTTTCAAAAAACCAGCTCCTGGATTCATTAATTTTTTGAAGGGTTTTTTGTGTCTCTATTTCCTTCAGTTCCGCTCTGATCTTAGTTATTTCTTGCCTTCTGCTAGCTTTAGAATGTGTTTGCTCTTGCTTTTCTAGTTCTTTTAATTGTGATGTTAGGGTGTCAATTTTGGATCTTTCCTGCTTTCTCTTGTGGGCATTTAGTGCTATAAATTTCCCTCTACACGCTGCTTTGAATGCGTCCCAGAGATTCTGGTATGTTGTGTCTTTGTTCTCGTTGGTTTCAAAGAACATCTTTATTTCTGCCTTCATTTCGTTATGTACCCAGTAGTCATTCAGGAGCAGGTTGTTCAGTTTCCATGTAGTTGAGTGGCTTTGAGTGGCATTCTTAATCCTGAGTTCTAGTTTGATTGCACTGTGGTCTGAGAGATAGTTTGTTATAATTTCTGTTCTTTTACATTTGCTGAGGAGAGCTTTACTTCCAAGTATGTGGTCAATTTTGGAATAGGTGTGGTGTGGTGCTGAAAAAAATGTATATTCTGTTGATTTGGGGTGGAGAGTTCTGTAGATGTCTATTAGGTCCGCTTGGTGCAGAGCTGAGTTCATTCCAATCAATAGAAAAAGAGGGAATCCTCCCTAACTCATTTTATGAGGCCAGCATCATTCTGATACCAAAGCTGGGCAGAGACACAACCAAAAAAGAGAATTTTAGACCAATATCCTTGATGAACATTGATGCAAAAATCCTCAATAAAATACTGGCAAACCGAATCCAGCAGCACATCAAAAAGCTTATCCACCATGATCAAGTGGGCTTCATCCCTGGGATGCAAGGCTGGTTCAATATACGCAAACCAATAAATGTAATCCAGCATATAAACAGAGCCAAAGACACAAACCACATGATTATCTCAATAGATGCAGAAAAAGCCTTTGACAAAATTCAACAACCCTTCATGCTAAAAACTCTCAATAAATTAGGTATTGATGGGACGTATTTCAAAATAATAAGAGCTATCTATGACAAACCCACAGCCAATATCATACTGAATGGGCAAAAACTGGAAGCATTCCCTTTGAAAACTAGCACAAGACAGGGATGCCCTCTCTCACCGCTCCTATTCAACATAGTGTTGGAAGTTCTGGCCAGGGCAATTAGACAGGAGAAGGAAATAAAGGGTATTCAATTAGGAAAAGAGGAAGTCAAATTGTCCCTGTTTGCAGACGACATGATTGTATATCTAGAAAATCCCATTGTCTCAGCCCAAAATCTCCTTAAGCTGATAAGCAACTTCAGCAAAGTCTCAGGATACAAAATCAATGTACAAAAATCACAAGCATTCTTATACACCAACAACAGACAAACAGAGAGCCAAATCATGAGTGAACTCCCATTCACAATTGCTTCAAAGAGAATAAAATACCTAGGAATCCAACTTACAAGGGATGTGAAGCACCTCTTCAAGGAGAACTACAAACCACTGCTCAAGGAAATAAAAGAGGATACAAACAAATGGAAGAACATTCCATGCTCATGGGTAGGAAGAATCAATATCGTGAAAATGGCCATACTGCCCAAGGTAATTTACAGATTCAATGCCATCCCCATCAAGCTACCAATGACTTTCTTCACAGAATTGGAAAAAACTACTTTAAAGTTCATATGGAACCAAAAAAGAGCCCGCATTGCCAAGTCAATCCTAAGCCAAAAGAACAAAGCTGGAGGCATCACACTACCTGACTTCAAACTATACTACAAGGCTACAGTAACCAAAACAGCATGGTACTGGTACCAAAACAGAGATATAGATCAATGGAACGGAACAGAGCCCTCAGAAATAACGCCGCATACCTACAACTATCTGATCTTTGACAAACCTGAGAAAAACAAGCAATGGGGAAAGGATTCCCTATTTAATAAATGGTGCTGGGAAAACTGGCTAGCCATATGTAGGAAGCTGAAACTGGATCCCTTCCTTACACCTTATACAAAAATCAATTCAAGATGGATTAAAGATTTAAACGTTAGACCTAAAACCATAAAAACCCTAGAAGAAAACCTAGGCATTACCATTCAGGACATAGGCATGGGCAAGGACTTCATGTCCAAAACACCAAAAGCAATGGCAACAAAAGACAAAATTGACAAATGGGATCTAATTAAACTAAAGAGCTTCTGCACAGCAAAAGAAACTACCATCAGAGTGAACAGGCAACCTACAAAATGGGAGAAAATTTTCGCAACCTACTCATCTGACAAAGGGCTAATATCCAGAATCTACAGTGAACTCAAACAAATTTACAAGAAAAAAACAAACAACCCCATCAAAAAGGGGGCGAAGGACATGAACAGACACTTCTCAAAAGAAGACATTTATGCAGCCAAAGAACACATGAAAAAGTGCTCATCATCACTGGCCATCAGAGAAATGCAAATCAAAACCACTATGAGATACCATCTCACACCAGTTAGAATGGCAATCATTAAAAAGTCAGGAAACAACAGGTGCTGAAGAGGATGTGGAGAAATAGGAACACTTTTACACTGTTGGTGGGACTGTAAACTAGTTCAACCATTGTGGAAGTCAGTGTGGCGATTCCTCAGGGATCTAGAACTTAGAATTACCATTTGACCCAGCCATCCCATTACTGGGTATATACCCAAATGACTATAAATCATGCTGCTATAAAGACACATGCACACATATGTTTATTGCGGCATTATTCACAATAGCAAAGACTTGGAACCAACCCAAATGTCCAACAATGATAGACTGGATTAAGAAAATGTGGCACATATACACCATGGAATACTATGCAGCCATAAAAAATGATGAGTTCATGTCCTTTGTAGGGACATGGATGAAATTGGAAATCATCATTCTCAGTAAACTATCGCAAGATCAAAAAACCAAACACCGCATATTCTCACTCATAGGTGGGAACTGAACAATGAGATCACATGGACACAGGAAGGGGAATATCACACTCTGGGGACTGTGGTGGGGTGGGGGGAGGGGGGAGGGATAGCATTGGGAGATATACCTAATGCTAGATGATGAGTTAGTGGGTGCATTGCACCAGCATGGCACATGTATACATATGTAACTAACCTGCACAATGTGCACATGTACCCTAAAACTTAAAGTATAATAAAAAAAAAGAAAACTTCTAAATTTAAACATTGTAAAATTTATTGTTCTTTTATGATTTTTGCTTTCTGCATCTTATGTAAGGATTCTCTGTCTATCCTAATTAGATGAATATTTTACATTAATTGTTCTTAGAAGTTTTACAGCTTTAACTTGACTAGGGCCTGATCCATTCCAAATTTATTTTTATTATGGTACAAGGAAGGAATCAAGTTTTCTTTTTGTTTTTAGTTCCAAATAAATAGACAGAAAGTCCGGTACCATTAGATAAAAAGACTACTGGATTATAGGTCAGCAAGACCACCACCATGCCTAATGATTTGCTAAAAGTGCTTATGGAACTCATGGTTATTATTATTATTATACTCATGGTTATAGTTTCTTAAAATGAAAGAATACAGATTAAAAATTAGCAAAGGGCAAAGGCACATGGGATAAAATCCATAAGACACCTGGCACAAGCTTCCAAGTATCTCCTTTCAATGGAGTCACACAGGGATGTATTGATTCCTACAGCAATGACATTATGGCAACACTTGCACAGTTCTGCCAATGGAGAGACTTACTCAAGTTTGGGTTTTTACTGGGAGTCAATCATGTATGCACAGTGCCCACCAGACATGGGTTTCTCAAACCTTGCATACCTATTCATTCTCTCATTGAATTCTCTTGGCACCTTTGCCAAAAGTCAATTAACCTTATATTTATTTGTTTATTTGTTGACCTTTTATTCTTTTCCATTGATCTAAATGTCCATGCTTACATCAATATCAGTCTATCATGATTACTCTAGCTTTCTAGTAGGTCTTAAAATTAAGTAGTATGATGATAAGGCCTTATTTAATACAACAATAATAACTTTGATATGTAACCTGACAGTACAAATTTTCTTAGGTTGGCCAATTGACTCATTCGTTTCTTGTTAATAAAGAACTAACATAACAAAAAGAAAAATAGAGGACAAACTATTATAACTCAACTATGAATGGCCTCTAACGCTATATTATGAGTCCATGTCATTTAATGACTTTTTGCTTTTCTATTCTTTTTTTGCTGCTCAGGCTTCTTATTAATCATATCAATGCCATCTAATAATATTCTAAAATATATTTTTGTTAAACTTTTTATTATTTCAGCAATTATGCCTCTTTTTTCATCTATAAGAAGTGAAAATTCTACATTCTTGTTCTTTTGAAATTGAAAATATATATTAAGAAAACGATTAGACTAGAAAAATATTGATTGATTTATATCTTTAAAATATGCACCAACTGTTTAACTGATTATTTGCATTTTCTGAAATTTTACATTTCCTCGTATAAAAAGATATGTTATATAGAGAAATTATGGTAGAACCCTTATTACTTTAAACTAATTAGAAGTAAATCATTAGAAAACTTGGTATATATTCTTGAAAATATTATCAAACAGAAATGTGGTCAACACCTTAAAGAATATATTTCAGAAACTGATTATATTACTACTAATAAAATGTCCAAGTCTAAACTATGCTATAGTTTATTTATAAGAGAAGAGTTATCATTAACTTTAATTCAAATTCTGCACCTAGAAAGTGAATCTTTGTCAATACTTTGCATATGCAAATGTAAGTGTAAGTAGTAGTACTTAATTTTATTTTCAATGTTAATATGTCATAATTTACTTAATGACACCAAATAATTTAACTTTTCTCAGGTTCTTCAAAAAAAGTAAGGGGCAAGGTTAATATTTTCTCATTCCTGCTTCATAGTAGCTTCAAAATGTTACAAAGATTAATAGTAATCAGTTTTAGAAAAAGAAAAATATTCATAGAAATTCTCAAACAATAATTTAATGTTTTCTTATATAATAACAATTTATATGCATTTTATGCTTAAATGTAAATATGTATTTGTTATGCTGTGCCAAAGAGAAGAATAATGAAGCCATTCTATTCCATTTACATTGCCCACTTAAAGACAGACAAGTAAAGGATCATATATTTTATAGATACAAATGTCTTATTTAGAATGATAGGCTAATTAAGAGCTTTACAAAAGGCTCATAATAGTCTGGATAAAATAGACATTTCTTTTTTAATTTCACTTAGGCTTTGTAATAAGATAAAAACAAGAAAACGATATGATAAAAGACGGAGGGAAGAAGCTGTAAAATTGTCTTTTTCCTAATTCATTCGAAAGCTTAAGGATTTGTTATGGATTATACAGTTATGTCTGAGTGCTAACCCAGCATTATTCCACACCACGATTTCACTACCCCTCTGTCCTTGAAAGTTATGAAGCTTATTGCATAATTACTTATAAAGTACAAATCTGTAAACTTGAAATGAATTTACAAGATGATAATTCTTTAACTTGTACAACTGCTTAAAATTTACTCCCCAATTTCCTTTTCAAATTTATAATTTATATTTCTCTCTGTCATTACAAGATGTCTACATGTGGATGGAGTAATTATAACAGTTTTATTGTTGATAAGATCAACATTACTTAGAAATTAATGAACGTTGTTTTACAACATGTATTTTGAACACTAATTCCACGCAAGACTCTGAGGAATGGTGTAGGAGGATAAGATAGTATTCAAAACAGAATGCCGGTTCTAAAAATACCTATAATGTGTTGGAAAAATATATAAATATCAAAATATAAGAAATTAGTGTACAAATGACATAAATGAGGCACAGAAAAATATTTCTGGAGTTCGTCAAAGATTATCTTAACTATAATTTTATATGAATATTTTATAAATAAGGTTGAATTTGAGCAGATATTTGATGATAAAATATATCCTGGAATGGAAGGAAGGGAGAACGTGGCAACTCAATATCCTCTAGTAGGTACTGTTTGTTGAGCACATACTCTATGCCAAGTCCTATGCTACATGCTTTCAATGTATTACTTAGTTCATAAATGGTCATATCAGCCTATAATATAGATAGCATAAATATTCCTTTTTTTTATAGATGTGGGAAATGTCTTAGGGCTTTCATAATATATGTATGTCACAAAGCTAATAGACAACAAATCAAGGATTTGAATTCACATTTACTATGAGATCCCCCAGCCTATAGTCAATGGAATCAATCTCTCACTTAATCAATCATGTTTGAACAATTAGGAAGTCATATCCTATATCATTATTTTAAAAATACTATAGTTAAGGATTTTTGTTTGTTTTAAATATTTATACTGGCATTTATTGATTAATCCAAATTAGAATTTTTATATAACATGGTGGTTCATAGCAAAGAATAAAAAATGGATTATTATTTTAGAAAGAAAAAATGGAGTATAAAAATAAACCAATGAAAAAGAAGAATGAATAAAACTGGCAATATCTTTACATATAGAATGAAAACTGAAAACAGTAAATAAGAGGCACTTGTTTGTTTTTTGATTTTCGTATCTTATCAGTTACCTAGTCCTGCTGATTCTGGATGAACATTTTTTTCTGCTACTACCCATAGTCAGTCTGTTAATAATATAATCTGGGACTATTATAATTATCTTGTCTTTGCTCGTGTTTCTTTTATGTCTTGCATACTTTTTCCAGTTAAATCATTCTGAAATTCAGTTCCTATTTGAAAACCTATTTATTGAAAAACCTTACTTGTAAAATTAGGGTCCAGATAGTACTGTGAGTTTATAATATAACTCAATCTTCCATTTCAAAGCCAGCAATGACAGACAAAAAATAAGCAAAACACACTATAAAATTGTTTTCTAAATCAAGAAACAAATAAACAAAAGAAACATACAGTGGTAAGTCAGAGTCTGAAGGGATTATGGTCTAGAAATAGAGATGGGTGTCTGGGTATTAGAGTCCCATGGAGAAATGGAAAACAAATAAACAAACACTGTTTGAATTAGGGGTCAAATCAGCCTTTCTCAGAACTGTGCTGAAGTCTAAGACCATTCCCACTGAATTCTTCTTTATTTTTTCGCTTCTTTTATTGGTGTCAGATCTGCAGTCCTGTATAAGGACTTTCTCCCCTTACTCCTGTGTCTTCTCTCTGTATTTGAGCTTAAAAATGTCTTGGACATAAATTTTCGAGTATTTTTCTCCAAGGTTCTGAACTAATGGAATTGGCAGCAGAAATAATTCAAGAGAGCAGGCAATAAGGTTTTTGTCTGTTGGTTTGTTTTTTAAACTGGATTACTCACTGTGTGGCTGACAAGAAAGACCCCATCCTGAGTGGAATATGGAAAACAGTCCTGGAGAATTGTAGTGAAAATTGCTGAAGATTTCACTGCTTTGAGCAAATGGCTTGATAGAAAGAGATGCCCTTGATAATGCAATGATTCAGGCATTTGAAACATATGGAGAGCCAATACCTACAAGGACAGTGGGTTGGCTGCTCATTACCAAGATGTATTGACACCCTACAGTGAATTAATGAGAAATTCTGGAGGTTAACAGTTAAAGACCGTGTTTTAGTACCAGAGAGCCAGCTTCTTTAGTAGCTTTAAAAAGTCACTTACCTCTTGCAGAAGAAGAGTGAGTACATTTGTGGAGAAAGTTTAAGATTAATAGAGTGTCAAAGCTCCAGAGATTTAAATGCTCAGCCAAAGCTTACACTAAATTTAGATTCCTAGCAGAGAAAATCCTGGAAAAAAAATGGTGTGGGATGCCTGGATGAATATTCTTAAGGATTTCAGTTCTGCAGACATTCCTAAACTCTGAGCTTGAGGGTAGACCACCCACCCTATTAAGAGCTATTACCTGCCTTTTACAGAATGACATTGCAGAGGCTTCTTGTCCTCCAGGTAACAGTGCTGGCCATCAGATATTCTCCTGGCTGCCAGGCCTATCAGTAGCTTAAATCCCAGCATGCCCTAGCTTGGGATATTCTGGGTCTGGTAAGGGAGGAAAGACATTGCACTCTGAACATGATACAAAATTAGCTAGCATGTAGGGAAGGACCTGCGGAATATCTATAAAATTGAATTTTGGTCATGTTTCATTAAAGGTGCCAGAAAGTATGACTAAATATACTATATCTCACTGATTTGAGGACGGCTTCTGAAGACAGCATGTAACGCCTGACAAGAGTTCCAGAAGATAAAGCAAACTTGCTGCTAAGGTGACTCTTAGAAGTCTGGAGTAAGAATGGTCTCTGATGAGTGAGGAAAAAATGCCTAATTTTTTCTTAAAAAATAAAGAGATAAAAAGAGATTCCAGGAGGTGGCCATACTGGAAAGAATATGTTATAATGAGGCCAGAAGACCCAGGATTATGTTTCACAGGAGATCCCGGAGTGCACTATGGCAATAAGAACTGTGTTATTCGGAGGGGTACTTGCATAAGCGGTCAGAGGTCTCTCTCCTCTGAAGTCCAGGAATGACTTAACCATGACAGAGCTGGTCTCAATATATGTGGGGACAATGGGACACTGAAATAATAGAGGCCACATAGTTAAACACAAGATGCCAATAGACAGCAATTACTGTAGACAGACAATGATGGACATGCAGCCAAAGGGACCTAACTCTCAAGGAAACAAGAGTATGGCCATGCTGGAAAAAACACAGATGGTCCGCCAGTGAGGGTGCTTCTTAACATTGACAATAGGAAGGCAAGAATGAAAACGCAGAAGCTGAATATGACTGTGCCACAAAAATAGTCACAATACCTTGCTCAGTTCCCCAGTGGGAGCCAATATTTAGATATGGAGCAAACTGACTGAAGAGGTAGATCCTGCAACACCTTGGCAAGTATACACTGTGAAGATTTCTCCTATCTATCCCTAGAGGTATCTATGGCCATGTACTCAGTTAACTGTACAGTGGAGAAGGGAGAGTAGCCAGATATTCTGAGGATGACTAGGAAGAGCAGCTGAGTTGATGCTGATGCTCAGAGACCTGAAGTGTCATCAAGGTCCCCCAGTTAGAATACAGGGCATATGTCAACCTAAGCGGTCTGGTGGTAAATCTGGGGAACACGCATAAATGGAGTTTAGCTAAAGTCTGGCTTCAAATGTATCCACTGGGTAAGCAAAGTTTTCAGTGTTCATTTTCCCAGTCTGTGAAGGAGGGACATACTTGGAAGTTGAGGTAACTTCCAAACTGGGTTCTTGGGCTGTGATATAAGAGTTACTGTAGTGAAGGAAAGTTAAGTAGAATCTTGTGAGAATGTCCTAGTCTTCCACAAATGAAACAGTAAATCAACTGTACCTCTTCATTTTTGGGGATAAGAAAAAAATACCTTCTGCACCAAATTCTAGAGAAATAACTATAACCTGACAATTCAAATGGCCCCGATAATTCTAAAACTCCAAGGATTTTCTCATGCAACACATGGGTAATTTAGCAAAAATTAACTTCTCAAATTTTTTCACTGTTCGTTCCTATCTTCTCATAGGTCCAATAAATTTCAGATTTACAATATACTACATGAACAAAGTAATTATCAAAGGTGGCGGGGGTCATTTCTTGGCCCTCTCAAGGTCAGGGATAGCATAGACAAATGGAATATATAATAATATTAAAACATAATTTGAGGCCGGGCGTGGTGGCTCACGCTTGTAATCCCAGCACTTTGGGAGGCCGAGGTGGGCGGATAACGAGGTCAGGAGATCAAGACCATCCTGGCCAACATAGTGAAACCCCATCTCTACTAAAAACACAAAAATTAGCCGGGCATGGTGGCATATGCCTGTAATCCCAGCTACTCGGGAGGCGGAGGCAGGAGAATCCCTTGAACCAGGGAGTTGGAGGTTGCAGTGAGCCGAGATTGCACCACAGCACTCTAGCACCACAGCACTCTAGCGTGGTGACAGAGCGAGACTCCGTCTCAAAAATAAAAAATAATTAAAAAAAAACTTGAATGATTATCATTGCTGGCAGTCCTAATAAAGCAACCATTGTGAATACCATCACTGATTATGTAGTCAGTGGGTTCCAGATAATCAATAAAGTTCGATATCTGAATTCTTCCAAAAGTGGTCTCATATGGGCATGTACATTTTTTCTAATTTGCAAATAAAGAAATGGAAACTCAGTGTGGTCAGGTCACCTGCCTAAAGCTACATGGCTGTCAAGTGAAAGCTCAGTTTTAAACCCATATTTGGATTCTTAGATGCTTTTTTTCTCCTTGTGTTACAAGGCTAGAATGTTGATTCTGTGAATGCTAGAATCCATGAAGTATGTGTTTTAAAGCAATGTCTGTGGAAAAAAACAGCTTCTAAGATAACAACTTCCATAACCAAATAAATTTGCAAATCATTGCTTACTCTATTCTTTGCTTAGGAAATTCAATATGTACCTTAGCATACTAAAGGCTTAGTAAAGTTCTGCAGTGAACAAAAAATAAGAAACAAACTAAAACTAACCTTCCAAACAAATAAGATTATTTATATGTTAAATTTAGTGTTTTCCAAAGTTGTTTACCTATTCAATCAGTTAGGACCTTTAAGTGGAAGTTAAAGGAAACCCAAACTGGCTTAACCAATTAGGCCATTTATCATTTCTCAAAACCCATAAGTAGTTTGGGATAAGTAGTTCAATGTATCAACAAAATTAGGAAGAACACATGATCTCTCTTCTTTCCACTCTGCCAACATCAACTTTTAATTATTTTTCAAGTTGATACGGTAAAATTCCTACAAAATATGCTAGGACATGAAGAGAAATACCCTCTGTATGGGAAAGGAGAATAAAGTGAACACCTGACTTTGCTGCAGACCCCAGCACCAGACCCATCCAGTAAACCCCAGCCCCAGGCTTCAGGTTGACCTCTGTGAACCAAGCCTCTAGGATAATCCCTTCAGATGCAGGTTCCAGACATACCCCAGTAGCGGGCCAGCCCCTTTGGCCCGAAAATCCAAGCCTGTTCCTGCAACACCAGGCATCAGGTACAACCCAGCACCAGGCCAGATCTAAGCTCCAGGTAAGTACCTCCAGACACACACTGCAGGATGACCTCCACAGTCTCAGGCACCAGCCCTACACCTATAAACCCTGGAACAAGGCTAGCCCCAACAAACTCAGAACCAGACCCATTTCTGCAGATTCAAGTACTAGGCCCACCCCAGTGCTAGGCTCACCCCCATAATGTAGGGTCAAGGCTTGTTTCAGTACCAGGTTGTCCCCCATGGACCTAGGCTTCATGTTTGCTCCCATAGACACAAATCCCAGGGTCACTTCTGCAGAACTAGTCACCAGACCTGCCTACCCAGTCCCATGCTGTACACCCACCCCAGTGGATCCAGATTCCAGGCCTATTGTTGGTGACATGGGGAACAGGACAACCTCCCGTTCCTTGAGCACTACAGCAGCAATTTTGCCTGCAGTCTCTCCAGGCAGGCTGCCTGGAATCTCTGGCCAGGCTGAATCATGAAGGACCTCTTTGTCAAATCCAGTTTGTAAAGACAGAAAGAGGTGTGTATTGTGTATACATCTTAAAATGAGTGGATACTAATGCAAGGCCAAAAGATAAAACAAACACACACACACACACACACACAAAAACAAAAGACAGAGAAGCATAACACCACCAAATGAACAAAATAAAGCACCGGCAACTGACTCCAAAGAAATGGGGATTTACGAAGTGCCTAACAAATTCAAAGTAATTGTTTTAATGAAGCACAATGAGCTACAAGTGAACACAAACAACGTAACAACAACGGGAAAGCAACACATTAAAAAATGACTAGTTCAACGAAGAGATGGAAACTATTAGGAACCAAACAGAAACTCTGGATCTGAAGAAGAACACAATGACTGCCTTGAAAAATCCTATAGCAATGTTCAGTATCATACTTGATCAAGTGGAATGCTCAGTGAGAGATGTCAGCAAGGTGGTGGAGAAGGAGATCCCAGGCTTCACCCACCCAGGAAAAATAACACACAGATATCTATGAATGAAAATAATGATGGGAGAGCACAAAAATCTAGTTAAGAATGTTCAGCAACAGAGTGTAACAAAAAACCCAGGGATAACCACACACACACACACACACACAAAATGTGAGAACAGTTTTCTTTTGCCTGCTTAATCTCACTGACAGCCAATGAGATTGGCCAGTTGCTCAGCACCAAGAGGAAACTCCCCAGCATGTAAGTTCCTATGGACAGAAAAAGAAGATTAAGGTGAACTACCAAGTTTCCTAGACTTTGGGGGCATTACATGAAGGATCAATTTCTGTTTCAACCTAACCAGATCACAGAGACAGCATAGCTGACACATCTCGATATAGCTGGGAGCAAAGAAAAAGGGAGCCATCAGTATCATCCATGTGATGAGAACCATTGTGGTCCCTAGTGGCCTGCTCTGTGAGGAAACTCAGAAGCCTTTGCTGAGAACTTCAACAGCTCTTACAGTAACTGAGGAGCTGCTGCAGCTTTCACTACTGAAGACCTCACAGAATCCAGCTGCCTGAGCCACTGCTACAACTGTCAACCACACTGTAGCCTTTCCAGCTGACACTGTCATGACCTCCTTGGTCCTAGCATCAATTGCAGCACCATACAATTGCCCACAAATGATCTAACCCCCCACCACTGACACTGGCTCCCACTTCCATGAGTAGGCTTGTGGCTTACCTCACAACTGTATGTATGTGCGCAGCTAAGCCTGACTGCTGCTGCCCTTCCCTATGATTATGTGAACACTCATGCAACTAGCTTCTGCAACTGCATGTGTGCATGCCAAAGTCCAACCCCCACATCTATGTGAACACATGCAGCCAGCCCTGACCCTCGTTTCTGGTCCCCACTGCCAATCTCATGTTTGCAGTTGGCTCTAGCAGTATGTGTTTACATGTATCCATGGCTCTGAGTCCTGTGACTGCATGTTTACATCATGCTTCCACCTGTAATTAGCCACAGAGCCTGTTGCTGACCCCAGCCATCAACACTGCACATGAACTCACAGCCACTGTGTCCCCTTGGACTTGGAGCTACTACATACCCGTGCATTGCTGAAAGAATTAAGATTGACAAAATGTCTGTACTATCCAAAGCAATCTACAGATTCAATACAATTCCTATCAAAATTCCCATGGCATTTCTATTTATTTTATGTTTTCACTTTTAGAAACAGGGTCTCACTCTATTGCCCAGGCTGGAGTGCTATGGCGCAATCATAGCTCACTGCAACCTCAAAGTCCTGGACTCAAGCAATTCTGTCCCTCAGCCTCCTGGGTAGTTAGGACTACAGGCATGTGCCACTATGGCTAGCTAATATTATTTCTTAAAATTTGTTTTAGAGATGGAGTCTTGCTTTGTTTCCCAGGCTGATCTCGAACCCCTGGTTTCAAGTGATACTTTCACCTTGGCCTCCAAAAGTGTTGTGATTACATGCATGAGCCACCTCGCCCAGCTCCAGTGTCATTAAAAAATCCTAAAATGTATATGGAAGCACAAAACATCCAAAAAACCAAAACAAGCTTGAGCAAGCAGAATAAAACAGGAGGTAGACAGATTATTTCACTAAACTCTACCTTACTTATTTCAAAATACAGTACAAACTATAGTGATCAAACAGCATGGGACTGGCATAAACACAGACATATAGATCAAGGGAACAAAATATAGAGCCCATAAATAAATTAACCTATTTATGATAAATTGATATTTGCCAAAGCTTCCCTTCCAAGAACAGACAATGAAGAAAGGATAGTCTCTTCAGTAAAAGGTGTTGGAGAAACTGAATATCCACATAGAGAAGAAGAAAATTGTCCCTTTTCTCACACCACATGCACAAAGAAGCTTCAAATTGATTAAATACTTAAACATAGTACATGAAACATTAAAATACCTAGCAGAAAACATAGGGGGAGAATGCATTATGTTAGTCTGGGCAATTATTTTTTTGGTATGACCCTGAAAGACTGGCAACAAATAAAAAAACAGACAAATTGCATTGTGACAAACTATTCAGTTGGTGCAAAAGTAAGGGCAGTTTTTACCATTGAAAGTAATAGCAAAAAACACAATTTCTTTTGCACCAAGATAAAAAAAAACAACAAGAACTGCACAGCCAAAAACAAACAAAAAATCAAATGAGTAAAGAGACAACATAGGAATGTGACAAAATATTTGGAAACCATACTTCTTCCAGGGGGTTAATATAGAGAGAGAACTTAAAAAACCCAGTAACGAGAAAACTAATAGCACAGCACAGTTATGAAATGGGCAAATGACCTCAATGAACATTTCTCACAAGAAAACATAAAAATGGCCAACATATATATGAAAAGGTTCTCAACATCACTAATAATCAGAGAAATGCAAATCAAAGCCATTATGCTATTACCTTACACCTGTTAGAATGACTATTACCAAAAAGACAAAAGATAATGAGTGCTTGTACACTGCTGTTGGAAATTTAAATTAGTTCAAATATTCTGGAAAACATTATGGAGGCTCCTCAAAAGATGAAAAATAGTACTTTCATATAATCAAGCAAACCCATATTTAGGTATATATCCAAAGAAACTGAAATCAATTTCTTGAAAGATACCTGTATTCCTATGTTTATTGCAGCATTATTCACAATGTTCAAGATATAGTATCAATCTAAGTGTTCACTGACAGATGAATGAATAATGAACATGCAATGGAATATTAATTAGCCTTAAAGATGAAGAAAATTGGCTGGGCGTGGTGGCTTATGCCTGTAATCCCAGCATTTTGGGAGGCCGAGGTGGGTGGATCACCTGAGGTCAGGAGTTCGAGACCAACCTGACCAACATGGTGAAACCCCATCTCTACTAAAAATACAAAAAATTAGCCTGGTGTGGTGGTGCGTGCCTATAATCCCAGCTACTCGGGAGGCCTGAGGCAGGAGAATCAGCTGAACCTGGGAGGCGGAGGTTGCAGTGAGCTGAGATCAAGCCACTGAACTCCAGCCTGGGCAACAAGAGTGAAACTCCATCTCAAAAAAAAAAAAAAAAAAAAAAAAAAAGAAGGAGAAAGAGAAGAAGAAGAGGAAGAGGAAGAGGAAGAGGACCCTGTCATTTGTGACAGCATGGGTGAACTTGGTAGATATTATGCTACCTGAAATAAGCCAGCACCCCCCCAAAAAAATACTGCATGATATCAGTTATATGTGGTAAGGTAAAGGCTGACATCATAGAAGCAGAGAATAGAATGATGGTTGTCTGGGGCTGGGAGTGGGGGAATTGGGAGATTTTGGTCAAAGGTTAAAAAGTTTCAGTTATTCATGATGAATAAATTCTGGAACTCTAATATACAGTATGTTGAAATAAAATTAATAATAGTGTATGGTGTACTTAAAATTTGCTAAGAGAATAGATCCTAAATGTTCTCATTACAAAAACAAACAAGCAAAAAATGGTAGCTATGTGTGGTGATAAATATATTAATTAGCTTTATTTCAATAATCATTTTACAAGAGATGTGTATATCAAAGCATCACGTTGTACACTGCATATGTATTTTTTATTTGTCAATTATACACCAAATATCAACACTTTTTATTGGTCAATAATACTTCAATAAACTGGAATTAAAATAAATAAAATAACATAAATGACAAGTCAAAACATTTAAAACAACTTTGGAAATGTTTTCTGACATGCTAATTGACTTATGTAATTCTGCATAGTAGTATTAAGGGAAATTTTTCATATAATAAAATGGGTTTCATTTTGACACCATCTTGATATTCAAACTTTTAATTTTAATTTGATGTCTAATATCTCCTAATTCAAGCAAATATAAAAGAAATTTTAAGATATTTAAAATATACTGCCTCAGCAGTACGTCAAAGGGAATAACATTTCTAAATGACCAGGGGCCAAGCATTACTTAAACATTTAGTGGTAGGATTTATTTTCTGTCTTGATTAAAAATTTACAACTAATTTTGCATTTCTTAGAACACAGCAGAATCATGAGATGAATAGTTTCATAATTAATATCCGCATTTTGAAAATTCAGTCACAACTGACAGTTGTGGGTTTGTATTAGTCCATTTTCTGATGCTTATAACAGAATATCTGAAATGATAATTTAAATATATATTTAATTTATATGTTATTGAATTATATATAGAAAATATATATTTTTATGTATTTTATATATATTGAAACATATATACATTCATATATAGAGAGAGATATAGATATATATAGATATATTTCTTAAAGTTCTGAAGGCTGAGAACCCCAAGGTCTAGTGAAAACCTTCTTGCTGGTGGGGATTCTCCACAGAGTCCTGAGGCAGTGCAGGGTATCACATGGTGAGGGGCCTGAGCATGCTTATGTGCTTCCTCAAGTCTTTCTCCCTCTTCTTATAAAGTCACCAGTTCCCCTTCCATGATAACTTCCCATTAATCCATTTATGGGGCAGAGTCCTCATGATCTAATCACTTCTTAAAGGCCCCACCTCTCAATACTGTCACACTGAAGATGAAATTTCAACCTGAGTTTTGAAGGGGATATTCAAACTAGAGCAGTGTTGTTTTAATTTTTTCCAGAATGTTAAGGAATTATGGAATTCAAGTCATATTTAGAACCATAACAGGCAAGCAAATACCTAAATAACAGTAAGTTGATCAATTTTGACACAGTTTAACTATCCTATGAAGTCACTAATGATCTGAACTCCATCTTTTCAGACCAACCTTGAAGAACAAGCTTTTGTTTGTTTCTTTGTCTGTTTGTTTGTAATGATGGCAAGATTGTTTCTGTTGCCCAGGCGAGCAACCATGATGGCTCAAAGCAGATATAAGGAGAGAAAAT
This sequence comes from Homo sapiens, assembly GCF_000001405.40. Lineage (NCBI taxonomy): Eukaryota > Metazoa > Chordata > Mammalia > Primates > Hominidae > Homo > Homo sapiens. The sequence continues at coordinate 27,445,260 of NC_000014.9, read as the reverse complement.
AAGATGGGACAGTGCTAGACACATAGTGTTTCTTTTAATTGAGAAAGGAAATACTTTTTCAGAAACAGTTGTAACAAACTTATTCTTTGTTGTTCAGAATTGGACTATCTATATCTTGGAGTGATGCTGAGAAAATGAGAACAAGAATTGCTCTAATTGTCTTATGTTTCAATGTCTGGATTTGTTCACATTTCCACTACAAAATAAATGAGATTCTGTTAAGAAAGGTGATATTTTTGATCTTGCCTCAGCAACATTGTCTGCAACATCTGCCTAATTCTCAGATGCTTGATGCTTACAGGAAAGGCATATGAATAAACTCAAGTTTAAATTTGTTTATTCTCTTTATTGGTGATGGGACCTTGAACAAATTACAGAAATAAAAGAACCCTTAAGTAACTGAAATGATTAAAAGAAAGCTTTCCAGACTCCTCCACTGTATGTTTTCGTCTACCTTCTTCTGTATCCACACACTTTTTCTTACTGCCTGATGCCATAGGTGGATTATCTGAACTCCCATCTAAAGCCTTCTCTATACTTATTCCCTAGTTCTTAGACCTTCCTGCCTATTCAAGCATATAATTCCAGCAATCCTCTCCTACCTTTTTCTGTACCATTAATTTTATTTTCTACTGAATCTTTTTCATCCGTATATCCAATTTTTCTTCCATCTTCTTCCCTTATTCTTGAAAGCTTTCACATAACTTTTGTGTTCTCCTTTGGAACTAGCAATACTTGAAAGAGTAACCTACATTCATGTATCAAATTTATAAACCTGAGAATAGCCACAACTTTAAAAACAATACTCAGATATGTCAAAGTTTAAAGGCAGAAAAAGATTATCTTTTCCTGTGTCTTAATGACACTGCTCACTATCAATCATTGCCAGAATTTGCTCTTATCATGATGATTAAGCAGTGGAACTGGGACCACCATAATTGCATTAGAACAATTTGGGATAAGCTTATTCTGAAATGTGTTGACAAACAGAAGATAGTAGACATTTGGGAAAAACTCAGTGAATCGGTAGCATAGAAGAAAGGACAGATATTGAATAGACAATCAACAGTGTTTGTGTTACTCATTGTCTTTTCAATGACCTAGTTAGTTGGGTAATAAATGTATTTATTAGGCCAGGCATGGCGGCTCACACCTGTAATCCCAGCACTTTGGGAAGGGGAGGCAGGAGGGTCACTTGAGGTCAGGAGTTCGAGACCAGCCTGGCCAACATGGTGAAACCCGTCTCTACTAAAAATAGAAAAATTAGCCAGCTGTGATGGCGCATGCCTATAATTCCAGCTACTTGGGAGGCTAAGACAGGACAATCACTTGAACCCAGGAGGCTCAGTTTGCACCGAGAAGAGATTGCACCACTGCTCTCCAACCTGAGTGACAAAGTGAGACTCCATCTCAGAAAAAAAAAAAAAAGTATACACACACACACACACACACACACACATATCTATCACAAAATGGGCATAATTTCTGGAAAAGCATTATTTTCTTATTAGAATATTAGCAGTGAATATTGCACAAACCACTGGTATTCTGTGAAACACAATTTAGAGTGCACTGATGAATAGAAATGACATACTATAAAAAGAGTCAGAGGAAGAGCTATACATGACTTGGACAAGTATTATGCTTCGGTTTTGTGTCCCCACACAAATCTCATATTGAATTGTAATATCCAGGTGTAGAGGGAGAGACCTGGTGGGAGGTGATTGGATCATGGGGGTGGTTCCCCCGATGCTGTTCTCGTGATAGAGAGTGAGTTCTCATGAGATCTGATGGTTTTATAAGTGTTTGGCAATTGTCTCTTGCTCACTTTCCTCTCTCTCTTGCCACCATGTGAGAAGGTCCAAGTTTCCTTCCCCTTTGCCTTTCCACCATGATTATAAGTTTCCTTAGGCCTCCCCAGCCATACTGAACTGTCAGTCAATTAAACCTCTTTCCTTTATAAATTACCCAGTCTTAGGTATTTCTTTATAAGAGTGTGAAAATGGACTCTAATAAATCATTAGTCTAATAAGTTAAACATGATCTTATTTCAGAATTGAAAATGCAGTGAATACTAAAAACAAAAAAAGATACAATGGAAAGAAAAATACATTTTAAAACCCCCAGAAACTAATCATGACAAAAAGAGCTCCATATCCTTTAGAAAGTAACTCTTAAACTTAGTTAGATTGCAAAGTTCACTTAAAATAATAATACTAATAAAGTATAATGATTATTATTGTTTGGGAATATTTAAGAGAGTTTTTCAGATAATCATGAATTCAAACTAATGTAATTTGTGATCAAGTTATTTTTAGCCTTACAAAAAGATTTAATTTGCCTGTACTATCATCCCAGGATATATGTTTCTGGCTTTGTCAGGGACAAATTTACTTTTAGATTTCTGACCCTTTTATAGGTATAAACAAGCTAGACAGCACAAATTAACCTAGCAAGGAATAAAAGTGAATGATGAACAAAAAAGCCAAAATCTTTGATCAGCAATCCTGCTCATGAATGGTGATCACATGGACTTCATGACTTCCTAGGACTATGATACTTCCTTTTCTTTGTTTTACCAAACATCAGAGGATATGATCCCAGCAATACCATCTGGCAGGGCAAAAACTGAAACAGAGGAAACTGAACTCAATATTTCTCCAAAGGTTCTGTAGAAAATGTGTTGTTTGATGTAGAAACCGGAAACCACACCTTCTTCTTTGGAGAAGGTATAAATCTTAACCCTTTGAAATATAATTTGGCTACCATGTTCCAGAAGAAAGTGAAGTCCAAAGGGAGAGGGCTAGCGTAGGTGATAATACTCCATTATCCTTCAAATATCCTAACTGGGAAATATGTATGTGTATGTTTGTGTGTATGTGTGTGTGTGTGTGTGTGTGTGTCTGTCTGTCTTTGTGTGTGTGTGTGTGTGTGTGTTTGATGGCTATTAATATAGAGTACGAGTATTATTTCTGATAAAAAGAAATTAGAAATGTGAGTGACCAAGTTCTAAAATAGAGTTGATTATTCTGTGGTATCCTGAACTGGAGGTATGTTAAAGTTCAGAGCAGAACCAAACTGAGTATCTACTAATTTGGGTGGAATAAGTCTAAGTGTGATTATTTCATGGATGCTAGAAGTTAAAATCTAGTATTGGAATAAAGTTAGGTGTAATTATTTTATGGATACTAGAACCTACCAATATGTTTTCTCTGCTTAAGGAAGTACCAAACTATGAAGGGAAAAAGAAAGAAAAGTTATGTCTCCCTCTATAATATAAGCTTTATGAAGGATCTTTGTTTTGCTCACTGCTGTATTTCAAGTGCCTGACACATAAAGGGTCCTTAATATTTATAGAGTGAACCACACAAAGTAATCCCTAACAGATGTAAATGTGTCTCCTAGGTTTGTAAGAATAGCTTCTGTTGGCTCAACAAGAAAAATCTGTTTCTGAATTGAACATCAACTAATATTCTGTAAATTTCCATCTTAAGGACTAGCGGCACATACAACTCTTCTAACTGAGGGTTAATTCTCTTTAATTAGTTAACTCTAACTTTCAAACTGCGTTCTCTGGAAGCAGAAATTCACAATTCTGAATTAGCCCAAAATGAGCATGTGCTGCACCTGGAAACAATTAGGTACCAGGGCTGTTTGAGGAGCGCAGGTGTTCTGGCAAGCAGCAAACTTCCATTCTCTGTAACGAGCTGAAGATCCTGATTAACTGACATGATTTTAACCTCAAGTAATGTCCACTGAATTGCTAAGAGAAATGAGATGACAATGAACTTTAGTTACAAGGGGAGAAGTAAGAGCCACTATGTATTTATGTGAAAAATAAACCTAATTCATCTTAGAAGGATATGTAAGAAGGTATTACTATTAATAATTCTGTGGATTATATGAGTATTTTTCTCTTTTATTCTCAACAGACTTCAATGAAAATAATGAATCTCATAGTGGAGTGGTGAAACTTTCATTTATTTGAGAAAAAAAATGATCATCTCCAGAATCGGCTCTGGAGGAATCTATATTTTTCTGAAATCCATTTGCTTTTATTTTCTTGTAATCTATTGTAAGAAATTTGAGATGATGTTTCTAGGGAAAGAGATTTATATATATATATATATATATATATATATATATATATATATATATATATATATAAATTGTCCATTATTAATGCTAAAATAATTATTTGCCTTTCTGGAAAACATTCTAGCTTAAACTAATTATATTATTAAATATAGTGATATTATAAATTTGTGGTAGTTTTATAGCTAGCACAGGCAAGATACTTAGCAAAACCCGTAATGGTTGATTTATCACAAATGCAACATTGAAATTATTATTTATTTATTTATTTTTCCAATAAGTTTAGATCTGATAGCGTTTTGGAGCTGCTAAAACCAAGAGGAAACTTCTAAAATTTAAATTCATATGCTTCCTTTTACACCTAACTTATGTTTTAAAAGATATTTAAGTGCTGCCTACCATTTCTCTCCTCTCCTTCTGCTAATAATTAACTACTTTTGAAATCATAATATGCAATTCTTGTTTTTGAATAATATAGATGTTTATTTTATGTTAACATTTATCAACTAGACAAGGTTATGGCAGAAAAAAGTTTCAGAGCATGAGCACAAAATTATTTTTAAAAGGTTGTCTATTAGTTATTATTTCTAGGAAAAAAGAATACAACTATGTATTATCACAGAGATGCATTCTAATGACCATTGCATTTACTGTAAATTTATTTCTGACATTCGAAATTAAAATTGCAATACTTTTTATCTGTAGTATGAAAGAGGTTACATTGAGTATGTTTTAATTACTAAAAAATATGTATGAATGATGGGAGGCCTTTAATGATAGAAATTAGTTTGCCATACTCTACCTTCTTTATACATATCAGCCTTGTTTGTCTTCATTCTTGTTCAGCAGCTAGCCTTGTTTAAAACCTCTGATATCAAAATATTTCTTTCCTACTTCCTATAGTCCCTGTCACCTTTATTGCACATACCACCTTCTGAAGTACTATATATTTGCTGTACATCTTATCATTCATTTTTACTGTTTTTCTCTCCCTTCCTGCTTGAATTCAAGCTTCAAGATCTAGAAGAATTGCTGATACTAGATCATAGATAGGGTTTTTTTGTATAAGCAAATAAATGAATAAAGGTATTCCAAAGGCAATAGCTCAAACTTTAATACTGCCATTTGCTAGTTTTATGATAATAAGAAGTCATTTAATTATTTTTGAATCACAATTGACTATCCAAGCCATGAAGATAATATTTATAATACTTATTGTCATTAATTAAACATATCAACTGTTGGTTATTTATTAAACGTCAGAAAGTATATTTTCATTATATCACCATGATATAATGTCATTAGTGATATAATTATTATCTTTACAACCATTTTGAATGTAACAAAACCTAAACTCAAATTATTCAGGTAAAGTAACTTTTAAAAGATCAAATAACTAGAAAAAATGAGGGGTGCACAACTTCAAGCCTTATCTATATTGGGTGTGCACTTTTAATGAACAAATTTCCAGAAATATGAATCTGAATATGTATTGTAGACTTAAAAGCAACCTAAAAGTGTAAAAACTCAAATCAAGTTATTCCCATGTTCTTTTTGATGCCTCAAAATCAGTACAGCAGCTAATGCACTCTTATACATGATTTTAAAATCTTGGCATATGGATTTCCGGTGGTTCTAATGTTCTGATAACATCCTAAAGATAAAATGATAGCATGGAATACAAATATATGTTTTCTTTCCCCAAATTACAGATACTTGTTTGGCAACTCTGTAGATAGTATAAATGAAAACGTAGAGGCTTCACAAAAGCAGAGGGAACAAAGACAAAAGGGAAACAAAATGAATGGAGTGGTTAAATCACATACCTCTTCATCCTTTAGTACGATACAGGACTTCAAGAGTGGTTGAGGGTTAGGAAGTAATTGTGAGGCCCTGGCCAACTCACTAAAGCCTATCAGCAGCTCTTGATATAGGAAGCATGGCAGAGGAATAGTAATGCAGGAACTAAAATTTCTTCTGATCCCCACAGACTCTTCTTTTCCAGGTTTGCAGTTATCTACATACAATGACTTTTTGTTTATAGTGTTTAGACTAGTTAAGCATTTTTATAAAGGAACTTCATATTGTCCTAATACTCAACATATAAGGCATCACACAGTTCTTCGATGTTTGCTTTCTTTTGTAATCTTCCTTATATGTGAAATATAGTTTTGACTACATTTAAAATCATTAAAAAGATCTGAAGAAAGCAATGATCAAATGGTATTATACTATAGTTCCCAGGATTTTAAAAATAAACTCTTAAATTTTAACACAGGTTAGATTTACAAACTGAAAAACAAACAAAAACAAAACAAAACAAAAAACAAAGATAGTATACAAAGTTCCCAAATATGCCACATCCAAGTTCCTCTATTAGCTTCTTACGTTGGTATGAAACATGTGTTATAATTTATGAACTAATAGTCATACATTATTGATAACTAAAGCCCATAGTATTCATATTTTCTTATTTTTTATCTAGTCCTTTTCTGTTTCAGGATCCATCCAGGATACCACATTACACTTAATTGTCCTGTCTCTTTCAGCTCCTCCTATCTGTGAGAATTTCTCAAACTTTTCTTCTTTTTAATGACCATGACAGGTTTCAGGAGTCCTTGTCAGACATTTTGTAGAATGTCCCACAGTTTTGATTTGTCTGATGTTTTTCTCATGATTAGACTGGGGTTGTGTGTTTTTGAGGGAAAGACTACAGAGATAAAATGTCACTTTTATCACAACATGCCAAGGGTACATATTGTCAGCCTGACTTATCACTGTTGATGTTGACCTTGATCACCTGCATGAGGAAGTGTTTGTTAGGTTCTTCACTATAAAGTTACTCTTTTTTTTTTTTTTCTTCCTTTCCATTTTGTAATCTTTGGAAGAAGTTTCTATGTGTAGCTCACATTTAAGAAGTGGGAAGTAAATGTTTCACCTTCTTAAGGACAGACAATATACATGCTATTTGGTATTCTTCTACATGGAAGATTTGTCTAGTACCCCAATTTATTATTTAGTTATTTGTTAAATCATTCACTTTGATCAATGTGGTCTCACTGACACCTAGATTTTTTCGTGGCAAAGATGTTATTTGGTTACACTTAAATATATAGGCTTTATTCTATAGGAATCATTTATTTAAACTTGATACATGCTTTATGAGGATTCTGATGAACTTATAAATTAACTTAGGAAGAATAATGACTTTAGAACATTGAGTCTTCATGTTAATGAACATGATATAGCCTCCTTTTATGTTCTTTTAACTTTTATTTTAATTTCATGGGTACAAGGGCAGGTTTGTTACATAGGTAAAGTTGTGTCCTGGGGGTTGTTGTACAGATTATTTCATCACCCAGGTATTAAGCCTAGTACCCAGTAGTTATTTTTCCTGTTCCTCTCCCTCCTCCCACCCTCCACCCTCTACAAGGTCCCAGGGTGTGTTGTTCCCCTCTGTGTCCATGTGTTCATAAGTGGGAATCATATTCTTTATCTTTTTTTCATTCCTTTTCCTTTAATAAGGACTTTAGAACCTTGTAATAGTGGTTGGCAATTATTTTCTGTAGAGGGTCACACACTAAAACATTTTTGGCTTTGCAGGACATATGATAGGTAGCACAACTATGTGAAAGCATCCAGAGATAATATGTTAACAATTAAATGTAGATGTGTCCAATAAAACTTTATTTACAAAAGCAAGTGTGACAGATTTGGCTCACAGGCCATAGATTGCTGACCCCTGTTTTAGAACATTAATGTCTCATTTCTTCTCTAAGATCTTTACTCACAGATCCTCTTTCTATGCCCCAATGTCCTCTTCCCTAAAGGATATCTTTAGTCTTGTGTATTCTTAACTGTCTTTCCTATAAATGGGTGTTTTTATATTTTATTGGCAATTTAAAAGTTTTAATGGAAAAGAAGTGGCCCATAATAAAAGAATATTAATCCTGAGTTTAAGAATTTGGAGATTAACAAATATAGCAGCTTTCTCTGAATAGACTTTTGTTTAAGGCAGAATTAAACACCCTGGAAAAAGACACTTGGCTTTATCAGTTATGTCTTCCTGAACCAATGATATGGTGATCATTTGGAGTTGGAGACATGAAGAGCAACAAATGGAGGGAAGAGTCACTCTGAAAACTGAGTAACTCAGTCAAGTTCTTGTAGGCTAAGTGATTTTTGAACACCTTTTGCAGATTTGTATACATCGTTGTGACACACTTATTACAAATAAAAGCCAAAGGATTCAGAAAACAAACTGAGCAACACTTTAAGGAAGTATTTTCTACCTTTTCATACCCAAACTGCATAAAATTCAGTTAATATAAACATTGTATTAAGGATAAAACATCTACAAGTTGATTAGCTACAATAGCTCCGGTCTATTCAAATGTGTTAGTTCTGAAGGGACATTGCTGCACCTAATTTGATTTCCCCCTGAGCAGTACATGATGTGTTATTTGATGCCCTTCAAAGGACACGATTAGCTGAACTATAAAGTGTCTGATTTTATTAGCTTTACTGGGTTTTATCAGTTTGTAAATGTGTTATTTTTTCTATTTATTGTGCCTATGGGATCCAGAGATAGAGTAAGCATCAAGTTAATATGTTTTGGGGAGGCAGCCATGGCTATACTTTAACACACTGTGTTGTGATGACATTGTAGGTGGAGTCCTGGAAGCTTTAATGTCAGGGCCATTTATCAAGGCAGTTCTTCAATGCTGTAAACCTTAACCATGACATTGAATTCAACAGTAGGCTTTTGTTTTAAATAGAACCAAGTGTTCCTGGGCTGCAATGCTAACACTCCTCTTTAACTGAATAAAAAGTAGTCAGTTAAAAAAATATATGTCAGGCAGGTGGTCAGAAGAGAAAAAGAAACAGAGGTGTTGGGCTGAGTTACCATGTTGAGGTTTTTTTGATAAGAGAAAAAACAGGTTCAATTTTAGTTAAAGTAAAACGGACAGGCATCAGCAGCATACACAAATGCCACCAACCCTTTGCTTTTAATTGGAATACAAAGTCCATACACTCATTTAACAAGATAGCTTGGCAGGAAACAATTTCACTGCCATGTATTCAAAGGGTGCCAAACCAAATGACATAATCAGCACTGGCGATGCTCGGAATAGTTAACAGGTATTTGTGGAGATGAGTTGCTCTATTCTTTTCAGGTTGCCTTGCATTTAGTTTTCTCAGGGCTTATTCAACCAACTTGTCAATGCATCAAAGGTAGATACTGCACTTATTTTTCCAGCAATTAATTCATTTAAAATAATGTCTTCTTACTTTTTTTTTTTTAATTTTTGCCAATCCTGTGATTACTGTTTTCTTTTCATCTGGAATAAAAAAAGAAAAGCGGAGGTCTCCTGCACACAACCCTATCTCAGGCATAACTATTCCATTCATTTGATCATTTCTACCCACTTACTCATAGGGGTATGAATATTGTTTGTAAGTAATATGCATTAATAGAAATCTAAAAATATCACTAAGTATTATTTTATAAGTTTAAGGACCCAAATGCAACTTGTTGCATGTATGTGTGTGTTTGTGTATCCACACATTTACATTTGCTGTGTGTCTGTTAGCTGAGAACAGAGGCAGACTGTATCATGTGCCAGTTATCCTTCTTAGTACCTTTTCTGTATTATGTATTAGTTATTATCTCCACTCTACACTATAGCCTTAGGAGACACAAACAATTTTTATACCGGTTCACCCAAGTGATTTACCTGAAAACCCCACAAGTAAATATGGAGTAGGGCTAAGATATTTGTGAGATGAGCTTTATGATACCAAAAAAAATGGCAATTTAAATGGTCTATTCAAGACAACAGTATCTTTTTCAGTAGAAAGATCTACATTGGCAATTCTCACATTCCCCATAGCATTTCTTCTCCCTATGCTTACTTATCCCACCTTATCTGATATATTACCTTCACAAACAAAACACAAACTCTGAATTTTGTCAGAAAATGGTTTAGTAAATCAGTACTTAACATTACAGTTGAATTAAAGGGAAAGACTGTAGGCCTATACTAAGTCATTATATCTTTATTCTACTCCAATGGAAGTAACTGAAGTTAGGGATCATTTTCTGTTTTCTTGCAAGGAAAGGCATAATATCTTCTATAGTAATTTTTATTGCAGTAATCGTTACATAAGTTATTTTTATAAAAGATATAAAATATCTTTTAATTTTTTGATGATACCCTATGACTATGTAATGGAGCATACTATATTTTAACAATTATTAAAACACTTTAAAGTTCAGACAAATGATTTGAATGTGAAAGAATATATACCAACATCAATATCTACTATATCCATGATTTGGACATGGCCTATACAAAGTATTGTATTCTTCAACATTGCAGACAAATGTGAGTCGTTGATATTATGTTGCAAAAAGGTATTCTCTGCTAAAAATATTTTTACCCTATAATTAAGGGCATTTGGCATACATGCATGTGCGCGCGCACACACACACACACACACACACACTAAATTATATTGCTTTAGTTCATTTCTTTAAAAGACACTTTTCGTATGTAAGCTAAGATTTAAATAAATGAGTTAACGATTTAGGTATGTGGTACTCCAGAGAAATATGGGTACTTAAAAATGTATATGTTTCAAAAAAAGAGTCTACAATTATTTCTTTTTTTTTTTTCCATTTGTATGAATTTAAGGGGTTACAAGTGCAGTTTGGTTACATGGATATATTGTTTAGTGGTGAAGTCTGGTCTTCTAGTGTAACCATCACGTGAATAGTGTACATTGTACCATGATGTAATTTCTCATTACTCACTCCCTTACTACTTTCTCATCCTTCTCAGACCCTTGAGTTTCCAATGTTTATTATTTCACACTCTGTCCTTGTATACACATTACTTAGCTCCCACTTATGAATACACTTCTTCCTTTTTTCTTCTTAAGTCCTCAAAACGTTCAATTAATTTGGAAAAGTAGCACTCTAGTCATGCAAAAGAAAAGGTATCTTTGATAGACCCTTCAGTTCCCACAGAGAAGTTAGTGTCTATAAGGTTTTATATTCTTGTTTTTCTGAACTTGCATTTAATACATATTATATAGTAGTCTAATACACTGGGTACAAATTTTAGCATTCTTTTTGCAATATACTGTTATTAAAATGGAAGAATAATGTAAGAGTACTGATTTTCAAAGGAAGTTACTACCTTGCTCAAATGGTCACAGAAAACCAAGCTGTGGGTCTTCAAGATCTATTTGCGGCAGAGCACGGTGGCGAGTGCCTTTGGGAGGACGACGCGGGCGTATTGCTTGAGCTCAGAGTTCGAGACCAGCTGGGAAATGTGGAAAAACCCCTTCTCTACAAAAAATGCAAAAATTAGCAGAGCCTAGTGGCCTGCACCTGTAGTCTCCGTTCCTCAGGAGGCTGAGGTGGGCAGATCACTTTAGCCTGGGAGGTCAAGGCTGCAGTGAGCCAAGATTGCACCACTGCACTCCAGCCTGGGTGACAGAGTGAGACCCTGTCTCAAAAAACAACAAAACAATCTGTTTTGCTTTAATAATAGAACTATGGATCATTGATTATGGCAACCACAAATCCCTTTTTTTTCTGTATTCTCTGGCTTACTAGTGTTTTTTCAAAATCAATCAACTACAATTATTGTATATCCATTATTTTCTCTTATTATTAATCAAATAGTTCCTAAATTAAGTGTCCTTTTAAATGTTTCCCTTCTCCATTAGCTAAGAAAGATGTATGCATTCATATGCAACAATAGTTTCCATTATTGTGATAATGTATACATATATAATGCATATACTGGTACATGTACTATATGTGTAAAATATGTAAAATGTATATATGTGAAATATGCAAATTATTTTCCTTCCTTATCAAAAACATAAAAAAGCTTAACTTTTTTAATGATAAAGCAGTGTTAAAGATCAAGTAGGGCAGCAAAAGGGAAACAAGTTATTACAGATTTTAGTATATAGGAAATATTTCTTCCTTTAATAGGAAATAACATAAAACTTCGTAATTGCAAGGGACAATAAAGGCATTACTTTTGAAGTTAGAACTGATTCTCCTGGTAAACAATAGCTATTATTATTTTGAACTAATTTTGGAATTGCAAAAATAAAGTAGAAAAATCCTGAAGACTTTCTTTATGCCCATTTTCCAGTATCCCCAAATGTCAACCTTTGCCACATTGCCTTTATCATTCTGTTTCTCTCTGAAATGCTTGCGAATTGGTTTTAAGCATATGCCATTTTACCTGTAAATACTTGAATGTGTATTTCCTAAAAGCAATGACATTATCTTACATAACTCAATATTATTACTAAAATTAGGAAATCAACATTGATGCATTGTTAATATTCAAATGCAAACAATTTTTTTCACTAATATTTTACATGGTAAAATAAAAAAACATACTGATCTGGTACAGAATCCAGTACAGAATTACACCTGGCATATAACGATCAGGTTTCATCATTCTCTGATTTGGAACAGTTGCTTAGCTATTCTCATCACCTTGACATTTTTCACAATTATATAACAGTCATTTTGTAGCATGTCCTCCTTTTGGATTTGTCTGATGTTTCAACATGATTTGATAAAGGTTATGCAATTGGGGCAGAAATAGCATAGAAGTAACATTGCATCCCTCAAGATGTATTCTATCCAGAGGCATATGTAATCTTGATTTGTCCCATTGCAGGTGACGTAAACATTGCTTACTGCATTAAAATATTGTCTGTCAGCCTTCTCAATTTTTCTTTGAATTAATAGACAACTTCTGGGGACATATTTTGACATTATATAATTATCTTATTTTTTACTGTATTTTGCCCACTAAATTTAGTACCTACTGATACATCTTGTCTGAAAAGAGTATTGTTGAGGTACTTTCTAAACCATGATTTTACTAATTCCATCATGCTCTGTACATTGATTAGTTGAAATTATAGTTAAAGGAAGAGATTTCCCTTTCCATTTATTTTTTTCATTTGTATGTATTAGTATGGGGTAATGGAATCTTATTTTTTCCCTATAGTTTTCTATTAGTATGATTCTGTATCTATTGCTGAAATAATCTCAGATTTTTATTTTCAAGGGGCCAGTGAAAGTCCCTTTTAGCTGGGTCTTGTGTCCTTTGTGGTAGGCCCCCATAGTTTTCCAAGCATTTCTTTCTAATACAGGAATACCTTCTAGGTTGATTATGCACTTTCTCAGCTCCAGGCTTTTTTTAAGGAGACCTGGAGGCCGGGTTTTCTTGTTGAAAATGCTATTTAGAAATCAAGATCTGGGACCTAGATATATTCACTGTTATAGGAGTTTTTAACTTCTAGGGCCTCACAGAAAATAAAGCCAGAGCTCAGACCTATCTATCTATCATGTATGTGAATATATAAATATATAATGTATGATATACATGTTATGTGCTTTGTTTACATGTATGCAGTGGACTCATTAATCCATAAAACTATGTAAACAAAGTTGAGTACAATTCAAATGGTTATGTAATATATTTTTATAATAATTATTTCTAGTTATTTCTGTTTAAATCCCATTTCAGGTTTTCCCCTAATATCTTGTTTATTCTATGTATTTATTTGGGGGGGGGGCTTATAAATTATTAGCATAGTTCTAAAAGCCAAAATTATATGCACAAAAATTATATAAAAAGTTTCACTCCCAAATTTCTGTGTCATTCAAGCTTGTGATTGTCACATTTTTCTTTTTCTGACTAATGCATATTTTTGTTATATTTTTTAATATTTGCTATTACAATGTTTCACCAGTTGTCCTTATAGCTATATCTTTGGAAAACTCCATGACTGGGGTCTAAAGATAAATTTTTGTGAAAAAAATTGTATAAATATTGTAAGAGTTTATAAATTGATAAATTATCCTCTTAAAAGTGATCTGCTTTTTACAATTGACACATATGCATGAGAATAATCATTTACCTAGGACTTTACCTATGTTTCATATTACTACATACCTCCTCCAATTTTATTGGTGAAAATGTATTTTATTGTTATTCCTTTTTTTTTTTTTTTTTTTTTTGAGACGGAGTCTCGCTCTGTCGCCCAGTCGCCCAGGCTGGTGTGCAGTGGCGGGATCTCGGCTCACTGCACGCTCCTCCTCCCGGGTTCACGCCATTCTCTTGCCTCAACCTCCCAAGTAGCTGGGACTACAGGTGCCCGCCACCACGCCCGGCTAATTTTTTGTATTTTTAGTAGAGACGGGGTGTCACCGTGTTAGCCAGGATGGTTTGGATCTCCTGACCTCGTGATCTGCCCGCCTTTGCCTCCCAAAGTGCTAGGATTACAGGCGTGAGCCACCGCGCCCGGCCGTATTTTATTGTTATTCTAATATGCCTGGCAATAGTTTCTAACGAGGCCAAAAACATTTTTAAAGGTTTACTGGTCATAACTATTACTTTATTATTTAAGTTTTTCCTTGTAACATGTACTTTTGTTTAGGAGCCTTTTTGTGTTTTCGAAAATATATATGCACAAAAATACATAGATACGTGCATACACACATACATGCACACATATGTAATTTGTTGGGATGTATGTTATATATCTTTTTTCTATGAGATTTGATACCTTGTTTACATTTTTATGTTATTTACTTGGAATTCCATACTTAGCAAAATCTATTCCTAACATTAAGGTTATAGATTATCCCCATTTACTTTTATTTTATTGCATCTATTTGCTGATTTCTACAATTTTCCCTTAACACATCTGGAAGTTATTTTAATATATGAATATATGACATAAAATATATATCTAACGTTGTGCTTTATCAAATAAATAATTATCCAATTAATTCAGCTTTTTGCATTTAATATTCATTTTTTCTAATTTTACACTGATTTTATCATATGCAAAATATTTCAAGTTCTTGAAGTCTGGCAAGGGCTGTTATTTTATTGATTAGTCTGTATATTGTTCCATATGAATCATACTGGTTTTAAAATTGTAACCCTTGAGAATATCTTAATATATGCTCTTGGAAGTCACCTAAATTATTTATGGTTTTCAAAACATCTTATTTATACTCAGCCATTTATTTTTCCAAATGAATTTCAGACTATTTTTCAAGTTCCAAGTTGTTTTGATTAGAATTGAACTAAATATATAAATTAGTTGAGCAAGAACAAGCATCACTGCATATTAATACTTCTCATTAAAAACTCCGTATATATTTTACTAGTAATTTTTATTTTTTATCTATAGCTTTTAAAAACATTGACTACCATTTTTAATGAAACAATCTCTTCTATTTGTTACTATAACTCTTTACTTTTCCTAAAATTTGTATTTATTGAAAAATAGTGGTTGTACATATTTATAGGGCATATGTGAAATTTTGATATGAGCATATAACATGTAATGATCAAATCAGGATAACTGAAATATACATCACCTAAATTATCTATCATTCCTTTGTGTTTGGAACATTCCAACTCTACTCTTTCTCAGACCTTCTCCTAATTCTCTAACTCTTCCTTCCTGTTGACCAATTAAATGTTAAATATATCTGAGGTTTCCCCTCTGGCAGGTCTTTTATTTTATTATATATATTCTCCCTAGGTAACCATATATGATCATTTGATTTCAATTGTTTTTATATATTAATAATTATAAAAGTTCTGCTTTCTCGTTCCATGTATGTAATTGCTTATTCAACACCTCTACTTAGTAGTTTCACAATCTTATCAAACATAAAAATAATTATCTGTTGATTCTTAGACCTGATCCCCTCTAATACTTTCTCTGAGTGACATAATTATTTATCCAGCCAAACAAACCAGAAACATGTGAATTAACCTAGACCTCGTTTTCCTCTTCTTCTATGTAAAATTGGTCAAATGCTATTCTAATTTTAAAAACAGTTTCAAAGCCATCTTCCACTCAATTCTTACTCCCTTTCCTACACTAAAAACTCTATATATTTTTTTATTATCACGGTAATTTTCTAAATGGTTTCCCTGATTCTAGACCAGGCTAATTACTAAATAAATCATTCCTGGTTTGACAACCCCTTATTCCTATTATTGCATTTGTCAATGAATTCTAAATACATTTTTTTCTTATTGATTCTTTTATCTTAGCCTGTGAACTCATTGTAGGTAGAGAGCATCTGCCTCGCTCACTGATACACAATAGAGCACAGTTCATGTAGTTGATTCTCAATTAATAATTGAAGAATGGAACCATATGCAAGAAACTTCAAAAGGTAGTATTCAAGGTTTATACGGCCTGAGAGTTAAGTGGACAGAAAAGAATGGGTTGTAAGATAGAGCAATAATGGATCTACTAATATAAAGTTAGTATTAGTCATAGTTATAAAATAATGCACTTAAGAATAATTCTATATGTTCATTAAAGGTATTTGAAAATTAATGTGGCAATTCTAGTCATCTTACTAAGAGGCACTCTGAAATGGTAGTGGATAGAGACACTGGAGCCATATTGCTTGTGTACAAATACCAGAATTGTAATGCTACACAAATTTTGTTTTGCTTTGTTGTTTGTTTTTAATCCCCCTCTATCTCAATCCTCTAATCTTCAGATAATCTGCTGGAATAAGACTAAATGAGTTTATATAAGACAAGGGCCTAAAGCAAAACCTAGCTAATTAAAAATACCATATAGGACTGCTATTATTACTACTACTACTCATTCCTTGTAATGCTTTTACAGCCTTATTTCAAGTTTATATAAAAGTTCTTGTCATAAATCACAAGTTGGAAAGTGATTTTATAGTGGCACATTCTATAGTTATTGTTTCAGTCTGGATTCTTGTTGCTATTCAGTTCTATTAATGCATTCCACTCTATTGTCTCCCCTTCTCCATATCTACTTCAGTTTTTTTGCATATTAATTTGTGTCTATTGCTGAAACTGAACCAGAAGTTTTGTTGATGGCTGTTGTGAGACTTCGGTTCTTGTCTTCTTAGTTTAAAAGAATTTAAAGAAGAGACACGCAGCAAAGGAGATGTAGCATAGCGCAATTTATTGAAAAGGACAAAGAATATATTGAAAGTTAAATGCAGACTAGACAGTGCACCCTGAGAAAGAGAAGATTCAGGGCAGGCTGCTTGTATGGATGAGACAGCAAAAATTGGCACTGGGGAAACTCCCTTAGTGGAAGTCTTACATGATTACTCATAAGGGGTGGGAAGAGGTGTTACTAATAAGCATGTTCTGGGTGGTTCTCTGGGTGCACATGCACAGTAGCTGTACATGCTTGGTCATACATCGCATGTCTCATTAGCATCTTAAATCTCCTCCCTGGGTGTGCTTTTTGCTATTATAATGTGCAAAGGGCGGAGTTTGAGGACAGATAAAATCAAAAAGTGCACATGTTCTCTACAGGGGAAATTCCCTACTGAAGATACCTTTGCTTCCATGAGCTTAACTACAATACCAATGGTGAAGTTTATTGGTCGCCAGGGTTGCCGCGTCCCAAGGACAAGGTTAAATCCTTGGCTGCCTATCCTGCCTCAGTTTCCTGATAGCATTAATTTTATTTTAATCACCTCTATGTCTCACCTACATGCTACACACCTTCAGAGGTGTCCACCTCAGTGCCAGTATGTATTGAAAGCCCTGTGAATGCTGGAATCACTCTATGTATCTATTAAGCTGTATATTTATTTTTCCATGTCTATTCCTGTGAGCTATGCTAGCACAGAGATACTGACTGGTATAAAAATGTTAATTACGGCCCGGCACTGTGGCTCATGCCTGTAATCCCAGCACTATGGAAGGCCAAGGCGGGTGGATCAGCTGAGGTCGGGAGTTTGAGACCAGTCTGACCAACATGGAGAAACCCTGTCTCTACTAAAAATACAAAATTAGCCGGGCGTGGTGGCACATGCCTGTAGTCCCAGCTACTTGAGAGGCTGAGGCAGAAGAATCACTTGAACCCAGGAGGCGGAGGCTACGGTGAGCCGCGATCAGGCGGCTGCACTCCAGCCTGGGCAGCAAGAGCAAAACTACTTCTCAAAAGAAGAAAAAAGAAAAAAGATTTAAAAAGTTAATCACAAGCCTAACTTATAAACTTTAGATAATTGGAGCTACCCTGAAAATAAAATCAGTCATTAGTGTGACATATCTTTTCCTGTTTTTTTTTTAATTGGAAGGCAGAACTCTAAATATTTAATTTCATTATTTCTTTCATGTTCAGAGATAAGCCTCTCTGTTACTCCAGCATAATTTATAATTTTTCTCCAGAAATATGTTATATAAAAAATTTTTATTTTCTTTAATTTAAATACATATAGAGTTAGTGAGATGTATTAATAACATTCCTCTAAATAATAAGGCTCCCCCACTCCACCCTCCACCCCAGTGTAATCATTATCTAATATAAACAGTGAAAAGAATGAGAACTACTTCAATTTGTGAAAAAACTTAGTATTGAAGACATGCCATCCGCCCCCCCCCACTTTTGCTTTTAATCTACTGTTTTGACAGATTTGAACTCTGATTGGTTTCTGTCAAACTAGTTTGAATTCATTTGTTACACTGGAATGCCTTTTTATTTATGACCTGCCTCTTGCAAGAAAACAAGATGAACTGACTTCATCAGTATCTGTAGAAAGCATTTCCTCCACATTTTTTTTTTCTGCATACAACTTGAAATCCTGCTTTAGGAATTTATTCAAGCACTAGTGAAATTTCTCTGGTAAAAATGACTCCGTTGAGTTACTTCAAAGTTTGGTTGAGAGAGGTTATTATATAGAAACTTATATAAATTTGGACAACAGATATTGAAAGAACTCTTTTTGCTCTGAAACTTAAACTTCTCAGAAGTATCCTTTACTATTAAGATTTTCTTATCATTAAAATAGAAATGCCTCTGGAATGGGTAGCATATGTCATCTCTCACATTTATTGAAAATGAGTTTATTAGAAAGAGAAAGTACCAATTGCCTGGGGAGGAAAGATGCTGAATACGGAGAACTGGAAAATAAAAGCAAATCTGTCAACTATGTTTTTGTTGATATATGAACTGTGCAGTATTTCTGTGGTAGTGAGAGATCTGTTTTATCAAGTTCTTTGGATATGACCTCTTCGTTAAAATGACTGAGTGCTCAAAAAAGAGATCTAAAAGTTTTACAGAGAGAAATGTGCAAAACACCCAAAATGGTGTGTGATATTAACAATAACTTTAAATTCAATTAAAGTCAGAATCACTATGGCTTCTAAAGCCTTGAATACTATTTGTTCATTTCAGTCCAATTCTTGACACCAACTGTAGAAGCTTCCTGAGATTAAGGATCAACTCTTCTCCTCATTTCCCACATTATTCTTTATATTCCACAATACTTGGATGATAGTACATGTTTAATAAATTTATGTTAATATTAACTGCAGTTATATATTTACTTAGTTATGCCTTTGTTTACTTGTTTTGCTTTTATAATTTCCATGCATGCTCCCTTTCTATAAGGAAGCTTCATCAGATTCATAAAAATACAGTCTATTTTGAGGTCAGAGATATTCATCTTATTTCTTTAGTCAATTTAGAGTTATAGAGCCAAGAAAAACACCTGTTTTTATCACTAATTACTTGTATTATTTCAAAGAACACATTCACTGAAGAGAAGTAATACCTGTATCAGTAATTTTTAAATCTCTATGTATATATTCACCTAGTATAAACTTTTATTGTATAAAAATTTAACTAAATCACAAGCCATGTACCTTCTTAAAGAAATGCTGATTCTTCCTTACGTAATTATTTTGAATTTAGAAGAACTGCATATGTAATTACTCAGCAATTCAACTTCCTCAAGATGAAATTTTATTATATAATACAATGTTGATAACTTTGGTAGCTAAACTTTAATTTTTCTATTTTCTGCTTTTGTGATTTTAAGTTTTGGACTTCCTCAATGTTTTGGCATACTTTTTATTTCAGTATATTATTTTTAATGTTCTCTAATAGAAGCAGTCATTTTTGTAAAAGTAATCAATTTTAAACATTCGTACTGACTGTTTACGGTGATTTATAGGGATTGCAACTGGGAAATTACAGTTTTTGAATTAAAATACAGACTTTCACTATAACTATTACCATAGTGCTAGGTGTTTATTTCTAATTAAGCATATTATTGCTTGAAGACAGGTATATGATATCAATTAAATATTTATGTGCATAAGTGTTTACAGATGCTTGTATAGCCAAAGAACAGTATGAAATTATATAAACCAAATCAACTGCATTAGAAAGGCAAATTTGAAGACGGGGGGGCCCAAATGGGTTGGAAGTAGAATGAGACCAACAACTGAAAGATTTTTCCTCAGAAACGTGTAAGTATTTTGAGTTACTAAGGGAACATGTGTTAATTTTATGCCAACATTATAAAATTAAATTCAATGTTACTATTTTAAAACATTAGAGACAAGAATAATCTAAAAAGAAATATAGCTAAACATCTTAGTGTTTTGTACTTGAAACATAATTACCATGCACATATTTTTTATTATTGTGTGAAAGACAGTTTTCAACAAAATTAGGATTAAAGGGAAGATATTCAACCAAATCACCTCTACAATTTAGAAGTTTTGAAGAGAAAGGTTTTTCTACACTTATATTTCTATAAGACAGGTGATATTTCAGTAAACCCAAAGATGAAGAAAATATTATATATGCAGAATGTTTCATTTTAAATTTTCAAGATGTATATTTAAATACCAAATATCTTTGTTTTTAACTCTATATTATACTATTGTAAGCACTCTTAAATGAGTTTCTACGTGATACAGCACAGATTTTCATTACACTATCAATGATATTGACATATTTCTTCATATGAAATATGGAATACTCTAGAATTTTATATAATTACTATAATGTAATTGCTGTGTGACTCTAGAGATTTCTCCATATTTTGTTCTTCCTTTGGAGTATAAAATTTAGAAATGTGCTTATGATAAAATGTCATGTTTAATTAATTGTACTCAAAATTTCAACTGCTTTTTTTATGGGAAAACTAGACATTTTATCTTCAATCTTCACTTGGCTGAGAGTTATTTTATACAATTTTTACTTCTTCACATTCATAAGATTTATCTTAATTTTCTTTAACTGTTAGTTTTTCAGTTCTCATTTTCAAAGTTTTGTTGGGCTCGGGGAGTATGTAACCATATATGTTTTTTATTTCTTTTAGCTTTAACAGATTAAGTTTGAAATATGACTCCTTTACAATAATTTTTCTATGTCTTATCAGTCATCTTTTAAATAAATATTCCTTTAGTATAAGTTTACATGCAATAGTCTGGGGAACATTCTAGTATAATACAGAATGAATGCAAGAGGAAGGACATTTAAAATTTGCAAACTGAAGGAAATAAGTTTAAAAAAGAACCTATCTTTTTAATACATATGTCCAAGAATTCCCTGTTGTTTTTCTTTAACTAAGTACTCACTAAGCCTATAATAGACTCATATTTCAGGAACATAGATATGTAAGTCTCTTGAAGATTCCAGGAAGTAGGAGCTGATATGGTTTGGATGTTTCTCTTCTCCAAATCTCATGTTGAAATGATTCCCAGTGTTGGAGGGGGACTTGGTAGGAGGTGATTAGATCATGGGGGAGGATCCCTGATGAATGATTTAGCACCCTGCACTGGATGATAAGTGAGTTCTTGCTCAGTAAATTCACATGAGATCTGTTTGTTTAAAAGAGTATGGGAACTCCCCCTACTTCTTGCTCCCTCTCTCACCATGTGGCATGCTGGTTCCCCTTTGCCTTCAGCCATGATTGTAAGCTTTCTGAGGCCATCACCAAAAGCAGATGCCTGCACCATGATTCCTGTACAGTCTGCAGAACTGTAAGGTAAAATTAATCTTTTCTCTTTATAAATTATGTAGTCTTAGGAATTTCTTTATAGCAACACAAGAGTGAACTAACACAGAAAATTGGTACTGAGAGTGGAGTATTTCTATAAAGATACCTGAAAATAAGAAAGAAGCTTTGCAGCTAGGTAACAGGCAGAGGCTGGAATAGTTTGGAGGTCTCAGAAGAGAACAAGAACATGAAGAAAAACTTGGAACTTCTTAGAGACTGATTAAATGATTGTGACCAAAATGCTGATAGAGATATAGATAGTGTAGTCTAGGTTGATGAGGTCTCAGATGGAAATGAGAAACTCACTGGGAACTGGAGTGAAGTTCACCCCTGTTATGACCTAGCAAAGAACTTGGCTGCATTGTGTTCATGCCCTAGGGATCTGTGGGTCTTTGAACTTAAGAGTGATGACTTAGTGTATCTGGTAGAAGAAATTTTGAAGTAGTAACGCTTTCAAGAAGTAGATTGGCTGCATCGAATAGCCCATGATCAGATATGGGAGCAAAGAAATTACTTAAAGTTGAAACATATTTTAAAGGGAAGCAGAGCATGAAAGTTTGGAAATTTGCAGCCTGGCCCTGTGGTAGAGAAAGAATCCAAGCAGGCTGTGGAGCAACCCCTTGCTAGGGAGTGTTATATGACTAAAAGGGAGTCAAGTTGCTAATATCTGAGACAATGGGAAAAATCCCTTGAAGCCACTTAAGAAATCTTCCAAGCCACCCCTCCCATCACAGACCAAGAAGCCTAGGAAGAAAATATGGTTTCATGGGCCAATAATTTGTACCACCCCAGAAGGCTGTTCCCTGCATCCCTGCTGCTCCAGCTCTACCTATTGCTCAAAGGGCCCCAGGTACAGCTTGAGCCGCTGCTTCACAGGGCACAAACTATAAGCCTTGATGGCTTCTATTTGGTGTTAAGCTTGCAGGCACACAGAGTGCAAGAATGAAGGAGGCTTGGAAGCCTTCATTTAGATTTCAGAGAATGTATGGAAAAGCCTGGATGCCCAGGCAGAAACCTGCCACAGGGCTAAATCCCCCACAGAGAAACACTACTAAGGCATTGCCAAGGGAAAATGTGGCATTGGAGCCCCCATACAAAGTCTCCCCAGATGAACTGTCTGGTGAATCTGTAGAAATGGGACTGTTGCCACTGACAGTAGAGGACACTGTCAAGGGGACAGTAGAGCCACTGACAGATTGCAGCTTCAACATAGAGAATCTGCAGACACTAAACTTCAACCCACAAGAGCAGCCCCAGGAGAGGCACCCAGTATAGCCATGGGGCAGAGCTGACCAAAACCTTGGGAGCTCACTCCTTGCACCAGTGTGCCTTGAATACAGACATGGAGTCAAAGGAAATTATTTTGGAGCTTTAAGATTTTATTACTGGCCTAACAGGTTTCAGACTTGTGTGGAATCTATGACCCCTTTCTCCCTTTTGTAACAGGAATGTCTATCCAATGTCTGTACTGCCATTGCATCTTGACAATAAAAACTTGGTTTTGATCTCATGGGCTCATAGATGGAAGAAACTCACCTCCAGATGAGACTTTGGATTTTGGACTTGGGATTTGGGACTTTTGAATTAATGCTGAAATGAGTTCAGACTTTGGAGGCCTATTGGGAAGGGATTATTATTTTGAAATATGAGAAGAATATGAGATTTGGGGGACCAGGGGTGGAAAAACTATAGGTTTGGCTATTTGTCCCCTCAAAATCTCATGTTGAAATTAAATTCCCAAAGTTGGAGTTGGAGCCTGGTGGGAAGTGATTGCATCATGAGATTAGATCCCCCATTCATGGCTTAGCACCATCTCCTTGGTGATGAGTTCTCACTCAGTGCATGTGAGATCTGATTGTTTAAAAGAGTATGGAACCTCTCCCCTCCCCTCTTGCTGCCTCTCTCACCGTGGGACTGTATGGTTTTTCTTCACCTTTCACCATGATTCTAAGCTTCCTGGGGCCCTTACCAGAAGCAGATGACTGCACCATGCTTACTATACAGCCTACAGAATTGTGAGCTAAAATAAACATTTTTCCTTGTAAATCACCCAGTCTCAGGTATTCCTGTATAGAAATGCAAGAATGGACTAAGAATGAAGTGTAATTAAAAATCATGTTCATTGATATTATTGGCTGCACCCCCACCTAAATCTCATCTTGAATTATAGTTCCCACAATCCCTACATGTCATGGGAGGGAAATTGTGGGAGGTGATTAGATTATGGGGGAAGTTCCCTCATGCTGTTCTCATGATAGTGAGTGAGTTCTCACAAGACCTGATGTTTTACAAGGGGCTTTACTCACTTCACGCTGCTTCTTTCTCCTGCCACCATGTGAAGAAGGATGTGCTTGCTTCCCCTTTTGCCATGATTGTAAGTTTTCAGAGGCCTCTGCAGGCATGTGGAACTGAGTCAATTAAACCTCTTTCCTTTATAATTACCCAGTCTCGGGTATGTCTTTATTAGCAGCATGAGAACAGACTATACATTAAATTGGTACCAGGAGTGAGGTGCTACTGTAAAGATACCCAAAAATGTAGAAGTGACTTTAGAACTGGATAAGAGGCAGAGGTTGGAACAGTTTGGAGGGCTCTGAAGAAGACAGGAAATGTGGGAAAGTTAGGAACTTGTTGAAAAATGTTATTGCATATATGTCTTACATTTTAGATTAATATAAAATACATAAATTATTATCCCAAAACTATATTTTAAGCAAAATCAGAATATGCAATTGTCAAATTCAAGATTCTTAAATAACCCAATTAATGCTACTGTAATGAGAACTTAGAAAAAACAGAACTTCTAAGCAGAAACCATCCAGTAAATAATCAAACCAAAAAAACATCACAACATCTGTGTTTCTTGAATATTGGCCATAGAAAAAGCAGGGTGTGGAAAATGAGCATGACCCAGGATCTCTGCATGTTAATAGTACATATGGATGGTCCTTAATTGAAGCCAGTGTCACGAAGACAGAAAAAATAATAATAAATAAATAAATAATAGATAAATAAAAATAAATTAGATGAGGATTTTCTAGTTGATCAAGAGATAAAATGAAACTGCACTAACCTCCACTGCCCGTTGGGTTTCTGTACTCCTAAAATTGGAGTATTGCCCCTCTGATATCTTTTGTAGAACTCATCCCTCTCTGAAATAATCTTATTTATGCATTTGATTATGTATTTCTCTCTTCCAAGAAGACAAAATTGTGTCTTTGTTGTTGTTTCAAGATGTGTCTGCGGTATACATCATAGTTCCTGGTTCATATAGATGCTCAAAAATGAATTTTTGAATGAATGAATAACTGTAGTGATGAAATAACCATATTTTCTTTCTTATATGCATATATTCTCATGAGGCACATCATTCATTTGAACTTTGTAAATTTTTCTTCTACAGAATTTTCTATGCAGCCTGGAATCTTCTAATTGTAATGCACATCCAGGAAATCAATGAACTGAGGCCTTGGATGTAAAATTAATGCCTCACCACACCCAAATTACAGATCTTAAGGTCTCAGAATAATATAAATTAAGACAATTTTTTACATCTTATTAGAGCATTAGACAAGTTGAATGACCTATGGCTTGAGAAATATGATGGGAATGAGAATATATCTCAGTTTAACACTAACTCAGTTGGATAAGCTTTCTAAAGATTTTATAAATGAAGTTTCTATGATGATTTCCTAGTTCCACAATGCCTGCCATTTCTAAACATTTTAAAAAGCTCTATATGAAAAGAAAATTATGGAATAAATAGGATACTTCATCCTTTTTAAGACCCCACCACCACCATCGCCTCTTTGTGGTTTTTATGATCTTTAATATTCAACAATATTATAGAAAAATGTGAAATTTAATGTACATGATGGCACTGGAGTTCTTTCCTTATGTACAATCAATTTAGTTCAGAAAACATACATATGTAAGTCCTGTCACCATTCCCCAACACACACACACACACACACACACACACACACACACACACACACACACAGTGGAATATCAGCGTCTAAGCATCACATGGCTCTATTCATAGATCTCGAACTATTGATTGTAGAGCTTAATGTGAGCCAGATCCTAATTCTGGTATACCTGTGTGTCTACACTCACAATGCTTCCCCAATTTATTAAATACATGTTTACTAAATATGTCAGGAACTGTGTCAGAAGATTTTTGTACATTAACTCAATTAATACATTTAATCTATAAGAGCAATGCAAGGGAGAAAACATCATCGTCATTTGACAAAGAAGTGAACAGAGTTAGTAAAGTTTACCTAACTTGCTAAAGGTCATAGCTATATCTAGAGAAGGAGAATATTTCTTATTCCAAGGTGATGCTTTTCCTATAATAGGAAGTATTATTTACTCAAGAATGGTCAATGATATCTCATGAGCAATTTGTGTTTGAAATAAATATTCACTGATGTCTTGTTTCTCTTATGTTCTGATTAAGTGAAGGAATACATATCACTGTATTTTTTGATGTAAGATGTGGCTGTGTGACCAATGAAACATTATAAAGATCACTTTAAAAGTGAAGCGTTTGATTTTCAGTTTTCAGCACAATCAAGTTTCATACTCTCATGCTGCATTGACAGAAGATGTCCTACATCCTAAATAGTGTTCCTACAGAATGGTGAAACCTCTGTCATCTTAGGTACTGTATTGCTCCGAGACTTTCTTAGAGAATTGGCAAGGCCTGCAGAACAGTGTGAATGAGCGTCAAAACTTGATTGTATTAAACCATTAAAAATTTTGGGTCCGTTTTGAAGCATATGTCTTAGTCTATGCGGACTAATCCTTAGCATTTCTAGAATATAATATAAAACTTAAAGCTTCCTAACAATTATATGGTTAGTGGTCACTCAATTTAAGAAGAATACAACTTTCACAACTTTTTATATTAAAGTAAATTTTAGACATACAAAAATCTGCAAAAATAGTACGGATGTTTTCTGAATAATCCTCCTGGATTTTCCTCAAATTAATACCTTATAAAATCATAATACAATTATGAGGAACAGGACATGAACATTGGTGCACTACTACTAGCTTGAGCTTTAGAATTTATTCAAATTTCATGAAATTGTTCCACTAATGTCCTTTTACTGTTTTAGGACTCTATCCAGGCTCCCTCACATTGCATTTACTTGTTATTTCCCATTTGTCTACAGTTTGTAACAATTTCACTGTCATTCCTTCTTTTGCAAAATTTGAAACTTTTGGAGAATTTTTTTAAGCCGTTTTAATTTTTGAAGGATATAATTCCTTCAATATGGGTTTGTCTGGTATTTTCTCATTGTTGGACTGAGGTTATGAAAGTTTAGCAAGAACACCATAAACATGATATTATGTCCTTCTGAATTCATCATATTACAAGGTTATTTATTGTGCTAATTTGTTTTATCACTGGTGGTATTCTGACATTAGTCTTTTGGTTAAGTGGTTGCTGCCAGGTTTCTCTAGCGTGAAGTTACTCTTTTCCCCTTTGTAAGATGCCCTACTGTCCTCTTTGTGGGTTTATTTTGGGAAGGAAAGTTTTATACTTCGTAAATCTTCTTTAGTCTCAAACTTTTACCCAATAGTTTTAGCATCGGTGGATCTTGTTTACAACAATGATTATTGTGATGTTTGCCTAATGATTACTTTGGATTTTCTTTTTTGATGATATATTTATTGAATAAAATTGTACCATATGAAATAGCTCTTTCTTCTTATCCATTTGCCTATGTGATTTTTTTGTTTATATCAGTATGAACTCTTGGATAATTAATACTATGTGTTATAATGCAATAGTATCATTATTTTGTCTTCATTTTTTTTCTAGCTTTGGCTGAGGTTGGTGTCTGTGATCTTTTGATAATATTTCATCTTATTATTTTTAAATGTCCTTACTTTTTGACACTACAAAAATTTCAGGCTCATCTAGTATTTTCTCTGCTCTAGAAATCAACAACTGGAATCAATCATTTGTCTTAAGTGACTGGTTCCTTTTGTAGAATAATTATATTTCAAAAAGAAGATCTGGGCATTAGGTATGCTCACTATTGCAGGGCTGTCATTAATTTTAGTTACCCTGAATGAATAGAGATTGAGAACAGATGCATATATAATAATCCATGTATATAATGTTTATCTATTTTTTTCTATCTTTTAAACAATACCTGATTACAAACTATTAGTTCTTGCTGATACCTCCCAGAGAGCTACGGTCTAGAAATATACATATACTCCATTAAGTTAGTCAGTACTGATTATTAAAAACCATGTCCCTCCTAATTAATATCTATTCAATTATATACCCACTTTCCAGCAAATATGCAAATATTAAATTTTCTTTAAAAAGAATAAAAACAAATAAGACATGATCCCTTTTCTCAAAATTTATGTAATCTAATGAGAGCAAGTGATGTTTTGGTTAGATATGGAGCCAGATATTTAGGAGTAGAAAGCTATGCAAGAGAGTAACTACATGACAGCAATTACACAGACCAAGAAAATCCATCACATCAAACAGGTGGAAATGGAGCAGAATGAAATAATAATGATGGCATTTAACGAGTGCTTAGTATATGCTTGGCACTGTTCTACATGCTTTGCAAATATTAACTTATTTAGTGCTCATAACCAACCTATTAGATGCCATTGTTATCTCCTTTTTATAAATACAGAAAATAGGATGCAAATAAATTAAGTAAGTTACCAAAAGTCAACAACTACTAATTGACAGACCAGAAATTTGAACTAGGGACATTTAATCCAGGGTTTCAGCTTTCAGCCACAGTAGTTCAGGGAATACACTGGACGTTGGGGTGACTTGTCTTAGGAAATAAAGAAGAATTATGTAGGAAGTTATTTTTCTTCACTTCTCATGTGCAATTATCAGAAAATGACAAGGACTTTTTCAATCTGGGGCCAAACGTAAGTGAATTTTTCTAATCTCCTAGAGTTCTTATCTATATATCATTAATTGAGATCTGATTTGAGATACTTATTAAATCTGTATCTTGCTAACTGTAAATGACAGTCGTAGTTTTAAATACTACATCTTTAAGTGCTGCATATGATCTAAAATGTTATTATATCTTTGCCAGGGCTGATCTTCTGTTTCTAAGAGAGAAGGGTATTTCGATGATATTCCATGTCATGGTTCATAAGTGACTGATTCACCCTATGAAGTAGTTATGTTGAATTTTAATGCTTTTTTAATTTAAAATGTGAGTTATATCAATTTTACCACCTTAAAAGAGGAACTCTAAATTGTTTATTGAAACTACTGTGTACTAAAATTTTTGATAGCATGAAGTGCAAAAAAATTACTAAATTATTATTTATAGAGCTCAGTTAATCTTACTTAATAAACAATTAAACAATTAGTACATTAGTACATGTTTGAAAATAATGGTATCCTAAATTCTCTTATTTTAAAGAGACAATAATTACAAAATTATATTGATATTTTGAAAATGTTCATAAATATTGGTTTAAAGGTATAAGTAAACAGGTAAATATTTATGGTAATTAAATCCATATCTATATACTTTTATAAGTATTATACAAAGGCTTATAAATTACCTTACATAACTAATTTTACATTTTAAATAAGTATTTGTATATTTAAATAAAGAAGGGAAAATCATATTGCATTATTTTATAGGGGAATTCAGAAGGATAGGAACACAAAATAACAGCAAAAAAAAAAAAAAATCAAAGAATATTTTGGGCCGGGAAAAGTGGCTTATTTTAATCCCAACACTTTGGGAGGCCAAGGTGTGCAGATTGCTTGAGTCCAGCAGTTCAAGGCCAGCCTGAGAAACATGGTGCAATCCCATCTCTACAAAAACTATAAAAAATTAGTCAGCTGTGGTCCCAGCTACTCAGGAGGCTGAGGGGGGAAGATAGCCTGAGTCTGGGAGGCAGAGCTTGCAGGGAGCCGAGATCATGCCACTGAACTACAGCCTGGGTGACAGAGCAAGGCCATATCTCAAATATATATATGTATATATATATATAATATTTTATATTGCCTTTCATTATGACTAATAGTGCTACCATATCCTCATATGTAGTCCTGAATAAAATGTTATAAATACTTAAATATAGAGTATTTGGCAATTATTTATCTTTCCTTCCACTCTTATAACTGAAGCTAAGCATTTTCTTGAATTGTCTAATTGTCTTCTATCACAAATTATTCATTAGAACATGAATCTAAAGCACATGTTTAATGTGATTTACATTTTTTTATAATGTAACACAAACATTTTTTCCCAGAGAGAAAAAAATTTAGTTTATAAACAATGCATCATAATTTTGAAGTATAGTTAGAGTTATGCTTATCCCGAAACACTTTTTTTATTGCTTTAATATTGGTTTATCAGCAATTCTTAGAATAAATTAAATTATGGCAATATAAGCAGAATAAATAAAGCTACATTCTTTGAATAGGCTATGGTTATCATAATGGAAAAAAAATAAGTACTACTTAGTTAAGTATACTATTTTTCATTTCCACAGTTGCAAAGGAGATTCAATTAAAGCAAGGTATCCTATCTAAATTCCAGGTTTTAAGAACAGCAGGTATTCATTACACATATTTAGCCATTGAGCAACAGTACAAAAAAAAGTCAGTATTGTAACACAAGAGACTCAAGTCAGCATCATGGTTAAAATACTGTACAGGTACTAAGGTCCTATACCAATGCTACTATTCAAAATATATTTTTTAAAACTTGTAACTATTTTCTTCCCATCTAAGATAAATTTCTAAAAGGGGAGGAACATTATAAATTAGCCTTCCCATTTGGCGTCTGTCTTTGCAAAGAAAATATCAATGAACAAAAAATCATTGTGAACTCTACTTCAGTTCATCAATTATGTATATACCAGAACTTCACACTGAAATGTTAAAACTGACCTGAGCGAAATATCAAAATGCAGCTCCACATATGATTTTGGGAAATAGCTGATAACCCAATTTCCCAACTTCTTAATTTTGATTATTTTGCTCTCTATTCATGTTATATAAGACGATGACACATATTCAACATTTTAGACACTTTAGTTCCCTCTTTTGTCTATGGAAATATTGGGGCCTCTTCAGTACTGATTTCATCAGTTTAGACATTTACAATCTTAATTTCGATGACCTTGTATTAACTCCTTTAGAGATAATACATTTAGCTAGATTTCAGACATGACCCAGGAAATCATTCAATAGCCCCGTGAGACCAATGTCAATATTCTATCAAATTTAGAAGTCTAGAAGATAAAAATACATCCACCATCATTAGGTCTTTAGCGTGCAAATGGTAGTGAAATGATGTTCATAACCTCTAGCTTTGCTGTATTAGAATTAGAGAAAGGAAAAGTAATCTTCCTTTTACAGATGAGAGGAGGATGTTGTTCTAAATGCTTATTATATCTCTTCTATCTGTGATTATTTTGCCAGTTCTTCTCAGTGGGGTTATTCTAATATTTTACTTTGGTTTGACTGTTTGTCCTAATTAATCCGGGACTGAAATTCCAGTCCTCATCTGATCAGTGGTCTTGCCAAATTATGCCTTTTCATTGCAACCTATCATTCTTTTAACATTTAACAGTAAATATCAAGTACTTATTTGATAGGCACCACTGTACAGCTAAAAGCAAGATTCCTGTTAGGAGGAGCTTGTGTTCTATTGAGTGTTGTGTAAATGAATAAAGAGGTAAATATCAGATTATGATAAGTATTATATTGAAAGTTAAATAGCCTGTTATATGAGATTTCACTTTAAACAGATTGGCCAATTGAAGTAACCTGAAAGTAATGGTCACAACAGTAAGGACATAGTCAAACAAGATTCAGAAAAAGACATTCCAGGCAAAGGTATAGTTTGTTCAAAAGATCAAATGTAGAAACTAGCTGTGTAGGCTCATGGAATTAGAAAAACAAAAAATTTCAGGTGAGTTGAGTAGGATGGTGTGGTAGGCAAAAGGAAGAGCATGGAGAGATTCAGAAGGTACAAATTATATGAATCTTGATGGGAAAGAAGACTTTGTATTCTTATGTTTATTATTATTATTACTTTACACAGGTATGACATTACTTGACATGTATTTTTTTCTAAATGTGAGTCTGTTGTGTTGAGAATAGATCATAAGGAAGTAATCAATAGTGGAATCAGGAAAACAGGAGTTACTGTTTTGCTTTAAGCAAGAGATAAAAATAGTTATGACTACAATGGTACTGGAGAGAGATACATACAGGATAGGGTTAGGAAAGCAGACTAATTAAAGAGAATGCCCATATTTTTGGTTGAATAAAGCATTAAAGTTATTTACAGCCTGAGAAAGGTATACATTTGGGAGAACACAAGAAGAGATAAAGAGTCCTCTTTATAACATGCCAAATTTGAGATAAATATTAGGTAATAATGTGATGTGTTCTATTAGGTAATTAGATATAAGAATCAAGTTCCAGGGAGAAATTAGAGCCAAAGATACAGATTTGGGAATCACTCACACATGGACTTTACTTAAAGCCACAGAGTATTTATGGCCGACTAGGTAGATATGGCCTAGATAACAAATCATGAAAACAAATTATTTGTCATAACTTGGAAACAAATACACTCTGAAATGAGGGGACAAGACATTATTTCACATAATGCTGCATATTCCCCCTTCTCCCCACCTTCACCACTTTCTCTTTCTCCTGACTTCCTCCCATTTCTATCTCTCTCTCGCTCTTTCTCTGTAGTTGCATCACTATACCAATTTCCACTTTTAGCTTTGAAGCAAATTGCTCTATTCAATGAGTATATCCTATTTGCCAACAGCATACTGATTACTATACTTTTGTAATTAGCTTGATGTCTGGCAATATAAGGCCTCTAGTTTTTGTCGTCTTCAAAACCATTTTTGCTATCTTATTTCTTTGTAGTTTCATACCAATTTTAAAATTAGCTTGTCAATCAATTTTTACAAATTTATGGTATAGGTTTTTCACAGCTTTTGTTATATTAATTCTTAAGTACTTGACATATTTGATATCATCTAAATTGATATATTTTTATCAATATATACATTAAAATAAACTATAAATGTTTAAGCTGTTACTTTAGTTGATAAGACTATTACTTAAAAGTGTTCAAAAATAGCTTGGTAAAGAAACAAACAAAAACTAAAACAAAGCCTGAAGCATGTAGCAAAGGTATTTATTCAGTGAAGTCATTTTAATGTATTGCCATCCCTTCTTTTAATGAGCAAACCTCATTCTTCGACCTGATTTGTGTAGTACCAGGACTTGGATATTTACCTACTTCAACTGAAATTTTAAAAAAATCAACCTCATTAGAGACAAATTGGAAAAATCCAATAAAGTCAAAAATCCTATATCATAAAATGTAATAACTTAATATTAAAATACAGTACTAATATTTTCTACTTATTTTTATTCTGATGTATTTTTCTGTTTTTCTATCGCTACTAAAATATTTTTCAACTTGAAGTATAAATACTCCAATATCTCTATTACACTTGGGTAAATCCTTGAAAAACCTATCTGAGAACCTGTATGAGTGCAGACTGACTCACTAGGAAGTGAAATAAAAATGTAAATGTCCCTCAGCTTTAAAGATTTGCCTGAATTATCTATCAAATCTCAACTCACAATTTTAATATCTATGTAAGACACTTCATCCACAATATCCTAAAATCCCCTTGCTTCTAGATATCCACTTCATTACTCATGACTATGTGAAGACATTCATTTTCATGTTAACCAGGTAACATATTACCTAGAGAATAGAGAAGATAAACATTAAACTTTTGAATGTCAGCAAGTTTCAAGTCAGAAAGCAAACAAAGTTCAGAACATAAGAGTATAAGAAATTATATAGTTAATTGGAAACAGTGTCCTCTGGGGAAAACAAAGGTTTGGCAGTGCCATTGCATACTTTTGTTCTCATTCCCATAGCCCTGCCACTGGCGGATTGCCTTGATGCCTGTCATCTGCTTTTGATCTTTCCTCCATTAGTGTACAGGACAGATGAAAATCAGGCAACATTCCATCTGGAATTTGTTGAGACACTTTCTTCTATGTGGAGGTAGAATGGTAAAGACTTGGCAATAATATTGACACAATATGAGAAGTCTTACATCTTTGATTGGCTTTCAGCCATCACAGCCACAACCTCCACCACTGTGTTATAAATTTTGGATGCAGCTATCTAACAGAAGGCTAACTGAGATTATGAAGAGACAACTGTTTGGCTCATTATAAAGTCAGATGTGTTCTTTGGCATTTGAGTGGACAGCAGAGACTTTGACATTAACACATGGCTCATTAGGAATGAATTTGAGCTTGGCCTTTTGCTAAATTTAAAACAAAATATATAATACAGAGAAGCAACTCCTTGAAAATGCCGATACAATCTCTTAAACATACATAGCTGTAATTTAAAATGAAGGCACCACACCTCTAGGCATTTGCCATTAAGAGTATAGTGTGCGTCTTAAAATTGTGAAAACAATGAAACAGCACAAGGTCATGTTCCTTTGATCTTTCTTGTTCCTAGTGACAAATACACTGACTTTTCCTGTTCCCCCTAACTGTTTGTCATGTTCTAGAACAGGCAATCTTATAGTATCATGATAGGGTCATGTCTCCAGCGTTACATAGTAGTTAATGGTCAGTTACGACTTTTATGATAAATTTGATGTTACTATTCAGCTAATTAAATTTACACCAAGCTGGAACTTGAGACATAAAGAAGTTTATTACTATGGATCTACAAAACAAAATTATTCTTTGAGGCAGCTTAGCAGTGTGTACTGAAAACAGTGTGTGTACTAACCATTGGCACAAATTACTTATTTAACTTATAGGGTTGGTCAGCTTTGCATTTATTCTAACCTGCATAATTTTGTACTCCAAATACTTTCTACAAAAAAAATACAAAGTATTTCATTCTAAAATAATTCAAATATCATTTTCATTTAATTTTGAACAAGACTATGTTGTAATCTATTTTGTGGCTCTGAAAATTTAAATTGTAAACAAATAAACACTGCTTTCATAAGTTATGCACGTCAAAAGCATGCACCAAGTCAACTGAGAAAAATGTGTCTGCCAGTCCTGTCAGTTATGATGAAAATTACAAATTCCTTACACTTTGAGCTATGTTTGTAGAAGCAATACGATGCCCAAGGAAAGAACAGATCTATCAGATATTTCATGGACAGCATGACATGACTAAAAGTCTCAGAACTTGAGTAATGCTGAAATGCACAAAATGTGTTCATGGAGCTTTAAATTTGGAAGACTTTAAATGATAAAAAGTGCTACCGAGTGTCCATAAAACAAACAAACAAACAAACAAACAAACAAAATAGCAGACAAAATTTATCTAAGCAAAAAAGTTTAGTTTGAGGCTGACCAGCATCTGTAACTCTGCTGCTGCTTATTACTGGTAGGGCCTCTAACAAGACATATGACCTACTGGAAATAATAGGCCATTCTGTTAGAGGTAGGTGGACTAAGAATATGGCAGAACTTTTCTAAAGGGTCTCCCTGTTTTGTATCTAACCAAAATACACCCTAACCAGAAGGAACTGATAGTTCTGTTTAATTCTTGTACGCCTTCAAGGTCCCTTGTGTTGGTTAATACTGAGTGTCCACTTGATTGGATTGAAGGATGCAAAGTATTGATTGTGGGTATGTCTGTCAGGGTGTTGCCAAAGGAGATTAATATTTAAGTCAGTAGGCTGGGAAATGAAGAACCACCCTTAATCTGGGTGGGTACCATCTAATCAACTGCCAGCATGGCCGGAACATAAAGCAGGAAGAAAAATGTGAAAAGGCTAGACTGGCTTAGCCTCCCAGCTTACATTTTTCTCCCCTGCTGGATGCTTCCTGACCTTGAATGTCAGACTCCAGGTTCTTCAGCTTTGGGACTTGGACTGTCTTCCCTTCTCCTCAGCTTGCAAATGGCCTATTTTGGGACCTTGTGATCGTGTGAGTTAATACAACTTTAAAAACTCCCATGTGTGTGTATATATATATATATATATATATATATATATATATATATACACACACACACACACACACACACACACATACACATATATATATACACAAATATATACATATACACAAATATATATATACAAATTATATATATGATATATATATATATATCCTATTAGTTCTGTCCCTCTAGAGAACCCTAAT
The DNA here is from genome assembly GCF_000001405.40 of Homo sapiens. NCBI lineage: Eukaryota > Metazoa > Chordata > Mammalia > Primates > Hominidae > Homo > Homo sapiens. The sequence goes on along the minus strand of NC_000014.9, from coordinate 27,409,048 downwards.
ACATTCCTTATATTTAGAAGGCATTTGAATATTTTTAAATGACTAACACTTCTTTTAAATTATTTTATTTTTTAATAAATTTTCCAAAAGAAAAAAAATATATGTGGTTGAGCCTGCATAAATAAGATTCCAAAATATAAAATGAAATTAATTGCATAGTGAATAGCACTGGCTAGGAAGCAGGACAAGTGCTTTCTAGTGTAAACGGAGACAAACTACTTAAACCAAGTCTCTTAAAAAAAAAAACACATGTAAAATGAAGAGAATGGTATTTGCATTTCCAAATTTTAAACTTGTGAACAACAAAACAGAAAACTTATAATAATACCTTACAGAAATTGTAAATACAGGAAGTTTGGGAGGATGTTATGTACTTAGCTTTGAAAATAAAATCTTGAAAGAATTTATGAAATTTACTGACAGTCTAAATTCTCAGTAGAAAGTGCAACTTTTGAAAATATAGTTTTGTGGAGTAAAAACATATCTTAATTGAATAAGTGGAAAAACTTTCATTTCCTTATGTTTATTGTTTTAAAGGATCATGATCATCCACAGAATTCAGAGAAATCTGAGTTTTCATGGCTAAATTTCCAAGTGTCCTGACATCAGATGTGTTCTGAGTATAAAACTATTTAGAATTATCTGAAGAATTAGTCATTTTGTGAGATTCTGGATCTTTCTGACCAACTTGGATCATTCTTCAATGAATAAATAAGTCTTTTATAAACAAATGAAACATTCTGATTTGACCCTGTTTTGCATAGGCAGATGTGTCTGTTTTGCTTGTTGTACGGAAAAAGTGCAGAGAAAATAAACAGCTTGAAAATTCACCTGGCCCAATTATTTTAAATAGAATCACTTGGATTTGGAAGATAGAGCGTAAAGCCAGAAAAAGAGAGCACTAGAACAAGAGGGAGCTAGAACAAGCGAGTGAGTGAGCGAGAGAGAGAATGTACAACTAAAAATGGTTTTTGTAACTGTGACCTGTAAGCTGGGTAAAGATTTATAAACTATTGAATATATGTATGAGGATATTTGTGTTGAAAAATGCAATAATCTGCTGTTATTTGGCAAATGGCCATTCAGTTCCCAGCATAGAAGCAGGATGAAGACAATGTCAACTACCTCATTTGTAAAAACAACAATGACAAGCAACATGGATTTGAGGAATAATCATTTAGAAATTTCATTTTTATAAAACTCAGCAGATAACTGTATTTCATTGAAAAACCCTTTTTATGATTATGGAGATTGTATCCCCTTCACCCCAAGTTATTTTAGTTACATTTAGATTCCTGCAATTACCATTCACTTAAAAATTAATAAATCACCCTATTTTCTTCATAAATAATGCATATGTAACCAATGTGGCACTAAGAAAAATGGAATTCTCAAATACATTAGGCTTTTCACATTTCTCGAAAGAGTATCCACATTTTCTGCAGGACAGCCCAGAACTCACTACTGCAATAACTGAACTCATATACCTCGAATGTTTGAAAAATGGCTCCAAATTTACTGCACTCCTTACCTAGCCATCTCTTGATCTTTTTCAACCATCAAAATACACATAAACATGTCTGCTAATAAGTTTCAGAAAAAAAAAAAATCCTGCTTATCACAGATCCCCTGGTGTATAAGCAAGTTAAGAAACTTAAAATGATATGGGATTATATACATACGTGACTAGTAACGTTTTTCGAAATTATTATTATCACTGTTTAATAATAGTTTATTGTGCCTATTTGTTACTATCTTTATTCTGTTTCTTACCAGCTCTATCTATCAATCCTCCAATGTCTGCGATTAAGAAGACATAAAGTGACTTGAAAAAATAGTCCTTCAGAGTTGTGTCATGTGTGTGATTGCTTCTCAAAAGGAAAAGGTGAAGCCGATTCTCTGCACACAGGATATAATTCAGATCTTGAGCTTGAGGCCCTGATCTGTACTAGGCTACCATATTCATTTTCATCTGTGAAGGCTTCACCTATAAGTATATGGTAGGAGAACTTGTGGTCAGTTTTTTATATCTTCGCACACATTCGCTGCATTCTTTTTGCTTGTTCTTGACAATGCTTCTGATCTGTTAGAATTAAATTAGAGGAAAATTTTTATCCTCATCATTTCTCTAACACGGGACACTTTAAATAGACTTTGGTTACTGCTGAAACCGTAAGCACTGACCTCTGAATGTCCTAAAGGAGAAAGCTCTCATCCATTGCCAGAAAAGGTCTCTTAGGGATATTGCTACTTGTATTTGGCTGGATTTCTGAGACTGAGAAGTTATGTACACCACAGAGAAGGTTATCCCTCCTGGTATAATCATCCTATCAAACAGTCATTTTATCCTGAACAATGCTGTGCTGCTGCCTACATTTAGTCTCATAGTGAGAATAAAGTTATTTCTCATGAAATCCCTTAATAGATATCTCTACAACTCATTATTTTTAATTGTAAATAAGATGCTAGGTAGTAATAAAACATGATAAGATGTAAAATGCATTCATGCTCTCGTTAAATCTCAAGACAGTGTTGTACTTTAAACCAATATTTTTCAAAAAAGGTTTCTTACATTTAAATAGATAGAACTCAAAATTATTTTATTCAATAATTTGACTTTCATGGGTATGTGAAATAAATGACAAAGAAAGAATTAAGGAAATGGTGATTTTAAGCATTAGGTAGACTGCCTAAAATTACAATATACTACTATAGGAAGAGCTGAAGAGAAATTATTATTTCTCTATGAACTATAGTTCACAATTTAGTGAGGAATCACATCTGATATTTGAACACAGCATTTGAAAACTCCGTCAACAAAAAGGAAATCATAAGAATAAAGACAAAGGGACTTTTATCATTTTAATATCAGTACAGATTTGGATGCATTTAATGTCTTTATCTCAGAAATTTTTTGTAATATGCAAAGTGTCCAACAACTCCCCTTTTTCCATAGCAAAATGATTGAAGCCATTCACAAATCTGTGTATATAAAGTGGCCAGAGGTATTTGAAAAACGTTTTTATCTTTTGATCAGATTTAGTCAAAACTACAGAATAGGTAAATTTTTCACTGAACTCTTCACTCAGCTTTTCCCTCTTACGTGCTGTATCACATCTTCCAGAACAGCACCCATCATGTGTCCTCTAAGTCTCTTCCCTTCTAGTCATATAACCGAAAACTGATAAACACATTTAGATCAGATTTTGATATTTCAATATTTTAATTCTTAAGTTATTTCCTCATTTACCTATTATAAATGCTATCGAAGAAACTGACAATTTCTGCTCTATTGTCCACTTCTTCCTGGAATGTTTCCCAGCCTCTGTTGCAGGGAAGTATAGATATGTGACTGATTACTATCCAGAAATGGTCATGGGAGTATCATGTGTGACTTTCAGGCATGGACCATGAAGCCATTTGCTGCTCTTTTTCCTTCTGGCAGAGTAGCTTGGAAATGCTCATATTGACCTTGGAGGTCGCAGATTGACAAAAGCAGAGATTCCATCAGTCTGCATTATTGCATTATCATGTAGAAAACGACACTTGCTGCTTAGCTGAAACATCTTTCTTTGGACATTTACACAGAAAGTCATAAAATTATATTCTGTTTGATTCATTATCCGCTTTCTGGTCTATATGTTTCAGTATAGCCCATGCTCATTTTCTCTTAAGATCCATAAGACATTACTCCTCAGAAATCTGTTCAATGTGGTCATATAGTGAGAAAAACCAGATTGTTTCCTACTTTTTGTGATTTATCGTTGCCTAAGAACCAACAGAACTCTTTCTTTATCTTAGCAACAACTGAAAGCAAAGTTCCCCCAAATTTCCATAGGATACATTTATACTCAATTGCTTCAATAACGATATAAAGATATCAGCTAACATTTACAGCAATCTACCAACTCCTCTTCGAAAAAATATGCCATTTGATCTGGAGGTTGGGTTTTTGTCTAATTACTGTATTACATTTTTATGGTTTTTAGTAATTTTCAGGTGAACCAGTTATGTATATATTGTAACATCTTTGCCCAAAATCTTTATCTATTACTATTACCATCTCTTTGGTTACATTTATTTATTTATTTATTTTATCTATTGCAAATTGGAGGATTTTTCAAACATAACATTTCTCTCATAACTGTCTTTTCAGATATGTTCTTTATAATCCTTATTGCTTCTCATTTACTTTTTCTATGTTTTTCTTTAAACCTTCCTTATTTCACCAGAAGGGAAAAAAATAACTAAGAAATCAATGTTTATTATTTCATATGATTGTATTCTTTTTTCTTGGCTATCAAATATTGTTCATTGACTATTTTTTAAGAAACATATTCTCTCTTTTATAATAGGGTATCTCATTCATTCTTTTATTATATAAACATTCTGCATATATTATCTTTGCCATTTTATTTGTCATATTGATTTTCCTTAACTTATCCATGGGTAAATTTTGTGATGTGCTCTTCTTACCATTAATAATATATAGATAAAGATTCTCTCAAGAACAGTAAGTTACCTAAAGATAATATGTTAAAAAAATTAGGGACTAACCTGATGTCAATCAGAAAAGAAAGACTCATTTTTAAGAAAGACTATTGGTAGAGTGAAAGAATGTGTATATATATATATATATTTCTTTCACTCTAACAATTGTAGATATTTTATTTATATGTATATATAATTCTTACTTCTCTGACATGAAAAACTACACAATTTTCTGAAAGGGACTTGAATATCTGTAGGTTTTGGCATCCACAGAGGGTCCTGGAGTCAATCCTCCATGGATACTAGGGAACAACTGTATACACACACACACATATAAACATACGGTACATACAGTACATACATACATACATACAGTATGTATATATATATATACACACACACACACACACACACATACAGTTGCCCCTCTGCATCCATAAAGGTTTGGTTCTAGGACCCCCTGTGGATACTAAAACCTACAGATATTCAAGTCCCTTTTGTAAAATTTTGTAGTTTTGCATTTCACCCATGCATATCTTCCCATATACTTTAAATCATCTTTAGATTAATTATAATACCAAATACAATATAAATGCTATGTAAATCATTGTTATCCTGTATCGTTTAGAGCAGAATGAAAAGAAAAGAGTCTGTACTTGCTCAGTATAGACACAACTATATATTTTTTCTTTTGAATATTTTTCAATCTGAGGTTGGTTGAATCCACTGATGCAGAACCAGGGATATGGAGAGTCAACTGTATCTAGGACTATACTTCCACAATACAGAACTGTAGGGCAGATGTAGCTAAAGAATATAATGCACAGACAAGCCATTCTTGTTTTCTGCAGCACAGATTCCTAACTCAAACCAATGGCCTAAAGGTAACATGGGATTGGAAAAAGACATGGTATAGTGCTCTAAACATGTGGAACCATTTCCTTTAAAATAAATTTTACAAAGTACTAGGTTCTCTTATAATTTGACCCTTGTAAAACTGATTCCATCAATTTTACAGGTACCCAATGTAAACCATTAAGGAAGAATATCTTCATTTTCAATTAGGTTTTTTTAGATATATTTTGGAAAATAACAGAGGAAAAAACACTTAAATACAAATTTTGTACATATATTTATTTTCAAGAGAGACCAGAAACATTAATTATTGAAGGGCTTTTTTGTGTCCTAGAAACATTTTTGATGGTACAAAAGAGTACAGGGTATTTGAAGTGTGAAAATACACTAAGGACTATATTATGTAGGGTTTTTTGAACTGACCTAACAAATTTGATGTATCTTTAATAGCACAGATACGTATATGAGTCCAAGACTGGTATACACACCTCTAGATTTTGAAGAAGAAAGCTAGAAACCATTTTTAAGAATATTGGTAGAGAGACCAGAAAATTATCTTGGAAGAATCCAAGTGTATCAGTCCTTTCTCATGCTGCTATGAAGAAACACCCGGGACTGGGTAATTTACAAAGAAAAGAAGAGGTTTAATTGACTCACATTTTCACGTGGCTGGGGAGGCCTCAGAAAACTTAAAATCATGGCAGAAGGCACCTCTTCACAGGGCGGCAGGAGAGAATGAGTGCAAGCAGGGAAAATGCCAGACACTTATAAAACCATCAGATCTCATGAGAACTCACTCATTATCATGATAACAGCATGGAGGAAACTGCCCCCATGATCCAATCACATCCCACTAGGTCCCCCCATGACACATGGGGATTATGGGAACTGTAATTCAAGATAAGATTTGGTGGGGGACACAGCCAAACCATATCATTCTGCCCTTTGCCCCTCCCGAATCTCATGTCCTCACATTTCAAAACACAATCATCCCTTCCCAATAGTTCCCCATAGTCTTAACTCATACCAACATTAACTAAAAGTCATCTGAGACAAGGCAAGTCCCTTCCACCTATGAGCCTGTAAAATCAAAAGCAAGTTAGTTACTTCCTAGATATAATGGGGATACTGGCATTGGATGAATGCACACATTCCAAATGGAAGAAATTGGCCAAAATGAAGGGGCTACAGGTCCCAGGCAAGTCCAAAATCCAATAATACAGTCATTAGACTTTCAATGATCTCCTTTGACTTCATGTCTCACATCCAGGTCACACTCATGCAAGAGGTGGGTTCCCATGATGGGAGCCTTGGGCAGCTCCCAAGGGTGGAATGATATGGTTTGGCTGTGTCTCTTGGTGATAACATTCCTCCCTCTGGAACTAAGACCTTTAGGCCAGCAGAACATAATGTTGCAGAAACAGGAAGCAAAAATTTTACCACAGGGTCATGAGGGGTGATGGTGAGTGGTGCCACTTCCACTCTAAGTAAAAGCTAATTTGTGATCATTTAAACACTGGCAGTGGAATAGAGTGGAAAATCTGTATTCAAGAACAGGTTCTGTAGTAGATTTGAAGAAATGACTATAGAAATGTCTATGAATTTGAGCTATGGTGAGAAAGAAAAATAGAGATGAGAGTAAGTGATAATGGAATGCATTGACAGGAGAATTTACATATATTGAATAATATCTTGGGAGGGTAAGTCATGAATCTTATAATAGCTTGAGTTGAAGTAATTCTGCATGGGAATTCTATATGAAAATATTTGTATGACCTTTCACAAATGTAATTGATAGTTCCCAGCTTATAAAAAAACTAAAATTATCAGTTAATAGTATTCTGTTAAAATTTGTCAAGTAAGGCTTTAACTAAGCATATAAATTAATCAAGTTGAACATGGCTAGGAAGTCCAGCATTTAATGTGTGGGTAAGGGAGCATGACCTACAAAGGGAAGAATTGTCAGAAATGTTGTAAGAGAGTCAGGTGCTATCAGAAGAAATACATTACAGAAGCTAATGGAGAGCATATTATTAAGCTCAGAGTACGGACAACACTATCAAAGGCTGCAGAGAGATAAATTTGCAAAGAGAGAAATTTCTATACACCAACAAAAATAATTTTATGTAAGCCAACAAGTGTAAGTCTATATCAAACATAATAACAAGAGAATGAGTGAAATACTTTGACTAATGGCCAGACACTAATGTTTTAGGAAATGTATGACATTGAAGAAGTTGAGAAACTAAGCATAAAACATCATTTCAAGATAATATAAATATGAAGTAAAGGAAAGAAGAATTTTTAAATAAAATGTGAGATTAAATCATTTTCTTGCTTTTTAAAAATTATATAAGAATGCTTATAGACAGAAATTAGGAGAAAGAGAGGGAACAAAGGATTAGAGAGAGAAAGACAAAAGGGAAGAGATAGTAGTAAAGGTAAGAAGGGGTGCGTAATTCATGACAAAGACTTATAAAAGGCAAAAGAAAGAGAAAAGACCCATGAGATTTGAAAAATGGTAGGTATTTCAGTCTCTTTGATAGAACGGAAGAGGGAAGTTTTAGATGTGTTTAGGAAGTAAAGTGGATTGGGGTGTGTGTGAATGTGTGTGTATGTTCTACCACTATTTTCAGTCTCTAAAATATGAGGAATGAATATTGCCTTTACAAGAGGAATGCAATGCTACTACAGACTTAAAAATGTTTTCTGCGAAATTTTGCAAAAGTTTCCTGCCATAACGTAGACCTTTATCTTAGATAAAGATAAGCTAAGGATCCAGTTATGCTTAGATTCCAGTTATGTCAAAAGTGTAGATTTGTAATGATACTTTGTCTTCAAGGTATAGTTGTGTGTATACTCTTCTCTAACAATGTCAACCAATGTTAAAGAAATAAAGTTGATAATGAATGGCAGCTTCATTCAATGTTTAGAATGGTCAGAGTTTAAGGATGAAAATGAGGTTGAGATAATTGCTAGTCTTGAGAAAAAAAATGTTGGAAATAAATCTGGAAACCTGGGTTATGAGGTTCTTACTCTGAGAGCTATTATTCTACCTAAAATCCGTAGTGAAAAATTTCTGCATAAATATGTTTTCCTATACAGAAATGTCTTAGTCTCTTTGTCTATGCTTTGCACCTTCCTGCATTCTGACAGAAATTAATATGCATCCTTTCATCCATGTCTAAATGTGTTACCTCCGTGTTTTTTGAATTGTCTGTCTTCTCCATAACAGTAGCACAGGAACCTCCTTCTCTTGTTTTTTTCTATTCTCACAAACATTTCAAAATTTTTGCCCTTCACTGATTTTTGCATGTGATTTTGGGTATTCATAGACAGTTCCTTTATATTTGCTTTCTCTTTACCTTCAAGTCAACATAAACATTCTATCTATCTTGATAGAAAGATCTTTCTATCTTGATAGAAATATCATGTTTTCAAAGAAATAGTTTGTATACATTCTTTCAAAATCTTGATCGCATATATAAAATCTTGATCACCCCCTCTTTATTTAATCTTCTTCTGATATCGCTGCATTTCAGAAATATATATAAAATTGAATTACAAAAGTAAACTCTGATCATTTTGGCACTTTCCATTATCCTTGACCTCTAGTAGTTGTTTAACCTGACTGCATACGGCAGCCAGCATGTCCCCTAGTGATCCCTACCTGCTGGCATTCATACTTTTGTGTAGCCTCTCTCCAGACTGTAACAGCATTTATCTATATGACCAATAAAATATGGTGGAAGTGATGACATGTTACTATTGAGATTGTTACGATACACATCCACTCTGGGAGAAGCCAGCTGCTATGTTTTGAACAGCCCTATAGTGATGCCTTCTTGATGATGGTCTGACATTTCTATCCTATTCTGTTTATTTTTTGCTAGCACTTACAATCTAAGTGTTCTTGTGCATTTATTTCTATAAGTCTATTATCTGTCCCCCTACTAGATTACATTGTCCAGAACAGCAGAAAATTTTACTATTTTTTACCAGTGTAATTCAAAACCTAGAACAATATCTGGCATAGAGTAGTTCAACAAATGCTTGTTGAATAAAAGAGTTTACATGCCTCATCCTCACAGAAACAAAAATAAGAGTATTATTACCCATTCCCCCATGTCCCACAAGAAAAGCATGGTGAGTTTAAATGCGACAATCATATTTCATTAACATTGCATAAGTAAAATTACATTTCATAAATAAAAGCTTACACATAGTTATTTTGATGAAGTTTATTTTAAATTATTCCCTGGTTATTAGGTACTTCGATGCCCTTAGTATACATATTATTTTGACACTGATTTTCCATTTCAGAATGTTTAAATGATTTCTTTATTATTTTCCCAAATAAATGCCTCCATTTTTCTCTAACATATATTCTTGTTGACAACACTATGATATTCACTTCACAGTTCTCACAGCTGAAGGGAAGAAAAGGAATCAGCTTGCCATACCGCAATCCCAGTATCTCTCAAAGAAACCAGTGTTTTAATACTTGACATCTAGACATTGGTTTGGCCTCATTGTGGCTTACAGTAGATTAAACCAATAAGGCTTTCTGTAAGTGAAACTCTCTGATCTGTTGATTTTTCTGGCAGAATCGAGGAGACCATGGTCTACTGATGCATGTTATACTTTTGTGCAACTTTTAAATTATAGCGAGTACGGTCATTAACATTATCATTAAGAATATTCATTAATTACACATACATACTTTTCAATAACACTTTTTATAATTGTTTTTGAGTCCTTAGAATTTCCAAAGACACTTTTTGCATATGAATTAAAAATATTTATAAAATAAAAGTCAGTCTTAAAGATCTCTGCTGTTATAAGATTTGCTGAGGTCCAGATACATAATGCAAGTGAGGCCACTGAAATACAAAATCTAAAAGTCATTCCAGAAAAGTCAAGCTTACTATTTGGTAAAATGTCCAGAATATCGTTAAGATAAAAAGTTAATACATAATGAGTACAAGTTATGACCATTTACAATCCTCTTAAAGTCAGAAAATCAGAAATGAGGAAATTGTATAGCCAAATTTTGTACTTGTGTAAATTAATTAACGCAGCATAAAGCACGATTTATGAATACTTGTTAAGATTTGAACTAATAGGATGAAAGGAGCTGTTTAGATACTCTAAATGAATGGTGTTACAATGGCTCTACATTTTTGAAGTCCCTCTCATTTTGTTCTGTATCATTTGCTCTGTAATCAGTGGTTAAGTTTGAATTAATTTTCTTTCCCCACAGAATTATTGGAATTGGCACATTTCATCATAACAATGCTGTAACATTTATATTCGTTAAGCCCCCTTATAATTTCTACATCCAACCCTAGTAACTCAGTAGCACTTACAGTTGTATTTGCAACCTGTGTTCCACTTGGAAGTACGTGTCCTGAAGCCAGTTTTGTAGAGCTTAATCAACTGAATCATATACCTTTCAGAGATGAATTTGGATACTACAGTCAAATTTCCACTAAATTATTAAGATGTGCCTTGTCTGTTTTATTAATATATTATAAGAATTAATTAGTAATAAGTTTTCAATTCCCTTGCCTTGGCTTTATGCAGTTTGTAAGTGATTTCACAGCTTCCAGATAATTAATTCTGCTACTGTTCTTTGATCTTTAATCAACATTTCACATTCCTCTGTTTATTTCTAATGGTACCCTGCAGCTTTTAAATTTTCTCTATTCCCACTTTATTTTCAAGGCCTAAAAGCAAAGCTTAATATTCTAGGTAGAACAACAGGAACAAATCACATGTGCTTCAATCTTAATAGAAAAAAATAAAAATAAATAAACTAAATAAATAAAAATAATTGAAGAGAAAATACACACACACACACACACAAAATTATCCTCTCCTTTTACCAAATCCTTGGAATTTATTCACTACTCTTATTCAGGTTCTCTAAACTTTAACATAAGTTTACAAAATTATAATTTTGTGCTATAAGCTTACAAAATTTACCTATTATAAAAATTTAAAATCTGAAGATAATAAATATATAGGTGTGCCCTTGGTTTATAAAATATGTCAAAAAGGCTGTGAGATCTAAAACATATTGGAGAATTTCGGGCAGGTTTTTATCTTAAAAGGAAAGAAGCATAAGGTACCCATAACATCCCTACATCCCAACAGTTAGTGTTCTACTATGGTTTTGATTTTAAATAGAAGAGAAAATGACAGTAAATCATTTTGTTTTCTTCTGCAGATAATCAAACATAAAGTAGGGATTAATTTTACTAACCAAGATCAAGTATGCTCTAAAGAAACATACAAAACCATTTTACATGAAATCAGGGTTTTTTTAAACGAGGATGATTTGGCTCTTACAGGTAGAAAAACACATTATGCAGTATGTTAGAATTATAAATGTAAAACTTACCTTAAATTTAGATAAAGAAAGATTCTACTGGTATAGTGTTTTACTAAATGGTAAACAGTGAGTTTTAAATTTGACAAACCATTCATTTTTTAAATTAGATAAATGCATTACCTGAATCATAAGTTGACAAAATATAGTGTAAAAAACACCCTGATTATGAAACACATCTAATTGGAGATGATGCTAAAATACAAAGACTTGGATTGAAAAAGTTTGGGGCTGAACTCAACCAATAGACTCATCATGCTGTTATCTAAACTCACTTAGTTTATTATGAAAAAGAAGTTTCTTTACAAAATAGGTAGGACTACAATATCTAATACATTGTTCAAAATAAAGAAATGACAGTAACAATTTATCAAAATTTACAATTGCTTAGACTTACTAGAGCACCTTATATAAATTGCATTTGATTTTACTCATTTATTTTTTAGACAATATTTGTCTTCATATTTCTGACTATATCTAGGTCTTAATAACAAAACGTGAAATTTTAAATTCAAAAATGCCATTGAGAGACTATTTTCTAGATAAAATGAAGCAAGTTACAGAACTTCAACACACACTGAAACAATCAGATTAAATTTGAATATACATTAATATATAGATAGACATCAAAATATAATAAAGTCCTTGGTTAACTGCTGGAGGAGCAAAGACTTAAAGGGCTAAGATCTCAGAGAAAAGGAAATAAAAAAATAGTAAAGAAATTTTGCCTAAGGGTAGTTGTCTGTTTCTGGAAAATCGACATAGAAAGTTGCTGCTAAAGAAAAGACAAGCCAGCTGAGGTTTTTGAAGACTTATGGGACTTGGGAGGCAACAATTGGAGTTCGGGGCTATAAAAGAATCTAGTACTTACAGACCAATATACCAAAGAGAAGCAAGGCACATAAACGTGAGTTCCTTATTTTGGTATTTTTCCCATAAGGTATTTTCCCGATTCTAAATAGATAATGACCAGATGGGCAAGAAGCCAAAATTAAATATAAATAAAATTAAAACCAGGACATTTTCAGCAGTAACGTTATTCTGCAGTGACAAAAACTGAAGTTCAGTAAGCAACCTTTGGAAATGTCTTCAGCTCAGTTAGAAACCTTTGGTAGCTATACCGTTCCACCAGGCACAAGAGACTTTGATAAAGTTTTACAAAGACCGTAAAGATATTCTAGAGTACAAAATCAACTATTCACCCACGGATGACACAGGTACTCATCTTATTTAACACTGACATCAAATAACAAGCAATCAATAATCAATAAGTTCAATATCTTTAATGACTAGCTTGATTATGGTTTTTGACGTTTGACTTTTTACCACTTTTAAACCTCACTCCTTCTTCCCCTCGTGCCCCACATCTGGGCAAGCCGAAATGACGGTACATAAAAGAAGACCTAAAAGTTAATGGAGACCTAGAATTTCAAAGTTCTCTAGGAAATTAATCCACATTTCCATGCCAAATTTCTTGTGCCCTGACCTTCCCAAAAGGGAGTCCTTCTTTTTAAAATAGGAGATTTCACCACATCTGGAATTCTTCTATTGTTTATAATTAAGCCTTATAACAATTCATTATTGTTTATAATTAATCCTGACCTCCCCAAAAGGGAGTCTTCTTTTTAAAATAGGAGATTTCACCACATCTGGAATTCTTCTATTGTTTATAATTAAGCCTTATGCCTGAACCTCAGCTCTTTTTGCATCTGACTGCAAGAAATGAGAGTCTCTAAGCTGCCAAAGAGGCACTCTGGCCTTCAAATGTAGCTTTTATGTGTGATTAATCAAACTCAAGATGTTTTTTCCCTCCAATCTTTTGAGAGCACCTGGCAATAGCAGTTACATTTGATAGCACTTTAAATTAGTCCTTCCTCCATATATAGAACCTCGAGCATTTCATAGCCAGTGCGTCCTCTCCCGTCTTAGCTCACCACTGATGAAAGTATTTTTTATCTTAAATTTTTGTGGGTACATAGTAGGTGTATATATTTATAGGATACATGAGATATTTTGATACAGGCACAAAATGCATAATAATCACACCAGGTTAAATGAGGTATTCATCACATAAAGCATTTATCCTTTCTTTGTGTTACAAACAATCATATGCTTTTAATTATTTTAAAATGTACAATAAATTATTGTTGACTGTAGTCATCATGTGCTATCACATACTAGATCTTACTCATTCCCTCTAACTATATTTTGTACCAATTAACCCTCTCCTCCTCCCTTGCCCCACTACCCTTCCTAGCTTCTGGTAACCACCATTCTCCTCTCTATCTCTATGAGTTCAATTATTTTAATTTTTAGCTCCCCAAAATAAGGGAAAATATTCAAAATATTCAAAATCTTTCTGGATTTGGCTTATTTCACTTAATATAATAACCTCCAGTTCCGTCCATGTTATTGTAAATGACAGGATGTCATTATTTTTATGGCTGAATAGTACTCTATTATGTATATGTACCACATTTTCATTCGTTTCTGTCCATTCCTCTAGTGATGGACACTTAGGTTGCTTCCAAATCTTGGCTATTATGAATAGTGCTACAATAAATATGGGAGTGCCGACATATCTTCAATATACTGATTTCCTTTCTTTGGGGCATACACCTAGCAGTGGGATTGCTGGATCATATGGTAGCTCTGTTTTTTTGTGGAACCTCCCAAATCTTCTCCATAGTGGTTGTACTAGCTGATATTCCCACCAACAGTGTGCAAGGGTTCCCTTTTCTCCACATCCTTGCCAGCATTTGTTACTGCCTATCTTTTGGGTATAAGCCATTGTAACCAGTGTGAGATGATATCGCACAGTTTTGATTTGCATTTCTCTGATGATAAGTGATATTGAGCAGCTTTTCATGTACCTGTCTGCCATTTGTATGCCTTCTTTAAAAAATGTCTATTCAGACCTTTTTGTTCATTTATTAAAAATCTGATTACTAGATTTTTTCGTATTGTTTTTGTGTGAGCTCCTTATATATTCTGGTTATTAATCCCTTGTCAGATGGATAGTTTGCAAATATTTAGGGGAGATTTGGGGGGTGGTTGTCTCTTCACTTTGTAGATTGTTTCCTTTGCTGTGCAGAAGATTTTTTACACTGTTAGTGCATACCAGGAGCTATTGGTATTCAACCTACTTTTAATAATGGTTCTCATTGTCAGCCTGATAGCAGCTATTCCATCTTCAAAAACCTATTTTAGAGATTTCATCCTAGAAACACTCCCATTACCAACTGCTTTAGATGTATTCCCTGGAACAGTCTCTGAGGCATGAAAATGCATGACAGAAGTTTCTAGGAAGAAGATCTGAAAAACAACATTTGTGGTGAGTGAGAAAAACTAAAATGAAGTACAGGAAGATGTTCAACTGCAATGTGTTACAGTGGAAGTGTGTGATGATTCCATCGCATTTCATCTCTAGAGTTGAGAGATGGAATTCATTCTCAACTATAGAGGGAGGCTCCTTTAGATTGGTCCCAAATTGAAGTAACAGGGCTTCGCCATTGTACCTCACTTGGTATTATGTGTAGGTTGCCTCCATCGAGAAGGTGTAACCTTGGGTGTTTTCCCTCCAAGGACAATTCTCTGAGAGGGATACATCTGTGAGCTGTCCGCAGCCAAAATTCATGGCTACCATGGGAATAATTGCTTTAGTTTGAAAGGGGGAACAGATAGCCCAACGTAGGATCCACTGTATTACTTTTTTTTATAGTTCCAACTTCCTACAATCCTTAAAAAGGCAAAACTAATCCATAGCAATAGAAATCAGTATAGAAGTTAACTTTTAGAGGATGATGATTAGGATAGGGCATGAAAGGGGTTTCTGTGTTGTTGGTAATGTTCTATTTATGATATGAGGATTTGATTATATGAATAAGTTCAATTTATGGAAATTCTTCATGCTACAAAATTATAAATTGTTCATTTTTGTATGTAAGTGATATTTCATAAAAGTTTACTTTAAAAAGTAATGTGAAACACAGACATACAAAACTTTCCAAAATAAGAATAAAAAGGCTGATTTTATAATTTAATCTTTGGTTTTACTTTCATACAAGTTCGTGTTTTAGAATAACTTTTATACTCTTTTATCTATAATTTATTACTCAATTTTCCATAGTAAATATGGATAATTATTAAACCTGAATATTAAAAATACAGCCAGTTTGATAGATTTGTATAAATGCTTAACTGATGTCTCCAACACTCTTTTTCCAAATTACTAAACTAAGAAAAATAAATAGCAGAGTAATTACAAAAGTACCAATGACAACTGCTATACAATATAAACACTTTGGTAGTTAAAAGTTACTTAGCTCAACCACTTTGCCTGAACAGGATTTAGGAGCTAGAGTTGACTAAATTAAAAGAAAGACAATATAATTGCTTTGTGATTGCCATGCAAATACCCCAACATTACGTTGTGGATATGCAATTGTTTTCATTTTTAAAGAAAACTCTGATTTATATGGTGTTTACTTAGGAAGTATTAAATGTAATTAGAGGGTACAACTCAGGAGAAGGGAAAAAAAGTGATATTTGGTTTTGATGCCTATGTGCTCTTGGAGTTAATAATTATTTTCCAAAAGTCATTTCCTTTGGATATAAAAGCATTGCTTGTTCCTGTCCTTAACCAATTCATAAAATTACACAGTTTCCCCAGAAGAATTTTTTGGAATGACATAACTTGCTTAATGTCTTGCATATCTTATTTTTAAAATATAAGAATATTATCTCTGAGGAGTAAAATTATTAACTCTGAGTGGTCAGGAAATGTATTAATAATGATAACACATATTTGTTATGCAGTTTTTATTATAATGAGGTTTAAGCGGACAATACATAGGAAGTAAGAATCTGTAGCAGATATTCTGTGCTCATGAAATGTGCCTCTACATCCTGGTGAGTAAGCAGACTATATTTTCCAGCATCCCTTACATTTACTTGTGGCTATGACTGAGTCATGGCTAAAGACTTGAAATTGAAGCACATTACTTCCAGGCTTTGTCCCTTCACACTCCTACAAGTAGTCTCTATGTCCTCTCTTCCCCTAACTGCCTTCCAGAGGCAATCCATCTTAAGCCTCAGAGAAACACAGCACAGCAGAGCAAAACAGTCTGAGTGCCTAGATGAAAAAGTCCAAGGCTGCACAAAGACTGGGAAAATCCATATTGTACTTTATGTGTGTGAGAAATAACTTCTTATTGTGTTATTTGAATTCAGAGAATTCACTTTGAATTCAGAGAAATATTTGGTACAATTCTTACCTCCTGGCCATAACAGTTACCCTAAATACTACAGAATATTGAACAGTAATTGATGTGGTGCCAGCAAAAACACAAAAATTTGTGGCATTTATTTAGTAGTCATGGAATGGACCAAAAAAGCCTAGAGAGTTCTCTTGAGCTGTGATGAAACTTCTATCTGCCATAACGTGGAAGGCAGGTTATATAAATAGTGAGCCTATTGCTCTAAAGAAAGTGGGAAAAAACAGAGTGAAAATGTGTCTGTCACTATGGGCTGCCTTTAGCAAGGCATTCAAGAAAGCTAAGAGTTACAAAGTTTCAAAAGAACTGGAGAGTATCCAGAGATAAAAAGGCTTTAAGAATTGAAAAGGCAATCATTTTAGACTCATCTCTAAAAGAACTAAGTGAAAAACAAACTTGAAAAAGGTTCAGTGAAAATCACATTGCTAAAAAATTTAAATAGTTAAAAAAAATCTACGACTCACCTTAGTGGTATTCCTAGTGCTATTCCTTCCCACGTTAGTCTTTTAGTTTAAATCACGTCAACATAGCTGCCATGAAGTTGAGAGAAAGAGAGGGTAAAAGGCCTAGGAAACTCAGAAGTAAAAGTAAGAAGTATGTCTTGGGTATGCCTACTGGCCCATGGAACTGACTGGACTCAACGAAATCATAAGCTTAGCAAGTTAGTGTGGAAATTATACAGGCAAAATAAACTAAGAGTGTCTGACAATGCCTGCGACTTTCAAGTCTTAAAAAAAATCCTGACTCTAACAGATTCTATCCAGGACATACTCTTCTTTGTTCACATAAGATATGATCACGAATGATAACAAATAAAAAAGGCCCTAAGAATGGTTGAGCCAAGACCCAGACAGAGGAATGGAAAGGAAAACAACAATATTTTTCCAAGAGGTAAAAATCAGTCTTATCAAGGAGTTTTTTCATCAACCTTCACCCCAAATGCAAGTCTTCATAAGATATGTCTAGCAGTGTATTAAACACCAAAATGTATCTGTAATGGCTGAGACTTTCAATTTTCATATTTTCTTTTGTTCTTCTGAGCCTTCTCCACCATTATGTATTTAATGTATTAGAGGCAGATAACTTGTCTTTTCTGTTTTATTGATTACTGGGCCAAGAGAACATGGCTGGACATGCTAGAGAAGCCAATACACCACCAGAAAAGCTATACTTCAATATGGATGGAGTATCTAGACAGGGCAAATGTGCCCTATATGAGTGAGGAAGAATAAAATAAAAATTTGCAGATCAAAAGGCAAAATGTGCAGAGACTACTTTTCCCTTGACTTTCCTGTCTTTCCTTAAATTCCTTCCTACTTTCCTTTAATTCCCCAAGAAATCGACTGTGATATACAGATTTACAGGTGGAGTGGAGGAAGTATGAAGCAGGAGTTGAGTTGTTATGGATTCACATCAAATGCCTCAGCCGTCCCACAGGAAATACTGGAGCTAAAAATGGTCCTTCAGAGTTGTCTTTGTTTTGTAGCAAATGGACCAGGCCTTTGTATCCCCCCTGGACTGGTCCTAGAAGTGGGATGCTTCTGAGAATGGGGCACAGCTGCGTCAGATCTCTGTCAGAGAGCAATTCCCAGACAGTGAATTACTGAAAGTCATCCCTTGTCAGTTCTCCAAACAGCTGAAAATATAAGCTCCTTGGTACTGAAGCCGGGATCTGAATGACATACCACAGCATCCACCACATTCCAAGGTGCAGAGTGAAACTACATTTCCCAGCCACCCTTGCAGTTAGGTATAGCTACATGACCAATAGATACTCAATTTCCAGTCCTGGCTCATAAACATCTCCTGGATAATCCTTCACACTCGCATTCATCCACAAGCTGCCTGTTGCTGATGATCCAGCAGAGGACAAGGCTCTACAGTGAATCCAGAGGAGGAAACAAATCTTGGACCGTAAATGACCAGGTTGAAGGTTGCCATCTAACCAGAAACAACTAAGTTTGCATTTTTTGTAAGGAGAAAATAAAACCATTTTGTGTTAAGAGACAGAGATTTGGGGATTATTTATTATAGATGGCAGTTTATATATTATATTGCCCAATCTAGACAAGATATCACATTCATCCAAAGTTCATAATAACAGTAGTAATGATGGCAATAATATGAAAAAAAGTATTTTAAAAAGTAGACTTTATATATTTGGTAATTCACTTGAGCTCTCCTTGTTTGTGTGTTTGTTTTTCATTGATTAATTAATGAGTTGTATTGAATAACCAAGGTTCTTTCCAGCACTGATAGTCCATGACTTTATGACATCCACTCTGTGAAAAAATGGTGGCATAAAATCCATTTTTAGACTTTAATAATTCTATAAAGCTGCATGGGTCAGCCAAGGTGAAATTTGAAATTTAGAATTCATGCCAAAACCCACGTAATTCACTTACTGTAAGTCCTGTGCTTCATCACTGGCGAAGATTCAGACCTAGACACTACATGCTCATGATTAATGTGCTTCTTTTTAGAGGGTTTAAGGCCTTTTCTGCCAGCAATCTAACATTGCTATTGATTGAAGTATCAACATCTCTCTATCAAGACTGTAGGTTCTTCACATGCAGGTGCTCTTAATACATGGACTACTTATGCTAGTGGAAAGGATTTTGGGAAGTTTCTTCTCTCTCTTTCTTTCTAGCAATTTGCCTATTTTTTGTGCTACTAGAAAGATTTTCAATGATCCAGTCAATCATAATAATCAGGATGCCTCCTTGTCAAGAAGTGCCTTTCTTGGCTACTAATAGTTGTCTGGCCAGTCATAGTGTCAGACTGAGAGAATCCTTTGGTATAATGAGTGCACTAGGGATAGTACTACTTAGCAGCAAATGGATACAGCTTCTAAAATTGTGTACAGGCTATAGTCAGGAGGGAGGGTTTCAAGTAAAATTAATAGCCACCTTGTGCTTTTTAAAAAATCAATGCATTATTGAAATGGTATTCATTCAAGGTTGCACAGCTGGTTTGATGCTGATTATGCTTTAAGCCAGAGAGGATAATTAAATAGGATAGAAAATGGTGTCAGGTTATTCATGACAGAAAAGATGCCAAGAACACTACAACAAAGGCCACTTGCTGATAAAAGAAGGAAACTAAGGTGAATTTAATGAAAAACTATTAGTTTACAACTTTTTTGCCCCTCATCTAACAGAGTTCGCTTTGTAAAATCTTGTACGCGCATGGAGAATTCTGCATTTTAAAAACAGTATTCTTGTTGTTTTACTTTCTCTGGCTTAAATACAGTAAATATGAACCCTATTAAAGTTTAGCCTTATGGGCTTTTTCATATATATGTTAATTAAATAAAATGATATTTTTGAAGAAAATGGTTCTTTGGGGCCTAGATTAAAACATAAAAATGAAATAAAAATTTTAAGAAGTACAGTCTTACTATAATTATTTTAATGGAAATTCAAGAAGTAAGCCTTTATTTTTAGACGATTTTCGAAAACTTGGATTTTACTGCGCATACTTTTAAAAATTTTATTAGCATTCAATTTCCTTTGTAATGCCCTTTTGCTAATGATGCATTGATATTAATCTTTAAGATATTGATGCTTCTTTAAGCATAATAATTATAATTACTCAAATATTCAGACACCATTTTAAAAGCAATACTAAACTCATTCATGTTGTAAATTATTGTTCTCATTTTTAGGAAGCTAACATGATATTTCTCACTTGAAATGACTTATTTCATTGATTTTATGTTATTTTAAAGGCTCTTCCCCTGCTAAATTCTTGAAAATATTTATTAGCTTTGTTATCATGGGTTTATATCTGAGATCTTCAAACTGTTTAGTGCACAATCATATATGATTTACAGAATTTCAGAATCCATTCTAAAACAGAACTTAAATTTATATGTACACACACATATACACATTCATAGAGCCTGAGGTTTGGGGCAGTTCTATTTGTCTGATAAAATTACTAAAATTAAGAAATTAAAACCTTAACTTTAATGGCTGTAATAAGTAAATATAAAACATCTTTTCCTCCACTTGTTTGCACAAATGCGTTTCATGGTGGAATCAAAACTATCTGTTACATTCATTTCTATGAATTTTAAACTCTCTAAGCAATGATGCATTTCACTGAGCATCTTCTGTACTCTCATTACATCAGGTAAAGTGAGAGCAAGATGTAAAATGTCTCTTCACTTTTAAGAGGAAACAAAATCTTGAGCTTGGAATTACTCTTCTAAGGAAAAGAATATTCCCATAATTTTTGCGATGGTTCAGGAGCAAATTTGGTACTACATTGTTTTGTTCAACATCCTGCTGATTGTTCAGTCTGTCACAATATATAAAATATCATTGCTCTGAAATCACTCTGCAAGCTTTCCAAGCAATTGCATTCCAGACATAATTAAGAATAAACTAAGGCCTTCAGACAAGCTACTTTTCTCATTCCAAATGATCATTTTACAGAAGAATGCATTAGGCTTTTCTATCAGAGTTTGATTTACTAGTCATATGTCAAGAATAAATTTGATCTTTTTTATCTATTAGATATTTTAGAAGAAATTCTTACTTTAATTTGAAAATTTGTTAATTTGAAGTTGTATTACTACTTCTTATCAGTTCATGTTTCCCCATAATCAACAATCCCTCCTGAAAAAAAGGCATCTAGCAACATTTTTATATTGCTTAACGTGACTTTCAAAGCTAAAATAGTAGGAACCAAAATAGAAAACCCCAATTTAGCTGTCCCTTAAAATTGTGCTGCGAAGAGATACATCAAGGTCCTATAATTCTTAACTGACTTATATAAAATTGAAAATTTCCCAGATATCATCTTGAGATCTCAGGCATCAGTGAAATAGGGAGACAACTGCTTTTTTTTTTTTTTTTAATCATACAAAACATGTATTTTGGGTTATTTTCCTTATAATAATACTCAGATTTGACTTCTGAAAAGCTTAGTTTAGCAATTCCAGGACATCATTCTAACTGCCAGGGCAGGTAGAGCATGTTTATCATTCTCACTGCTTCTTGAGATAGTTGGATTTCGTAGTTGATACCTTTCAAATAATCTCACTTTCACTCTCCCACCTGTGTTCCTAACTGTAAGGAACACTGCATCCTCAAATTAACGATCATAAATAGATAAATAAATTTTAATGGCATTAAAAATACCCACAATTCAATTTGCCCTTACTGCTAATGACCGTGCTCCTATTCCCATATCTGATTATTGTAGTTAATAGGTTTTAGAAAAAATTCCTCCCAACTATCTTGTGTTTGAAGCCCCAAAGTATGACAAATGATGTCCCTAGCTATGGTGTGTGAGAGGCCATAAGCAGATGTTTTCTTCAAGCTTAATTTCATAATATGAACACTGAATAATTTTTCTAAAGTTGCCAATCAATGGACTTCACACATTCTAGTGTTTTATCTAGATCATAAGTATACGTCTGCAAATCAAGAAGAAATGAGTCATCTGTAAAACCTCAAAATATTCACTGCAAATGCTGCCACTGAAGCTACTTCCCAGCTAATTTCACATTTTACCTTCTACACACACAGACTTTTAAAACGATATTATTTACATGTGTTCAAGACAAATTTATAACTGCCTACGCATGGAGTTACTTTATCACATTTTAGTTGAAATGCAAAAAGTGTCCAAAACAGTAGACAGCATTTAGTTCAATGAAATGACTTTTTAAACTAATTTTTAAGCCATTCAATATTTTGATCAAAATTCAACTCTAGTAAAACAACTAAATCAATCTAGCATGAAAAAAAATAAATGTAGTGTTATTTATGTTGTATACAGAAAAAATTGATATAGTAAATGATATTGAAATACTTTGGTGTCTTATCTGTTAGGGCTGCTATAACAAAAATAACATAGATTAGATGGCTTGTAAATGACATCAATTTATTTCTTGAAGTTCTGGAGGCTGAAAGTTTAAGATCAGGATGTCATCATGGCTGGGTGCTGGGGAGAGCCCTCTTTTGGGTTGCAGACTATTGTGTTCTCTTGTATCTTCACATGACAGAGAGAGGACTAGAGAAGTTTCTGGGATCCCATTCATGGGATTAGTGCTCCACTCTTATGATGTAATTATCTCTCAAAGACATCACTTCTTAATACTACCATGCTTGGGGTTAAACATTTCCACATATAAATTTGTGGGGACACAGACATGGAAACTATTGCACTGGCTTTCTCATATGTTATCACTGGTTTCTAGTAGATTAGGCAATGTTAAAGAACATGGAAAAGAAAAAAGAAACATATTTGACACAAAAAGTGCATTTATTTGAACAGCAGTCTAATCAGTTTCCATATCCACCCTGATTCATCTTTTAGTTTCTTTCCTGCTCAGCAGCAGCTTTGCAGACAAGCATGCACTGACTTTTGGTAAGGTATAATCAAACCATTTTGCTATAATATTCTTTAGACTCTATTGGCTTTCATAGGATAGTTTTGCTGAAAAACAATATTAAATTGTTTTATTTCTCTGTGGGGTACGATTGAAACCACCTGGGTGCATGAAACAGTGTACTGATTCTGGTGAGACGCTGCTGCTTTTGAAGGCCCATGATGTGATTCCCTTTGTTACTTCATGTGGCCAGATGGCTACCACACTATAACCTGGCAAACTTGCTTTTAATTTCTTAAGTATGCCATATTATTGCTTACCCCAAGGCTGTCATGCATCCTATTCTGTGTCTAGGCTTTCTAGATCTTCTTTTCACTCCACCCTACCTTTACTTTGATTACATTCTTTCAAACACATGAAGCACTTCCTTGATAGCAGTTGTCACAATTATGCTTATTTTCCTTTTCATCGTTTTTTTAAATTTCTGCCTCTCCATATACACCAGAGTTGCCAAGATGATTGAACCTGTGTCTATTTTTAATCACATTATTACCAATAAATTGAAATGTTTCATAAATATTTGTTAAGAATATATTTTTAAAATATACCTGAATTTACTGAAGTATTTGGAATACAGATTTGTGTTTTTCTTCTTCACTCACTAGAGTGATTTTTTTCAGCAAAATAATTCTAAGGATAGCCTGGAGTAACTGATTATTATGGTTACAAACAATAAAATATTTAGTAAGTGCATACTGGTTAGGATACATTCTGTTGCAAGGAACAATAAAAAGAGCTTAAAGTGGCTTTCAACAATAAGGACATTTGTTACCCTATATCACTAAAGTTTAAGCATAGAAAAAAATCTAGACTTCATTAACTCAATGCTCAAAAATATCCTAAAGGAAGTAGGTTGTGTACATCTTTTGAATCTTAGGTGTCTTTTCAGACTAGACAAATTTAACCATTCTGTGTGTCAGTTCCAGAAATGAAAAAAAATTGAGAGAAATCATTTTTTGGGATTTCTGCATATGTGTGTGTGCATGTGCAACAAAGATTTTTATTGTGACCATCTGTAATAACAAAATATTAGAAACACTCAACTGCCTACATCGGAAGACTGGTTACATAGAGCCATACATTTAAATATAATATAGTCATAAAATAGAAGGAAGTAGCTGTGTGTGTGATACGGAAGTGGGGCAGGGAAGTGCTGGGAAGGGAAGGGCGGGTCCCTGGCTAGGGCTTTTTTGTTTTCCTGCCCAAATGTTGTATTTGCCAAGACCACCCTGGCCTGCCACACCCGCACCCTGTTCCTATAAATATCACCCCCCCATACCCCAGCAGGCAGACACACAGGCCGCTGGACGTCTAGAAAAGCACATCAGTTGAAGAGCATGCCAACAGGCACTGGCAGACGCCGGCAGCTGGCAGGCCATGGACTGGGAGAACTACGCAGAGTTTGGCTGGGGCAGTGGGAGGAGAGCCCAGGCCAAGGAGTGGCCCCACTCCAGGGGAAAACCTTCCCACTCCATCCCCCTTCTCGCTTCCCCCATCTGCTGAGAGTTACCTCCACTCAGTAAAACTTATTCCTTCTCCAAGCCCAGGTGTGATCCAATTCTTCCAGTACACCAAGGCAAGAACCCGGAATACAGGAAGCCTTCTGTCCTTGCCACAAGGTAGAGGGTCTAATTGAGCTGGTTAACACAAGCAGCCTAGATGCCAAAACTGAAAGAGCACACTGTAGCACAAGCCCACTGGGGCGTCAGGAGCTGGAAACATTCATCCCTAGCCACTGCTGTGGGGACAGAGCCCCACAACCTGCCTGCCTCTATGCTCCCCTAGAGGTTTGAGCAGCGGGCACTGATGAAACGAGCCACTACCGCACGCCCTGCGAAGGGAACAAGGGAACTTGCCCCGTTTCATATGTACTACCACAGAACAAATATTCACAATATATTGTTACATGAAAAAGCTGATGTAAATGAATATCTATAGTATGGCCTCATTTTGTGTGCATAATTGTTAACTTTCACTGGGTTACAGAGAAATAGGTTTTTTTTTCTGAGTATTTTTCCTTGTAGCACAACATCAGTCATCTGTTCTGCTGGACTGACAGTATATGCCTACAGCTAAACCAAGCACTACCAAGAGAAAGGGACCACCATCATCAGCTCAAACTCACTAGGATCTGTCCTTAGAGCAGGGGATTGTTCCAGCCTCTCCTGTGGCACAAGCTATAAGGAAGAAGAGAGATACCTAATCCAATCAGTTTTCTTTTAGGAAGAAACAGTTTGGGGGGATTACAATTAGATAGCAATCTCAGAGTTAGTGACCCTAAAATGTAAGATAGTGGGATAAATAAGATTAATTTTTAAAAATAGTAAAACAATCTATTCTACCATTTAATAGTCTAGCTAAAGAAAACACTAACTTAAAAATGCACGTGATATGCGTTAGTTCTTCTCAATACATTACAAGATTTTCACCATGTAATTTGTGTGCACCATTTTCTTCTCTTTTAAAATGGGATATAGTATAAGCATGAAGTTTGCATGGCATCTACAAGAAGCAGTGGTGGTCATGACAGGAAAAGCTAGGTTAAGAAAATGTCAGTCTGTGAAATTGCAAAAAAAACCCCATATGATTAGTATTATTTCTTAACAAAACTTTTTTCCCAAAACAATGTATTCTGTGAATATTATATGAAGAAATTATAAAATGAGATGTCTTTTGTCTTGGTTAAAAAATATAGATAGATATAGATAGATAGATAGATAGATAGATAGATAGATAGATAATAGAAAGATAGGTGGATAGATAGATACAGGTAATACGTGCCAAGAATTGAAATGAAAAAAAATGACATGTAATGTAGAAATATTTATTTATTTCTTTGGAGGTAACTTTAAAAATAATTATAAATATCTTACTTGATCCCCAAATAAAGGTTGTAGGTTTTTTTTCTCTTTCTCTTTTCTTATTTTCTTTCTTTTTAAAACGAGCTAATGCTCTGTTAATGCATTTAGTTGGCATTGGATGTGAAGTTCAATTAACATATATTCTTTGTAGTCAAGAACATTATGAAAAGAATCCTAGCATGACACTAAAACTTCAATGTATCTATGCAGGGAACTTAATCACCATCATTACAATTTATACCTCACTCTGATAAGTACTGAGTTTTGCAGCAGTAAATTATATAGATTCCATAAAACAGCAAAAAAAACACAATATTATATTCAGCAGAGAACCCAAAATACCATATACAATATCAGTCCTAGATTAGATTTAATGATTCTTCATTTATGTTTAAATAAAAAATCATAGTAATATTTTTATTATGGCAATGGAGATTTCAAAACATTCACCAGTTACATACTAAGTAGATGTAGCTTGCAATACTGATATTAAAACTAATATTCATCTATATTTTGCCTAATGCATTAGAAGCATTGTCTACTAGTTTAAGTGAGAAAGTAGGGATTCATATCTCCATAACAGACTCTAGTTTTCATATCAAAGGGGTTCTGAAATCGTAGTTGTTCCAGTATTTCTACTTATGATGTTCCCCTCAAGAGATAGATTTCATCTTGCTAATCTAACTAAATTATTAAACAATTTAATCAAGAGTTAATCAATAAAAATTTATTTACTCTAGGCACTGTCCAGAACACTTTGAGTCTACTATATTGTTCTTTTGTAACTTCTGATTATTTCAACTCTCATTAGCCCATCTGCAAGAGGATGACCCAGAATGATGCCTAAAACAAATGGGTCAAAGAGACCCTGGTAGAAGAAAGCACTGAAAACCTGCATCAAATAACAACTCTCAAATGTAGCATAATATTCAGAATACATTACTAAAAGACTTACCATTTTAAACCCTACCAAAAAGTTTAAGCATACATTATTTGAGTGGTATATTTACCTTGAAAATATGAGGTATTTAAAAGAAAGATAAAGTAACAGGAACACTACTTTACAAGAAATCAGATGAGTCTGGTATGAAAAAAGTCATCTTGATTTGCACATTGGTACACTATCGTCTTATCTCTATACCCTCGTTGTTAAGTGACATATGACTATTTTAGGACAAAAAGATGTTGATTTTTAATAGCCTTACTGAGGTAAAATAAATCACATAAGTTTTCAAATATGTGTACCATCCATCATGATAATTGTGATAATAAATATATATGTTACTCTAATTTCCATATTATTTTAGGATCACCTCCTCCATTTCTGTAACAAAAGCCATTGGAATTTTGACAAGGATTAAAGTGAATCTGTAGATAATATTGGTAGAGCACTGCCCGCTCAACAATATTTTTCGATTCGTGATGGCAGGATGCCTTCCCATTTATTTAGATTTTCTTACATTTCTTTCAGCAACATTTTACAGATTTATCATATATGTCTTGCATTGCTTTGCTTAAATTTATTCCTAGGTATTTTATTCTTTTTGATGCTATTTTAACAAAAATTGCTTTCAAATCTTCTTTTTTGGATTGTTCATTGCTAGTGTATAGAAGTACAATGGATTTATGTATTTTGATCTTGTATCCAGCAATTTTGCTGAATTCATCCATTAATTCTAATTGGGTTTTTGTGGATTCTTTAGAATTTTTTAAAATATAAGATCATATTTTCTGAGAATAGAGATGATTTTACATTTTTCTTTCCAATTTGGGTGCCATTTATTTATTTATTTTCATAGCCTGGTTGCTCTGGATAGAAATTCCAGTACAATGTTAAGTACTAGTGGTAAAAGTGGGTATTCTTGTCCTGTTTTTGATCTTGGGGAAGAGCTTTCAGTTTTTCATCACTGAGTAGTTGTGGATTTTTCATTTAAAGCCCTTTAGCATATTGAGGAAGTTCTCTTCTATTACAAGTTTTCTGTTTTCTTTTTTAATCATGGAAGTTTATTGATGTTTATAAAGTGTTTTTTTTCCTGCATCAGATTAGGTAATCAGGCAATTTTTTCCCTTTATTGTACTATGTGATGTATCATAATGATTGCTTTTCATACATTAATTTACTCTTGCATTCCTGTAATAAGACCCATTGGTCATGATTTATCATCATTTTTATATGCGCCTGGGATTGCAATTGGGTTGAAGTTTTGCACTTACATTCATAAAAACTATTAGTCTATAACTTTTTTTTAATTTCCTATAATGCTTCTGTCTGGCTTCAGTATCTGAGTAATGAATGTCAACTTCTATTTTTTTTTTGGAAAATTTTTAGAAGGATTGGTGTTAATTCTTCATTAAATGTTTGATAGAACTCAATAGCAAAGCTATCTTACCCTGGTCATTTCTTGACTGGGAAAACTGTGATTACTTATTCAATATTTTTACTTGTCATGTATCTATTCATATTTTCTGGGTTTGTTTTAGAGTCAGTTTCAGTATTTAGTGTGTTTCTAAAAAGGGGTCAATTTCATCCATATTATTTACTTTAATGGTGTAACATATGTTCATAGTACTCTCTCATAATCTCTTTTTAAAATTCCTGTAGGTTCATGAGTAAAGTACCCAAGATTTCTGATTTTAGTACTTTGAATCTTCTCTCTTATTCATGGTCAGTGTAGCTAAATGATTGTCAATCGATTGATCTTTTCAAATAACCAACTTTTGGTTGTATTAATTGTTTTTATATTCTCTGTTTCATTAATCCCTGTCTTTACTATTTTCTACTGCTTGCTCTGTATATAGTTTGCTCTTCTTTTTCTATTTTATTTTAGTCGAAAGTTAGGCTACTCGTTTTGTATCTGTTTTCTATTAGACAATATTTCACCATGCTGGCCAGGCTGGTCTTGAACTCCTGGGCTCAAGTGATCCACCTGCCTTGGCTTCCCAAAATGCTAGGATTGCAGATATGAGCCACTGTGCCTGGCCACTGTTTTCTATTTTTAATGTAGGCACTTAGAGCTATAAATTTCCATTGGAGCAATACTTTCATTGCATTTTATAAATTTTGATATATTGTGTTTTTGTTTCCACTCATCTCAACTAATTTACCTTAAAAAAATTTCTTTTTGTGACCTATTACTTGTTTAAGGATATTTTTCCCACATATTTGCAAAATTTTTTTTATTTCTAGTTTCATTTTATTCAAAGTAACTTGAAAAAGTTACCTTGTATTATTTCAGTCTTCTTAATTGTTTTGAGACTTGTTTTTTGGCCTAAAATGTGGTCTATCCTGGATACTGTTTCATGTGTACCTGAGGAAAATACATTTTCTGATGTTGTTTGATGGACTGTCCTATATATGTGTGTATGTGTTAGGTCTAGTTTGTTTATAGCATTGTTCAAGTCTTCCATTTTCTTTTTGCTATTGAGTTTTTCTATCCATTATTGAAAGTGGAGTATTAAAGTTTACAAATACTATTGTAAAACAATGTATTTATCCTTTCAGTCCTGCAGTTTTTGTTTGATCTATTAAGAGACTGTTGTTAGATAGGTATATGTTTGTAAATTTTAAAGATTTTATGGATTGACTATATTACCAATATATAGTGCTTTTGTCTCTTGTAATTTTTTTTTCAGGATACTTCATCTGATAATAGCATAGCCATTTCCGCTCTCTTTTGATTACTATTGGCATGGAATATCTCTTGCATACTTCACTTTCAAATTATTTGCTGCTTTTCTAAAAGTGAGAGGATCTTTTCTAAGCTTGTGAAGTAAATCTCTTGTATACAGCATAGTTGCTTCTTTGTTAATTTTTTTATTCTGCCAATTTCTGCCTTTTCATTTGAAAGTTTAGTTCATTTAAATTTATTGGAATTGCTGATAAGGGTAAGAATACTGTTTTTTTGTTTGTTTTCTCTATGCCATATATTCAGGGGAGGGGAGATCATTCCTCAGTTTCGCTATTACTACCTTCTTTTTGTTTAATCACATTTGTGTATGTGCCTTTTTGTGCATATGTGCTATTTTTATTCTCTTCTAATTTATTTATTGTGCATTTTTTTAGTTATTTTCCTAGTGGTTATCCTGGGTATTTAGATTATCTTAAATTATAACAATTTTATATGACCTAATACCAAATTAATTTAAATAACATTCAAAAATGTGCTCAGATATAACTTATACCACCCACTTTGTTGTAATTATCACTTATTATATCTTTATACATTGTTTGCCCTTTGACATAGGTAGCATTTTGTTCATTTGTCTTTTAAATTATAAAGAAAATAACTTATAAACCAAAGATACAAAAATACTGGCTATAATAAATACCTATGGAGTTATATTTTACCGTGTTCTTTATTTCTTCATATGTCTTCAAATTACTTTCTATTGTCTTTTCATTTCAGTCCAAAGAATTCTCTTTAGCATTTCTCACAGGGCATGTCTACAAGCAATGAGTGCCCTCAGTTTTTGTTTATCTGCAAATGTCCCAATTTCTCCTTCATTTTTAGAGGATAGGTTTACCAAATATAGAACTTTTTTTTTTTTTTTTTTTTGAGATGGAGTTTTATTCTCATCACCCAGCCTGGAGTGTAATGGTGCAATCTTGGCTCACTGCAACCTCTGCCTCCCAGGTTCAAGCGTTTCTCCTGCCTCAGCCTCCCAGTAGCTGGGACTACAAGTGCACACCACCACGCCTGGCTAATGTTTGTACTTGTAGTAGAGACGGGGTTTCATCATGTTGACCAGGCTGGTTTTGAATTCCTGACCTCAGGTGATCCACCTGCCTTGGCCTCCCAAAATGCTGGGATTACAGGCATGAACCACCACGTTGGGCCAGATCTCTTGTTTCATAGTTTTTTTGTTTTTTTTTTTTCTGTCAAGACTTTAAATATGTGATCCATTATCTCTTCAACTATTATTTATGCCTGTATCTCTTCTCTCCTTTTAGGATTCCCATTATGCATGTGATGGAGCACTTGATGGTGACCTTGAAGTTTATTAGGCTCTATTTTTTTTTCTTTATTCATCTTTCTTTCTGCTCCTCAGATTGTATACTCTCAACTGATCTATTTTTAAGTTAGCTGACTTTTTTCTTCTGCTTGCCCACATCTGCTGTTGAACCCCTGGAGTGATTTTCTCATTTCTGTTTTTGTGCTTCAACTTTAGAAGTTCTATTTGCTTCCTTTTAAACTTTTTTAACCTCTTTATCAATACTTTCTATCTAGTGATGTATTAATATTATTCTCCTGGTTTCCTTTAGTTATATTACCATGGTTTTCTTTAGCCATTCAAACATATTTGTAACAGTTTTAAAGCATTTTATCATTAAAACTAATATTTGGGCTTCTTCAGGACTAAATTTTCATTGCTTTCTTTATCCTTAGAAATGGGCCATGCTTCATGTTGTTGAAAACTGGATATTTTGATTAGTGTAAGATGGCAACTCTGGAAATCGGATTCTCACTCATGTCCATGATGTGTGGTTGCTGCTTGTTGTGATTGTTGTTTGTTTACTGACTTTTCCCAACTAATTTTATGAAGTGTGTTTTCTCTTTTTTCTTTTGTCATATTGGCCATAGAGATCTCTGTTCTATTAGTGATGGCTAGTTGTGTGAAGGCACAAGAGGAGACATAAGAGAAGCTCAGGTATACAAACTTTATTATACTCACAATCCTTGAGACAGGAGGCATGGCATGCCATGTAGAGCAGCACAGGAAAGACACTGGGGCAGTCAAGAGGCAGAAGATGGAGTGAAGGGAAAGCATTAGGCCAGAGCCTTTATTTGGGTTTCTGCAGGAAAGGCAAGGCAGAGCAAAGTGAACAGTGTAGGACTGGTTAGTTTGAATACTTCTGGTGGGCTCTAAGCTAAAGATATGGTCTCTAGTTGCCTGGTGTCTGGTCCTGGGATGATTAATTTAGAGGAATAATTTCCCCTGAGGTGTATGGGCCAGATAGAAGAGATATGGCTCTCAATTGGTTAGTTTGCGTATTAAACACATGCTGCCTGCTCAGCCATTTATTATCTCTAACGATTGACTAGCCCCAAAAGTTATATATATATATAACAGCAAACAAAAAGTCACCCAATCTGTGCAGGTTAGTTGTCTGTTGAATCACTGCCTTACTGCTTATCTAGGCAGTTTTCAACTCTTCCTTAGCCTTCACTTCCTACTGTGTGGTGCCTTTTGGCCAATAGTAAAATCTTAGGGTCTTCTCAAGTCTTTTCTGAGTACATGTCCAACTCTGTGACTATGCATGACTCTCTAAATTTCACATAATACTTGCGAGTTTTTCAAAGTTCTAATTTCTTCATGTATCTCCTTCCCTAACCTCTGCCTACCCATGGTTTTTGTTCTATTGCTTGCCCTAAATGTTAGCCTTATTTACAGTTGTCAGTGGTTAATTTCATTTGTCTTTAAATGCTTTCAACAAATGCTCCCCTGTGATTCATATGATCCTCAGCCCTGGAAAAGGTCTAAGGAAGGCCAAATAAAGGCAAACCCTTCAGGGAACCATCAGGTAAAGATCCCTAACAGATTATAACACACAATCACAATCTTTGGAGAATGAGGCCTGTATTACTCCCTCCGTTGCATCTACCTGCACTAAGAATAGGAGCTGATGTCAAGGTTGCCTCCAAGCTGGGGATTAAGGAATGGTAATAGAGTGTGTTAAAACACCACCAAGCTCTCTTGTCAAAAATTCTCTGGTTGTTGTAAGGCTTTTATTAGATTCTGGTGTTAAAAATGAGTTGATTCTCACAGTTTTTGCCAGTGTATACGTTGCTTTCTATGGAGAGATAGAGTTTTAAAGTTTTCTAGTCTGTCATTATCACTGACATCACTCTAAAGATATCATTAAAAAATAAGGTACTTGATTATTTGGATTCTTCATGCATTTTATTTATTTTCTTGCTTCATTGCAATGGTTGTAACTTCTATTACACTGTGGTATCCAAGTGGCGATAGAAGTTATCATATCATGTGGACTCTTAGGGGAAATTTAAATGGTTTACTTTTTTTACCAGTTATATTTCAGGATAATTAAATACCCTAAAATGTATACAATACAGTGACTTTTCAAAAACTTTCAGAGTTCTGCAACCATAGTCACATTACGATTTTAGAAATAGATTGTCTCTTCTAGACATTTTATATTAAAATTATCATAACATGTTATATTTTTGTATTTGGCTTCTTTTAGTTAGCAACATTTTCTTGATGCTCATCCATCTTGTAGCATATTCCTTTATATTATTCAATAACATTCCACTGTAGGAATATATCACATTTTGTTTATTCATTCACCAATTGATATAGATTTGGAATGTTTCCAGTTTCTGATTCTCATGAATAATGTTCCTATAAAAATTTGCATCCAAGGCTTTGTGTGAAAATATGTTTTCATTTGTCCCAGATAGATCGCTAGATTTAGAATTGCTACCTAATATGAAACAATTATGAAATTATGCTCCAATGTGGCTGGCATATTTGACATTCTCATAAGCAAAATATGAGAATTTCCTTTTCTTCACAGTCTGATCAATGTCGGTTTGTGAAGCAGAATCTCACTGTGGTTTTAGCTTGTATTTTCCTAATAACTATGATGTTAATAATTTTTGATATCTTTTTTTGATGAAAGGTCTATTAAAATATTTTGCCCACCTTTAAATTCTGTTATTTGTCGTATTAATGAGTTGTCAGATTATTATTTTTCTAGATACAAGGTCTTTATCAGATATATGACATGCAAATATTTTCTCCATGTTCCTGGCTTGACTTAGTTCTCATGAAATTCAATTACTCATTGTTGTCTTTATAGATTGTAGTTTAATTTTTGTGGCTAAGGATTATTTGTTTACCTCAAAGTCACAACAATTTTCTTCCGTGTTTTCTTCTAAAAATTATTTAGTTTTGGCTTTTACATTTAGTGCTATTATTGATGTTAGTTAAGTTTTGCCTGCGGTATAGGCTAAGGATCTAAATTCATCTTTCTACATATGGATATCTGATGTGTCAGAATCACTTCTTGAAAAGACTATTTTTTTCTCCACCAAATAGGACAAAAATGTACACCTTTGTAAAAGGTTTTACATCTTTGTAAAATTACCTTGGCATCATTGGTCCACGTCTTTAAACATCTTTAAAGTAATCAAGCACATAGTATTGTTATTGTTGTTGAAATTTTTGATGTTATTATTAAAATTACTATTATCATTACTAGAACCAGCATTTGTTAGCATGACATGTCTTAAATTAGCATAGAGATCCTACAAAGACTTATAAATGTTGTCACCAGTTGTTTTCGTTTAAATAACACAAGAACATTAAAAAACCTTTCACCTACCCAATTTTTTCAGAACTAGAATAATTTTTATTATAACTATTTTATAATAAAAATATTATATAAAACAGTGATTTATAACTTTTTAAATCAATTCAACTTATGAATAATGATAGACTAAATGCCTGAGTTTCATATATACCTATGCACATGAGCACACACACACATATACACACACACAGCGATCTTACTAAAATTGTTATGTGGCTTTATTTTTTTTACTCAAAGTTAAATTATAAATATATTTTCATGTCACTAGTCTTTATATATATTAGTTTTATAGGTTTGCAATACTCTTTAATGTGAAGCTTGCCATAAAATTTTAATAATTTTCTATTAGAGAGTGTTTTTCTTCTGACATCGGTGTCTACATGCCACTCTATAAAATTATTAGATTGTTTTACTAGTTTTCTAATATCTCTTCTATCTCCAGTTGCATATTCCAGATATAATTTTATCTAGGCTATAAATTTGAAAAAGATATCTTTGGTGTTTTTTTAAAATAATTGCTTTACCTATTTAGAGATTCAATTATCATATTTTCCTGTACTCAGAACAGGTTGACCAAGCAATTACAATACTTAAATAGTCAATTTATAACTCTGAAATAATGGAGTATGCATCAGTCAGTTTGTTCTAAATGTATACATTTTAAAAGTTTTATTTTTTTTTTTGCTCTTGGAGATAGAAATGTGATGTCAGAATATTAAAAATAATATGTATTGATATTATTATGACTCTGTTATATTCATCACAAAGTTTCAGAGTTTGTTTCTTGCCTACTTCGTATCTCAAGCTTTGACAAATGAGGCATTAGTCAAAATGGATTAGTTTACACAGCCTTATAATTATACGAGTTTTGTATTATGGGTCATGTATGGGAGGGTATATCATAAGTATTTGAATGTTTGTAGGATAATTGGTCAGGGTAGATTCAACCCTCAACAGATGACTATATACTAAATGTTATTCAAAATTTACTTTTACAAAAAGAAAAATATGTTATGTGTATGTGTGTGCCCATGTGTATATGTGTATCATGTGCACATGTACACAATAATGACTGACCAAGAGGATGAGTCATATTTTTAATTATTCCATACTACATATTGGGTTTTAGAAAAGGTAAGGCAGGTCAGCTGTTACTAAATACTTTAAAAATAATTTAAACACATTAGTTTTAAGGAGCTCCCTAAAAGTGTTAATTTAGTAAGATATGAAGCAGTTCATCACATTAAAGCTCTGAGAATTGAGGGAAACCAGGTATTTCTGTATGTTAGTGACTATGAGAAGTAGCAATTATACAATTATACTACCCAGATCACTGCATCAAAAGTTTTATTTTATGTCAGTGTTTTCACTCTTTCTCTGTTCATTTCTGGTTGCCTTAGAAGAAAACAGTTATTCTTTGTCAGGTTGAGGGCATTCAAGTGTACCAAAAGGTCAATCTAATTAAAAAAGGGAAAGAACTTCAAACCACAAGGGGAAAAAAGATCCAGCTAAATGCCAAGGAATTTATATTACTGAATGAATGAGGTAAACAGTCAGACAATGAGATGAAATGAGATGAATGTGCAAAGTGTCAAAGAGAGAAAAAAAAGGTAGTCTGTGACCTTTAAATTATTATTATTTTTTGTAAATTAAATGATATTTACTCCTTGAAAGAGAAACATTGTACATTAGAAACCTTAAAAAATATAATTCATTTTTATCACAGCATAATTTTGGAGAGCTTTATTTTCCTCCAGTGATCCCAAAAATATTTAAATTTATAAACAATTGAGCAGGGAAACTAGATTAAAGGTAGAATGCTCTCTGAATGACTTTTCCCAAGGAAACACTCAATTATTTTAATTTTTAATCTTTGCAAATGCTATCCATCATTTGGAATTGCCACCCCATATGCTGTTCAAAAAACATTGCTAAAATCCACATAAACCTTATGAAGAATAGATTTCAAACTCTGAAGAATTAATGACTTGCAAAGCAAACAGAGAAAATGGTTGTGACTGGACCTTCTCACTTTATTATTTTTATCTCATGCCACCTACTTTTAAAATTAATGTACAGCCAGCAAAGAGTACATAGTATAAATCTTATAATTACAAGAAGGGTGGGGAGTATATTTCTACACTGAGTAAATCAACTTTGCAGTCAGTCACCAAGTAACTTTAATGCATTTTAACAATCTAGTTAAATACTCTATGGTAGAAGTCTATTAACAATCACTATCTCAATGAGCCTTTAGCGTCGTCGTGTTTGTGAGGTGAGGCCCTCAATTAGCAACTGTATTATCCTATCAGTTATTTTACCTCCTGTTGTATTTTATGGACCAAGTGTATGATATGCTGAGTCAGTATTATCATCAGCTTTTTATTGTTGTTGTTGTTTACACGTTAGAAGATCATAGAAAATAAAGTACATTGCCTCTGCAAATTGATGATACCCTGTTTTTCTTGGTTATCAATAACCCAATATATCCTTTACTTTCCTTGGCCAAATCATTTCTATTTGAGACAAAACTGAGTTTCCCTGGCCCAAGTGTGAGTCACGCATGAGCAGATTCTGAGGCAAAACATTTTCTATAGCTCCCATTGCTCCTATTCTTTTCGTGGGTAGGTGCTGTCTGCAATTGTCCTAATCTCCTATGCTAATATGGTAATTCCTCACTATGACTAGCACTCAAGTCTTCAGCAATAGCACACTTGGCCCCATTGCCTTGGTGGCTCAGCATCCCCTCAACCTTTACCTGCTCCTATTTCCACTCATGCAAATGTCTCTGAGAACCCTGAATGCTGCCTACGTAGTTCTTCAGTATTTATAATAACAGAACCATGGATTTGTCTTGCTTTGCCTTAACCCTGGATAAGTCCTCACATGTTTATGGTTGCTTGAATTGCAAAAGAGTCCACTATCTCTCTTTTTTTAATGCTTAAAAAAATTATCGAAAAAAGTCACATGTACAACATGAGGTTTTGAAGTACATGTACATTATGGAATGACTAAATCCAGCTAATTAACATATGACGTATGAGACCTTGTAGTTATCACATAAAACTAAGGAGTAAAATGCTGGTTACCAGGGGCTGGGGTGGCTGTGTGTTGTGGCACGGGGCGGGTTGGGGTGATGTTGGTCAAGGGATACAAAATTTCAACCAGATGGCAAGTATTAGTCCAAGAGATCTCTTGTACAACATGGTGACTATAGTTAATAACAATGTATTATATATTTGAAAAATGCTTTAAAAAAAGCAGATGTAAAGTGTTCTCACCATGTCTCTCAGCATTTGTGCCTTGGCACTACTTGTTGTCCATAAGACCCAGCTTCTATAACAGGGTTAATTAGCCCCAAACTAGTCATATATTTATTGAGTGGGTTTTTGCCTAGTGCTATTTATCTTGTCACTTTTCCTGCTAGCTTGGTAAGTGTTGTCAAAGTATTAGCATATCTTCTGCCAATGCTTCCAGTTTTAAATCATAACCAACTGTCATTTTCACTAAAAATACAAAATCAATCATAAAGTGGCTGATAGTGTGTCTGTATATAGGACTTGTCAGTTACACTCTGCACTACAGATTTTATATGAAAACATTTCTCAAAGGACATTTTTTACATAATTGACTATTTTAACAGCTACAAACAAACCAACATCAAAGGATTAAAAAATAATTTGAATAGTGGTATATTGTTCATGCTTCTTTTTTGACATTAAATGTCTTGTTTTCAAAAGCATGCTATCAAACATAGATGTATAATTTTCAAACAAAAATAATGTTTATGCAAGTAAAATAATATTACAGATAAACCAAGGCAAACATGGAGAAACATGATAAATTGTCCATATTTCAGTAAAGTTTTCAAATGTGGAATTTTTTTTACAGGAAATTTATTGACATTCACTTGTCTCTCAAATGCCCTGGAAAGCTAGAGCCTCTTCTTGGCTGTGACAGTCCTGAGATATTTAGATGCCTTTCTGAGCAGGCTTTAGTCAATTTAGGCCTCACAAACAAGTAAATAACAAGGAGGCAGAATCTCAGTGGATCTGATTTGTAGCAAAGTAGAAGGATTTCTTTTATACACTGCAGGGCTCATGCTTAGGTAGTGACTATTCATAAATCATTATCAATGGTGTAAAGACTCACTATGACTTGTGAACTATAAACTGTCCAAGAGAATTCATAGACTTGATGGCTTGGAGCATAATGTTACTATCATCTCCACTCACTGTGGTGTGTCATAGGGTCTTTTTTTTTTTTCCAGAAATTTTCACTAAATATAATAGAACTCCCTGACTACAATCCACAGTACAAATGAGGATATGAATTTACGATGTTAAGATCAGAATGTAGTTATAATTTTTCAACAGATTCTAGCTTTTCAAAAGATTCTATACATATAGCAGTACTGCAAGGATGCAAAAAAAAAAAAAAAAACACCTTTCTTGAATATTTTCCCTACCACGTTTTATTCCCAATATCTCACACGTATTAGGCAGCCCATATATATATAGTTGTGTGTGTGTAAATTAATTGTAAATGTTTTCAACTGATTAATTAACATAATGTCATCAAGTTCCAGATTTGACTGTTCTTGGACAGATGACTGGTTGATAATTAGAGTAAGTAGGTGCTAAAGTATGTAACAACAATGCCCTGTTATACTTTAAAATCTACCTTCTAAAGTATAAGAACACTAACACTGTTTATAGAAGACATAAGGAGAACCAAATTACAACTCACTAATGCCTTGGTAAGTAAGTATGGACTAGAGTAAAATGAATCAGCATTTTAATACACTAAGCTTCGTACACCACCAACATTGAAAATATATGTTTCTAATATCAGATACCAGATATCAGATGTCAGTAATATCTGATAACAGATATAACTGACTCTTAGGGTACAGAACCCTTTGCTATAGGCAGTGATTAGAAAAGCAGTTGTTAATTTGTCTTTTCAATGTTTCTTTTTTCTGAGGTTCCATGCTGTCAAGGGTTTGAAAAATTCTGATGTATATATTCCTTCTTTAGATGTTTAAAAACATTAATCGAATTTGACCTACATCTTTCCTTATCTAGTCTTGGTACTATTTAGCCTCTTAAGGAAGTTGACTGTTTCTGTGATAACAATTTGTTTTGTGAGTGTAGTTCAATTCACACATCATTGTACTGAGGATCTTCCAGAAACTTTACTGTCACCCCATATCTCTAATTTTGAATCTAAATATGTGCATTGTGGGGATATGGTATAATGAACTCTCATTATAGGCAATTACTTCTAAGCTAAAAGCAGAAAAGAGTATTAAAAAATTTCCTCCTTTTCCCATTTGTCTTCCACATGCAAGACTGAGACATTTAATTCTGGAACATTTATTGTTGGTTAAAACATCCCTTTATGTCAACAGGAAGCCACCAGGTGACATTAAATATTTTTAGAAAATGTTGTACTTACATTTTTCTGACCTTTTTTGCTATAAAAAAATCACACATCTAAAAAAATTTAGTTTTTTTCTCACTTCTTGAGATCTGATTTTTCTTTACCACATCTCTACATTTGTCTACAAAAAAATTTTATCACACAGTGAGAATAAGAATTTTTCATTTACATGAGAGACTGACATTTTACAAATAGAAAAATTGAGGCAGACTAAGATTGAAGAACTTTTCTAGGGTTGACAATTTTCCAATTTCTCAACAGAAACATTCTTATGCCACTCCAAGCTTACAGTTCATTAAAACAAATTATGTAAGTCTAGTAATGTTTTCTCTAATTTCCAGAATGGCATATCTCACTTTTCCATTTCATCCTCTTTCTACATATCAACCAATACAACATATTTAGAAAATGTATAAATATATGATAATTAGGATATATTATATTCCAAGACTATCTATTTCATTTAAATTTTAACTCATCTACCATCCTTGCTTGCTTTTCTTGCCATATGTTCTGTAAAAGACAGCAGCTCATCTATGGTTTTACCTGTTATTGCTAGCAATTAAACATGCTTCCAATGACCCTAGGACTTTTTTGAGAGATACCCTTCTAGGTGTACAGAAACTACAAAACAGAGAAATAACAGTTGGCCAGGCACGGTGGCTCATGCCTGTAATCCCAGCACACTGGGAGGCCGAGGTGGGTGGATCATGAGGTCAGGAGTTTGAGACCAGCCTGGTCAACATAGTGAAGTGCCGTCTCTACTAAAAATACATAAAATTAGCTGGGCGTGGTGGTGGGCACCTATTATCCCAGCTACTCGGGAGGCTGAGGCAGGAGAATCATTTGAACCCAGGAGGTGGCAGTTGCAGTGAGCCGAGATCATGCCATTGCAGTCCAGCCTGGGTGACAGTGCAAGACTCCGTCTCAAAAAAATACAGAGGAAAAACAAATTATTTGGAGTCTTTGGGCAAAACAAACAAAAGCTGTAAATCAACATAAGCACCAGCTTTCAAATCCAATCTGAGTTTTTTAAATTTTAAAATATTTAATTGACAAACACAAATTATATACAGTAACAGGTTGCTTAATGACAGAAATATGTTCCGAGAAATGCACCCTTAAGTGGTTTCATTGTTGTCCAAACATCACAGAGTGTACTCTAAAAACCTACATGGGGTAGCCTTCTACATACCTAACCTATATGGTGTAGTTTATTTCTCCTAAGCTACAAACTTGTACATCATGTTACTGTACTGAATACTGTGGCCAATTGGAACACAGAGACACTTATGTATTTAAACATTCTAACC
Source organism: Homo sapiens (assembly GCF_000001405.40). Taxonomy (NCBI): domain Eukaryota; kingdom Metazoa; phylum Chordata; class Mammalia; order Primates; family Hominidae; genus Homo; species Homo sapiens. The sequence continues at coordinate 27,367,669 of NC_000014.9, read as the reverse complement.
ATATAAAATTTTCAGTGAAAATAGGATATAAACTTTTTTTAAAAAATAGAATGCCTATGTAGGGCATTTACCCTAAATGGAGCTTGCAGGACTGGAAGTTTCAATAAGTGAGTCAGTAAAGGAGTGCTGAGTGAATGTGAAGGCCTGGGGCATTACTGTACACTATTGTAGATTTTATAAACACCGTACACTTAGGCTACACCAAATTTATTTTAAAAATTGTCTTTCTTCAGTAATAAATTAACTTTAACTCACCATAACTATTTTACTATATTAACTTTTATATTTTTAAAACTTTTTTCTCTTTTGTAGTAACAGCTTAAAACACAAATATTTTATAACTGTACAAAAATATTTTCTTTATGTCCTATTCTATAAGCTTTTTTCTAGTTTTCAATTTTTAATTAATTTATTTATTTTTACTCTGTAAACCTTCTTGTTAAAAACTAGGACATAAATATACACATTAGCCTAGGCCTACCCAGGATAAGGATCATGAATATCATTGTTTTCCACCTCCACATCTTGTCCCACCAGGTCTTCAGAGGCAATGACACACATGGAGGTGTCATTGTTGTCTCCTATGATAACAATGCCTTATTCATTGTCATCTCCTGTGATAACAATGCCTTATTCTAGAATACCTCCTGAAGGACTTGCCTGTGGTTGTTTTATAGTTAACCATTTTTGTATAAGTAGAAGGAGATCACCATATAATAACAGTAAAAAGTATATCGTAGTAAACTAATAAACCAGTAACATAATTGTTTGTTATCATGAGGAAGTATTAGGTACTATACACAATTGTGCGTGCTGTACTTATATATGACTGGCAGCACAGCAGATTTGTTTACACCAGCATCACCACAGGATGTGAATAATGAGTTGTGCTATGATATTGCGGCAGCGCCCACATCACCGGACAATAGGAATTTTTCAGCTCCATTATAATCTTATGAGACCAACTTGTATAGGCAGTTCATCATTGAAATGTCATTATGAGATGCATGACTGTATATCTAGATGCACAATGTAATAATTTGATAAATGTTTAGACTGTGTGTAGATTACTGCAGTCATATTAATTGACACATTCATCACCACACATAGTTACCATTTGTGTGTTTGGGCAGGAGGTGAGGACACTTAAAATCTGCTCTCTCATCAAATTTAAAGTAAACAATACAGTATTACCAACTACAGTCATCATGCTGCACTTTCAGTCCCCAGAATTCATTCATCTTGTTACTGAAAGCTTGTACCCCTTGAACAACATCTCTCTTCCATTTTCCTCATCTTGTAGTCCCTGGCAAACACAAATACTCTCTGTCTCAATGAGTTCAACTTTTTTATGATCTCACTTATGTGAGATCATGCAGTATTTGCCTTTCTGTGACTGGCTTATTTTGTTTAACACAGTATCCTCCAGGTTAATCCATGTTGTGGCAAATGGCAGGATTCTCATCTTTTTGTGGCTGGACAATATTCTTACACACACACACACACAAACACACACATGCACACACATACACATACAAACACACCACATTTTCTGTATCCATTCATCCATCAGTGGACACTTAGGTTGTTTTCATACCTTGGCTTTCATGAAAAATGCTGCAATAAATATGGTGGCTCAGATATCTCTTGGAGGTACTGATTTTATTTCCTTTGGATACAAACCTAGAAAGATGTGAGGTTGCTGGATCACATGGTACTTCTATTTTTTTCAAATTTTTAGAGAAACCTTCATGTTGTTTTTCATAATGACTGTGCCAATTTACTTTCCTCCCAAAGTATACAAAGTTTCCCTTTCACTACACCCTTGCCAACACGTTATCTCTTGTCTTTCTATTTTTTATTTTTTATTTTTGAGACATAGTTTTGCTCTTGTTGCCCAGGCCGGAGTGCAATGGCATCATCATGGCTCATTGCAACCTCCACCTTCTGAGTTCAAGCGATTCTCCTGCCTCAGCCTTCCAAGTAGCTGTGATTACAGGTGCATGACACCACGCCCGGCTAATTTTTTGTATTTTTAGTAGATACAGGGTTTCACCACGTTAGCCAGGTTGGTCTTGAACTCCTGACCTCAGGATCCTTGACTCCTTGATCCCCCCGCCTTGGCCTCCTGAAGCGCTGGGATTACAGGCCTGAGCCACTGCGCCCAGCCATTTTTTTTTTTTTTTAATAATTAGCCATCGTAAGAGGTGTGATGTGATATCTCACTGTGGTTTTGATTTGCATTTCCCTGAAGAATAGTGATGATGAGCACCTTTTCATATGCCTGTTGACCATGTATATAACTTAATCCCATTTACAATAGCATCAAAAATAATAAAATACTTAGGAATAAATTTAACCTAGGAGGCAAAAGATCTATACACTGAAAACTGTAAAACATTGATGAAAGAAATTGAAGTAGACACAAGCAAATGGAAAAATATCCTGTGTTAAATAATTGAAAGATTATTATTGTTAAAACGTCTATATTAGCTAAAATGACCTACAGATTCAATGAGATTCCTATCAAAATTCTAGTGTCATTTTTCAAAAAAGTAGAAAATACAATCCTAATATATGTGGAACTGCAAAAGACCCCTAATAGCCAAGTCAATGTTGAGAAAGAAGAACAAAGCTAGAGGCAATACATTCCTTGATTTCAAATTCGACTGCAAAACTACAGAAATCAAAACAATATGATGTTGACATCCAGACATGTAGACCAATGGGAAAAAATAGAGATCCTAGAAATAAACCCATACAAGTGCAGTCAGTTATTTGACTAGAGTATTAAGAAAGCAATAGGGAAAGGATAGTCTCTTCAATAAATTATGTTGAGAAATCTGAATATCCTCATGAAAAAGGATGAAATTGGGCTTTCATTTTGCATTATACATAAAAATCAATTCAAAATGAATTGAAAACTTAAAAATGAGATGTGAAACTGCAAAACTTTGGGAAGAAAACATAGGGCAAATATCCCTGACATTGGTCTTATCGATGTTTTTTTTTTTTTTATGTGACAATAAAAGCACAGGAAACAAAAGCGAAAATAAGTCAAACTACATCAAGCAAAAAAGCTTCTGCACAGAAAAGGAAACAATCAACTAAATGAAAAGACAACCTATGAAATGGAAGAAAATATTTGCAAATCTTATATCTGGTAATGGGTTCTTATTTAAAATACATACGGAACTCACACAACTCAATGGGAAAAATAACCCAAATAACCCAATTCAACATGAGCAAAGGATCTAAATAGATACTTCTGAGTTATTCACAGGGGATGGGGAACAGGGAAGATTATAATTACCTCAAGGAGAGGAAAAGCATAGAGTCTTCCAGGGTCCTGTAAAGCTAGAAACGTGTATTACTGAGGACTAGTATATCCCCAATGTAGCAAATAAATTATACATTGAAGCCAGCATAGATTTCTTAATTTATATTATAGGTAGTGTGAAATTATTACTAGTATAATGCTAATATCCCTTCATAGCACGTAATAAATGATATACTAATTTTCTAAATTTCCCTGAAAACAATATAAATGATGTGTAATTTTGAATTATCTCCAAAGAACTTACTTTTTGATATTAGCATTTAAAGATCACTCAAATTATGATAAAAATTTTTTTTTTAAGTAGACAAAAGTATTTTTGAACAAAGATAGGGAGAGTAATACACAAAATGTTTCACTTTTAAACTTGTATTGCTTTTCTAGATATGTTTTCTTTTAGGAAAGCAGAAGCTATTGAAGAGATAACTCTCCATAGCATACATGATTTTAATATTAACTTGGATTTAAACAATTAATGTTGACATTGAGTTCTAATCAAATATCACATTATATTTTATGTATAGGTTTTGCTTTGTTTACCAGATTCTTTACAAATATATATAATAAGACTTTTAGCTATAAAACTGATTTGATATAATGAGAAAACAAAGGTAATCTAACATGCTAGTGGCATTTGATGTGTAATAAATATTAAAGTAAGATTTATTGATTGGGTTCCAAGATGGCCACATAGGAACAGCTCCAGTCTACAGCTCCCAGCATGAATGACGCAGAAGACAGGTGATTTCCAGATATCCAACTGAGGTACCGGGTTCATCTCACTGGGGATTGTCAGACAGTGGGTGCAGGACAGTGGGTGCAGCCCACAGAGTGAGAGCCGAAGCAGGGCTAGGCATCGCCTCACCCGGGAAGTGCAAGGGGTCAGGGAATTCCCTTTCCTAGCCAAGAGAAGCCGTGACAGACAGCACCTAGAAAATCAGGTCAATCCCACCCTAATACTGTGCTTTTCCAAGGGTCTTAGCAAACGGCACAACAGGAAATTATATCCTGCACCTGGTTCGGAGGGTCCCACGCCCACAGAGCCTCATTCACTGCTAGCACAGCAGTCTGAGATCTAACTGCAAGGTGGCAGAGAGGCTGGGGGAGGGGCGCCCGCCGTTGCTGAGGCTTGAGTAGGTAAAAAAAGCAGCCAGGAAGCTCGAACTGGGTGGAGCCCACCACAGCTCAAGGATGCCTGCCTGCCTCTGTAGACTCCAACTCTGGGGGCAGGGCATAGTGGAAAAAAAGGCAGGGAAACCTCTGCAGATTTAAATGTCCCTGTCTGACAGATTTGAAGAGAGTAGTGGTTCTCCCAGCACGGAGTTTGAGATCTGAGAATGGACAGACTGCCACCTCAAATGGGTCCCTGACCCCCAAGTAGCCTAACTGGGAGGCAACCCCCAGTAGGGGCAGATTGACACCTCACATGGCCAGGGACCCCTCTGAGACGAAGCTTCCAGAGGAACGATCAGGTAGCAACATAGGCTGTTCAGCAATATTTGCTCTTCTGCAGCCTCTGCTGCTGATACCCAGACAAACAGGGTCTGGAGTGGACCTGCAGCAAACTCCAACAGACCTGCAGCTGAGGGTCCTGACAGTTAGAAGGAAAACTAACAAACAGAAAGGACATCCACCCTAAAACCCCATCTGTACGTCACCATCATCAAAGACCAAAGGTAAATATAACCACAAAGATGGGGAAAAAACAGAGCAGAAAAGCTGAAAATTCTAAAAATCAGAGTGCCTCTCCCCCTCCAAAGGAACACAGATCCTCACCAGCAATGGAACAAAGCTGGACAGAGAATCACTTTGACGAGGTGAGAGAAGAAGGCTTCAGATGATCAAACTTCTCCGAGCTAAAAGAGGAAGTTAGTACCCATCACAAAGAAGCTAAAAAGCTTGAAAAAAGATTAGACGAATGGCTAACTAGAATAACCAGTGTAGAGAAGTCCTTAAATGACCTGATGGAGCTGAAAACCATGGCATGAGAACTACGTGATGAATGCAGAAGCTTCAGTAACCGATTCGATCAACTGGAAGAAAGGGTATCAGTGATTGAAGAGCAAATGAATGAAATGAAGCAAGAAGAGAAGTTTAGAGAAAAAAGAGTAAAAAGAAATGAACAAAGCCTCCAAGAAATATGGGTCTATGTGAAAAGACCAAATCTATGTCTGATTGGTATACCTGAAAGTGACGGGGAGAATGGAACCAAGTTGGAAAACACTCTGCAGGATATTATCCAGGAGAACTTCCCCACCATAGCAAGGCAGGCCAACATTCAAATTCAGGAAATACAGAGAACACCACAAAGATACTCCTTGAGAAGAGCAACTCCAAGACACATAATTGTCAGATTCACCAAAGTTGAAATGAAGGAAAAAAATATAAAGGGCAGCCAGAGGGAAAGGTCGAGTTACCGACAAAGGGAAGCCCATCAGACTAAGAGTGGATCTCTTGGCAGAAACTCTACAAGCCAGAAGAGTGTAGGGGCCAATATTCAACATTCTTAAAGAAAAGAATTTTCAACCCAGAATTTCATATCTGGTCAAACTAAGCTTCATAAGAGAAGGAGAAATAAAATCCTTTACAGACAAGCAAATGCCTGCCCTACAAGACCTCCTGAAGGAAGAACTAAACATGGAAAGGAACAACTGGCACCAGCCACTGCAGAAACATGCCAAAATGTAAAGACCATCGATGCTAGGAAGAAACTGCATCAAATAACAAGCAAAATAACCAGCTAACATCATAATGACAGGATCAAATTCACACATAACAATATTAACCTTAAATGTAAATGGGCTAAATGCTCCAATTAAAAAACACAGACTGGCAAATTGTATAAAGAGTTAAGACCCATCAGTGTGCTGTATTCAGGAGACCCATCTCATATGCACAGACACACATAGGTTCAAAATAAAGGGATGGAGGAAGATCTAACAAGCAAATGGAAAACAAAAAAAGGCAGGGGTTGCAATCCTAGTCTCTGATAAAACAGACTTCAAACCAACAAAGATCAAAGAGACAAAGAAGGCCATTACATAATGGTAAAGGGATCAATTCAACAAGAAGAGCCAACTATCCTAAATATATATGCACCCAATACAGGAGCACCCAGATTCATAAAGCAAGTCCTTAGAGACTTACAAAGAGACTTAGACTCCCACACAATAATAATGGGAGACTTTAACACCCCACTGTCAACATTAGACAGATCAGCAAGACAGAAAGTTAACAAGGATATCCAGGAATTGAACACAGCTCTGCACCAAGCAGACCTAATAGACATCTACAGAACTCTCCACCCCAAATCAACAGAATATGCATTCTTCTCAGCACCACATTGCGCTTATTCCAAAATTGACCACATAGTTGGAAGTAAAGCACTCCTCAGCAAATGTAAAATAAGAGAAATTATAACAAACTGTCTCTAGGACCACAGTACCATCAAACTAGAACCCAGGATTAAGAAACTCACTCAAAGCTGCTCAACTACCTGGAAACTGAAAAACCTGCTCCTGAATGACTACCGGGTACGTAAGGAAATGAAGGCAGAAATAAAGATGTTCTTTGAAACCAAGGAGAACAAAGACACAACATACCAGAATCTCTGGGACACATTTAAAGCACTGTGTAGGGGAAATTTATAGCACTAAATGCCCACAAGAGAAAGCAGGAAAGATCTAAAATTGACACCCTAACATCACCAATAAAAGAACTAGAGAAGCAAGAGCAAACACATTCAAAAGCTAGCAGAAGGCAAGAAATAACTAAGATCAGAGCAGAACTGAAGGAAATAGAGACACAAAAAACCCTTCAAAAAATCAATGAATCCAGAAGGTGGTTTTTTGAAGAGATCAACAAAATTGATAGACTGCTAGCAAGACTAATAAAGAAGAAAAGAGAGAAGAATCAAATAGACGCAATAAAAAATGATAAAGGGGATATCACCATCGATCCCACAGAAATACAAACTACCATCAGAGAATACTATAAACACCTCTACACAAATAAACTAGAAGATCTAGAAGAAATGGATAAATTCCTGGACACATACACCCTCCCAAGACCAAACCAGGAAGAAGTTGAATCCCTGAATAGACCAATAAGAGGCTCTGAAATTGAGGCAATAATTAATAGCCTACCAACCGAAAAAGGCCAGGTCCAGACAGATTCATAGTAGAATTCTACCAGAGGTACAAGGAGGAGCTGGTACCATTCCTTCTGAAACTATTCCAATCAATAGAAAAAGAGGGAATCCTCCCTAACTCACTTTATGAGGCCAACATCATCCTGATCCCAAAGCCTGGCAGAGACACAACAAAAAAATAAAGAATTTTAGACCAATATCCCTGATGAACCTCGATGCAAAAATCTTCAATAAAATACTGGCAAACCAAATCCAATAGCACATCAAAAAGCATATCCACCATGATCAACTGGGCTTCATCGCGGGGATGCAAGGCTGATTCAAAATACACAAATCAATAAACATAATCTACCATATAAACTCAACCAAAGACAAAAACCACATGATTATCTCAAATGCAGAAAAGGCCTTTGATAAAATTCAACAGCCCTTCATGCTAAAACCTCTCAATAAATTAGGTATTGATGGGACAAATCTAAAAATAATAAGAGCTATTTATGACAAACCCACAGCCAATATCGCACTGAATGGGCAAAAACTGGAAGCAATCCTTTTGAAAAGTGGCACAAGACAGGGATGCCCTCTCTCACCACTCCTATTCAACATAGTGTTGGAAGTTCTGGCAAGGGCTATCAGGCAGGAGAAAGAAATAAAGGGTATTCAATTAGGAAAAGAGGAAGTCTAATTGTTCCTGTTTGCAGATGACATGACTGTATATTTCTAAAACCCCATCCTCTCAGCCCAAGATCTCCTTAATCTGATAAGCAACTTCAGCAAAGTCTCAGGATACAAAATCAATGTGCAAAAATCACAAGCATTCTTATACACCAATAACAGACAAACAGAGACCCAAATCATGAGTGAACTCCCATTCACAATTGCTTCAAAGAGAATAAAATACCAAGGAATCCCTTAAAGGGGATGTGAAGGACCTCTTCAAGGAGAACTACAAACCACTGCTCAACAAAATAAAAGAGGACACAAACAAATGGAAGAACATTCCATGCTCATGGATAGGAAGAATGAGTATCGTGAAAATGGCCATACTGCCCAAGGTAATTTATAGATTCAATGCCATCTCCCTCAAGCTACCAATGACTTTCTTCACAGAATTGGAAAAAACTACTTTAAAGTTCATATGGAACCAAAAAAGAGCCCACATTGCCAAGACAATCCTAAGCCAAAAGAACAAAGCTGGAGGCATCACGCTACCTGACTTCAAACTATACTACAAGGCTACAGTAACCAAAAGAGCATGGTACTGGTACCAAAATGGAGATGTAGACCAATGGAATAGAACAGAGCCCTCAGAAATAATACCACACATCTACAACCATCTGATCTTTGACAAACCTGACAAAAACAACAAATGGGGAAATGGTTCCCTATTTAATAAACGGTGCTGGGAAAACTGGCTAGCCATATGTAGAAAGCTGAAACTGGATCCCTTCCTTACACCTCATATAAAAATTAATTCAAGATGGATTAAAGACTTACGTGTTAGACCTAAAACCTTAAAAACCCTAGAAGAAAACCTAGGCAATACCATTCAGGACATAGGCATGGGCAAGGACTTCATGTCTAATACACCAAAAGCAATGGCAACAAAAGCCAAAATTGACAAATGGGATCTAATTAAACTAAAGAGCTTCTGCACAGCAAAAGAAACTACCATCAGAGTTAACAGACAACCTACAAAATGGGAGAAAATTTTTGCAATCTACTCATCTGACAAAGGGCTAATATCCAGAATCTACACAGAACTCAAACAAATTTACAAGAAAAAAAACAAACAACCCCATCCACAAGTGGGCAAAGGATATGAACAGACACTTCTCAAAAGAAGACATTTGTGCAGCGAACAGACACATGAAAAAAATGCTCATCATCACTGGCCATCAGAGAAATGCAAATCAAAACCACAATGAGATACCATCTCACACCAGTTAGAATGGTGATCATTAAAAAGTCAGGAAACAACAGGTGCTGGAGAGGATGTGGAGAAATAGGAATACTTTTACACTGTTGGTGGGACTGTAAACTAGTTCAACCATTGTGGAAGTCAGTGTGGCAATTCCTCAAGGATCTAGAACTAGAAATACCATTTGACCCAGCCATCCCATTACTGGGTATATACCCAAAGGTTTATAAAGCATGTTGCTATAAAGACACATGCACACGTATGTATATTGTGGCACTATTCACAATAGCAAAGACTTGGAACCAACCCAAATGTCCATCAGTGATAGACTGGATTAAGAAAATGTGGCACATATACACCATGGAATACTATGCAGCCATAAAGAAGGATGAGTTCATGTCCTTTCTAGGGACATGGATGAAGCTGGAAACCATCATTCTGAGCAAACTATCGCAAGGACAGAAAACCAAACGCTGCATGTTCTCATTCATAGGTGGGAATTGAACAATGAGAACACATGGACACAGGAAGGGGAACATCACACTCTGGGGACTGTTGTGGGGTGGGGAGAGGAGGGAGGGATAGCATTAGGAGACATACCTAATGTAAATGACAAGTTAATGGGTGCAGCGCACCAACATGGCACATGTATACATATGTAACAAACCTGCACGTTGTGCACATGTACCCTAGAACTTAAAGTATAATAATTAAAAAGTAAGATTTATTATCACTAATATGAACAATTAAAATGTTATGTTAATCTGACCTAACAGAAAATAATGACAATAAAATTATAATGTTGTATTAAATTAGTGATTTAGACTTTACACATCTTAAATGCCTCTGAAATATGATATAATGAAAGACATTATACCTATCAAATTTCTAGCCCAGACATTACACAGAATAGTAAGGGCAAGCTAAGCTTCTGTAGCTTATTCTATCACTTCTATTCATTCATGGAGCTCTTAAAGTACTTTGATTCAGGGACAAAAAACAAAACAAAACCCAGCTAAATCCCTTAATAACACCATTAATGACTGAAAAACATGGCTTGAAAAAAAATTCCTTCATTATTTAATCAAAATGAGAGAAATATTGAGATAGATAGGCAGATAACTAAATAGCTGTAGACAAGGCATAAAAAAGTGAATTTTCAATTGTTCTGTAGATTATGAGACACTCAAGAAATTTTATAAGTGATGATTAACATAATTGACAAGTTCCAATTTCTCTGTTTGCAAACAAGCAGCTTGCATTTTGAATTAGAAATGTTGGTAGAGAAATAAGTTTTGACTGTGAAAACCTGCTAATGAAAACTGCTACTTTATGCTCAACGCATAGAAATTGCATAACTGCTGCACTAAATTGATATTTTCATTCCAGAGAACTTCATAGAGATGCCAGAGAATGTAATTCATAGCTTAGCAATTCTTCTTAAACATTTAGTACTGAATGAGGAAAACAGCTGAACAAGATAACAGAGGAATTTTGTTAGTGAATATATTCAAGCAGCACAATGATATATTTTTTAATTTATAATAAAATTTTCAGATGTATAAATATTCTTCTAGATATTTAGAATTAATATTATTAGCAGTTCAAGTATAATATTTTTAAAAATAGTCCTGCAATATGCCAAAAATAAAGGGAAACATGGTATATGTAAATATTACCTTCAAACTTTGATTGGAATAAAAGTGTATACTTTGTCTATGACTACATTATAAAAATTACCTATAGAAATTAGTTGCTACAACACAGGCATTATATTAATACATGTATTAGTATAGGTAGGGATATAGAACTGTGTAACAATATGTAACTCTCTTCTACAGGGTAACACCAACTTGTGTTTTATATATGTGATATCAACAGCTATTAATGTTTCAATTATTATACTATTGCCATCATCAAAATAGGTAACAATATACATTAAACAATTTAATTTTCACAAAAACTCCATAGTTAAAAAAATTAGTATCCCTAATTTATATATAAATAAACTGAGATACAGAGACCTTAAGGATGTTAACCAGGTCACAGAACTAATAATTAATAGACACAAGCAATAAATTAAGCAGTTTGGATCCCGTAAGGACCGAAGGCAATGACTTGGCACAAAATTCCATTATTTGACAATAGCAAATATAGCCAGGCAAAGAATATACTATGGCTCCCATTTTACCCTTACTTGGTGACTTCTCAGGCAATCATACTTTAAGCAACAAAGTAAAACAAACAAACAAAAAAGGACAGACTTTGCTTATAAGTACAGATTTCCATTTCTAGGTATGATGGATACATAATTATTTTGCTTCAGACCAATATTACCAGGTAGAAAAAGTAAAGACTAATGAAATAAAATATATGAGGAATTTGAGATAATGAGAAATGAGGGGTCAATATCAAAATGAGAAAGCAACCACAGAGAGGTAAGCTGGTATTCCACTTGACATCCTTCCCTGCAGCATTTAAGGATGCTTTGTACAAAGCAATAAGGGGAAGACCATGATCATGAGGCAGAAGAGATACCAGATATATTAAAAAATTAGCAAAAATAGACTTATGGTTGCTTTTTTTGTAAGGAGTTATATACTGTTATTAATTTTTGATGACAAATTATAGCTGTATATAATTATGGGGTACAAAGTGGTGTTATAATTTTTAATATAGTTTGGTGTGGTTAAAGCTACTTCACATATTTATCATCTCAAATATTTAAGCATTTTGTGATTAAAAACATTAGAAACTTATTCTCTTAGCAAAATTCATATGTACAGTACTGAGCTAATGGCTACATTCGTCATGCTGTGTAATTGATCTTCTGACTTCTAACAGAAATCATAGAGCCTAGACAACAATAAAATACAGCTTTAAAATGCTAAAATAAACCTACTGCAAGCATAGGATCGTATAGCCAGTGAAAACATCCTTCAAGGTTGAATACTAAATAAAAAATCAAAATATAAAAATTCCAGATGAATAAAAATTGAGGTAATTCACTGCCAGTAAACAGAAACTACACAAATATTAAATCAAAGTGTTTACACAGAAGGACAACGATCTGAGAGTGAAAAAGAAATGCAGGAAGTAAATAAAGAGCCTAATACTGACTGTAAATAACAAATATAGCAATGTTTAAAACAAATGCATAATTAAAATGCATGGCAAACACAGCAAAAAAGAAAGATGGGACAAATAAAGTTAAAGTATTCCAAGGCCATGGCATTATTTGAGAAGTGATTTTACATTATTATTATTAAAGATTCATATTGTAATTATGTGGCAACTACTGCAATACCCAATCTGCTGGAACACTCAGCATGCCAATAGGGTAGTATTAGGTATGTCTCTTCAGTGGGAATTCTTACAAAATTCAAGGGCAATTTTTAGGATTACTAAATGAACGCTGAGATGTAAGGCAGCACTTCAGAGTGTGGAAACATTTCTATCTTAGAAGCTGTAGGTTCCATATAAGAAGCACTGGGCATAACCCTCGGCCCCCACAACGAAACACCTCTGTATGTCATTCAACATACAAGAAAAATCAAAGCTGTGTCTTCCAACGTGATATTTGTAATTCATAAATGGTCCTTTTAATCCAGCTTCTAGGAACTTATTACTTAGTATTACACTAAAATGCCGTTATCATCAGTCTTCTAGGAAAACAGGTACATAAAAGTTAACCCCAGGTCAGTTTCCCATGTAGAAAGAAAGTTTTGTTAAAATTATACTCACAACTATGAAAATAGTAGTAACAAGTTGGATATCAAAATAAAATTCATAGAGAAAACATCTCAAAGGGAGAAAAAGGAAAAAGCTAGTGGGACAAACTAAAAACAGATACTAAAATGGCTGATATAAATCTAAATTAGTAAGTAATTATAATGAACTTATATAGGCTAAATGCTTATAGAGCAAGTTAGAAAATAACAATGCCCATAATGCTTATTAGAATCGAATCTTTAATGTAAGGGAAGAAAGCTAAATGTAGAAGGATTAAAAAAATGCATACTGTAAATACACCAAGCAAAAGAAAGCAGTACTTAAAAACAGGGACATTACATAATAGTAAATGGGTCAATGATAGGAATTACCAGAAATTTATGACAATTATAAAAATGTAATTGGTAAATAAAATCTATAAAAATTATGTAATTTTTATTGATAAAAATATAAAGAAAAATTCAAATCCAAAATTAGAGTGAGAATTTTTATATTACTTTCTCAATAATTAATGGAAAAAGCAAAATATATAAACATATGTAGAAGAACTGAAAAAAATTATTATCAGGTTTGACCTGTTTTACATGCACAAATATCTATAGCCAAAACAAAATTTATTTTTTAAAGTATCCATGGAAAATTGACTGCATATTGGCCACAAAGCTAGTTGCCAAAAGTTGTCAAATATTAAGATCAATAATAAAAAGAAAATGTAAAAAACCCAAAGCTGAGAATTAACAACACAAATTTTAAATAATATATAGGTGGAAAAATTCCAATAGAAATTATGAGACTTTGAAAATAATGATAATGAAAATACGATAAATTAAAACGATTATAGCAAATCTACTAGAAGAATAATGTGTAACCTTAAAAACACACCATAGTAGACAGTAAAAGTCTGAACTAAATGATATTTCATGAAGAAAAGAAACAACAAATTAAACCCGAAATATAAAAAGAATTCATACATACTGAAGGTAATAAGATAGAAAAATGTATGTAATATAAATAAAATTAAACCAGATTTCACCTTTTGCAAATATTAATACAATCAATAAACACTTAGCAACTCTGATTTTACAAAGAAAGAGAGGAAGAGGAGGCACAAATTTCTCATATCAGGAATTAAAAAAAAGCACAATGTATCTTACAAACATCAAAAAGTTAATAAAAAATATTAAGAGCATCTTTATAAGAATGAGAAAAATCCTAGGAAAACAAACCTGAAATTGGCATAAAGAGGAAACCTGTGTAAATCTGTATCTACTTGTAAAAATAAATTTATAATTAATTAAAAATATTCCCTAAGAATATCTTAGTCCCAAATGCCTTTACCAATTAGTTATCACAAATATTTAAGGAAGAGATGATAAGAAAATTCACAAATAGGTTCTTCTATAAAATAAAAACATGTGGAATACTTTCCACTCATTATATGAGAGAAAAAAAAAGGCACACAAAATTCACAAGGAAATTACAATTAAAAAATTACAGTCTAATTGCTACCATGAATACATAAGAAAATAATTAACTAAAATATTAACAAAATAATTCCAATGGTATGTGAAAAGAAAAAAAATATATCATGACCATAGTGCATTTTTCTCCAATGAAAAATTGGGTTTAACATTCAAAAATTCAATAATTCAAGAAATTAATTGAATATAGAGTAAAACATACAATAATTTCAATAGATATGGAAAAAGTATATGCTAAATCCAACACCAGTTAATGATAAATACTTTAAATTTAAAAAGGTATGCCCTTAAACTAAAAATAGGAATATCCATAAAAGTACATACATCAAATTTTATATTTAGTAGTGAAATCTTAAAATATTTTCCATGAGTGAGATGAGGATTTCCAATATCTCCACTTATACTTTACATTGTCTAGCAAAATATTAGACAGGGTTGTAAGGTAAGAAAAATAACGTGTTTAAGTAAGAACTGAAAAGGAACAGATAACTAAGATTACCATCATTTACAGATAGCAAGTTTGTGTACTTAGAAAATTCAAAGTACATTACAGATAAACTTTTATAATTAGTAAATTTATCAAGATTCATAGACACAAGATAAATATGACTATCAATTTGGCTCATATGTGTGCATGTATGTAAACATGTGTGTTTAGAAATTGTGCAAACACACAATTGAACAGCTCACTTCTTTTCAAATTTCAAATGTCTTGCATAAAATAAAAATATTGAACTAGTTTCTGGTCCTCCTTCTTGTGTACACAACACTTGAGTACCTGAATAAAGTTCCCATAGGAAAATACAGAAACTCATAAATTTTTGTTTCTTAAAATTTCGGAGGTCTTTTTTTTTACTCCTTGGTACAGTTAGTTTCAAATCTTCCTTCCAGCTCCAAATTTCTGTGATGCAGTGATTTATGGATATCATCTACAAATCTGCATAATTTCATCCAAGCTGGGTATAGACCTTTACTATTTATTTTCTGCCGCCTGTAACGCCGCTCCCTTACATCTTTCAATACTTATGGTCCATGAATATTCCTGGATCATAGAAATAACCTCCTATTGTTTTCAGATTTACTGAAATATTTTGTTGCTTAAAAAATGCATTTAATTAAATGAATGCAGATTGGTTTTTTCCATCACTTACAATACCTCATGAAGATAAATCTCTTCACTCACTATCAGTCATTTTGCAGTATTAACTGCAAATGTGCATTGTGCACATTTTACTGTGTTATTTGTATATAGATCCAGAATTTATCCACATTTTATTCCTTTTATCATTCAACTTGTTGTCCTATGTCATCTAATGTGTTTTCAATATGTATCTTACTGACAGTTTTTTCGAAGTTACAGTGTTCGATGTAATAGAGAACTGAAAATTAATATAGAATGTCTTTACACAAATAAAGTATATATATATATATACACACACACACACACACATACATACATATATATTAGAAGTTAAAATGGAATCATCCATAGTTGTGGGTTTTCGTTGCTATTTTTTTTTTTTTTTTTTTTTTTGAGACAGAGTCTCGCTTTTTCACCCAGGCTGGAGTGCAGTGGCATGAACTCGACTCACTGCAACCTCCACCTTCCGGCTCAAGCGATCCTCCTGCCTCAGCCTCCTGAGTAGCTGGGACTACAGGTATGCACCACCATGCCTAATTTTAAGTTTTCTTTGGTAGAGACGGGGTCTC
This sequence comes from Homo sapiens, assembly GCF_000001405.40. Taxonomy (NCBI): domain Eukaryota; kingdom Metazoa; phylum Chordata; class Mammalia; order Primates; family Hominidae; genus Homo; species Homo sapiens. The sequence goes on along the minus strand of NC_000014.9, from coordinate 27,351,338 downwards.
CCTATGTTGCCCAGGCTGATCTAGAATCCCTGGGCTCAAGTGATCCACCTACCCGGGCCGCCCAAAGTGCTGGGATTACAGACAGGCACCACTGAGCCTGACCCATAGTTTTTAAGAAAAGCATAACTAGATTGTACAAGAGAGTAATGCCATATTGGCAGTGCCTTAAAAGCACCTGGTGTAAAAAAGGAATGATGTTTTTATCCATAAAATTCATGCTTTTAGAATTTAGAAAAAAGAGAGTAGCCGGGCACGGTGGCTCACGCCTGTAATCCCAGCACGTTGGGAGGCCGAGGCGGGCGGATCACGAGGTCAGGAGATCGAGACCAACCTGGCTAACACGGTGAAATCCCGTCTCTACTAAAGATACAAAAAATTAGCCGGGCGCGGTGGCGGCGCCTTTGGTCCCAGCTACTCAGGACCGCGGCGCCTGTGGTCCCAGCTACTCAGGAGGCTGAGGCAGGAGAATGGCGTGAACCCGGGAGGCGGAGCTTGCAGTGAGAGGAGATCACCAGGGCACTCAAGCTTGGGTGACAGAAGGAGACTCCATCTCAAAAAAAAAAAAAAAAAGAAAAAAGAAAAAGAAAAAGAAAAAAATAGAGTAATAGAATAACACATTTTTATTTGGCTTTGAGGAAAATGTAATGCTACCTTTCCAGTTTGCAAAGGAAGTGAGAGATCTTTTTCCAATTGATTAAAATATAAAGCTTCATTGTGATAGAAGAAAATGCAAACATTAACTGAGACTGAGAGGATGTGGCTCCACCTTTGTGTTTGTGACCTGGGACCGTCTTTACAGTTGTGAAGGCCTTTGTCACTAATATATATTAAGGACTGTCAGTAATCTCACCTTGAACTCAGAGAAGATTTTATTATTTATATGGATGTTTAGATAAAGTGAACTTCTAATCTGTTATTGCAAAGTCACTTCACCTCCAAGAATGCAAGTTTTCACATCTGCGGAGTACGGGGCTCCAATATTCCTCTCAACTCGAATTCTCTGTAAGTCTTTGTGCATAAATAATTGTAATTCAAACATTTTAGGATGTGGCCATGGCAGAATTCAAGCAGTTCAGAGAGGGAGGTGCTGATTTCTGAATGGGAGGATAATTTCAGAATACAGATCTTAAAGGACTCAGAACTATTGCCTATGCAGGAATATTCTAAACATAAGCAATGCAGCATCACAAATTTTGATTTAAAAAGTATGTGGATTTAGGAAAGCATTCAAAATTATCTTGAAAGGGTAAATCTAATGGGGCAAATATGTAGTGACCTTGAGAACACTAAAGATATTGGATATAAACCATTAAATACTAGGAGGAAATTGTAGGCTTTGATAGAGGAAGATCTAATAAATAAAATAAATGTATGTGAAAAGGAAACGTATAAACTTTTTCCAGCAGTTATCTCAATGTTGGGTTCGAACATTGCTGCTTATTCAGGCAGCACACAATGAATGGATAAGGCAATAAATATTCACGCTTGTAATTTATAAGATATAGCCTTGTAAACTGAGTTTATATGAGCATGTAAATATTTTCTTAATAATTTTCTAATCATTACATTGCCTAAATGAGTGGCAAGAACATATTAGGTATTTAATCAATATCTTTTATCATGTTATTAATGATGATCATAGTATATGTGTACATAGATGGGAAGAAATGATTGCCAATATTAAAGAAAAGAGGAAGAAATACATTTTACTTTTTTACTGAGTGTTCTTTTCAATATTTATGTTATATATATTTTTTAATGGACAGATAAAATTGTATGTATTTACTATGTACAGGATATTGTTATGAAGTATATACACATTGTGGAATGTATAAAATTGTATATATTTATCATTTACATTTTTGAAATATGTATACATTGCGAAATGACTAAATTGAGCTTATTAACATACATATTGCCTCACATACTTATTATTGTTTTGTTCACATAGTAAGAAAACTTAAAATCTACTCTCTTAGCAATTTTTAAGAATACAATGGTGTTATTAACTGTCGTCACCACGTTGTACAATAGACCTTTTGAACGTATTTGTCTTATCTAACTTAACTTTTGTATTCTTTAACCAACGTCTCTCCCATGGCCCCAGCATCTGGTAGCCACCATAGTACTCTCTACATTTATGAGTTCAACTATTTTAGATTCCACATATAAGTGTGATCTTATCCATTTCCTTTAGAACATCTGAAAAACAACTGCATTTATGCAATTTTCCTCAAAAGCAGAAGCAAGGAACAAAAATAAAAATGTACAAATGGGGACCAGGCACGGTGGTTCACACCCGTAATCCCAGCACTTTGGGAGGCTGAGGTGGGTGGATTACTTGTGGTCAGGAGTTTGAGACCAGCCTGGCCAACATAGTGAAACCATGTCTCTACTAAAAATACAAAAAGTTAGCCGGGCATGGTGCCACATGCCTATAATCCCAGCTACTCGGGAGGCTGAGTCAGGAGAATCGCTGAACCGGGGAGGCAAAGGTTGCAGTGAGCCGAGATCACACCACTGCACTCTAGCCTGGGCAACAGAGTGAGACTAAATTAATTAGTTAGTTAATTTACAAATGGGACCTAGTTAAACTAAAGTGCTTCTGCACAACAAAAGAAATTATCAATAGAGTCAACAGACAACCTACAGAACAAGAGAAAATATTTGCAAACTATGCATCTAACAAAGGACTAATAACCAAAATCTATAAGTAATTTAAACATATCAACAAGAAAAAAACAAAGTAGCCCCATTAAAACAGGCAAAGGAAATAAACTTACTCTTCTCCAAAGAAGGCATACAAGCAGTTGACAAAATTATTTTAAAAATGCTTGTTGTCAGTAATCTTCAGAGAAATGCAAATCAAAACCACAGTAAGATACCTTCTCACACAAGTCAGAACAGCTATTATTAAAAAGTCAGAAAATAATAGATGCTGGTGAGGCTACAGAGAAAAGGGAACTCTTGTACACTGTTGGTAGGAATGTAAATTAGTTCAGCCACTGTGGAAAGCAGTTTGGAGATTTCTCAAATAACTTAAAACAGAGCTGCCATTCAACACAGCAATCCCATTACTAGGTATTTACCCAAAGGAAAATAAATCCTTTTCCCGAAAAGCCATATGCACGTGTATGTTCATTGCAATAGTATTCATAATAGCGAAGACATGCAATCAATATAGGTGCCTATCAATGGTGGATTGGATAAATAAAACATTATACACATACACCATCAAATACTATACAGCCATATTACAAAATGAAATCATGTCCTTTGCAGCAACATGGATGCAGCTAGAGATCACTATTCTAAGCGAATTGACACAGGAACAGAAAACCAAATACTGCAGGTTTTCACTTATAAGTGCAATCTAAACATTGAATATACATGGGCATAAAGATGGAAACAATAGACACTGGAGACTACTAGACGGAGGAGGAAGAGAGGAGGTAGAGGCTCTAAAAACTACCTATTGGGTACTATTCTATTGGGTACTATGCTCACTACCTGGATGACAGGGTCCAAACCTCAGCATCATGTAATATACTCATGTAACAAATCTGCAGGTGTACCCTCTAAATCTAAAATAAAATGTGAAGGAAAAAAAAAGTAGAAGCAAGAATCTGTACATCATTACATCCCAAACAACGATGCAAAAGTTATAAAATAACTTTTATAAAAATCATCTATGATTAGTAGTTGATTTTTTGCAAAATTTATTTCATATCTATGGCAACGATCAATTCAATAAATGTCATTGAAGTACATTTAATGACATATTTAAACTTCAAAATGATCTGTTTTAATACAGTATGAAAAATATTAAAATCACCTTCAATAGGTATGTTAAAATGCTCATAATCAAAATAGCAGCTATTTAAAATATCCAAACTAATAGCAATTAATTTCTTAAGAAAAATATTTTTGTAGTTTTAAATTCATGCTTATGCTTAAATATACAATTATGTTATTTTAATTCAAATGCATGTTAGCACAAAACAAAAAAATACAAATTAAGTTATCTTAAAAAAATGTAGCACTTAATTTTATTAAATTACATCAAAACAGCCATTGTGTATATAGTCACAGTTACTTTATGTTGATCTCAATTCAATTTTATTTCCATGGTGCTACACAATGTACCAGCAGTCAAATGTAATAGATATGGCACCATGCAATCAGACACTATTCCTAATATTCATAAAGTCAACTGTTTTCTGCTTCAGTGGTGCAGTGAATTAATTGTAATTGAGTGTATCTCAACATAAATTTTGAAATGGCTTGCTATATGCCTTCTATTAAAACTTGCATGAATTAAAAATTCATTAGATACCAAGTAAGATACTGTAAATTTTCTTAAACCTCTCAAGTATTTTATGTAGTTTATATTCATTCACCTTGATTTATACAAATTATTAGTGTGAGAATTAATGAGTCATCACATCCTATGTAAGATTATATTTTTCTTCATTCTATTATTTCTTTATGATTAAAATGTTACATTCTGAAATATGAGAAATGTTACTGGCAGTGTGGGTTTTGATGTATACATCTTATTAGGCCAAGAAGATGTTAAAGCGTTTTATTGCTCTGCCAAGAGAGTGAAAGACATAAAAAGACAAAATGTGAGCAAATGAATGAAAGGAAATTATCTTGGTGTCTCTTTAAGAATTAATTTATATTTTATCTTTATTCCTTTTAGTAGTTTAAATGTTTGACATGATTTTTGTACTGAGATGGAGTTTTGATTTTTATAATAGACTTGTTTTTTTAATTTGTAAACAGCCAAATATCTATTTTCTCCTGTCTATCTACCTAATAATACAAATGAACAACATCACTTTGTGCCTAGTCGTAAACCTAAAAACATATTATATTAGTTTTGTTTTATTTAAGGCACTTTTTAACTCTATGTTGATTTTTTTTAACTCTATGTTGATTTTTTTATTCCTAGTCTAATACTCATGTATAAACCTGAACCATTTCCTTGGAGACAATAAAAATTAGATGAAATCTCATTCATTAATTTAAAATTATGATTTAATTATTTATTTTATATTTTTTACCTTCCAATAATCTAAAATATTCCAATAATCCAAAAATCTAATAATTTAAAATTATAATAATTTATTAATTTGCTTTTACTGTTTGTGATTAATATTTAAGGTGACACCATCATTTTAAGCTTATGTTTATGCTGTTTCACCATTTAACCAGTCTTGACTAATAATGTATGTTTAAATATGTATTTTCTTTCTCTGATTTTCCACAGGCAATTCAAATTCAACTTGTCCAGATGTGAACATTTAATCCTTTTCAAGAATCTTGGTATTCTGTGATCCATGTCTTAGCAAAAGGCACTACCTTCAACTCAATTTTACAAATCAGAAACCTGACATCATCTTTGATACCTCATTTACATTTAGCTTGCATGGCTATTCAAATAACAATCCTATGAACTTCATATCTAAGTATTTCTTTAATTCATGGAGTTTTCTTTAACTTGATTGCCACCATCCTAGTCCATGTAACCATTATCTCCACATTGTTTATTTGTAAAAAATCCATAACCCATTTCCCAGCACTATTCTAAAGTCATTTAAATTCATTTTTATCCTGAGTTAAAATGACCTTTAAAAAATAACTGATTATATTATTTCTAGGCTCAACAACTTTTATGTCTGACACTGCCCTTTGTGTGGGGATCAACACACAAAATCCTGGATCCATATAAGCAATCTGCATCTTTCTCCTGGAATGGCATAATTAACTCGCCTCTCTGCAGCCCAGTCACATAAGCACCCTTCCTTTGCTAACACAGTCTGTGTACCTTTTTGTCTCTTGGCCTTTGTACTTAATGTTTTCACTGCCTAAAATTCTGTCTACTAAGTTGACTGTTAATTCTTAGTCAACCATAGCTACCAAGGCTTATTGATGATAATAGGAACCTCTTTAGCTATCTACATCAAGAAGGGATTGTATCAGCAAAAGTGGTTCGGAAGATAGGAGTTTTAGAATATTGGGTGGGCATGAAGGAAAACCTCCCAAAACTAAACAGAATCAATGAATCAGGGATACTACTACCTCTGAGAAGCTACCTGAAAAGGGTAGCATGAGTTGCTCCTTAAGAATGATTCTTATTTATTAGTTTAGTTCTTAAACTAGTTAGGTGTCAATAATCCAGAATCAAGACATTGCAATCACACAAATGACTTTTGACCCTCAAGAGCTGAAGAATGGAAAATAAAAGACCTTCCAAGTCTCATGATTCCATTTTACTCGTAGAACCAAATTTGCATTTAAAACTATTCTAATAAAGTCTGTGAAGCTAGTTCTCCATAAGGATGATGGAATGTTGGCTGAACAACCAATCCACAGTTTCCATCAGGTCACCTTCCAGAGATCAACCTAAGTCACTCATAATTACCAAGTATTTGATTGCCTCAGTAGGATAGACTGTAAATTTCACATAGGCAGGAGCCAGATCTCCTTTGTTCCTTGCTACATCCATAGCACCAAGTAACCCACTTTGCATATGGCAAATACTCCACAAATATTTTATTGAATTAATCAACATGAGAATTTAAACTATCATTAGGCATTGTACTCATTTTTTCATGGAAACAAATAATTTTCTCAAGTATCAAAATAATATAAAGAACTTTGATAATGCCAGCTCAGTAAAGTAGAGGGAATTATTAATACATTGTGGCATTTTTTATAGAACACTAAATTGTCTTATTTTAATCTGTCTGGTTTAGCATTGAAAATTAACCAGAAACAATCATTAGAAAAAAAAAATTCTAAATAAAATTGTTAGTTTCTCCATATGTTCTTGTAATAGTCCATTCTCACGCTGCTAATAAAGACATACCTGAAACTGGGTAATTTATAAAAGAAGTAAGTTTAATGGACTGACAGTTTCACATGGCTGAGGAGGCCTGACAATCATGGCAGAAGGTGAAGGAAGAGGAAAGTCACTTCTTACATGGTGGCAGGCAAGAGAGCATGTGCAGGGGAACTCCCCTTTATAAAACAATCATATCTTGTGAGACTTATTCACTATCACAAGAACAACATGGAAAAAAAACCTTCCACAATGATTCAATTACCTCCCACCAGATCCCTCCTATGACATGTGGGGATTATTAAAATTCAAGGTGAGATTTGGCTGGGGACACAGAGCTAAACCATATAATTCTGCTGCTGGTCCCTCCCAAATCTCATGTCCTCACATTTCAAAACCAATAATGCCTTTCCAACAATCCTCCAAAGTCTTAACTCATTTCAGCATTAACTCAAAAGTCCACAGTCCAAAGTTTCATCTGAGACAAGGCAAATCCCTTCCGCCTATGAGCCTATAAAATCAAAAGGCAAGTTAGTTACTTCCTAGATACAATGGGAGTACAGGCATTGGGTAAATACAACTGTTCCAAACAGGAGAAATTGGCCAACATGTAGGGGCTACAGGCCCCATGCAACTCCAAAATCCAACAGGGCAGTCAAATATAAAAGCTCCAAAATTATCTCCTTTCACACCCTGTCTCATATCCAGGACATGTTGATGCAAGAGGTGGATTCCCACAACCTTGGACAGCTCTGCCCCTGTAGCTTTGCAGGGTACAGCCTACCTCCTGGCTGCTTTCACTGTGTGGCATTGAGTGTATGCAGCTTTTCCAGATGTGGGACGCAAGCTGTCAGTGGATCTACCATTCTGTGGTCTGGAGGATGGTGGCACTCTTCTCATAGCTCCACTAGGCAGTGAATCAGTGGGGACTCTGTGTGGGAGCTCACACCTCATATTTCCCTTCTGCATTACCCTAGCAGAGGTTCTCTTTGAGGGCTCTGCCCCTGCAACATACCTCTGCCTGGACATCCAAGCATTTTCTTACATCCTCTGAAATCTAGGGGGAGGTTCTCCAACCTCAATTCTTGACTTCTGTGCACCTGCAGGCACATCACCATGTGGAAGCTCCCAATGCTTGGGACTTGCACCCTCTGAAGTGAAGGCACAAGCTGTACCTTGGCTCCTTTTAGCCAGGGCTGGAGTGGTTGGGATGCAGGGCACCAAGTCCCTAGACTGTACACAGCAGACCCTGGCCCAGGAAACAATTTTTCCCTCCTAGGCCTCCAGGCATGTGATGGGACAGGCTGCCATGAAGGTCTCTGACATGCCCTGGAGATATTTTCCCCACTGTCCTGATGATTAGCATTTGGATCCTTGTTACTTACTTATACAAATTTAATATCTCCCCAGAAAATGGGATTTTCTTTTCTACTGCATAGTCAGGGGCAAATTTTTCAAAGTTTCATGCTCTGCTTCCTCCTGAACACTTTGCTGCTTAGAAATTTGTTCCACAAATTACCCTAAATCATCTCTCTCAAGTTCAAAGTTCCACAGATCTATAGGCAGGAGCAAAATGCCACCAGTCTCTTTGCATAGCGACAGTGACTTTTACTCCACTCCCCAACAAGTTTCTCACCTCCATCTGAGACTACCTCAACCTGGTCTTCATTGTCCATATTCCTATCAGCATTTTGGCCAAAGTCATTCAGCAAATCTCTAGGAAGTTCCAAACTTTTCCACATTTTCCTATCTTCTTCTGAGCCCTCCAGACTGTTCCAACCTCTGCCTGTTACCCAGTTCCAAAGTTATTTCCACGTTTTCAGGTACCTTTACAGCAATGCCCCACTCTACTGGTACCAATTTAGTGTATTAATCCATTCTCATGCTGCTAAAAAGACATACCCAAGGCTGAGTTATTTATTTATTATTTCTTATTTTTATTTTGAGTTCCAGGGTACATGTGCAGGATGTGCAGGTTTGTTACATAGGTAAACATGTGCCATGGAGGTTTGCTGCACTTATCAACCCATCACCTAGGTATCAAGCCCAGCATGCATTAGGTATTTTTTCTAATGCTCTCTCTCCCCAACCCTACCCCTTGACAGGCCCCACTGAGTTGTTCCCCTCCCTGTGTCCATGTGTTCTTATTGTTCACCTCCCACTTATAAGTGAGAACATGCACTGTTTGTTTTTCTCTTCCTGTATTAGTTTGCTGAGGATAATGGCTTCCAGCTTAATCCATGTCCCTGCAATCAACATGATCTTTTTTCTTTTTTATGGCTGCATAGTATTCCATGGTATATATGTACCACATTTCTTTATCTAGTCTATCATTGATGGGCATTTGGGTTAATTCCATGTCTTTGCTATTGTGAATAGTGCTCCAATAAACATATGTGTACATGTAAGGAAAAAAGTTTAATAGACTCACAGTTCCACATGGCTTAGGATGCCTCAAAATCATGGCAGAATGCGAATGAAAAGCAAAATCATATCTTACGTGGCATCTGACAAGAGGGCATGTGCAGGGGAGCTCCACTTTATAAAACCATCAGATCTCATGAGGCTTATTCACTATGACAAGAAGAGCACGAGAAAGACCAAACCCCATGATTCAATTACCTCCCACCAGGTTCCTCCCCCAACACATGGGGATTATTACAATTCAAGGTGAGATTTGGGTGAGGACACATAGCCAAACCATATCAATCTTAAACATCTTCTTAATATTAAATAAAAGAAAGAAAAGAAAAGAAAAAAAAATCAGGATTATTAATGAAAATATATAGGCACAAAATCTTAATATCAACATTTTAAAAATTTGAATTTTACCTATACAGAATTGTATCTACATGCATAAATTAGCATGCAAATGAAAAAAGCCTTAATCATGTTGAAAATATGTCATATGGTAGCCTTTGAAATGGATTCTTCAGTTACTTTTAGAAACTATTAATTTTTTGCTTCAATTACTTTCAAATATAATGTATAAAGCAAATAGAAAATAATCAAATAGAGAATCCTAATTAAAACACGGAAATGTAAAGCAGAAAAAAGAGGGAGTATTGCATAATTTACTGACCCTTCTTTCCCTGAATTTGAATTTGCCTATGTCTTACCAAATATTTCATTACATTGTATAGGAGAACTAATTTTAGTATAGAGAATTTCAGGAAGGCCACTGTCCACTATTTAGATTTCACATGCTTTTTCAGTGTTGAAATGTAGATAAGCATTTGTATGAGGAGCAATCACTGAAATTTCATTTAAATTGAGATTGTGGTAGGTTTGTATGCTATAAACCTCATTTGTTATCACATTTGACACTCATGAAACTCTCTAAATTAGATACCTCAATTTATATTTTCAGGGAACATAAATAATGAGCCAGTTCAATGTCACTCAATAAGGACCTTTAGAACAATCCTTTAAAGACAGGTTGGGACATTCCTCTCCACTCTACCAATGAACTTTCTATGAAGGTATTTTACTTTAAGGATCTAATGCAACATAAGTGATGAGGATAGACTGCTGTAAGAAAATTCAAAATCTACAGTTAACTAATAATATGACATTTGGTGGGCTAAACTGCAGAATTTGAGTTTTAGGACATATGAGGGGTGAGTTGGGTCCAGTCTCTTCTCCTTTCTAGCAATTCCTGGTCAAAGTTACTGTCTCACATACAAATAAAAATGTTGAAATGAGTAAATAAATGAAAATTGTTTCATGAGGAAAAAAAGAGGATTAATGGAAGCAGCAAGATATTAAACTTTGGCATCAAAGAGAATGCAATACTTTGACCAGTTAACCTGATACTTATTGTCAAGGAAATTTAATTCCAGACCAGATATACCTGCAAGGGTTTACCTTATGCATTTTAGCAAAAGCTTTGGACAACAATTCATTTTTTAAAAGACTTAAATATGAGTAGTATGAATGAAAAATCTAGCTTGACTTAAGTCTCTAGAATGTGAGCCCTCTTTTAAGAATCTTCTAAACTGAAATAAAACATTTCCCTGATTTAGCCACCAAATCCAATGCCAATCAAATAAATGAAAGTATTATGGAGAAAATGTGTCCCAAAAGAAGAGGTTATTTCTAAGCATGAGTGTGGTCTAATTTTATTTTTTAGGTCTCTGGGTAGAGTTTGTTGTGCTTGTAGTTTTTATTAGAACCGAACTGCATTCAGCAAACAATCCAATAACCCCATTGTAATTACATTACTCAAGGCTTTTGAGATTCAATTCCTTAAAAGTCGTGGTCCTTACATGTCCCAAGGAAGTACCATTATCTCAGGCCCATGAAGTGTTTTTCACTACAGTTTTGTTATTAAAGGCTTGCAATCATATAAGTACAGGAAAAATAAATACATATTATATTGCAAATCCCTAGAGAGCACAGTGCGTAGCAAATGATCTTTTCATATCCTCCTCTTCTGGCTTGAGATAAATATAACATAATTGGGAAATGGCAGTTTCAGTAAAAGAGATTTAATTTGTGATTTTGCATTTTCAATTTTTTACCTATATATAATTTTCGAATAAATTTCAGATAAGACATATAGTACAAAAGAGTTAGAAAAGTTAAAGACTCTAAGCAGGGTCTTACCCTAACCCATCCTCATCCAGTAACGTAGAGCTAAATACAAAAAGAAATGTCCATAAACATTGTACCCTAGTTGATAATTCTGAAATTACTTGTATACTAGAGTTGAGCAAATAAATAAGTAAATTGTAGAAAATAGAAACTAGGTGACTATGGTAAGAGGTAGAAGTCACAAATAATGAGGGAGAAAGCTAGAATAAACCCTGGAAGAGAGAGAGAGAGAGAGGTACAGATGGATACTTAAAGAAATGTTTCTATACATTTATTTGCATACATACGTTTAGTATACATACATGTATGTCCTAGCTCTGTGTGGTAAGATGGCCTAGAAACAATGAAATTTCAGTAGAAATTATCACAGCTAACACCCACATATATCTTGGTTTCTAAATACTATTCTCTGATAAACTGTTATAGAAGATTCTTGGAGAAATGACTGAGTCTGAAGCTAGGACAGAAAATACAAGCTCATCCTGTACTGCAGTAACAGAAAGAAAGGAAATGTCCACTTTGAGGCAGGATCTACTGATGAATGTTAAAATGAGTGAGCAAAACTTTAAAGAGAATAAGACATGTGTACAGTCTCAAGGGATCTTGCTCAAAATATTTAATAATTACTCTGGTGGTTTTAAAATATCTCCACAAATTATTTAATATTCTTCCCTCAAGGACGTGGAGGAGCTTAATTCTTCCTCCTTAAGTGGTGGCTGGATTTAGTGGTTTGCTTCTTTAAAAAATAAAATATGGGAAGGGACAAATCAAAACTTTATAGGAAAGAACCAGGAAAATACACCTTACCCAAGTGATTAGGGCTAAAATCACCAGTAACATTCATGTTACTATCACAAAACTCTCCCCTGATATAATGTAAGAAAAGAAAGCACTTCATCTCTCTGTCATTCTTACCCCAAAACCATAACCACATTCTTTAAGAAAGCGTTAGAGAAATTCAACTGAAATACATTTTACTATACTGGTAGGCATAAAAAATGAATGCCAAGATAAAAAACGAAAACAAAAATGGAAACAAGCCAAACCAAAACAAGAGCAAGGAAAGACTGAGAAAGTATCACAAATTAAAGGAGACTAAGAAGACATGATGGCTGAGTGAATCATGATATACTGTACTGACTCCTGGATCAGCAAAAAAAAAAAATTGTGATCAAACTTGTTGAATACAAAAAAGTTTGTAATTAATACATTTTACTAAAGTTAATTACTGAGTTTTGATAAACACATCAGATTATGTGAGCTGTTAACCTTAGGAATAGCTAGAAGCAGAGCACATGGGAACTCTGTACTATCTTTGCAACTCTTCAGTAAATCAAAAGTCGTATCGAAATAAAAGGTGAAAAATATTCTTTTTATCACTAATTTTGAGCTCATGCTCAGCTTATGTCTTTCATTTTGTTTTAATTATTTTATATCGTTTCAATTTTTCTAGGTATAACTGCATTTGACAAACTATTCCTTTATGTTTCTTTATAAGACTTCTGACTTTTAAAAAATTGACTGACAAAGTTCAAAAAAACTTATTCCCTGATCATTTCTTTATGCTGCCAATGTCACTCACATCCAAGATCTCTGACCTGCAATTCTTCTAACTAAACTTTTACAGCGTTGACTGTCATTCAAAGAAACATAAATCCCATCCTCTGGGAGTTATATGTGCTTTACGGAGAGCATTGCTATATTTCAAATGATTCTGTTTGTTTTATGATTCATCAGAAAAGTAAGTACATGAAAAATAGCCTGAATTCAGGCTAAGATAATGTATGTATTTTATTGATATCAGTCTCACTTATAAATGCATCATTTAGTGTTAATTGTTTTTAGAGCAGTAGATATATACAGCAGAACTGAACAAGTAAAAGTGGCCATCCTATCCTCAAATAAATTACAGAATTAGCACATAAGGATCATTGCAACTTTCAGACATGAGTTTATGTATCCTGGAACATACTGATTTCCAAGAATTGTATAAATTGATGCTTTTAAGTGCCTTTGCCAATTAATACTAGTTGTTTTCAGTGTCTGACTAGGGTATGAAAGAGAACTAAAATTGTTATTTAAAATACTTTTAAATAACTTAAGTTTTTTCAAATGCTCATGCTTACCAGGCATCTAAATGAGGCCCTTATTTTTGGTCAATTCTATCCTAAGATGTTATTTATGGCCTCCAGTTAGATAAAAAAGTACTAAGGTAGTGAATTGGCCTCATAGGCTTATCAAGATGGTCTGTTTCTATCTTAAATTTCTACCATGATGCTTCTTTGTTATGTATTATATAATCTAAGAGTGAGGTAAAAGCCCTATGTCTGGGTCAAAGACAGTGTTAAGAATAAAATAGTGACATCCAGGTCCAGGAGAATCAAAGTAGATATAAGAAAGAGGTACTAACAGAAGTAATAAATAGCAAGCTGGTGTGATGGTACAGATAAAGATAAAGAAGTTTGAAAAATGTAGAGGTCAAGAAGGAAATGTTGTTCAGAAACAGTCTAGTAGTCAGACATCGGGAAGTATGCTCATGCTGGGGATCAATTTAGTCAAACTCAGATAAGGTTTTGGACAAGAAAATCAGATACAGCACATAAGAGATTAGAGGACCTTTGGTTTAAGTCAAATCTGACCTCAGAGAGGTACAGAATTTTCACTGTATCTTGCTGGAATAAGATTCACTGAATTTGACTAATCAGGGTAAGGAAAGTCCTGACTGCTGAATTGAAGCAATTCTCTTTTCCAAACCCATATTCTGAAATATATAAAGTTACATTCATTGTATTCATCCACACAATATAGTCTGTATTTTTAACTATCTTGTCTTTGATAAAAGCATCGATTTAACACCCGATCACCCATGCTTAAATCTACAACCTACTTTTTAAATTTCTCACTCTCTTCCATGATAAATAGATAAGGGCTTCTACCCACAAATGTATTTGGCATTCATCTCCTTTCTTTTGTGGTATTGATTTAGTTTCACCTCTCATCATTTATTACAAGACACTTCAATAATCTCTTAGAAGTTTTTCTTGTTACACATCTTTTCCATATTTAATTAACTTCTTAAAAGACTGACACAATCATATCAACCATAGCTCAAGAAACTCTGCTTACAGAATGAGCTTACACCTTAAAAACAAAATAATATATACTTCTTAATCAAGCTGTAACATATACTTTCCTGCTCATGCAGACTTTGTTGACTTAAGTTGAATCACTTAATCTTCCCATCACCCTATACGTCTCTCCATATCTATCCAATTACTTATATTGATACTGCTCTAGTCATTTTGCCTGACCCTTACAGTTCAGCTTAAATGCCACCATGCCACCATTTCTTTTATCGAATACTTTTTTTCTAAGCCTACATACTACTATTCATGATGTTTATATGTTTTACATTATAGTAATCATGTTGGCTTTCTTCATCAGTTGATTGTCAACTATTGAAGTGAGGAGCTCTTTCTGGTTCAGCTTTGTATAACTCAACAACTATCCAGATGAAATAATTTATTGAGAATCAGATTGAGCAATCGGATAGAAAATTAGAATTGTTTTTTAATAGAAAGCCAAATAATAACAGAATAAGGAATGGATGTGAGGTAAGGTTTTTCAAAAGAGGGAAACCTCTAGTACACAGCATTCCCTAAAATGTGTCTAACATTAGCAGAAAAATCCAATTGCTGATTGATAAAAACACTGATTTTGAGCATCTGACACTGAAAGAATAATATGCCTATGCTTGTTGCTCAAAATAGACATTCTTTTTGCTAGCCAAATATTTTCCATATTTAACTCTCAGTTAAATTTAGAAAGTCATTAGAAAGTATATACCAGAGAGTAGCTAGAGTTGGCTACTCTAAACAAATTATCTAAATGAAGTATGTGCTTCCATAACTTATAGGCATGTCCCACAATTACCAGGATGGGAAGTATATAAATGTTTCATGCCTTGTAATCCCTTATTGCAAGATTATTATTTTCATCTAAGAGGAACTAATTGGAGATCCAACTTTAACTCATCTCTATCATCATCAACCAATCACAGTGGAACACTGTCCAGTAAATCACCTGAGTTTCATACCCATTTGTTGACTTGCACCATTTTTGCCATTTGACAGACCATGTATTTGTCGAGCTATATTCCTAAGGCTGAGAGTAAGCTACTTGCTTTAATTTCACCCTAAAATACAGATAAAATCCTATCAATAGCAAAGGATAATTTTTCAATAAAGAAAACAGGAACAAAACTAGCAGTTCATTCAGGAAGACAAAACAAAACAAACCATTCCACATTTTCTAAAATCCTGGACCTTCAGGTCAGTGCAGCTATTGTGGGACATCATTTCAGAATTCTGTCGGTTGTACTGTTATTCACAGCTTTTCAGCCCTCAACATATGTCCATCTATCTCCTTTCTATCTTCCATTTATCTATCTATCTATCATCTATATATCTCTATCTATATCTCTGTCATCTATATCATCTCTCTAATAAAATGAAAATAAAAGTGTCCCTTTAGTTCAGTTATGTGGCGGAGATAGTACTGTCATGTCAGTCTCATATTCCGTGTTTTTTACTGCATTACCTAACCTCCCTGTAGTTACATGATGACTTGTGAATATTTCAAATCAATAGGCTATGATTGGCACACACATATTCTGACAAACAGTGGAGCTGAGCTCTTTGTGTAATGTCTTACCTCATCACAGTAATCAAGGAGATCACAAGACAGAAGCAATTAGCATAATTCCATCTTATTTTGAAGTCCTGAATAGGTAGTAGGAATCACCATGGATTTACCACCTATGATAAATGAACCATTATGTTCAGCTGCTCCGATGTTGGGGCTGTGTGCTGTTGCAGAATACCCTAACCTATTCCGTCTGTGCTTTAATAAGAGAGGGAGATACTATTCATACTTACGGTGTTCACAGATAATCAAAAAATCAATATTTTCAAAAATCTACTCTAGAAATAGGGCACATCAAAAATCATTAAAGGGTTCTTTCCGCATCACATACTGTGCAGATTTGCATTACAAATATGGTCGTTCTGTGATTCTCAATCCTGGGAAATATATATGTACATATGCATATATATACATATATATGTCATTCACATTCGTTTTTATATCAACCTCTCAACTCACATTAATTAAATCACAATGTCTCCTTTGATCTTGGGCATCTAGATTTTTTAAGTTCTTGTGACTCCGGTTCATACTGATGGTTAAGAACCACTATGGAGTACAGTTATAGTCTGAAATGATTGCTTGCTTTTGGATAAATATATGTCAAAATTTTAGGAGAATAGTTTTACAGTACATATGTTCTATAATAAATAATAACATTAAGTAATAATAATAGAGGTGAAAACACCAACTGACTCATCTTTATTTCTGTAATATCACCTAACTCGTTTTTAGTAATTGTCTGAATCTAGTAAACATATATATCAGTGGAAAAATACAGATTTTGAATCAAATAAATTTATGTTCCAATATCAGTCCTCCACTTACTCACTGTGTGGCCTGAGGTAATTTCTTAGTCTCTTTGATGCTAGTTTCCTCTTCTGGAAACTTGAGATAATACCCTTCTTACAGTGTTGCTTTAGGATTATGTGAAAGAATTTTTGTAAGACCTAATCAAACTATCTTAAAGTTGCTTGACAAAATTAGGTACTTTGATATAATATCAAGAGTGCGGAAGCTGCATGATGGCTCAAGAATACACCTCACAGTAGTTTTCCTGTGCTGGAACTTCCAAAATTGAAGGCCTGTTCTTTTGGTTGGGGTTGTGCTTCCTGTTTGAATTTTATATACAGTTGGTAACACATTATATACAGAATGGTAACACACTATTCTCTATCAAGAGTGTATTTCCTTCCAGCAGTGCCTTCCTGTTCTCTTCAGAATTCTATGAGCAATATATATGTATATGTGTGCATGTGTGTGTGCGTGTGTGTGTGTGTGTGTGTGTGTGTATATATATATATATATATATATATATTCTTTTCCATATATATATATATGGAAAAACATTTGGCAATGAGCTTTTTAGAGAACAGACATTAAATGGCAGTAAGGTAGATAAATGACTTAGAAAAAGCAAGAGTTATCTTTATTCTTGAAAGTAGATCTATAGAAACATGTCTTAGAAAGAAAGTGCTCTCCAGATGACTTGAGAATTTGAATATTATTTATTCTTATTAAGCTCTTGGCTCTTCTTTGACAAACTTCCATTCCATCTGAGATCCTTGTGTGGTGCTATGTAGGGAAAGTTATTTAGATTTGAAAAATACCTCACCTTCTGGGAACTTTTGTGATGACTGGTAGAAGAGGATGAATAAAAATTACTTTGTGATAAAATTGATGAATATAAAGACATATGAAAGTAATTTTAATAGGTATACTAGCAATGAGCTATGAAAAAAGAAGTAATGATTCACAGTGACATTCATCAATTAAAGGAATAATTTCTCATCAAATAAATTTTCATCTCTTTTTATGAACTAATAAAATAAGAAAAAATGTGTTTGTGTGAGGCAGGGAAGGGGACAGAAAAGAATGATGAGAAGAAATATATTATTTTTGCTGCTCCAGATTCTTAATGTCTTAACATGAGATAATAGACTTCATAAGACCATGCAAACATCTCAGCCATTTGCTACATTCATAGAAGGTGTTCAAGCTGTTGAAAGAATAAATCAATGACTAAATGAGTGTTTTAAGTCAATCACCACTGACTTTGTCAGTCTCCCTAAGCCTGATCAATAATTATTTGCCTAGAAATCTCTGGTAGTTTATGGATCTTACAGACTGTTGAATTGATTTGACAGAATATGGAGATTAGTTCTAGAAATAACCTTGTAAAATAATGTTCTCAAAATGGAAACATTTATGAAGATATATTTTTGAGACATTAAGCAAAATAAAAAGGATAAGTATACCTTCCATAGAGATGACAACAAAATTTACACACACACACAATCCAAATTAAGTGAAGGACAATAACCATTTAAGAAAATAGGTATTCATGTATTTGACCGTGTCTAAAGTGATATTTTTAGTCTGTCTCAATACCTTGAATAAAAGTCCTCCTTATGACAGGACTTGGTCACAATTAACGTTGTATTTACTATTTTTATAAAGTCCCAAATTGCATTAAAGTTGCTCCTGAAGGTTGAAGAGATACACGCAAAAAGAATTGGTAATATTTTGTTTTGTCTGGTATACAGTTCTTTACACTATACAAATGCAGGGGAAAAATTTAATAGTGAAGGCATATTTAGGTAGGTACATTTATATTTATATAATTTTTTTCATAAGAAAATTTTCTGTAAGAAACTTGAACTGTAACTTTTTGAGGAAGTCAAGTGATTAAAAGAACCTAATGAGGAAAAGAATCAATGGCCCAGAAGAACCGAAATTAGAATTAAGCATTAATTGATTTTGAAAAATCAGATTCAAAGAGAATATTAAATGCTATTCCTCTGAAACCATTAAGCTTATAGTAATGAAATGAGTGGGTATTGCTCCTAAAGTGGAATATTTTGATTAGATAGATTTCAAGTTTCCAGTGGTTGTTTTTGAAGAAAGTTTTTCTGAGGGACATCAATGAAGTCTTCCTTCGTTAATGAAAATAACATAAAGCCAATGAGAGAAAGCTCCTTACAGGAAGGAAAACAAACTCAAGATCTGGTATAATCACTATCTTTTTATAAAAGTATGCATATCATCAGATATTATAAGTAGAGATATGTTCTAGTTATAAATATAAAATGATTAATTTGGTCTTTCAAAGTCTCTTCCCATCTTATCTTTGCTTTTATGTGTAATTAGATTTTCATATTTTGCTTTTGCCTTCAGTATCAAACAGTTATAATCTAATACATTGCTGTTAAAAGAGTAAAACAGAGTAAAGTGTTGTGCAAATACTTTCAACTTCTTACCTACTGAAAAGTATAATCTTGCCTTTGTACTCTAAAAACAGAGAATTTTCACAATTAATGTTGTTGAGAAATTAGCCAGCCTATTGTAACCATCTTTTATTGTTTATGAAGTATCTTAGATGAGCAGATGTGTTTATGTAAGTCGGTTTGATAATTTATACTAAATACAAAATTCTTCATGAGTGCCAAAAATAACAGGTGCTGAATAAAAGAACTCTAAGGAAGCTTTACTGAATTTCATCAATTTATCATTTAAAAGTGAAGAGTATATGACAGAATAAAACTGTAGGCATTAATAAAGGACCAGGGTGCTTGATAAGCATACATTCAAAAAAGAAAGAACAATTATTTAGATAAGACTGTATCCTCTGAAAGTCCTTTCTCTCTTTTCTCCCTCTCTCTCTTGCTCTCTCTTTCTCTCTCTATATATATACACATACATACATATATACACAGAGAGAAATATACCTGTAGATATATAGAAAAATATATATATAGAGAAAGAAACTGTCATAGGATGCAGCCTTATTTAAATAGATTTTTGTTTCCCTTTGAATGTATGTTTAAGTTTCCTAGTGCTTATTAATGCATGCAGCTAGTCTCCGAAGAGAGAAAGAGAATAATTTTTGTTTGTTTGTTTTCTTGTTTGTTTTGCCTGCCCAACAGATTAACTGAGTGCATGGATGACTGAATTTCATCATTGATGGTATACATTAAAGTCAATATAAGAATAGCTCATGAAAACGAAATCACCATAGAGTTAATGGAATATGTTCGGATTACATGAGCTAATATTAATCTGGGGGACAGCTAGAGTCTTATTCAAAGTTATTATTTCTTTGAAAGTCTCTATGAACTTTTCACATCTATACTATTTACATGGACACAGCCTTCTGTGCTGTATGATGTTAAGATATTAATAGTAATATGAAAAGGCTTTCCTTCCTCATTCAAACAGGTATCATCTTTCCAACAACAACAAAAAACTATAGCTAATATATCTGGAAATGGTACTTTTAGAATATTAATTTAAAATTATTAGTAAAATCTTATGTAATATAGCAATGAAAAACAAACTTTCAAAATAAATAGCACATTCCTAAATTGTACTAAATTTTTTTCTGCAGGTTCAAGTAGAAATTTATTACATTGCTTTGCCTCAGAGTAACCATAATGATAATGAGTTATCAGTATAGTGGGCCAGTTTTCACTGAATTGAGGTACTCTATGCAGTAAGCAATAGCACTACTGTTATGACATTTCATCAATAACAGTTGATTCTGGAAGTTCCCAGCTAATTTTGAGGAAAAGAAAGATGTTAAAGAATTAGAATCGCAAAATAATTCTGCACTCTTGTGGTCATAATTTTTGAAAAGGTGTATGTTTGCATGCATATTTTTAGATGAAGCTTGAATTAATTTATCTATTATGTGAATTCAAAGGTTTCTTCTTTCATTTCTACATTTCCCATTTTGAAAATTTCAATCTAAACCCTCCCCTATAATAGGACAAGCCTTTGGCTGCTCCCACAGTACCACGTTTTGAATGAGTCGGTACTTTTTGCTTTGCTCTGGCTCTATGGTGTATATAGATTAACTTGATGCCTCCTTTGTTGCCTATAAATATTTAACCAAAAGAAAATCGTACTTTGTGATTATTAAGCACAAACTCTTGTGTCAGACTTCCTATATTCCAAATCTTGCTGTACCACTCAGTGACTTTAGACAAGATGGCTTTTCTCCTCTCCTCTCCTCTCCTCTTCTTTTCCTCTCTTTTGTTTCTTTTCTTTTTTCCAGGTACCATATTGCTCCGTCACCCAGGCTGGGGTGCAGTGGCATGATGGTGGCTCACTGCAGCCTCAAACTCGCAGGCTCAAACAATCCTTTTGCTTCAGCTTCCTGAGTAGCTGGAAGTACAGATGCGTGCTGCCACGCCCAGCTAATTTTTTTTCCCCTTTTGTAGAGATGGGGGTCTTGATATGTTGACCAGGCTAGTTTCAAACTCCTGGCCTCAGGCAATCCTCCCACCTCGACCTCCCAAAGGGCTGAGATTACAGGCGTAAACCACCATATTCAGCCAAGACACCATTTCTAAACCTTGATTTCCACTGTTGTAAAATGACTATTAATACTTCAGATCTATTTCTTTGGGTCTTAGTTTTAAGTGACATAATAGATAGTCTTCAATATTAGCTATTATAATTATCTTACTCTTGTGGCCCACAGTGGTTCATTTGCTTCTCTTAATTCTCATGCCGATTGTTTCCTGTGTCATTGGGCATACAGACATTTATTTGTGTCATGATGAGATTATAGATTTATTGAAAGTGGGTACTGTCCTTTATATTTCACAGGTATTATTCATAGCCAAAAGTCCTCCACAGTGAAAATAGAAAGCATGGTATCTTAGCACTCTCTTGCTGATCTCATTGTGGCTAAGATGAAAGACAGTGAATTGAATAATTGCAAAACAAAACAAAAGAAACCTACAATTTTTAAAACTACAATATAAAAACAGTATGCTAAGCAGTTTCAACTATTTTATCTTCGTTAATTTTCACAGAACATACTATGAGTCTTACAGCTAATGTATTGGAGCCAGGCTACATATACAGATCTCTTTCATTCCCAAACCTGGGCAAAGCCTACCTAGATGTCAGAAAAGTGGCATAGGTAAAAACATTCCTATTTTTGTTTATAGAATTAAATACCTTTAACTCCAATTATAGCATTTTATAGCACAATAAACATACCATATAACCTGAGCCATATAAGTTACTATTCTGTATTCTTATTTAGCTAAAGAGAATCAAAACCTGAGAGCTTTTTATTTTTGATTCGGTAAAGTGGTTGTCAGTAAAATAGTCTCATTCTTTTTCAGATAAGTTTTAGGATAAACAAAAGACTTCAGTTAAAATATCCAGTCCACTTACAAATATGATGACTGAGACTCGGGCCTGGGTTTACAAAACAATATGAGGGCTTTTTTTTCATTCTCTAGTAATACCACTTAATGTCTATAATTAAAGGAATAAAGGACAGTATTTTTTTATTTTTAGCTATCACCAGCATCCAAGTTGTTTTACATATCTGAAATGTATCTACATTGAGACTGAGTTTAAAAAGCAAACATTTACCAGGAGCAATAGATGTATGGCTCTGATATATTTGTAGAGCAATTTTATATTTGCCCCCAAAGGACAATTGGCTTTGTAACCAACATGATTTATCATGGAATGACAAGATAGGAATGAGCTTGAGATTCCATAAACTTCATTTTATCCCTCCAAATAGAACCCAAACTAATTTATCTGAAGCAGATAAGAGTATTTCAAAGTGACCAAAAGGTTGTAATGTGGACTGCTACTCTGTGACCAGCACTATAGTTCTGCTAAAGAACGAACTGGTCACTGAAGCCACGACATGAAAAATTGGTTAGTGTAATAATCCCTTTCTGGAGAGGTAACCTTTTATTCTGCACAAGACACCCACTGCTGGTGTGAGTTAATGCATCAGTTGTTCAGTAGAAAACCACAGAAACCATTTTCATCCTGAAAATCAGAAGCAAAAACAAAACAAAAAAAGACTTAAATGAGCAAAAGAAAGTCCTATAATATCACAGAATACATGTTTTTACTGAATAATCTATCAATTTTCTACTCAGACTTCATTCAGGAAGTTATTTATTTTTATTAAAGCAAACAAAACAACAACAACAACAAAATTCTCCATTGCTGCATCAACATGCAGAAAAATAGGACCCAGCATGCTCAGGTCAGAGTCAGTAAAAAGCAACAATAAATACGTTTGCAAAGAACTTCCACTTTCCAGTTCTGTATATAAGGGGCTTAGATGTTGCCACTCCAACCTAACAACAAGTAAAAACCGAACAGACCGAAAAATTAAGAACACTTTTTGGTTGCCTAAGAGCAGTGAGGACACAGGGCAAATTGCTGCCCTCAAGATGGAAGTCATAGACAAGTGAATAGAGGGAAGAATGGCTTACTGGGGCAGAAACCACCATGGGGACCAGTGCCATGGTGGGTTAGCAAAATATGTACTGTAGTTGATCCATTGTTGGGGGCTCAGTGTGGATAAGTCTGACAGTTAAAAACTCTAGATGAATCCAGTCATTGAGGGTCTCCCACAACAGTGTGAGATTTACCTCTAGGAGTTCAACCAGGTTTCCAGAGTAAATATTGGAGAAAAATCTCCTGGTGCTACCGGCAGGGGGAGGGATAAATGAGCGATACTGAAGTACACCAAAACACTCTGTTATTAGGCCTGCCCTCAGGAGAAACTAGTCTACCTCATCCTAACCTGTTGGGGTATTATCAGAGTCTAATTGATTTGGAGGAAGGGAAAGACCCAACTCCAGCCCACTCTAGCTATCTTGCCCTTGCTGAGAAAGATGAAAAAAACAAAACAAAATGGGGAAACACGTGTGAAGTTCATAGTTCTGAGGCTCAGGCTCACTACAAGACTGAGACTATAGGATTATGAAATGCTTCCACTCCCCCGACACCTTACTGTCACAGTACTAAGAGCCTACTTATAGCATTTCCTTTTACCCAGTACATCATGTCTCACAATCAAGAAAAATTACGAGGCACATTGAAAGGCAAAACATGACAATTTGAAGATACAGAGCCAGAATCAGAATCAGACATGATAGGAATGTTGGGATTATAACACCAGTAATTTAAAACAACTATGATTGATATGCCAAGTGCTATAATGGATAAAGCAGACAGCATACAAAACCAGATAAGAAATGTCAGAAGAGAGGTGGAAATCCAAAGAAAATACCAAAAAGAAGGGATAGAGATTAAAACAAACAAACAAACAAACAAAAAAACACTGTAGTAGAAATGAAGAATGTCGTTGATGAACTTATCAGTAGACTCAACATGGCTGAAGGCAAAATCTATGAGCTTGAGAATTTAGCAATAGAAACCTTGGAAACTAAAAAGAAAGAGAACACAGGCTGAATAAGATGGAGTGGAGTATCCAAAGACTGTGGGTTACATATATTTATTTACAGGTAAAATGAATGATAGCAATGATACAAAGGACCGTGTAAAGGAATTAGGATTATTAGGTTATTATTAGGCACATGCACTACCTAAGAAGGGATACAGTGTTATTTCAAAGTGGACTTTGATTCATTGGAAATGTATATTGAAAACTCTAGGACAACCATTTTAAAAAAGTATTTAAATAAGTATAACTGATATGCTAAGAAAGGAAAAAAATTAAATCATATAAAATGTTCAATTAAAGTCAAGAAAGACAGAAAAAAGTCAAAGAAAAAAATAGAATAAAGAACAAGGGCAGCAAATAAAAAATGAGTAAACAAATATAATAGTTATTAATCTAACTGTATCAATAGTCAGTTGGAACTGATTATTTTCAATTTCCTAAATGTACCTATTAAAAGACAGAGATTGTCAAAATAGATCTGAAAATAATACTCAACTATAAGTTGTCTACAGATGAACCTCACTTTAAATATAAAGGCACATATATATTGAAAGTAAATCAATGGAGAAAAATAAACCATACAAACACTTATCAAAAGAAAGCAGGAGTAGCTATATTATTCTGAATAGTGCAGACTTCAAAGCAAGAAAAATTATTGTGGATAGAAAAGGCATTATATAATGAGAAGGGAATCAGTTATCTAAAAAGACATAACAATCCTTAATATGTAGACAATGAAAAAAAGCATCAAACTATGTGAGGCAAAAACTAACAAAACTGTGAGAAGAAAGAAATGAATCCACTATCACAGTTGGGGACTTTGACACCCCACTATCAAAAATGAGCAAATCCAGCAGGCAGAAAATAAGTGATGACATAGTTGAACAAAACACCAACAATCAACTGGGTAAAATCAGCATCTACATACTATCCAGCAACAGCAGGATTCACGTTCTTCTCAAGTTCTTATGAAACACTCCCTCAAAAAGGCCACATTATGAGCAACAATACACACATAAAAAAATTTAAAAGAATATGTTTGCTCTCAGACTCCAAAGAATCAAACTAAAAATCATTTAAAGAAGGATTACCGGAAAATCTCAAAATATATGTTGATAAAACAACACAATTTTAATAACACATGGATCAAAGAAAAAAAACAGAAATAAAACATATTTTGAAATAAATAAAGAATGAAAACACAACTTATCAAAATCTGTGGAATGCAACAAAAGCAATGCTTAGAAGAAAATTTATGTCATTGAATGCATATATTAGAAAAGAATAAAAATATAAAATTAGTAAACTAAGTTTATACCGTACAAACCAGGAGAGTAAGATCAAATTAAATCCAAAGTAAGCGAAAGAAAAGAAATAATAAGAATTAGAGCAGAAACTGATAAAATTTATGAAGGGGATCAATAGAGAAAATTAACAAAATCAAAAGTTGGTTCTCGAAAAGATCAATAAAATCAACAGGGAGCTAAAAAATACATGATTATTTCAATAGATGCAGAAAAAGCATATAACAAAATTCATCACCCATTTATGATTTAAAAACCCACTTCTCTAAGTATATGAGGGATAGAGGGAAACCGTCTCAATAGGGTAAACTATTTATCCAGAAAATCTACACCTAACTTCATATTTAATGGTGAGAAACTAGAAACTTTCCCACTAAAATCAGAATAGGGCAAGTATGTCCTTTCTCATGACTCATTTTCAATATTGTACTGGAAGTACTAGCCAATGCAATAAGATAAGAAAAAGAAATAAAAGGTATACACATTGCAAAAAAAGCAGTAAAACTGTATTTGCATGCAGATGACATGATTGTCTATGTAGAAAATCCAGAAGAATCAACAAAAAAATTTCTAGAACTAAGTAATTATAGCAAGTTTGCAGAATACAAGATGAACATATAAAAGTCAATCACTTTCCAGCTGGGTGTGATGGCACACGCCTGTAATCCCAGCACTTTGGGAGGCAGAGGCAGGTGGCTCACTTGAGGCCAAGAGTTCGAGACCAGCCTGACCAACATAGTAAAACCCTGTCTCTACTAAAAATACAAAAATTAGCCAATTGTGGTGGCACCTACCTGTAATTTCAGCTATTTTGGGTGGCTGAGGCACAAGAATTGCTTGAACCTGAGAGGAGGAGGTTGCAGTGAGCTGAGATCTTCCACTGCACTCCAGCCTGGGCAAATAAAAAATGGCCAATCACTTTCCTATATACCAGTAATTTTAAAAAAGTGGAATAGCAAATTAAAAACACAACATCATATTCATAAACACTTCAAAAAATAAAATACCTATGTATAAATCTAACAAAATATATACAAGATCTATATAGGGAAAACTACAAAATTATATCAAATGAAATTTTACAAAACTATATAAATAGAGGGATCTTCCATTTTCATGGATAAGAAGACTCAATATTATCAAAATATCAGTTTTGTTCCAAATTCATCTATAGATTCAATGCAATCCCAATAAAAATGCCAGTGAGTTATTTTGTAGATAATGATAAACTGATTCTAAAGTTTATATAGAGGGGCATAAAACATAGAATAGCCAACACAATATTGAAAAAGAATAACACAGTTAGAATACTTACACTACCCAACTTCAAGGCTTACAACAAAACTAAATTAATCAAGGTAATGTGGTATTGATAAAATAATACACAAATAGATAAATGGAACAAAATACAGAGCCCAGGAGTCCACCACCATAAATATAGTCAACTGATATTTTATAACAGTGCAAAGCAATAAAATGGAACAAAAATTGTTTTATCAAGAAAAGGCACTTTGGGAGGCCAAGGTGGGCGGATCACGAGGTCAGGAGATGGAGACCATCCTGCCTAACATGGTGAGATCCCGTCTCTACTAAAAATTCAAAAAATTAGCCAGGCATGTTGGCGGGCACCTGTAGTCCCAGCTACTTGGGAGACTGAAGCAGGAGAATGGCGTGAACCTGGGAGGCAGAGCTTGCAGTGAGCCGAGATAGCACCACTGCACTTGCACTCCAGCCTGGGTGACAGTGCGAGACTCCATCTCAAAAAAAAAAAAAAAAAAGAAAAGAAAAAAAGAAAAGGTGCTGAACATCCACACATAAACAAACAAATTTAGACACAGGCCTTACATCTTTCACAAAAAACTAACTCGAAATGGACCATAGACCTAAATGTAATATGCAAAACTTTAAAACTCCTAGAAGATAACATGGGAGAAAATGAAGATGACCTTGGGTATAATAATGACTTTTCAGATACAACATCAAAGGTACAAACCAAGAAAGAAATATTTGAGAAGTTTGGCTTTATTAAAATT
The DNA here is from genome assembly GCF_000001405.40 of Homo sapiens. NCBI lineage: Eukaryota > Metazoa > Chordata > Mammalia > Primates > Hominidae > Homo > Homo sapiens. Next base: position 27,323,609 of record NC_000014.9, on the reverse strand, counting down.
TAGAATTTTTGCACTGTGAAAGACAATGTGCAGAGAAAGTAAAGACAAGCCACAGACAGAGAAAATATTTGCAGTAGATGCATCTGATATAGGAATGTCATCCAAAATATACAAAGAACCCTAAAAATTTCACAATTAGAAAATTAACAGCCCAATTACAAAATGGGCAAAATACTTAGACAGACACCTCACCAAAGAAGATACACAGATGGAAAATGTGTATATAAAAGCATGTTCCACATCATTTGTCATCAGGGAAATACAAATTAAAACAACAATGAAACACCACTGCACACCTATTAGAATGGCCAAAATCTGAAATACTAACAGCATGAAATACTGGAAAGGATGTAGACAATAGGAACTCAAATTATTTGTTGATGGGAATGTGCAAACTGGTATAACCACTTTGAAATACAACTGTCAGGGGTATACAAAACAAAACACTCTCTTACCATACAATCAAGCAATTGTTCTTGATATTATCCTAAAGGAGTTAAAAACATGTTTACACAAAAACCTCAACATATATATTTGTAGAAGTTTTATTCATAATTGCTAAAGTTTGGAAATAACCAACATGTCCTTCAGTGAGTAAGTGGATAAATAAACTTTGGTAATTGCAGACAATGGGATATTATTCAACACTAAAAAAAAATGAACATCCAAGATATGAAAAGATATAGGGGAAAAATTCGGTGCATATTACTAAGTAAAGGAAGCTAATCTGAAAGTCTATATACTGCATATTCCAATTATGTAACATTCTGAAAAAGACAAAAAATATGAAGACAGTAATTAAGATCAGTGGATGCCAGGGGTTGAGAGGAGGGAGGGAGGGATGAACAGGCAGAACACGAAGGATTTTTAGGGCAGTGAAAATACTCTTCATGATATTATAATGATGAATACATGTCATTATACATTTCTCCAAACCCATAGAATTTAAAATACCAAGAATGAAACCCAATGTAAATTATGAACCTTGAGTGACAATGATGTGTAAATCTAGGTTCGTTCATTGTAACAAATCTACCACTCTGGTGGTGGATATTGATAACAGGAAAATGAATGCATGTGGAGGGGCAAAGGATTTATGGAAAATCTGTACACCTTTCTCTTAATTATGCTGTGAAATTAAAACTGCTCTAAAATTAGAATTTAAAAATATGTGATATGCACTGGTCAAAGAGCACCACCTATTTTAACTCATTTAACTCAATTTCTTGCAAAGAAATCAAAAATTTTTTAGATGGAGAGTATATAGTGGCATATATTTTACAGAGATTAAGATTAAATTTCTTAGGAATATCAAATACCAAAACTATGTTATTTAATAAATTTTTAGAAACTATGGATTTAATTATGGCTCTACCCTTTATGTAAAAGGTGGCAGCCATTTCCAAATATGGATTGTTTACTCAACCATATTTACTAAGTGAATTCTGTATTCTATGTTTTATATTAGACCTCGGGACTCAACAATAAACCAGACCAGTATGGCTCTATCTTCATGAAGAACATACACAATAATTCAGGACTCACAGAAGTCGATGAGCAGAACACAGAAGACTCAACCTGAAGAAATTCCATATACGTGCTACTCCTGTGTTAGTGTTTTAAATAATTTATATAAAAGGGCAGAAACCTAGAAATTCATATCAGAATCTATCTATATATCACCTGTAGTTTTTAAATATAATCATGGGTATGTTTTATGTGTATATTATTATTTTGTATTATAGTTTTAGCCATCAAACTTTTAAAGAATTTAACTTACAATTACATTTCATTATATTTTACAGAATTTTCCTTACAGTTATATTCCAGGCTTGTCATGTGAAAGCCTCTTTTACAAGAAATATTATATTAATATTATCATCTTCAAAAGGTTGCTTTCTTTATTTTCCACTAAATTCTTAGTATCTTTGTCCTTACCTTCAAAAATATCAGAATAATATGTTGAGTAATAAGACCACATTTAGATCTCAAAATTTCTAATATTTAACTGAGTCTTAATCATAATAACATTTTCTATAATTTAAAGCTTAACACTATTGAGTGCATAATTCATGGCTAATTTTGTGACATAGCTTTTATTGTCTACACTTATTTCTCCATTGGGCCACGGAATCAAGAAAGAGGGCACCATCAGGTGGTGCCGCTTCCTGAGCCAGGAGAACTGGCACATAGATCTGATTTGCCATCTACTAGGAATCCCATTAGCAATATTTTTTTCATAGCCTTGCCTCTAACACCTCAACAAAAAGAGTTTAAAATGTGCAAAACATAATAATGTGGATATTTAATTAATCATAGTTTGCATATATTAAATTGTTCCAGCCAAATCTTTAGAATTTTAGAACTGTGATCTGAATATCTTAGATTAGAAAAATATTTGTGTGGGAGAAATATAATCCTATATTTCACCACACAGATCAGAGTCACATTAGGTATTTGAAATATTTTAATACATACAGTGCTTTCAGGAAGAAGAAAAAGCCTATGCCCCCAAGCAAATTTATTTTAATAACATGTATTTAATTAGAGAAACTCCTCCAAGGATGCTCTATAAATAACATGGGATAAGATAGATACAGTAAATTGAAGTAGTTTGACTCGATAATAGAAAAGCAAATATTTTCTTAGTAAAAGTTAAAGATGATATTGTACTGGGTTGAAAGTCCAAGAAAATTATATTATTACTCCCTATCAAAACAAATCCAAAATGTGATTTGTGTTTTTCCCTATCTCAATAACTATTTTTGGCCCTTTAATTAATCAGGTCAAAACTACACATAATATCCAAGTCATGTAACTGGATTATTTAGTATTTTTTTAGTTTATATATGTGTTTGTTTTAAAATACACAGAGGAGGAATAATAGACTTTTTTCTTTTAGGGCCTCAGATTTTAACTCTCAATCTGGAAGAACTTGTCAGAACATCTATTTCCTCTGAAGGTCACAACTTTAAATTTGATTATTACCAAAGGAAATCTACTGATAAATTGACAGCTTAAGCCTGTGATTTTCATTCAGTTACCTCATTTCTATTGATTGTTCTTTGAAAAGACCTTCACATCTGCATTACAATTTTGCTCTCACACTAATATGTAACCACTTTTGGCTGCTTCCAAGAAAAGTTAAGAGCTTGCCAAGAAAGAGTTTATGAAATTTAATTTTGAAAATAGTGTTCTTAATGTAACAGTGTTTTAAACACTGACTCCATTGTACTAGACATATTGACATCTACTTATTCAATTTACTGACCTTGACAGAGCTATAAATTACAGTAAGGAATACTATCAGAATTATGGCCTTCTTTTTATGTTTTCAAATAGAAGAACTGTGATGCTCATTCTGAAAATATTCTCATCTGGACTATTTTGCTTCGGTCCCTTAATCTGCAAAATGTAATTATTTTTCTAGTTGGTTAATGCATGCTTTGATTTCAAGGAAAGCATGACACTAGACACTTGTAAAATTATCATCATGTTTGTAGTTTTGACATAACTTAATTAACAGTCTCTCTCACACGATACTAGGTGTCAAATGCCTCCCATATGTTTTCTGCTCACATCCTGAACCAGCTATCCAAATGAATAGATTTAATGAGTTACGCTTGGTTATGACAGAAAACTAAGTAAAACATAATAAAAAAAAACTCCTCATCCAAGGATTAAAATGATCAGAATAATTTTGTGTAATTCTGAATTATAAATATTTTTCTGGAAGCATGAAGTTTTACTAACACAGCTACTTAGTAAAACTGGAATAAATATTATGTATTAAATACTCATAGATCATTTTTTATACAACTGAATAACAATATCCTGTCGTTTTTAGATAAGTTTCAAAGTGAAAATGTACTTTTAGGGTTTGGTTTTACAACGCTTTTTTCTTGTGTTAATTTTAAATATTCACCCTTTGAACCTATGTGTTTATTCAACTTACAAGAATTGGTGAAAAATTCAGGAGATGTTCCTACCTAATCATGTACAAATGTTTTTTTACAAAAATTAAAGCTTTCAAAATATTTTATTTTACCTCCTAGATATTTTGTAGGCAATATTTAATATAGATTTATTGTTTGCATAGCCAAAGGAAGAGAAATCAAGTAGTTGTGTTTGTTATTTATGGTATATAAATAGTTAAATAATAAGAATATATTCACAATGATTTTATGTACAATCAAATTACACTGTCTAAAAATGTAACTAAGAATCTATAAGAGCTTTCTAGTTAGAACTGCTTCCCATCTGAATGTTTTGCTATAATTGTGATAAATGACCAACTAGAGCAAAAGTTCAAAAATAGAACTTAAATTTAATTAGCCAATGAAAGGTCTAAGTCCTGTCATCATATTTCATGACTACAGTCAGTTCCTAATTTATTGTATAGTTATGGGAAGAAGCCCATATAAAACTTTACTCATATAAAACTAATCTGCAATATTTTAAGGGACATTCAATGTGTCCTGTAGTTAGTGCTTTTTATTTTAAAAAAAGCAAGATAAAATTTGCTGACATGCTTGTAACACAAACCCTTGATGATGTTGCTTAACTCATGAGCCTCAAATCCATTTATTCCATTTCTAGCCAGTAAACTTTTAGTTTTAGTTTCACATGGCATTTAGGACAAAGTCCAAAGGCTTTAAGATGGCAATAAATCTCCACATTACCTGGTCCCAGTGTCACCTCCCACCACTCTGAAATGTGCATGCTAGGTACCTGCAATATTAAAATGCCTGAAGTTCTCACACACACCTGGTTCTTTCTTACTCCGTTTCCAGATTTCTCATGGTGTTCCTTCACTAAGACTCTCTTTGGCTTGGTTAAATTCATGTTATTAATTTGTGGTCATGCACTAAGACTGAGCTAAAAATCACCTGGGATAAGCCATCTCTAATACTCTAAACTGGATTAATCTAACTGGTCTCATCTTCTTGCCAGCCCCAGAACCTAGGCATACTTGTAGTATGGCATTATAATTTATTTTTCTATTTACAGCACACCAAGAATAGAGTAATAAAGTAAAGGCTGATTAAATTAAATATCTAACGCTTTTAAAACATTAATTTGTATTATCTATTATAGGATGTTTCCAATAGATCAATATTCTCACCAGACTACAGATTACTTTATATGTGTATATAACTTATTGATATAATTTACAATCAAATATATAAATACTATTAAAATGATTTTGGCTAAATTAAGGAAATATTAAATGTTAGGGAAGCCTAGTAACGAAATAACAACTATGAGTGCAGACTTTCACTTGGAAATCTTTGATATCTAAGGCAAAAATGATAATGCCATGGACTTCATATCAATATTTATTGAAAGAAGATACATACCAATAGTGCTAATCAGAATTGCTCAGGAAAACTGAAACCACTCTATACCTTTCACACAGAAAAGATTTTGCTGAGGGAGTTAGATGCTCCCAAAAGTGTTGGAGAGCCAGAAATATGAAGATCAGAAAGGTAGATCCAGCTAATTATGATCAAACTAGATAGTTTGGGAATCACAGGAAAACCACCAGTAAGATCAAAGATGCCTGCATAACTAAAGCAGCTCTCTTCAATAAACTCCTCTAGGATGCTTGTTTATCAAGGCCCATGAGCATGTCTGCCACTGCTGGAGGTACATTAATATGGCTGTGCTTCTTTTCTGCCTTCCAAATCCTAAATGAATACCTGGCAGAATCTAACCTAGAGTCTTGCTAGCAAGCATTCTGAAAACATAATGTCCAATTTTTCATTCCTTGTGATATTGCAGAGTACAAAAGAGAAGAAAGTACTGCTGCACCGTCAAAGGCAACCAGGCACATTCCACCACCTTGGCTATAAGCATCCCTATTGCTCTTTCTATCCAAAATTATATCCCAATTAACAATCACAACTTCATTATTCTTGGCTATCAAAATGCAACCATTTTAAACAAGTGCAGACCTGCTTACCCTTGACAATCCTAAAATGGAATCCTATCCACTTCTGGGTGATATTTTTCCTCTTTTATTTCAATTCTAATTCCTTCATGTGATCCAAAAATTTAAAAGTTAAAATTTCAAGTTAAATGATCTGAACAAACTTTATACAAAATAGTCAGTAAAGGTATGAGTAGAAATTATACCTGTTATTGGATTCAAGTGTGTGTGTGTATATATGTATATGTGTATTAATAGCTATATGTGTGTGTATATATGTATATGTGTATTAATAGCTATATGTGTGTGTATATATGTGTGTATGTTTAAATATATGTATATACATTTAGCATAGCTACTATAAATGCTCATTTCTGCAAATTATCAATAGGCTAGACTTGGTATTTGTAAGTCCTCCTTTCACTAATCATATTTTACTTTGTCGTCGATGGGTTGCGTTTTTTACCTGTTGGACATAAACCTTCCATTCTAAAGGGACAAACATATTAGTGACTCTGCCTGTTTTGGGTAACTGCAGTTGTCCCTTAAAATTTACCATTGGCCATGGAATTGCTAAGAGGCATAAGATACTGTCTTGGATTTTAAATATAGCCTTTCTTAGTTTCATTGTTTACCAGCAATTCCTTTAAAATGTTATTAGTGTCTTAAAAGGAAATAGGTGCACACTTGGAATAGGCAAGTTTTATTTACAAAGCTGCCTATTTACAAAGGTATGGGTGATGGAAAGCACAATAGACAGTGCATAACCAGTGGTTCTGTTGCAACTGAGCTGTTGCAATGCTCATGCCTAAAAGGACAATGCAATGAAGTAAATATGAAACAGCAAAGGTTCTATGTAATGACCTGTCTTCAGGGAAGCAGTGACCTTCAGTGCAGGTGAATATTTAGCATGAAGCAACCTTAAAGGGAGAGCCCTGGAATACAAATATCCTGACTTCGCTCTCTCCTTCAGGTCTTTTGCCAGGACTCCTCCATTAGCTGAAACCAACAAGAAAGCAGAGATTTTTTTATATCATTTATGCAAGTTAGCATCCCAGGAAAAAATTGAGTGGAGGTGGTGAAAAATAGATCAGGAGGGGAAGATGAAGATATGTTCTAAAATAACTAAGGTTAATCACTCATGTCATTACAGGAGTACTGAATTATATTGAACATCCCTATTGGTTCAATGGCATAAAGAATTGGGTGGTAGTCTTAGCAAGTAGATTGATGAAAATGTTGGTTATTTTAGTGAAAACATTATTTGAATATGAATATTTTTAAACCAACAGAATTTAATTAGCTGGAGTTGGGAAGCAATATTTTGTGACTGGGTCAATAGAATCAATTGGTAGAAAAACACTCCCACATTTATCCTTGCTTCCTGGACTCATGTTTTCCAGGTATAGTGGGGGGGAGGGGGGAAAACCATTTATTGGTTGCAGGCTCAAAGAATATATGGCATTTTGTAGGATATCCCTCCACTTTTAGTAAGCATTTTAATAAAGCCTTAACAGAGCAATCCACCATTCTGTGGGATCAGCAATTTCTGCCTGAAAAGGTATATGGTGGTAAAATACCTAAACCTTAGAGACTTCCATTTCAATTGCATTGCTAATTTTTCTATAAAATTCCTAGCTTTCTTGGTAGTAATATTGTAAGGGGTACCATGATTTTCTGCCTATATTTCAGACCAAGTTTTATAGAAAACATTGAACATATTTCTTTAAAATGTATGCAATGAAACAAGAAATTTACTAGGAACTAAGTTCTCCATAAAAATAATACAAATATGGTGGAACGTCTAGTTAATACTGCAGGCCGGTGAATCATCTGTCCATGCATGTGTGTGCTGGCAAGATAAAAATTCAGTGATTTTAGTTTTAGGGTATCTACTCAAATTCTTACCGTGAGATCAATTGGTCTCAGACTGAGCACACTATTTCTCAGTTCTATCTATAGCATGCTGGTTTCTGTGTAGAATACTAGAGAATATCTCACTGAGAGAAACTTGTCATTGCACAGTGGTTTATGGGTGACTAGCTCAAGAACTTATCAGTCCCCACAGCTTGCCGAGATGGAAAAGTTTCCTTTAGATCATAAACATGCCTTAATACAAGTATGCTGTTTCCTGTCCTGTATAACTAAATAAAATGAATGTAATAAAACTATATATATATTTTGCCACATTAGTATGTATCATTAAAGGTGGGTAATAGATTGGATCAAATTTAATTTATACTAATTAATCTTAGTACTCTAAGATGAAATAAAACCTCAAGATGTACAGAAATTACTCCGAACAGTTAAACTTTGGTAATGGTTAATATTCTAAAATATCCTCTCACTCTTTTTATTAGAGGAAAGTGAAAACAAATGCCTTTCTCATTTGTCTTATTCCTTTGTAAGTATTCTCTGGAAGTAAAGTGTCTATTGGCAAAAAGATCAGTGGCAAATAATTTTTAAAATTAAATACTTTATTAATTATTACAGCAGAATTAGAAAATTTGTTATATACAACTTTCAATATATATTATGCCCATATGATATCTAACATAATATTAAATATTTGATTTGAACAATTAAGTCAAGTGTATCATAGTGCAAACAGCACCAACATTTTTAAAAGTAAATATTAAGCCAATCAAAATATTTGTTATTCATTATAGCCACAGTTATTAAATTGAACCAAATTGGGTTAATTATTAACACACACCTTGGTGAAATCTAGTGTAGCAATATTAATTTACCTTCTTTAACTAGATAGGGAAAAAGCCACGCAGGCCCAGATCTCTGGTTGTTTTCATGTTTGTTACATTTATCTCACTAAAAACAGAAAAGATTAAGACAATTTCTAGATAAGAGGAAATACCCATATCCATGATTTAGTTATAGTTCAAATAACTACTGGTAGACTGCCATGCTCACTATGTATTCACAGCAGTTACAAACACACAAAAAAAAGCAAGCAAGAGAGAGAGAAAAGAAGAAGGAAAAAATGAAGGAAGGAAGGAAGGGAGGGAGAGAGGGAGGGAGGGAGGGAGGCAGGCAAGCAGACAGACTTCATAAAGAGATTAAATCCATAATCAATAAGTAGCTATGAGTATAATAAAAAGTTGCAAACATTAAGGAAGTTAGAAATCTGAAATTAAAAAGAAGAGGTCAGCTTATGGCAGAAGAGAAGCAGTTAAACACATGACTTTACTCCTGCTTCTTACTGATACTCTAATAAAATACAGTACAGATGTAAAGTGCAAAATCCAAAGGGTAAAAGCAAAAGAAAGATTAAAATAGTCAAGAAAGGTTATCTTTTTTTTGGGGGGGGCCTTTGGCCTTTGGAAAGACTGAAAACAGGCATATGGGAAGTTACTGACTTTGCAAAACAAGGAACCTCTTATAATACTTGAGAATTTCTAGATGGGCATAAATTGATAAGAGGTAAATAAATATTTTTACAGAATTCCAGAGACGCTCAGGAAGTGCAGGAACCAGGAACTATAGAAAGTGGTAATGAGCTGTGAAGTTAAAATTTGAATTTTGAGTAATATGTGTAAAACAGTTAAGTTTCTCTCCACATTCCAACTATTTATCTCTCACCAAGCAGAAAACTCAAGTTTTGCACTATAGATTAGAAGTCAGAAAACTACAGCCTTCTGGTCAAAGCCACCCTGCCACCTGACTTTGTACAGACAATGTGAATGGAACATAGCCACACCCTTTCCTTTACATATTGTCTATGGTGGCTTTGGGGTAGAGTTGAGTAGTTCCACAAAAGCTATATGTTCCGCAAAGCCAAAATCATGTATTATCTGGCTCTTTAGAGAAAAAATGTTTGCTGGTATTGATCTAAATACATGAACTAGAGAGAGCCAAACTGAGCTTCACCTAAATGAGAGGCAAAAGCAACAGTGACAGGTTGAAAATAGGGTAATGAAGTAAAACCTGCACACTGTACAGTGAGAGTTTCCAAACCTCTTCCCTTGTCCTCTACTGAAAACACTGAGGCAGGTTAATGTAACCAGGGATGAGACTGGGATAATCTTCTCTAAGAATATGAAATATGAATAGTCTCAAATAATAAAATTCTCCAAATTTCCATTTGTTTTTCTTTCCAATGAAGAGGTGTGTTCACTAGTCTTTAAAGGAAAGCCTACCAGACTACGTGCCATGCACATGTATCCAGAGTTTCAGTCAATATTTTTGTTCCACACTTTGGTTTAAGGAAAGCTTCCATGCTGTGAGGGTTAATTCTAGCACATCTGAAATTAGCCTGAACTATTTTCTGAAGAGATATACTAGCATGATATTGACTCCTAATCAAGGCATGAATTGTGCTTTTCAATTCGTTTCCCAAAAGAAACGTTTCTCAAAAATATAATTTAAAGGCTACCTTTATTCTGAGTTTTTCTTCCTTCTGTCACTGGTGGAGGGTGTCCAAGATTTTTTTTTTTTTTTTTTGGTTGTTGTTGTTGTTGTTGAGACAGAGTCTCACTCTGTCTCTCAGGCTGGAGTACAACGGTGTGATCTCGGCTCACTGCAAACTCTGCCTCCCGGGTTCAAGTGATTCTCCTGTCTCAGCCTCCCAAGTAGCTGGGATTACAGCTGCACACCACCATGCCTGGCTAATTTTTATATTTTTTAGTAGATATGGGGTTTCACCATGTTGGTCTGGCTGGTCTCCTGACCTCAGGTTATCGGCCCACCTCAGCCTTCCAAAGTGCTGGGATTACAGGCGTGAGGCACTGCGCCCGTGCCCGGCTGTGTCCAGGTTTTTGATGTCGTGAACAAAGAATTGGACAAAATGCACAAATGAAGCAAGGAAGGAATGAAGGGATTTATTGAAAATGAAAGTACCCTCCACAGTGTGGGAGCAGGCCCAAGTATAGGGGCTCAAGGGCCCAGTTACAGAATTTTGCAGAGTTTAAATACCCTCTAGAGGATTCCATTGGTTACTTGGGGTATGCCCTATGTAAATGAGGAGGATGAAGTAAAGTTACAAAGTCATTTACTGTGGAGAGGATATTTCCTGTCATAGCTGAAGTGTGAATTGGCCTTAAGTTCCCTGCTTCTAGACCCTGTTTTCCTGCCTCATCTTCCCCTTGAGAGATGTGATCCACATAAATCTTTATGGGGGGCAGAGGGACCAATGGTCTTTTTTCTGTAACTGCTTCGTGCTGGCTTGGGGCATAGTCATTACTATAGGGGATCATGGAACTCTCGCCCTGCTCTGTCTAGTGGACACAGGTTAGCTTCTTGATACCCAGGGGTGGTGTCTTCACCTGGAACTGGCTGGAACCTTTGATGCATGATCATCTGAAGTTTGATGATCTCCAGGCAAGAGGAAATGAATTTGGTTAAAAGATTTAATGGGAACTTCATGGGGTGGATACTTATTCAGTCAAAAATGTTTGTTATAGAGACTTGCAGGAGAAAACAACAACACCCGGTCTATTCTAGGATCTATGTGTTTCCTTAAAGTCTTAGCACAAACAACTCCATTTTGGTTTGGTTTGGTCTGTTGGGGCCTAGTGCATGAGCTTAGCCCAGAATAATGCCTTCCAGAAGTTTGTTTAAAAAAATTCCCTATTTTTGGTCAGGTTCTCACTTAGGTGAGAGTGTGACCACTTAGGTGAGAGTGTGACAGTATGCAAACAAACAGATTAGGTTGCGACCAAAACTTAGGGCCTTAGAGCCACACTCAACTATCATTACTTTGCGCCTCCAGTCTCAGCATGTCACTCATAGGTTATGGTGGCCTCATGGTTGCACATCTCCCTCAGCTCTTGTCATACTAGTTGAAGAGAGACCATTTGATGTCCCAGAGATAGCTGCACACAAACATTCAAAATCTCTGAGAAATGCAGTGCACCAGGGGGACCACCACAATGACCATTGGGAGGACAACACCAAGAGCTTGGAGCATTCTCCCCAACCAGGGTCCCCACAAACAAAACCACCCAAAATTTAATAGATTAAAAAAGGAGTTAGATGAAGAGTCTACTCGCTTGACTAACTGTTTTTTACATTAATCCCCTACAACTGAATTTTTATAATCTGCATTTGATGTATTTCTCATAGGCCACAGTATTTTTCTGTTTAGCCAATTATATTGTTTAGCACAACTTTCACAAGCGAATAATGCAAAGTCTGTTGTGCACCGATAGCTCTCAGAGTAGAATCTGCTATAGGGCCTATCATGAGGGACACACTTCCAATCATTGCTTCCTTTACCTTAAACCATGGAAAAAGGATGCAACAAATGATGCCCTTCTAGAATGCTGCAGGTCTCCAGGCAATGCTCTCCTTAGCCCATGATGTGGGCTAAGAGGAGTGAACCAATGTTTTGTTTTTGACTGATTATGAGGCAACGTATGCACCGCTAAAGTTTCTTACATACATTGGGCCCTCATGTTTTATCCATCAAAGTATAAGGTTATCCATGTGTATGGCTGGCTGCACACTCCTTCACAAATAAAAGTACACCCCATTAGTGCACATAAGAGACCTCCTTTTCACTTCTTTTGATCATAGAGGCACAAGCAAGAAAAAATATTCAAGGATAAGAGTTTCATGAGAGTAGAAGTCTTAATCCATGAACCTGGAAAAAGATATTCACATCAAGGATGGCACCCTTCTCCTGGGAGAAACCTCCCTGGTAAGTTTTACCCCAAGGGTTCCAATGGGTGTACAGTTCCAAGATTGTGGAGTGACCCCTCTCAGTTGTGAGACCATGAACCCAAAGCCCAAGGTCTCAAAGTTTTGCTGCAGTGTGGATGGCAAGGACAGTCCCTGTCTGATGCCTCGAGAAGACCCAAACCATAAAAAGTTTTCCCCATCTGGTGAAAACACACAATAGCATAACAATCCACTATTACAACATCAGACTCTTGTGTGGGAAAGCCTTCATACAACTAGAAAATATGCATTGAAAATAACAACTGAATGAAATCTCTTTACCAAATGTTTAAATGGACCACCAGATGACCAAATGTATGTGATGCTGTAATTGTTTTCCCAGGAATATGGTATCAAGCACTGGTTATAAACTGTTTCAAACGATTTCAATATCAGCTGATTTAACATGAAAATCTGACAAAGTATTTTCCCGGCATTCAATTAATTTTTTTGTTCTATTTGGGTTAGTAGCTTTATACAAGGAAATTTGGTTATTTCTGTGGTCTACAATAACTTAACATAATAATCATACTTAGACATTAGAATTTTAGAAATGCCATATCATCCTAGAAAATACATTAGTATTATTCACAAAAATATAACCTAAAGAAGATTGAACATCATTTTGGCAATCCCATGTACCCAAACATGTCAAATAATCCCACTTACCCCCCTTCTGGTTGTTTTCAGGTGCCCTCTTATCCATCTAAAAAGCCAGGCATTGGGAAAGACAATTCTGAAACTGAAATTTGATTTTGGATATCCAGATCACCATAAATTATTTATTTTACCAAAATGATGACTCAGAAATTTTAAAGAAGAAAAAACTTTTTATAATCTTTTATCAAAAACAACCCCACTAATTCTACTGTTCTTAAACACCTTGCATGTAAAACTGTTTCTGGTAGTCTCAATTGCATGATATATGATGAATTTTAACATAAAACCTGCTAAGTTTTGTTCTGATAAGGTTTGACTGTTTCCAGCACAGCTAGGTATACGGCCAACACTGCATGTCCCCAGGCCTTACCTAGCAGGAAAGCAGGCAGGTTAAACAATTCTCAAAAGCCAAAGAAGCAGCTTATGACCTTAATGCATTAAGGAAACCTAATATTTAAACGTAATTTAGACCACATGTTTACATTTTGAAGACATATGTATTTTACCAATAATCTATAAAGCCGTCTTTATTTCCCACAAATTACTCAAGTCACATGAACTAAATAAAAGACATTACATTTCTCACTTTTCTGACAAAATATTTAATGTAAGCTCTTCTTCTTATTTAAACCAATTAATGTAAAACTTTACAGAGGAGATAGACAGTGATTTTTACTTTGTATTTAACCAGTTGCATAGAGAGAAAGACTGAGTGGTAAGAAATTCTTGCTGTTTTGCCAGCATGCCAGGTTTCTGGGTTCTCTCCCCCTGAGCAGCCCTGGAGAGCCTGCTTGACAGTATACAAACAAACACATTGCCATGAATTAAGAATATTCACAAATAGTTTACAAATTTTAGAGAAACCAGGCAGAGAGAGAAATATGACTCCAATTCTATTTATGAAAGTAAACTCAACACACTTAAAGTATAAGGAAGCCTAAAATTCAAAAAGTTAGTTTAAAGATAGAAAGCTGGTGTGCTCCATTAATTCCTGCTGTCCCAATACAGGTAGCTTAGGAATTCTAGATAAATGGAATGAATGATGACTGCTAGAAATACATAGGAAACAAAATAAGTATTCACAGAACCAAATAAAAGTCTTCCACCAGAAACTAAAAAACATCATAGTTTTATCCATATATGCATACACAAGCAAAGCCAGAGGAGAATAAACAGCAAACGAACAAAAACTAGAAGCAAAACAAATAAACAGGAAACCAATCCTAAATTTTCTTACTTAATTTACTCTGGAGGCCACAGTATTACCTTGGTCCCCCCAAAACCCACATAATGAATATTTTATTCCTGATACACAATTTAATATCCTTAAGTTCACCAATATTATTATATATCCTGTGCAATTAAGAAATTCATTTTAGGCACATTAGCAATAAGTACCTCTTATTGCATGCTCTATACATGCAAAACAGTAAACATAGTATGAAGCAATGCAAGCATGTATGTGAAATTTGGCTTTACACTAAATCCAGCTTCAGGCTTAACTATATTTAAAAAAGAATTGCCAAACTGCCAATGCATTTTTTACAACACTTCTTATTTTACTTTAATTAAGACTAAGAGCTTTAACTATGAAAATGTTAAGAAGCCAAATGTCTCTGATTCTTTATCAAGATTTTAAGAATATTTTATTATTTAAACTTTTTCCATATCTTTCTCCCCTACTTAATGGTTCCTTACTACATTGTTTCATAAATAACCTTTTCAAATCTATAGTTTGAACTAACTTTTAGGTAACTCCACAATTAGACAAAATTATTCTCTTTTTTTTCACTAGTAACATAACCCTTCCTGGCACATGTTGTATACAGAATTATGTGTTAACTAGAATTCTTATACTTAGTAACCTAAAACTTGTGAAACCCTAGAAAGCAAGAAATCCTGAACTATCACATATGGACATTTATAGATAAGTACAGTTCCACAATTTTAGAAACGTATTTCCCCATATAACAACCCCTTCTTAATTGGAAATGACCCAGATAATAAATGAGCATCAAAAGTAACTTTAAGATTTAATTTTACACAGAAAGTTTACCTAAAACATTAATCCCATTCACTGTACTTAATTTTTACTTTTAATAAAGGAGACATGAGACATCAACCAACATATGTAAAATGAACATTGGTTTCATCCAGAAAGGCAGGACACCTCGAGGTGAGGAGCAGGATTGAGGGCTTTCAGATCATAGGTAGGCTGGAGACAAATGGTTGCATAATTTTGGGTTTCTGATTAACCTTTCCAAAGGAAGCAATCAGATACGCATTTATCTCAGTGAGACTTTGAATAGAACGGAAGGCAGGCTCGCCCCAAGGAGCTCCCAGCTTAAATTAACACTCACATTTTAAAATATCTAGGAAAGACAAACATAACATTCAGACAAAAGGTACGCTGACAATTCTGAAGGCATTTTTGTTTTTATTCCACCAAGAATTTTAAAGCTAGCTTGTTCAGTAAAGTTATATTTTAAGTCACGTGAACTTGAAAATTGCTTAGACTTATTTACATAATTTATGAGCGCTCTTTTATTTATAAGCCAATTTGGTAGACACAACATACAGCAAGTGTACATACAAATAAACACATCTAGACATGTACACACAGACATAAACGAAGATCCAATAGCTTGGAACCTTAGCCATGAGATAGCAATATAAGCTTCTCGGTTTTACTTTGCCCCAATCGATAATCCAATGAAGGCTGTGAACCAAAATTTCAGGTAAAGTAGTCTCCATGGCAGTTTGAGTTTTAAAGGCCAAACCTCCCCTGACTCCAAGGAGCACTGGGGCCAAACAGTATCAAAGGAGGGCATCACACGTTAACCAGACGCCCTGCTTAGAATCATAGCACGAAAGCCTGGATACATGCAACACCATTCCACTTTCCCATTCAACGGTAAACTCCAAATTCCAAACAATGTTGGGGCCAAACAGCATTGCAACTGTGAGAGAACATTCTAAGGAGGCCTTAGTACGGGACCTCAGAACCTCTGCCAAGAGTATCCCCTTTGGGCAGGTTGAAATCTGCAGGACCCCCAGAGCATCCTTCTGTGGGGGTCCAATCTTAGAGTGTCAGACGTCTCTGACCTTAGGTGGGCACAGGCGCCACATGTAGGTTTTCCCTTCCAGAGCCTACTATGAGCTTTACAAGAATAGCCATGAACTATAATAAGAAGACCTGGATGCCAGGTGGGCCTCTTTGTCCTTAGCCAGTTGAGAACCTTAAGGGAAGAATTTAGCATAAGAAAAGAAGGTTTAAGTCCTCTGAAACATGTGCGAGTGTGCTCTGAGCTGTGCGGCATGTAGGGATCAGGCACCATGCATGGAAAAGATTTAAAAAAAAAAGTCATTTTCCCTTTGGAATAGGGCAATTGTAAATAGCCGCTGAAATGCTGAAAAAGAAAGAAGGGAAAAAAGAAATGAAGAAGACCCAGGTCCCTTAAGCAAACCGGGCAGTGGCAGTCAGGCTTCTCCACATGGAAACCCCTTAGTTTCACCGGCCACAGCCAGAAACCTGTAGTTGCTTCCATGTTTAGGCGCTGCCCACCAAGGGTCCTGGGTTGAAAAGGAAAAGAGAGAGAGAGAGAAAGAGAGAGAGAGAGACAGAGAGAGAGAGAGAGAGAGAGAGATTCCTCTGTATACAGCAGAAAGGAAAAGGAGAAAGGAGAAAAATAAATCCCAATCTTTGGGCTCACCTTTTCCTCCTGGCTGTCACCCGTGGTGTCGAGATTTTTGGTGTTGTGAACAAAGAATTGGACAAAACGCACCAACAAAGCAAGGAAGAAATGAAGGGTTTTACTGAAAATGAATGTACCTTCCACTGCGTGGGAGCAGGCCTAAGCATAGGCAGTCAAGGGCCCCGTTACAGAATTTTGGGGAGTTTAAATACCCTCTAGAGGATTCCTTTGGTTACTTGGGGTATGCCCTATGTAATGAGGAGGATGAAGTAAAGTTACAAAGTCATTTACTATGGAGAGAACATTTCCTGTCGTAGCTGAAGTGTGAATCAGCTTTATGTTTCCTGCCTCCAGACCCTGTTTTCTTGCCTCACTTCTTAGAGGAAGATATCTCTTAGAGGAAGATATGCCCCACTTCATATTGAATTATGTGCACCTTTATATTAGGGAATAGAAAAGAGAAATATATTTATTTGCCATTAAAATAAACAACAAACATGTTTCTATGGATTTAGTGTGTGTGTGTGTGTATGCGTGCATGCACTTACTTGATCAGGGTTGAATTCTTAACTATAGTATAAGAGATTCCTTTGCAAAGGCTATTTATAAAATAATAAAAGCGATTTCTGAAGGAAGAATAATCTTGAAAGTGTTATTTACTCCATGCACTCTGGCTCAGTAAATAAATTGTACACAGATACAGTTTATTGTAAAAAGAAGAATCTCTGTACAGAGCAAAGATTACTGCACTTGCATGCTCAGCAGGAATCCCTCATGCTTTTGTATTTGTGCCAAAGTACTTTTGGTAATATTAATTGAAAGGAGCCACATGGTATTTTAAATAGAGTCATGGGAATTTATCCCATTATACAGCTGAGTAACTATACAAAACATCCATCAGTACTGACCACACCATCAAATATTGCATTGTGGCATCAACCCAAGACATTGCATTTATCTAATCATTGACTTTACATTTACTTCAATCTATTTCAAGACAAGAAATGAAATGCTTGCTGCAAAATTACATTTCCAGCAATTTCTGATAAAGGAAGCAGATGAACTTTGAATGGAGCAATTGTTTTCCAAATGGATTTTTAAGACATGGTATATTGGGTCTTGAGTTCATTGATTTGTACTGGGCCAAAAGGCACAGGTTGAAAGGGAAAATCACTCCAGTAAAAGAGAGTTGGAAAGAGACTGCTTGTTCCCTGAAGCAGAGGCCTCTAGCCAAATTTTAAAAGCTGCTCACAGAGCAAATTTCTTTTGATTGCTTAAAATAAAATTTAAATTACTATAAGCACAAGAACATTTTACATCTTTTGGGACATTTTAAAGAGAAAAATGGTTTAGCTCATTAGATGATTCTAATTGGAAGTATCAGAAACGGGATATAGAACCTTTTACCCCCAGGTTTACCATTTGATGAATGTAGGCCAAGGTTAAAAGTGATTATAATTCATTTCATTGTGTAACATTAGTGTAAGGAATAAGACTTTTATCAAGATAGAAACACTTGAATTGTCAGATAGGAGGATATTCACAGGTCATTATTTCTAATTTTAGGACCTAAAAAAATTTTTCTTGTGGTTTACAAAAATGCATTTACTTATAAGAAGCAAAATAGCAAGTTTTCCCCAGGTAAGCATCTAATTTTTAGATGTCAACACATAGCCTTTAACTATTTTATCCCCAGCTAAAATAACTACAGGTAATCTTCCTATTCACTAATTCAAATACATTTTTGTTGCCTATAAACTCTTTGCTTCAACATTATCCCATATATATGTTATAATAATAATGAAAAGTTTATTGTCTTTTAGTATCATTAACTGTAGTCTTTTCTTCCTTTTATCACATAAAAGGTAAATAAGCATACACAGATATCATTTTTTTCACTTTTTATAATTTTGAAGTCATATTTTCCATAATTAAGGACAAGGTGTGTACAGATTTCTTAAATTATTCTCCTTGAAATTTAATGTAACTTAAACACATGTATAATATTTACAAATCTTTTGTAAATTAGACTGATTCCTATCTTGCTTTCAAGCTGCTGTGAAATTTAGGGAAGGGTATGTCCCAAAATCTCTCATCAAGGAATCTTGCTCTTATAGCATTGGATGGGACTGCCCAGTGATCCTGAGGATGCATTCAATTTAAAGAATCATGTCATGTAGTGTTCTGCCACGGAAAGAGTAGCTTACTCTTCTAGAGGAAGAATGTTCAAAACAAAGTGCTAAAAAAGCAATGCTCTCTTTGTGACTAAATCCAGGGTTATTCATTTGGATTTTAATCCAAAATGTTACGATTTAAAAATTGTAGCTTTTTGTTTGTTTTTACTCATTTCTATTTCCAAAATATGGATAAAATAACTGGCTTTAAAATGGAAAAATTAATTATTATTGGCCATTTCAGACTCATAAGTAATCCATTCTGAGGCTTACAAGTGGATGACGTGGAAATTTCAACCTACTATAAAGAGAAACTGAGAGGTGTTATTTTAATAATTTATCATTGAAATTAATGTAATCACATATCCAAAATGTGTCTAATCCCCTCACATATCTGGTCTTCAACACAAAGACCTTCTCTCCTTCCTTCTCTCTCTCTTACTCTCTTTATTCTCTTCTCTTTCTTTCTTTATACCCCATTTTGTCTGTCATCCTTTAAAAATAAATTAACATGTTATTTTTCTGGCTTTGGTGTAGCCTACTGGCTGTGAAAATAGATTTTAAACATTTAGATTTACAAATGGATTGATGTGAATGAAATATTTACTGAAGAGCCTAAGCACATAAGAAAATGAGAGTATTCAATAAATGGTATTTGATGGTGTAGAATTTCATGTTTAATGGTGGAGTCATATGTTTCAAGATAGCAAAATATATAAAGATCATAGCCTGCTTGAATATGGGAATTTCAATGTATAATTCTTCATTTTGCATTCTTCCATGAAATCTGCATCTTAAAAGACATTTTACATGTGCAAAAACCCCACAAATTATCAGCAGGTAAACATGAAACTGAATTATTAGATACTATGTTTTATAATATGAGATTATCATAAATAATCACTAATAATATGCTATAGATGGACTATATTCAATTCTCTAATTTTGACTAAGTTTGTATAGGATGAGGAAACATTTTTATATATTACCTACAAATAATGTATGGTAGTATTACTTTTAGCATGTTCTATATGTGGAGATATTTTGTAGTTTTTTTTAATTTTGTAATTTTGTTTTCATTTTAATTTTAGCTCAGCTGTTATCTAATGTCACCCTACTGTTAAGTTATCCATGATATTGACTTAAACCCACATTCTATATGGCACAAAAATTATATGACAATATCATACATCCACCCACCTCTGTCTCAAGATTAGGGTAAACAGCTTTTGTGGCTTACATCCTCATAATTATCTGTTGCTCAGAATTTCTCCTTCCACCAAATGCATTCACTTGGTGAATCAGTTTCATACACCACCCATGTTTTCCACTATATATATACTTGGATGTAAAGCTGCCTGTTCATATCACACACATACAAACTCTTGTGGCATTTGTGTGTTCTGCATAGTTTATTGAATATTTTAGAAAATGGTAACAATTATCCCCAAAATAGAATCTACGTAATACTGAATAACAGCATTTGTTATTCTAAAAGTAGTTGGGTTTTCTCCAAGTCTTCACTGACAACTACTTACTTGTCATGCCTGCTCAAATAGTGTCTGTCCTCATGACACCTTTTTGGTTGTTTTTTCTTCCTTTTTCTCTCTTCCTTTTTTATAGTGAAAAAAAAAATTATGGAAACTAACGAAATGTTCTATTTCTTATGCAAAGAAATGTAGTCCTCCTTAATTTCCCCCTCTCCATTTAGGCTCCGCCAATGTCCCTTACTCTCCATCAAAGAAATTTCTCAATAGAAACTACTATCCTTCAAGGTAAATTATTTTTCTACTTGTCAATACTATAAGTACTTACATAGTTGGACCTTGAGACAATGTTTACTAGTCTCTGTTATAACAGCTTACTTTAAAAAGGCCTGCTTATGGCTGGGTGTGGTGGCTCACGCCTGTAATCCGAGCACTTTGGGAGGCAGAGGCGGGTGGATTGCCTGAGCTCAGGAGTTCGAGACCAGCCTGGGCAACACGGTGAAATCCTGACTCTACTGAAATACAAAAGAAATTACCCAGGCATGATGGCGTGCACCTGTAGTCCTAGCTACTCGGGATGCTGAGGCAGGAGAATTGCTTGAACCCGGGAAGTGGAGGTTGCAGTGAGCCGAGATTGCACCACTGTAATCCAGCCTGGGTGACAGAGCAAGACTCCATCTCTACAAAAAATAAAAATAAAAAGGCCTGCTTATAATGACTAACATATTGAAAGAGTATGATTATTTTACAATAGGTAGATTATATTACCTATATGTAATACAGCCTTCCAAGGTCAACTCCTCCCCCAACTCTATGAAAACCAGGTAACCATTGAGCAATTTGTCACTAGTAAATGCCTAACTACATATCATATAATTATCTCCTGAAATCAGTTGTCTTACAACTTTAAATATAAAGGAACACTGTCTATGGATTCTGTATTAAAGTCACTCACTAGGATGCTAATGGCTTCATTGGTTCATTTTTGTTATTCAATTATTTATTTAATCCCTACCATGTCCCGGTCAAGATAAGAGATGCAGTGAATATGAAAGACACAGAGTCATTCCTCATAGATCCCATTGACAGAGAAGGGAGACCATCTTCAAAGCTATATTCTTTCTGATGATTTAGCTTCCAATGTCCTAAAAATTGATTATTCCAAAGCTAGTGTATTTCTGTTTGAAATAATGTATCTTGTGAATGTTTCTCAGCACTAACTGAATATAAATCAATAATAATAGTACTGCTAAATACACTACTGGCATCTATATATAAATTGAAGTTCGGTCAACTGTCAACTTCCAAAAGACCTCCAGAAAATTTTACTTATGAAGCAAATCTACATTTATTACACTTACTAGAGTAAGGTAAAACTCCATTTTTTCTTTTTCTTTTTTTTTCTTTTCTTTTCTTTTTTTTTTTTTTTTTTTTTTTTTTTTTTTTTTTTTTTTTTTTTTTTTGACATAGAGTCTTGCTCTGTAGCACAGGCTGGAGTGCAGTGGCATAGTCACAGCTCACTGCAGTCTTGATCGCTCAAGCTCACGTGGTACTCCTATCCCAGCCTTCAGAGTGGCTGGGACTATAGGGACACACCATCATGCCTGGTTAACTTTTTGCATTTTTTTCATAGAGACAGGGTCTTACTATGTTGCCCAGACTTGTCTCAAACTCCTGAGCTCAAGCAATCCTCCTGCTTCAGCTTCCCAAAGTGCTGGGATTACAGGCATGAGCCACCTTGCCCAGCTTAGAACACAATCTTGACCGAGATTTAGTAGTGTCTCAAAACCTGCACTGAGTGATTATGGGTGGATCTTCTAAGTCAGGAAAATGTTTGGCTTTGGTCAAAGTATATGATATAATGGCTTTGTATTAAACAGGAAGACTGAAGACTTGAAATGCTTGGTTGCATTTTTTTAGTAAGTTATTTTATTTGCTTCATAGTTTTCTAGGAGCATTCATTTTATGGAGCAAGTAGGTTTTCTTATTGTTATTATTATTGTTTTTGCTATTCTCAGTATTATTTAGCATAGCAAAAGGAAAATGTAACCAATTTCAGCATTGTGTAATGCAGGAATAAATATTAGTTTGTTTCAGTTTTAGACTCAGGGAAAGAATACAATAGGATATTCTCAGAAAAAAATTTTAGGCATTTTTTTATGAGGCACATTTGTAAAACTTTTTATTGCATTGGGATTTTCCCTTTGCTGACATTCCTAACACTAATATAATATTACATAATACAATATGTTTTATACACACACAAAAACACACACACATACACACACACGTGATCTTCATTGCATTTTTTCCATCCTCCAAAGCAAAAGAGCCCTGAGCACCAACTATCATTCCTCATATATAGTCTGTCCCTCTTATCACAACTTACTTCTTCTTTAAGGGATCTTTCCACAGTATTATACCAAACATCCTGCATCCTCACTGCTATCAAGCTTTTTTCTCTACAATCAAGCCTGCATGCTTCATCTACAGAGGACCACTGCTAAAAAATAAACCATTCATGAAATATACTTTCAAAAATCTCTTACAATGACTTCCAATTTACTACAGGGCATCACCTAAAACTTTGGCAAGCTCTTTAGTAATGAAATCTATGGTGATCAAATATTATCTTAACTCCTAATTTGCCACTTCCCTTACTATCTCCACTGGGTGCTCTAGACACTTTGAACTCCCCACCATTATTGGGTACAATTTTACCCATGTTTTTCTCTTTGCATGAAATGACCTTTTCTTTGTGTGTCCACTTAACTTTTTTTTTTTATCCTTCAAGTCTCATTATAGGCATTTTGTTCTTAGGAAAATTTTTCTAATGGTTTAAAGTAAAATTACTTATCCCTACTCAAATCATGCTTACAAACAGTTTTGGAAATTTTAGAGCTTCCTAAAAAAGTCTAACTAAACCTACTTAATAATCATGAGATACATCTGTATTAGTAATCCAATAAATTATAAAAATCCATTCATTTATTAATCATACATAAATTAAATAACCAAAGGAAGAACTCTGCATTTGAATAAATAAAAATAAAACTGTCATGTTCAGAAAGTTAAAAGTCTGAACTAATCGCTATTTATCAAAATGGCTTCAGTGAAAGTTAGGAGATAAAATCAGAATGAAGGGGGTTGAGGTGTCATTGAGAGGGGAGGAACAAGAACGTATCACACTCTCAACATGTTGGGTGTGTTAGAATGGACAGATTAGGTATAAGGATGAACTAGTTATAATTCAGTAGACAGAGAGGATAACAGTTTTATCAAAATCCAAGAAGTAAAACGAGGTAGTAACTAGATAAAACATGAACAGTTAAATTACTCTCGAACTGGAAAAGTGATATGAAATCCAGAGATGGGAAGAAAGAGGAAAAGAGTAAATGCAGATGTAAATATATGCCTAAGTGATCGCTAACATATATATGAAGATGGACACAACGCAATCTGCTGAGAAAGAACAGTCCCTTGACTGGGTAGGAGACTTCAGGGAAGGACATCTGAAATAGCAATTGAGGATATAAAGTTGCTGATCAAGGATAAGGGAACAGATTAATGTGTTGCTTTGAGAGATCAGGTATGTGGAGATTGAGAATGTATAATGGCAACAAAGTATAAATTTTATATAATTGTTATCAGAAGCTCTTAGAACATGAACTGATTCCAGTTTGGGAACAAGCATGTTTTAGGAAAGAGGCCTTCTGAAGGAGATATATATATATATATATATATATACACATATATATATATGTATATATGTATATATATATGTATATATATATACACATATATATATATGGCTTGTGAATATATATATAAATATATATATATAGCTTGTGAATATATATATATATAGCTTGTGAATATATATATATATATATTTTTTTTTTTTTTTTTTTTTTGCTTGTGAGGCAGAAAAAACAAGGGGTTTGGGAAAGAGGATGATAGTAAGAGATACTCAGTCACAGATATATGAATCGGCTTTTCTTTCGGCAACAACCCTAAAATCTCAGTGTCTAATGGCAACAGGCTTTATTCTTTGCTGACAGATATGCAGGTCAGCATTTACTGTATTTGTCTCTGTTCTACTTCTCCTGTCTTCTTTTAAAAATTTTCCCTAAATTGGTATTGGTCATGTCTACTGACATTCCATTGGTCAAAGGAAGCAATTTCACATGATCAACCTTGACCATGACATAGGCTCTCATCTTCTACACTGAGGATTGGCAAACATAAGAAATATAAAGATCTTTTAGGAAGGGAGTAAATAACTGGAAATAATACAATGTATCACACTGAAAAGGAAAGATGTGTGATATTATGGTAGTTTATGGGTTAGAATAAAATGAAATGGAAAAGGAACTGAAGATTAAAATAAAACAATAGTAAGTTTAATGGGAAGAAATGATTGCAGCATCCTGGAATTTGATGTCAGTTGGTAGCTTATTAAAATATCTGAGGTAGACCACTTAGCAGCAATGTAAATGTGTAGGTTGTGGTCATAAGATAATGTGGCTGAAACAGTAGGCTGGTGGCATAATTCATTAGAAGTGTGGAGGACAAGTAATTGTGTGACTGGAATTTGAAGTTGTTAACACATGAATTATGAAAAGATCTAATTTGATAACAAGATCAATTGGGGGATAAGAAATTTGTGAATTCCATATATGGCAGAAGGACAGAAAGCAATTCTATTAAATATGAAAATGCCAGTAGCAAAACTTATAGAATTCACTCTGCTGTTCAGCACAGATAGAAGTTGGGTCAAATATAAATTACATGGTTTGAATATATGTCTCCCCCAAATCTCATGTTAAAATGTAATCCCCGGTGTTGAAAGTGGGGCCTGGTGAAAGGTGTTTTGCTCATGGGATTGATCTGTCATGTCTTGGTGCTGTCCTTGCAATAGTGAGTGAGTTATCTCACAAGATCTGGTTGTTGTAAAGTGTAGTGCCTCCCTCCCTACTCTGTCTCATGCTCCTACTCTTACCATATAATGTGCCTGATCTCTCTTTGCCTTCTGCCATGATTGGAAGCTTCCTGAGGCCTCCCTATAATCAGATGCCACTATGCTTTCTGTACAGCCTGCAGAACCATGAGCCAAATGAATCTCTCTTCTTATAAATGACTCAGTCTCAGGTATTTATATAGCCATGCAAGAATGGCCTAATACAGAAAACTTGTACTCAGGAGTGGAGTATTGCTACAAAGATATGTGAAAATTTGGAAGCAGCTTTGGGACTGGATAACAGGGAGTGTTTGGAAGAGTTTGGAAGTCTGAAAAGAAGGTAGGAACATGAGAAAAAGTTTGCAGCTTCTTTGAGACTGATTTATTGGTTGTGACCAAAATGCTGATAGTGATATAAACAGTGAAATCCAGGCTAACGAGGACTCAGATGGACATGAAAATCTTACTAGGAACTGGAGCAAAAGTCATGTGTGTTATGCCTTAGTAAATAATTTGTTTGCATTCTGTTTATACCCTAGGGATTTGTAGAAGTTTGAATTTGAGATTGATGACGTAGGGTATCTGGCAGAAGAAATTTCTAAGCAGCAGAACATTCAAGATGTGGCCTGGCTGCTTCTAACAACCCATGCTCAGATGCAAAAGCAAAAAAAAAAAAAAAAAAAAAAAAAAGACTGAAATTTGGAACTTATATTTAAACAGGAAGCAGAGCAGAAAGATTTGGAAAATCTGCAGTCTAGCCCCGTGGCAAAGAAAGAAAAAGATTTCTGGTGAGAGGAATACAAGCAGGCTTGTAGAGCAATTACTTGCTAGAGATATTTGCATAGGTGAAAGGGATCCAAGTGCTAATATCCAAGACAGTGGGGAAAAGGCCTCAAAGGCATTTCAGAGACCTTCATGGCAGCCCCTCCCATCACAAGTCCTGGGGCTAGGAGGAACGAATGGCTTTGGAGGTCAGGCCCAGGTCCCCACTGCCTGCACAGCTTTGGGACAATGCTTCCCACATCTCAGCTGCACCAGCTATAGCCATGGCTAAAAGGGACCCAGGTACAGCTTGGACTGCTACTTTGGAGAACATAAGCCATAAATAAGCCTTGGAAGCTTCCATGTGGTATTAAGCCTACAGGTGCACAGAGTGCAAGAGTGGTAGATTATTGGCAGCTTCCACCTAGATTTCGGAGGATGTTGGAAAAGCCTGTGTGTCCAGGCAGAAGCCTGCTGCAGGAGCTGACTAATCATAGAGAACCTGTACTAGGGCACTGCAGAGGAAAAATGCGGGTTTAGAGGCCCCACAAAGAGTCCCCACTGGAAAACTCACTAGTGGAGTTGTGGAAGAAGGCCATCATCCTCCAAATGCAAGTGGTAGAACCTCTTGCATCCTCCAAATGCATCCTCCAAATGCAAGTGGTAGAGCCACTGGCAGCATGCACTGTGAACCTGGAAAAGCTGCAGGCCCACAACTCTAGCCCATGAGAATAACCTCAGGGACTGCACCTTGCAAAGGCACAGGGGCAGAGCTGCCCAAGGCTTTGGGAGCCCTGCACCAGTTTGTCTTGGATGTGGGACATGGGGTCAAAGTATATTATTCTGGAGCTTTAAGATTTAATGACTGCCCTGCTGGGTTTCAGATTTGTGTGGGGCATGTAGCCCCCTTTGTTTGGCCCATTTCCATCTTTTGGAATGGGAATGTTTACCCAATGCCTATATCCCCATTGTATCTTGGAAGTCAGTAACTTTTTAATCTTATTTTACAGGCTCATAGATGAAATCTTATCTCAGATAAGATTTTGGATTTTGAGTTAATGCTAGAATGAGCTAAGATTTGGGAGACTGTTGGGAAGGCATGATTGTATTTGGCAATGTAAGAAGGACATGAGTTTGGGGGGGCTGGGGCAGAATGATACAGTTTGAGTATATGTCCCCACCAAATTTCATGTTGAAATGTTGGAAAAGGGGCATCATGGGAGGTGTTTTTGGTCATGGGAAAAGCAAGTCACATGTCTCTCTCTCACTCAAGTCTTGAGTATTGATTCTACAAGGACATACCAGGAGGTGTGGATCACTTGGAACCATTTTACAAGTATACCTGCAACACAGGTAGGTCTCCACAGATTTAAAAATATATCTGTACTTTGCCTGGGTTCAGAATATCAACCATCTATGATCTTTTCATAGGTTTATGGTCATGACTTTTTTAAAGACGTTAAAGAACCCATAACTTATTTAACATTGGCTATAACAGATATAATTTATTACTATAATGAAAACTGTCTGTCTTTGGGCTATGCCTCCTGTGCTCCAGGAAAGCCTCAATAAAGGTCTTCGCTTAGCGATAAGTTTTTTCTCAAACAAATTTAACTATTTCAACTGACCATCATTGGAAACAATTGTTGAAAGTTCAATTTGAGATAATTGGAGAATAGATCACTCGCAAACAAGAAAACAAAGAAACTCCATCTAAGAATGTGATCGTCAGTCATTTATTCTACCCTGGATAGTCTATTAAGTGTCAGCTTTCCAACTTTAATAGGGTTCCCCATTAAAGGCAGTTTAGCCCTTTTTTTCCCAGATCCTGCAGCCTGATTTGTTACAACTTCTAAAACCATTTTTACTGTAACTGTTTTGACTGCAAACAGTAACATTATCAAAACAAATATTTAATAAGGTCCTACCAAGAGCCAGACACTTTAAATCCCTTACCTTCCTTAATTCATTGCAATAATCCAAAATACAAAGGAATTATAAAATGCAGATTTTAATTAATTTAAGAAAAATATAGCTAACAGTTAAGATTGGAACAGATGACTTTGAAACACCTTCTGTGTACTGGAAAGTTACATTCCCTTCTAGTCCAAAATTCTTTAGATACGGCATTAAAGGTAAATGCAGAGAATAATTACAATAAAGTACCTCTGTAAAGCACCATTCGTATGAATAGCTCAAAGCACTATTTTGCATTACCTCATTAATCTTTGTGGTATCCTACTGAGTGAGGGTGGCAGGGATTTTATTTCACTTTTATGGATTTCTTTATAAGTGAAAAAAGAACTTTAACTTTCGGGTGCCTTCTCCACAGCATATCAATGACTGCTTGAACTGAAAGGTGGTAGGCTTAGATCTTCTATTCCAAAATACTTCATTAATTGTTAAATCATTACTATTAACTTTGATTTTTAACTATTAACTTAATACAGTTAATAGTTTAACTATTAACTTAATACGGTTAATAGTTTAACTATTAACTTAATATGGTTAATAGTTAATAGTTATGATTTAACAATCATGGTTAATAGTAACCTGTGAGAAATTTAGTTATTATGTAGGGAATCCCCCAACCTGTATCATCAAAATTATGTGGAGATTCCTTTGTGTGGTACAGATATTCAGATATTCTATTATCCTATTTCTCCAAAGACTTTTGGCTCAACTTCTTAAGTGATGACTTTTTTAAAAAAATCTGCATTATTATTATTATTATTATTTTGTAAATGGACGAGAAATGGTGGGGCAAAGGTGAGTGAACCATTACACTTCCATGTGTTCAATGCCTCTATTTACCACCTTCCATTTCACGTAGCTGCCTCTGCTATCACTGTATTCCTGGTTCAGAATCACTCTGTATTCTTCAGGAGCATTCAATTGTATCTTCTGTTATTGTTAAGCTTTTTTCAAATTTGTTTTTATTTTACCAGTACATTCATTTTATTTTTTGTCTTCCTGAGAATTTTTAGAAATTCTTATTCATGCATATTTTTCATTATGTATCTTTTATTGATGGAAAAAATATACTTTTCTAGTTTACTCTTATTTTAACATATTTTTTTTCTAATAGATTGTATCCTTATTGGTATGTTACACACAATATGTATAGTATTTTTAAAATTTTATTTTCTCTGACTTTTTATAATGCAATTTCTGTACTGTATTTAAATTTCATTTTTATTTATATATTTAAAGTAAAACATTTTATAATTTTAACTGAAATAAATTACTTGCAAATGCTTGACATATTTGTAAAGTGTGTTAGTTTACCGTTATAATATTTTTATTGTATCCTGAAGTAGAAGAGATTATCAACATATGTCCCTTAGCTACCATTTAAAATCCTAAATTGATACCTTTGTTTTCTTTTGTAATCAGGGAAGTGATATGATCAGAGCTGTTTTGGAAAATAACATAATAATGGATTGGAATGGGTATAGAAAATATATTAAGGCTGTGTCTGTTCAAGGTGTAAATAAATAAATAATAAGGATGAGAGCAGTGAAAATGGGAAGTAAGAGCTTTTTAGAGTTGAATCTTTTGAATCCATAAACCAGCAGTGTGATTCTGAATCAAGTTTTGCTGTCCATCAGCTGTGAAAATTAAAGAAAAACCAGTAAAACAAATATCATGTAAGATCAAATCGGAAAAAGGCACGATTAAAATATAGATTTAAAAAAAATTATTGCGAAAAAAGATCATATTTTCAGAAAAGTACATACACCTGTAAGTACAATTTCACAAGTCTTTATAAAGTGATCACCTGCTCCGCTTATTATGAGAACATACAAACTATAGCAAAACATTTATTTATTATGCTTATGAAATCTGTGAGCAAGGAATTTGGACAGGGCAGGAAGATATGGCTTCTCTGCTCCACTGTGTCTGGCCGCAGATGGAAGCTTGGAAGCTCATTCACTCATTAGTCTTGTGATTAATACTAGCTATTTCCTGGAGGCCTCAGTTTCTCTCCACTGTGGTTTCTTCATGCAGTCTCTTGTCATGGGCTAATTGGTCATCCTTCCACCATGGTAACTGGATTCCAATGACAAATGTCCTGACATAGAGAGCAAGGTGTAATTTTAACCCCATTCATAACCCAATTAACATCATATACTATTTGATCTTACACTCAGATCAATAATTAAAACATCAGGCCTGGTACAGTGGCTCACAGCTTTAATCCCAGTATACTGAGAGGCCGAGGCAGGAGGATCACTTGAGGCCAGGAATTCAAGGCCAGCCTGGGAAACATAGTGAGACCCCATTTCTATAAAAAGTAAATACATTTTTTAAAAAAGAATTAAAACATTGCCAACAGGGTATTTTTGATCCCAAATCTCTGCATTGCCTTGTAGGTAATTACTGTTCTTACTTTATGATGGTTGCTTATTTGCATTTCTTTACCTTTGTATGTATCCCTAATTGATATATGTTAGTCTGGGACAACCTTGGAATAATACTTTAAGACTATAATGAGGACAGGCGCGGTGGCTCACACCTGTAATCCCAGCACTTTGGGAGGCCGAGATGGGTGGATCAAGAGATCAGGGGTTCGAGACCAGCCTGGCTAATATGGTGAAACCCTGTCTCTACTAAAAATACAAAAATTAGCCAGACATTGTGGCACATGCCTGTAATCCCAGCTACTCCAGAGGCTGAGGCAGGAGAATCGCTTGAACCTGGGAGGCCAAGGTTTCAGTGAGCTGAGATCCCACCACTGCACTCCAGCCTGGGTGACAGAGCAAGACTCTGTCTCAAAAAAAAAAAAAGACTAGAATGATTCTTTTGTTTCTTGCCTTTCTCAATCAAAGTTACACATATGAGATTGATCCATGTTTCTGCATTTGAGAATGGTGTGATGAGACAGTTCCCTTATATGGACATAGCCTAATCAATTGGCATCTTGTGACTGGACAAAACTTAACTACTATTGAAAATGACCCAACAGTCCCATTGACAGTTCCTTTGGATAAAAACATAGAAATTGACCCTTCTGATCTTAAAGCTTGAAACTTATATTTGTTTTATCTGAGTTCCTTCCTCAGGAAAGACAGCTAGGCCTCTCAAAAAGTATGAAAGAACTGAAACTCACTAGATAACTGTATTCAGACAATGGGATGCTAGACTCCTCATTTTGTTTCCTTACCCCTCCCTAGCCCCTGTTTTCCAACACATTGTTACATTTTTTTCCTACTATATACACCCCTAATTTTAGCTGGTCAGGGAGATGGATTTGAGACTCACCTCCCATCTACCCGGTTGCAACACCTAATTAAAGCTTTCTTCCATGGCAATACTGGCCATCTAAGTCATTGGCTCTCTGTGTCATGAGCAACAGGACCTAGACCAAACCCCTTGTATTACAGTAACACTATGATTGGCTGAGACTCAGCTATCTGTTACAAGAATATACTCTTAAATTAGGTTGCAATTTATTTACATGCTAAGTTGGGTTGCAGTTCTCTACATAGGAACTCAAAGTACAAATGCAACCTCAGGCCAAATTTAGTTTAATTTAACAATTCTTTCATTTCTGTCAGCCTCTCAATTTTGAGAGATTTACCAAAACCTTAGGCATTAATTCCACTCTCTGTCACCATCATAATGAATTTGTTTGGTCTCACTGTGTAATTCACAATTCATGGCTTCAGGTCAGTTGAATGTTTCTTTATGTTCTCTTTTGATTTTTCTGTAATAAGATCATTTTACATATAACAGATGACTGCATTCAAGCATTTAAGACCCTTAAGAGTATATGGTATAACAGGGAGACTATTATAATGGCTATCGAAAGGATAGTGCTAAGAGTCCAAAGTATGCTCCTTTATAGGAATCCCCACAAATTGAACAGCTCAAAATCAAATACATCAAAATTGAGCCAGAATATGAATCTACTTTTTTTTTTTAAACAAAGTACGTTTTTTTGTGGATTTCTTACCTCTGAGTTTCTATCATACTAGATATATTTATCCAAGGGCAGTAGTGGGTCTTAGTCATTACACAGATTCCCTCTATTTAACCAAAAGATAGTCCAAAGCAATCATGTTATCTAAAACACCTTTAGCAAAAATTTAAAGATGTTTTCTGGGCAACCGTAGCCATTGCAGTAGAGGTAGCTATAGTAATGTTTGAGACAGATTCCTAATCATAATACCATTTAGATTTATGACAGAATAGGGAGGAGCTGTCTACCAAAAGATGCCCATTTAGAGGGATTTATGATTGCTTGCAAATTGCTCCTTATTCCATGGTGACAATTAAAAGGTGTCCAGCTTCCAGTTGTTCATGGGGTGACAGTGGTACCGACAGAATCCCTAATCCACATTGGCCCCTTATCTTCCAGTTATTAAGACATGTATTTGGCTACATATTTCATTGAACATTAAATACTCCACAGACAAGCAATATATCCTAGAGGGGCACAGCAGACAGTTCCCTGTGAGATGCCTTGTGTGTTAGGTGTCACCAGTAGGAAAGCTCTAGTAATAGTTCTCTAAGGCTTCATTAGTGAATCATTGCATGGCTGGAGGCTACCAATAATTAAAGGATTAATGTTATAAATTCGGCTACAAACTTTTAATTTATATTTTGAGGTGTGGTTTTCTTATCCATTTTCTGGCATAACTTAAAGTTAAAATATCACTATATACTTTGCTTACTATTAGATATTAAAAAAATCTAAATTTATGACCATAACATCCTAACTTTATAGAAAGAACCAAATATTGCACTTGGAATATCAGTGAAATTTGTTACAGGGTAAGCCAGAGAATTCTTGAAACTATAGATCATGAAGTCTTAATTATTGCATTATCTTTCCATGTATAAACAATAACATCAACAACAAAACAGGGGAAAAAAGAAAGGCAACAAAGGTTTCCTGATGACAGAGGTAAGAAATCTTGACCTGTAATCCTGAGAAAACTATCCACATTTAGGATGTCTTCTGCTTCTGAGGAAAAACCTTCCTGGTGAGTTTCACCTTGAGGTCTTTGATATGGTTTGGCTGTGTCCCCATCCAAATCTTATCTTGAACTGTGGCTCCCATAATTCCCAGATGTCATGGGAAGGACCCAGTGGGAGGTAATTGAATCATGGGGGTGGGTCTTTCCCGTGCTGTTCTTGTGATAGTGAATAACTCTCATAAGATTTGATGGCTTTATAAAGGGGAGTTCCCCTGCACAATCTCTCTTGCCTGCTGTCATGTAAGATGTGACTTTTTTCCTTTTTTGCTTTCTGCCATGGTTGTGAGGGCTTGCCCCAGCCACGCAGAACTGTGAGTCAATTAAACCGTTTTCCTTTATAATTACTCAGTTTCAGGTATGTCTTTATTAGCAGCCTTAGAACAGACTAGCACACTAAATTGGTACCAGGTACTGGGGTGCTGCTGTAAAGATACACACAAATGCGGAAATGACTTTGGAACTGGGTAAGAGGCAGAGGTTGGAACAGTTTGGAGGGCTCAAAAGAAGACGGGAAGATGTGGGAAAATTTGGAACTTCCTAGAGACTTGTTGAATGGCTTTGAACAAAATGCTTATAGTGATAGGGACAATAAGATCCAGGCTGAAGTGGTTTCAGATGGAGATGAGGAACTTGTTGGGAACTGGAGTAAAGGTCACTCTTCCTATGCAAAGAGACTGGTGGCATTTTGCCCCTGCCCTAGAGATTTGTGAAATTTTGAACTTGAGATAGATGATTTAGGGTATCTGGTGGAAGAAATTTCTAAGCAGTAAAGTGTTCAAGAGGAAGTAGAGCATAAAAGTTTGGAAAATTTGTAGCCTGATTATGCAATAGAAAAGAAAAACCCATTTTCTAGGAAGAAATTCAACCCAGCTGCAGGAATTCTCAGAATTTGCATAAATAACAAGGAGGCTAATGTTAATCACCAAGACAATGGAGAAAATGTACCCAGGGCATGTCAGAGACCTTCTCAGCAGTCCCTTCCATCACAGGTCCAGAAGCCTAGGAGCTAAATATGATTTCTTGGGCCAGGCCCTGGGTCCTCTTGCTGTGTGCAGCCTAGGGACTTGGTACCCTGTGTCCCAGTCATCCCAGTCGCTCCAGCCATGGCTAAAAGGGACCAAGGTACAGCTCAGACCACGGATTTAGAGGGTGCAAGCCCCAAGCCTGGGCAGCTTCCACATGGTTTTGAGCCTGTGGGGGCACAGAAATCAAGAATTTAGAGTTGGGAACCTCCCCCTAGATTTCAGAGGATGTATGGAAATGCCTGGATGTCCAGGCGGAAGTTTGCTGCAGGGGCGAGGTCCTCATAGAGAACCTCTGCTAGCACAGTGTGGAAGGGGAATGTGGAGTAAGAGCCCCCACACAGAGGCCCCACTGGGTCACTGCCTAGTGGAGCTGTGAGAAGAGGGCCACTGTCCTCCAGTCCTCCTCAACCCCAGAATGGTCAATCCACCGATAGCTTGCATGCTGTGCCTGGAAAAGCCGCATATGCTCAATGCCAGCCTGTAAAAGCAGCCAGGAGGGGGGGCTGTACCCTGCAAAGCCACAGGGGCAGAGCTGCCTATGACGATGGGAACCCATCTCTTGCATCAGCATTACCTGGATGTGGGAGATGGAGTGAAAGGAGTTCATTTTGGAGCTTTAAAATTTTATTGCCCTTTTGGATTTCAGACTTGCAAGGGGCCTGCAGCCCCTTCATCTTGTTCAATTTATCACATTTGGAACAGCTGTATTTATCCAATGCCTGTACCCCCATTGTATCTAAGAAGTAACTAATTTGCTTTGGATTTTACAGACTTATAGGTGAAAGGGACTTGCCTTGTCTCAGATAAGACTTTGGACTGTGGACTATTGAGTTAATGCTGAAATGAGTTGAGATTTTAGGGGACCGTTGGCAAGGCATGATTGGTTTTGAAATGCGAGGACATGAGATTTGGGAGGGGCCAGGGATGGAATGATATGATTTGGCTGTTTCTCCACCCAAATTTCATCTTGAATTGTAGCTCCCATAATCCCCATGTGTCATATGAGGGACCTGGTGGGAAGTGATTGGATCATTGGGGGTGGTTTCCCCCATGCTGTTCTTGTGAAAGTGAATAAGTCTCAAGAGCTTTGATGATTTTATAAAGGGGAGTTCCCCTGCACACTTTCTCTTGCCTGCCACCATTAAGACATGACTTTTCTCTTCATTTGCCTTCTGCCATGATTGTGTGGCCTCCCTAGTCATGTGGAACTGTGTGTCAATTAAACCTCTCTTCTTTATAAATTACCCAGTCTCAGGTATACCTTTACTGGCAGTGGGAGAATAGACTAATACATTCTTCAATGAGTATATTGGCCCAAGAGTCTGGAGGGGGCCTTTTGCATGGAGACATGTGGATCCAACACTTGAAGCATTGAAGTTTTGCTGCAGTGTGGGTGGTTAGAAGTAATTTGTATGGTATCTTCTAATGGGGCTCAAGGTAAGTCTTTTTCAGATGTAACTTCCAGAAGACACAATCTCTGGGCTCTACATCATGAAGAGTCTGTTTGTCATCAGTTGGTGGATCACAAAGGGCTTCTTTTATCTAGTGAAAATACCCTTTGGCATAATGCATCAAATTTATATCAGAGTTTATGAGTGTGAGATAGAAGAAGTTCTAGTATTAAGGGCATATTACTTCTAGTAACTATTTCATAAAACTATATTTTCCAATGAGAGTGGATCTGATTGCTATTAATGGGTAATACTTGTTACCAAGGTAATTTAATCAATCAAATTAGCTTTACCTAGTACCCTTGTATTTGTAATATATTATTTAACTATTTTACAATTTGTCCTGTGAAACAAGTTCTGTCATTGAAGATTTCTCCAGAAATACCCCATAAGTATAACACATATTCTAATAACATTTCCGCTACTGTTATAGCATCAGCTTTCCTACATGAGAGAACTTCTGTATAACAAGAAACATGCATCGAAGGTAGCAAGTGAATAAAATAAATCTATAAGTGTTTAAATGATCAGGCAGGTACCAGGGTTGTATTATGTGTTTTCTTTGTCTTACCAGGATTATGGGTTTGACAAACCAAATATTGGTTATAAATAATTTAAAAAAATTTAGAAACCTCACCCCACTAATATTTTAAAATAATTCGTATCATTCTGTATACTCCATGATGAGTCACAGAGTACAGAGTTT
Source organism: Homo sapiens (assembly GCF_000001405.40). Classification (NCBI taxonomy): domain Eukaryota; kingdom Metazoa; phylum Chordata; class Mammalia; order Primates; family Hominidae; genus Homo; species Homo sapiens. Next base: position 27,287,096 of record NC_000014.9, on the reverse strand, counting down.
TAATATTGGAAGCCCTAAAGACTCTGGAAGGGCCAGGTGGCCATTTGAGCTCTCCATGAGCCTACACTTAATATTGTATTTACATTCTCTTAAATTTTGTTTCTCCAATTCAGGTGCATATCACTGTTTATTTAATTCCTTATCATAGGTAATATGTTAGCCTGTTCTTGGATCACTATAAAGAAATATCTAAGACTGAGTAATTTATAATGAAGAAAGTTTTAATTGGCTTATGGTTTTTCAGGCTGTACATGGAGCATGGTTCCAACATCTGCTTCTGGTGAGTGCTCAGGAAACTTATAGTCATGGTAGAAGGCAAAGGGGGAGCAGGAAAGTCACATGGTGAGAATGAGAGCAAGATAGAGTCTGGTTGCAGTGGCTCACGCCTATAATCTAGCACTTTGGGAGGCTGACATGGGAGGATTGCTTGGGCCCAGAAGTTCAAGACCAGCCAGAGCAACATAATGAGACCCTGTCTCTACTAAAAATAACTAAAAAATTAGCTGGCTAAGGAGGTACATGCCTGTGGTCCGAGCTACTGAGGACGCAGAGGTGGGAGGATTGCTTGAGCCCTGCAGTTTGAAGGTGCAGTGAGCCATGATCATGCCATGTCTGAGTGAAAGAGTGAGATCCAGTCTAAAAAAAAATAAAACAAAACAAAAACAAAGGATGGAGGGGGTATGTGCCACACACTTTTAAACTACCAGATCTCATATGAACCAGCAGAACAAGATCTCACTCATCAGCAAGAAGAGTGTGCTAAGCCATTCATAAGGGATCTGCCCCCGTGATCCAATACCTCCACTAGGTCCCACCTCCAACATTGGGGATTACATTTACCTTGAGATTAGAAGGGAAAAATACAACCAAACTATATTATTTCTCCCCTTGGCCTCAAAATCTCATGAACTTCTCACATTATAAAATACAATCATCCTTTCTCAACAGTCCCCCAAAGTCTTAACTCATTCCAACATCAAGTCCAAGGTTCCAGGTTTCATCTAAGATGCATCACCATCTGCCTATAAGTCCATAAAATCGAAATCAAAACAAGTTATATACTTCCAAGATACAATCCTGGTACATACATTGGGTAAATATTTCCATTCAAAAAAGGCAGAAACTGGCTAAAAAATAAATGGGGGTGGAGGTGGACAGAAGGTCCCAAGCAAGTCCAAATCCCTGTAAGCCAGATATTAAAACTTAAAGCTCCAACATAATCCTTGACTCCGTGTCCTCTAACCTGGTGTGAAAAGTGGGCTCCCAAGGCCTTGGATGGCTCCTTCACTGTGACTTTGCAGGGTTCATTCTCTTGTGGCTGCTTCCACAGTTTGGATTTGAGTGCGGGCACCTTCTCCATGCTCAGGACAGAAGCTGTTGGTGGCCCTACATTTCTGGGATCTGGAGGGCCACATCTCCCTTCCCACAGGTCTACCAGGCAATGCCCCAGTGGACACTCTATAGGGGAGCTTCAGTCTCACGTTTCCCCTTGGCATTAAGCTAGTAGAGTATTTCTATAGGGCTTCTGACCCCATGGCAGACTTCTGCCTGGGTACTCAAGCTTCCTTATATATCCTCTGAAATCTAGGTGGAAGCTGCCAAGCCTCTTTCACTCTTACATTCTTTGTGTGCCCAGGCTTAATACTACATGGAAGCTTCTAAGGCTATGGCAGCTTGCACTCTACAGAGTGGCAACCTGAGCTATACCTGGAGTCCTTTAAACCCAGGCTGGACCCAGTACAGCTGGGATGGGAGGAGCAGGTTCCTAGGGAAGTATAGGGCAGTGGTGACTCAGACATGACCCACAAACCATTCTTTCATCCTAGGCCTCTGGGCCTGTGATTGGAGAGACTGTTCCAAAGACTTCTGAAATGGTTTCAAGGTCTTTCTCCCATTGTCTTGGGTATTAGCACTTGGCCCACTTTGGGTCATGCTAATCTCTCTAGCAAGTGATTACTCCACAGCCTTCTTGTATTTCTCTCACGAAACAAGCTTTTTCTTTCTCTGTCACAAGGTTAGGTTGCAAATTTTTCAAATATTTGTGTTTTCTTTCCTGTTTAGATATAAGTTTCAAATTCAAGTAATCTATTTGCTCCCACATCTTATTTCAGCTATTAGAAGCACACAGGCCACATCTTGAATGCTTTGCTGCTTAGAAATTTCTTCTGCTTGATACAGTAAATCATCACTCAAGTTCAAATTTCCACACATGCCTATGGCATGAACACAATGCAGCCAAGTTCTTTGCTAGGGGGTAAAACAGATGACCTTGACTTCAATTCCCAATAATGTCCTTATTTCCATCTGAGTCCTCTTCATCCTGGGCTCCACTGTCCAAAATCTTTATCAGCATTTTGGTCACAATCATTTAACCATTCTCTAAGAAGTTCCATACTTACCCTTGTCTTCCTGTCTTCTGAGCCTGACAAAGTCTTCCTACCTCTGCCTCTCACGCAGTTCCAAAGCTGCTTTCACATTTTCAAATATTGTATAGCAACACTACGCTCTCAGTATCAATTTTCTGTATTAGTCAGTTCTTGCATTACTATAAAAAAACACCTGAGACTGGGTAATTTATAAGAAAAGAGGTTTAATTGGCTCATGGTTCTGCAGGCTGTACAAGAAGCCAGGCACTGGCATCAGCTTCTGTGAGGCCTCAGGAAGCTTTCAACCAAGGCAGAAGCTGAAGGAGGAGCAGACATATCACATGGCAACAGCAGGAGCAAGAGAGGGAGAGGTAGAAGTGCTACACTCTTTTCAATGACCAGGCCTTGTGAGAACTATCAGAGTGAGAACTCACTAATCACCAAGGAGATGGTGCTAAGCCAATCATGTGGGATCTGCCTCCATGATCTAATACCTCCCACTAAGTCCCACCTCCACCATTGGAGATCACATTTTAACATGAGATTTGGAGCAGACAAACATCCAAACTAGATCAGAAAATTTGACTTGGATCAATCAAGGTAGTTAATTCAAAATTTGACTTGGATCAATCAAGGTAGTTAATTCAAATCACATAATTTAACAATTTTAGTACTGGCTGAATTAGAATAAAAACCTGCCAAAGAATTATTTTGGTATTCAATTAATTCTTCTTATGATGTTGGGTTAGAAGTTTGATGAAACCATCAGTCTCTTAATTAAAGTTCAGGAATTCTTACCCAGTCTAGTGGTATGATCAAGTATGTAAGAATTTCATACAATTTCTGGAATACATATTAATAATAAATACATACAAGTATAACTCAAAGAAGGTTTAGTATTACTAATTATTTGAGAATGCTTCTCAATTTATTATATGAAATAAATATGATTCATTTAATATCTTTTGTATAAAAAGAGATAGCCTTTTGAGATTCACCAAGGGCCCATCTGTAAAATTTTAAAGATAATTTAAGGTCAAGAAAAATATTTAATTTAGAATTTGATTTTGAGAAATCTATAAAAAACATCTAAGGCTTAAAACGTTTGATCTAAATAGGATAACAGGTCACTATGAATAATAGCCATTCATTTAACCAGAGTAATAATTTAAAGACTTGAAAGGCAAATATGGAAAGTTCCATAATGGTAGTAATACTTTAGCTCTTTTTATAGAATGGTCTCAGTTTTCTTAAGTGATAAAAAACCTAACAAAGACAATGTGAAGCACAGGAAATTATGTTGGTAAAATTTAGAATTTCAATTTTCTAGGCCAATTCCTAAAGGATAAAGAAGAACCTTTCATAACTTTCTATTAAGAACAGAACAATATTCTAAAAAAATTGTTTTTTTTGTTAATAAATTTTATAATGTAGAGATAACCTGAACTTATTTTACTAATAAACCTATGGAGAAAAGGTTCTACATCTGTATTATACTTAATGTTGACAACTCTGATGATATGCCTATTTTAATCACACCAACAATGTTCTTAGTTAACAAAGATTACCCAAGTTACATGAACTTAAAAATAATTGGGAGAAGTTCTTATTTTTTCTGAGAGAAAACTTAACTTATATAAGCACTTTTTTGTAAGCCAATTAAATATAGTTGCTTTACAATTTTATTTTGGCAATATCAAAAGAATATAGGAAAATATCGTATGTATATTGCATACAGATGGACATAACCTACTACAGACAAAAACCGATCTTACTGCTTTCATTCTAAAATTATTTAGCCATGTGACAAATGCAATAATACAGAACTCACTACTTTATTGAAGACAATTTAGATCCAAATTGTTTTGTCTGGCCAATACAACTAGATTTTCTTCCCAGATGGCTAAAACTTTTGACTTATATTTATGGATTTTTAAAATTTGCCATCTGTAAGGAATCCTTTAAAGCGACAATCTTGACTCATTTAATCTTTTTTATCCCCCTGTGTACTGATTAAATAAAGCAGGGCCAGTAATCCCTGCATTCCTGTAATCCCTGCATTCCTGTAATCCCAGCACTTTGGGAGGCCGAGGTGGGTAGATCACCTGAAGTCAGGAGTTCAAGAACAGCCTGACCAACATGGCGAAACCCCATCTCTACAAAAACTACAAAAATTAGCCAGGCATGGTGGTGGGTGCCTGTTACCCCAGCTACTCAGGAGGCTGAGACAGAATTGCTTGAACCCAGGAGGCGGAGTTTGCAACGAGTCAAGATCACACCATCACACTCCAGCCTGGGCAACAGAGCAAGAATCTGTCTCAAAAAATAAAAAATAAATAAAAATAAATAAAAAATGCATACCATTGGTTTTGTGGCGTTTTAGATTCTTTATTTTCTAATGTAATTTGCAAGTGAACAATTTAATCTGGTTAACATTTCCCCACTCTGGCCACTTTAATTCTAAGTTATGTTTCATAAGTTTAACTCATTTTTTTCTAAAAATACACAGATTATGGGCTCATAATTTTTGTATACGAAGCTTGCCAGTGTTTCATAAATTGGTGTCCCAAATTCTAGAGTCTTAGACTACTTAGATTCAGAGGAATCTATTTTCAAAAGTCACCTACCTGAGGCCTCTTAACTGGATCACAATACATTTAATTATCAAATCTAATCCAATCCTGACTAACCATTCAGTAAAAGTTGTTCAAATAAAGTTGGAGAGGTTACAGAACCTGAGTCTGACAGGAGACACACTCATGACCTCCAATTGCTGCAAAAGATTAGTGGGCACATTGGGCTCAACGGGTACCTATGCATGGTCATTCAATCTTCCTGAGGGTCACTGGGGTCCTCCCTCAGATTCCGCTTCTGTTAAATAAAAGCTTTAACAAATTGAATTTAGCAGGGTTTATTTGAACAAAAAGTGATTCATGAATCTGGCAGCACTCAGAACCAGGGGAGGTTCAAAGAGCTTTGCAGCAACATGGGCAGGCAGTATTTACCAACAGAAAAAGGAAGTGATGTACAGAAACAGCTTGAATGCCTGCAGCTCAAAGTTTGCCTTATTTGGGCATGGTATGATGAAGCATTTGCCTCGTATGGACATGGTCTGATCAATTGGTAGCCTGTGATTGTCTGAGATTCAACTATTTGTTATAAGAATGTTCTCTTAATTTAGATTGCTGTTTGTTTTCAAACTGAGTTAGATTGTAGATCACTATGTAGGAATGAAAATGATGGAGGCAGCTTTAGGCCAAATTTTCTTTAACACCATTTTCATCTTTTTTATATTTTGCACCTGCCTACCAAACTTTTACCCACAATCCTCCAACTCTATCTCCAAATAAATGAAATTGCTTAATTTTTCCCTGACAGTCTTTGTAGCTACAGTTCTTTGCTCTTGCAATGTTCTTTCTCTTTTCTTAGCCCAGAAAACTGCTATTTATCCCTGGCAGCTAGCTCCACTGAAAGCAAACAATATCTCTTTTTGGATTCTTCCCAGAAGAGTTTGTCATTACTTTTCTCTAAATTCCCAAACTTCTTTTTATCCTTTCAACAACGTATTGTTTACCACCTTGTAGCAAAATTATCTAATTTTATATGTATATCTTGTCCAAAAATACTAAGTTCTAAAAAATAAATCTTCTCAAGTGTTCTTTTTTTGTTTTTTATTACATTGTCTGCCATTACTGTAGTTTCTGAATACATGCTTGTGGAATAAATTGTACTTTTAAAATTTTCTTCACTATTTTTAATCTATTATGCTTCTATACCTTACTTTAAAATCGAATTTACATAAGTTAATAGATTTATATCATGTTTCTATATCCTATTTTAAAATAGGATCTATAAGCTTAATATCCTATATTAAGGATTAATATCCTATATACTTATATCATATATATATTTCCTTATATATCTTGTATCCCTAATATTCTATATCCTTCTATATTCTATTCTAAAATAGGATATAGAAGCATAATGTAAACCATGCTTATATTGGTTTATGAAAATAAATCAGGTAAATATGTTATTATAGTCCTTGATTTCTATAAATTTAAAAAAGTATAAAACATCAAAAATAGATTTAATGAAAGAAAAAAGTACTAACAAAAAGTAATATTTCTACATTTTCCCAATTTCAAGTACATTTCCCACTATGTTGAAAATTTTATTAATAAGTTGTGTTTGTATAAATTATTGATTACATTGCTATTGTTTTCCAAGCAAGTGGTATTGAATCTAAATCTCTATTGTTTCCCAAAGCCTTAAAAATATCTACCATGTAGAGTTTAGCAATGTAGGATTCTACATGGCAAATGTATATTATTATTGTTGTATGGATTAGTATTCAAAATAAAGGAAAATAACCATACAATGTCAGAGCCTGGAAGAATAAAGCATTTTCATTATTTTAGTGTAAATGTGAAGAGATTAAGTCAAAAAGAGGCTTCCCCAAGTCAGCATCAACATATGGAGTGAGTGATTTTTTTTAAATCATCCAATGCCGTCTTAATATAATACCAAGAACATTTCTTGTTTCAGGCCCACTTCTAGTCATTCTGACATCTGGGGCCAAAGTACAAATAAGATGCATATTCCAAGAGTTTCATGTACAAATCCAACTATCCCCTCTGACCCGGTCTGCACCTTTACCCAGGGCTTCCAGTCCATTCAGCATGGATCCCTCTTAACATCTGGAGGCTAAAGCATATGACTTTGAAGGGTGTTAGGTACTGCATGGAGGAAGGCTGTGCAGACCAGTGTATAAAGTGATGCTGGTGCCAACATTCTGGGACAGTGGTTGCACCTACACCCACTCCAAATGTCAACTGATTTGATTAAGCTTCATAATGAACCAGGGTGAACTGGGTCCTATTCACCAGCTTCACTTCTCTGACAGCATTTTCAAAACAGTTTAAACTGCCTCCATAACTACCTCAACCAAGAATAAAGCAGCAGAGACCAGGCAGACACTTTGCATGTCTTAGAGAAATCAACTTTTAACAGAAGCAACCACTCTCATGGGTTTCCCAGGAGAAAAGCTCTAATTTTCTTCTTTCCTTTAAAACATTTGAAAACTCACAATCTCTCATTCTCTGGCCTGACTATATCAGCTTGATTTGAATGACTCGTTACCATAATTGCAATTTGTTAACAAACATTCAAAAATACCCCATGAGGGCATAACAGGAAAAAAAGAAAAGCGCCATTGTGTTTGAGTGTTGGTGACTTGCAGTGGATCTCCAAAGAGTGTTACTACTAATGCCTGCATCTGAGAATGGTACTGCCCTAATTTCTAAAATTGGCAATCTTGAAATATTGTCGTTGTAACAATAGTCATAATGAAGTCTTAAAAATTTCTGACTTTTGGCAATGTGTATGTGGTTCACACTGATTTCAGACTGGATATAATCAGCTGAGAACCCAGACAAGGCAAATTGTGTTTTTGAATCTTTGTGGGCACACGATAATCTGCCAAAAAGATCTGTATTCATAAGATGTCTTCTTCTCTCCAAGGAAGTGAGGAATTAATGTAATGCTTATAATAATTATAAAAATACTAATAAATCAAAGCAATATATTTACCACCCTTTATTTTTAAATTATTTGTATGCCGTAAAAGTGCAAGAGAAAAGATGACAGTAGTAACTCAGTATGCCAATTGCAGTTTACACATAAACATTTTGGCTGAGATTAGGTTTTTCTACATTAATGCCTATAATTAGTCTGAAATTCATTACATTTAAGCTATTTTAAATTTTAAAATAAAGGCACATTTTTCTTTCAAATCCTAAAAGCTGGTGTTAGAATAACTGTTTTTAGACTTTGTCCTAGTTATGATAAATATCATTAGGTTGTCTATCCTTGAAATTTAGATTCAATTTCATACACGGTTTAAATCTGATTTTACAAATCAAACCCAAGTAAGGAAACAAATGGAAATGCATTTTCAGCAGCATCTTCTGACAGTATATGATAAACAGCATCATTTACAGGACACTGCATCATACTATTTACATTTAGAAAGAAGAAAAATGCTGATTAGGCTTCCATTTGGCCCAGGCTTTCCAGTTCATAACATGTTAAGCAATTCAATCTTTTGGTTTTAAAGCCACACACATCTCTAATCATAACATGCCAGAAGCAACAGAACTAACAGAATGAATGAGGCTGTTTACTCCTGACACATTATAACGTTTCTGAACCAGCAGTGTTCTGAAAACGTGTCATTGTTATCTCTGGATTGACAACTCAGCACCCAGGGTCCTCTTACTCTCCCCAAGGTTTGTTTCTAGAACCCACAAAAGGCTACTTTAAAATAGTGTAAAATGTTATCCCCTGTTCAATTACTCCCCACTTGTTTCAAAGGGGAAAAAACCCACATCTGACCATTTTTGCAATCAAATAATCTACATGTTTGCAGAAGAGTTAAGCAAAACAAGAAAATTGCTAACTACTGTTGACCTTTATTTACTAGATTTGGTGAGAATTGTACATGCATTAAAAACTGCTATTTTTTTCATTTTTTAATATACTAAACATTGTGGAACTCCTAGAGTAATACCCAGGATTTATAACACCATGGTAAGAATACAAAGAAGAAATCTCATTACTTTGTAATAATTTCAGATGATTCAGTAAATGTCTGAGTTAACACCGATCTTACCATAAATTATGAAGAAAAATTTTACTGTAGGAAGAACTAATAATACAAATTGTGGATTGAATATTTCTATCAATATCAGTAATAAACTCTTTTTTAGAACTCTACAGGATTTAAAAATATTTGTATTTTATCAATATGTCTGCCAATACATTATTTTATCTATTTCTTAAAGCAATTTTCAACATACAGTCCTGGAGTCCAGTTTTAGTTACTGAATGTAGTTTTTAAAAAGTGGAATACTTGTATTATAAAATAGTTTTTAATTTAGACTGGCCTTCTCTTTCATTAGTCTAAAGTACTTAGATATTTTTTTCCATTTTAGAAACTCTTGGTTTGAAGCTAATATTCTTTCTTGATTGTGCCACATTTACTTGAATTATCCCTGCAAAAACCTATGTAGACAAAGCAGAATACTTGTGTCTTAAATTATTCCTTATTAAAATTCAGAAAAAATATAATGTGAAGAATCAGGTCTTAGAAAATAATGGTTGTAAAATAGGGTATTGAAAAAATTAAAATCATCCGACTATGAATAAATTATTTTATATCAGCAAAATTTTAAATTACCTGAGGAATTCTATTTTTCTTATAGCGTGTTAGATTTTTCATGCTGTATTGTGGTAACCGTGCATGTGGTTATTTCTGCATACATATATACATAGTAGAGAGAAATAGCTAAATTATATTGCCTTTAAATTTCTTACTGGGACAAAATTCAGACATTAACTTTTTGTCTTTATCTGAGCCAAGTCATGGCTCAATTCTAATCCTAGACCATTTCTGGACATCCTGATCTTGTCTTTTCTAAACTACAGTTACCATACTTTGAATGTGCACTTATTATACATTGTGTTGTGTTTGTGTCTGTGTGTGTGTGTATGAGAGAGAGAGAAAGAGAGAGAGAGAGAGAGAGAGAGAGAGCAAGAAATCTACCTGTCTGTCTAATGTTTAATGTCTTCTCACCTAGCAATCATCTTTCAAGTATAAACTCAAATGTCACTTCCTATTCAACGCCTTCTTATCCCACTCCCAAACTAGGTCAAGACTGCTAATTGTATATGCTTACATCGCTCTGTATTTTTTGTTTAAAGACTTTTTTAAAACCACGTGAATAAGTCTGTGTATATTGACATGTACTCTGTTTCCTGCTCTTGACTCTATTTCCATGAGATAGTTACCCTTTCTGCCATTCTTTGCCTGTATCAACAGGACCCATCACAATGAATGGTCATAAAGTGGGAAGTGGCTTCACAACAAATGAATACAAGGATGAATGAATGCATGGATGAAACCATTGCAATATCCTTGATAATTTTTTTCTGGGTATATATAACTTGAAATCACTACTAGAAAAGAGTTCCAGGAACTGTACAAGAGGGTGACAATATGTTCACAGAACTGAATAATGTGTCTACCCAAATAGATCCTGTGATTTAGTGGGGAGATAGCTGATAACCAAAGAATTACATAAATGAATATAAAATGACACTCTGGTAACTGCATGATAATAAAACAGAGATTCATGTTACTATAGTATATAGTACTATAAAAATGTATATTAGTTTGATTTCTCCAAGTCAGGAGAAGATCAGTTCAGGCTTTTCTGAGATTCAAAGGGTTTGGAAAGTTTAATTAGTTGAACATCAGTGGGGGTGCTGGGAAGAGAAATCATTTGAGTGAGTTGGAATTGCATGCTCAAGAAAGATGGTATTGGTGTAAAGAACACACGGTTACCAAGGAACAGTACCTGGAGCAGAGCAAAAACACAACAATGGAAGTTTCGAGTTGGAGAATAGGTCGAGGCAGCAAGATACAGCAATTGGACTTGAAGCTAATGGAAAAGGCATGGATCTACTTAGAGCAATGGATTTTCAAAATTATACTTGTCTTTTGAAAAGATGACTGGCTTGGAAGAATGTCAGAGGAGGGGCAAGTAGAGATTTAACTCAGAGAAATAAGGAGGTTATGACATTATTCTAGGTAAGAGTTAATGAATTCATTTTAAAATATGACTGCAAAAAAAAAGTTTTCAAACTTATTTGACTTATCCTTTTTATTTGTTTGTTTTGTTTTTAATTCATTAAATTTTTTAACTAGTGTGTCAAGGAACAGGTTTCAGGTAAGGTTGATTTAATATTTTCATGTCTTTCAGATAATAAAACTGAGGCTTAGGAATGTTTATAAATTGTTAGATGTGCAGCAAATCTGTGAAAGCGCAAGATCTATCTCAGGGAGAAGTATACATAACATATAATGAGGCACTATCAAGTGCTAGGAAACATTTTGAAAGATTCTTTGTGTTGATCTTATTTAAACTTTCCTTTCTGTCTTTCCTCCCTCTCTCTATCTGTATCTGTCCGTGGAGTTTCAGCTCTGTTTATTCCACTTATTGGCTTTCCCCACAGGGAAGAGAACTAATTATCTGGATGATCAAAACACATTATCTACTGTAGTATATTTATTACTTATCATGATCACTGTGTTCTAAAAATCAGAGGAATTCATACAAATCCGTGAATGACCTCTCTTGTACTTTATTTGGGCATCAAGCTGTGTGACTAAATTAAACTATGGGCAGTTCTGTGGATGGAGCTGCTTTATCCCATCCATCTCTGTTGCATTCATCATTGTCGGCTTAGTGGGTGCCCATCTGTCTTCAGGAGTCACGACCATGTTCTGTCTCTATTCATGATTGCCACTGTTTCTACTTCCCGTGGCATGTGACCACCAGGAGATCAATACTATCTCAAGCATAAGATTTTGTTTCAGTATAGATAAAAAAGAAAACCTCATTCTGGCCTGTAGTCTTATTCATTTAATTCAACCAGATAAGTAGAGCCATGTCTCTGCATTAAAACTTTCCCATCTTCTACCCTCCTAAACTGGTATTTAGTTTTTCATTTGACTCCTACTGCATATATTCTTCTTGGAGACTTCCTGGGAAGTCATAGATATGACATCTATGAAAAGATTTTGTCACCCCTGATTCCATGACTATAATATCATCTAAGCCGTGCGGCTGGAAAATCATAGCCCATGAACCACATTCAACTGGCTGCCTATTTTGTAGATAAATGTTTATTAGAACATAGCCCTGCTTGTTCATTTTTGCATTGTTTCTGGCTGTTTCCATGATACAATGGCAAAGTACTTGCCACAGACAGTGTATGTCCTATAAAGCTTAAAATATTTATTATCTTGACATTTATTAAAAGAGGTTTATAACACCTGATCTAAACCAATCTTTACCCCTAATAATAAGCACTAATTAGTTAATATTTCATGGGACGATTTAATCATCCCATGAAATACTGAGGATTCACAGTAACCTAACTGTCAAAAATAAATTTTGCATATGACTAAAATAATAATATTTCTTACCAATAATTTATATAATTTATATATATATATGAGTAGAGGGATTAGAGATATTTAAATTTCTCTCTGAAATTAGTGAAAAACAAAAAGGAGCTGAGGTATGAAAAAGAGTTCTTTAAATCCCTTATATTCCCCCATTTTATACATCATCCCTTTTGTGATGTATTTCTGCCTTTGAATCTTTCCCTCATATTTATTTCAACCAGATTTTTCCTATATTCTTAAAGTTGAGTCTGTGTCTCACAGTACCCTAGGAAAGCTTTGCCTGAGGGACTTTGATAAATGGCATTTTCTAGAGCTGACGATGAAGAAAGGGTTCTGTAGCATGTGTGTAGGAAGATCAAGGATGATACTTGGCTAGTTGGCTCTGCTGACAGCAATCATCTAGACTAAATTGTGACAGACTAATATAACAATGACTTGTCAAAACAAAATAAAACAAAACAAAAAATACATGAGATGTATTTTCAAAATACTTTCATGAATCAAAGAGTTGTCATGCTGACACTTTTTCAAATTAATTTAATGGAACTATCATGCAATATGATGTGTTTATGAAACATCCCAGGATATTTCTATAAAAATACTTCTCAAATTTCTGTGAAAGCAATCTGAATTAAAATTTATGTGTAGCCCCTATTTTTATTTGATATGAATAAGAGAATACAAATATTATAACCAGATGCATATGTTAAGAAAATGAGACTGCTAAGGACCCTCTTATTATGATTATTATTCCCCAATAGAAATTCCTCAGGCAAATCATTAATCTCTAAGGGACTCATTTATTTCTTTTCTAAAGATTGACTAAATAATATATATAATTTAATTACTTGCAGTTGATCTAAATAGATTACATTGCTGTCTTATAGTACGTCCACTCTCCTCAAAATATTCATTCAGAGAAGATAAGATTGCCTTTCATAGTATTTATTTTATAGTTGGTGAAGCCAAGGAGATTCAAACAAGGGCAAAAATGTACCTTCAGCTCACTTGATTATTAAGGATATGTGTTTACAATTAAAATGCAATATGAAATATCAGCATTCCAAGTACTCCTCTGGGAACATAATGTCAAATTTATGGGAATTTGATGCTATTTCTTTTGTTTTTTATTTTTATCTAAGCAATAGTTGCAGATTGTTTAAAGGATCAAATGGTACTATAAGACTTATGACAAAAATCAACAATTTCTTAATTCCCACTTAAGTTTATCACTCCCCAGAGGCAAACTCTTTCGACTTTTAAAATGAATTATTTTGATAATATGTCTAAATAAATACTTATATTACTACTTTTTGGTCTTTGACTTCTAAGGATTTCCTATTGGCATACTTACATGGAAGATAGGGCTCTAGATCTCCTTTATATCCCTCCCCAAAACCCCACACACTCACATACACTTCCTAAACCTATATCCTCCCAATATAGTTGTATTGTGATTGTCATTTAGGTTACATTGATGTTCCCTATATAAGATTCATAAATATGTAAATGACATTGACAGCTGAGTAATGGCTCACAGAGGAGGGAAATAATTCATGTTTAGATATTAATCTTCCAACAAACTTTTTATTTTGGTATCACCTTTACTTGCACTTCCAAAGACACTTAGAGCTCTTTTTTTGAGTGTTCAATAGTATGCCATCAGATTTCTTATCAGCTTTCCTCTTTGTCAAATGGAAATAATGAAATGATCTCTTTTAGATTATTATTATTATTATTATTATTATTATTATTATTAAAGATAGGGTCTTGTGTCACCCAGACTGAAGTTCAGTGGCACAATCATATTTCACTCTAGCCTCACACTTCTGGACTCAAGCAATCCTCCAGCCTCAGCCTCCCAAGCAGCTAGAACTACAGGTACATGACACTATGCCTGGCTAATTTTAAAATTATTTTTAGGGATGAAGTCTCTCTATGCTTCCCAGGCTAGTCCTGACCTCTTGGCCTCAAGCAATCTTCCCACCTCACCCTCCCAAAGTGTTGAGAGTACAGGTAGGAGCCACTGTGCCTAGCCTTTTTCTTAGGATTCTAAAGTCATTTGCCCTGTATACATCTGGTTCTAACTTTTTTAAAACATTGCATTAATATCTTTAATTATTTTGCCTTTTTGGATTTTAGAACTTTTTATAAAATTCTTTGGTATTTCTGAGCAAATAGAGGATTACATATGTGACTAACTCACGTAATTACTAAAAACAGTGATTAAAGGCCCATAGTAACTCACATTTAATATTTTCCTGTTATATTTAATGTGCATTTTTCTTTATAGACAGACAAGTAGCACTATTGGACATATCTGACTATCTAGTTAAATACTGGACATTTCCTTTAACTGAGGTGTATTTTGTGGACTACAACAACTTTTTGAGCCTAAAAATTAAATGAAAATCAAGGATGCTCTTTAATGAGAAAACAATCAACAGTCAGCATACAACCTGAGGGTGCAGAGGAAAGTGAGATGAATGCTATACAATCTGTAAGATCAATAGAGGAGTGAGTATTCAGAGGTACTGTAAGTGTATGTTTGCAAAAGACCTTATTTTTTTTCTTGATGGCCTTCGGCAGTCTATTCTCTCTGTAACTTCATGAGTTGTCTATCACTAATTGCTAGAAAGAATTCACCAATGTAATTTTGAACTGCTAGTGAATTTGCCATTATCAAAACTTGATTTTGATTATCTGCCATTTTTTGAACTTAAGCAATTTAAGCGGCCTAAGTGTCTTATTTTGAAAAACAATTTAACAGTAATAAAAGTATGAGATTGCTAAGGGCTCTTCCATTCAGAAGGCTAAATAATTCTCACAGAGATATGTATTGGCATAGTTTTATGATGTAATTTAAATCAAAGGTGACTGCATAAATGGAGCATAGGTTTTTACATACACAGACGAGTTTGATATTGCATCCACAGTTGTAAGTACATTGTAAGGCTTATTATGAGTGTCCCCTATGCTCTGTCTTGTACTTGCAATCTTAGAATTGTCTACAGGACTGATTAAATTCAATATGGATTAAAAACCACACGGTGGATTGGACTTCTGAGAAATTCACAGTTCAGACTGGCAAATTTGCAACATGAAATGCAACATGATATGTTGCATAAATATACACTTGAGTGGGTAGAAGAGGAAAGACGAGATAAAATGCATGAAATGTTTTCCTGAAATCTCAGCACATCCCTTACCTTCCTACACCAAGGAACTGAATGAACAAGAACAGGGAAAACAGGCTGGTTATTATGACTTTTACCAATAATCTCTCCATGAACTCGGTACTGCCTCTTGTTAACATGGAGTAAGAGCTAAACACATTACCAAATCCAGCTTCATGTCTTCATCCTTTTGCTAATTACAAAATGTCAATGATATCTTTGCTATGGAATTGTAAACTCTAACTTTTTACTTTTTTAGAAAGATTGGAGAAAAGGAATTAGGGAAGAGATTTTTATGAGCTCAGTATATTGTTTAGAATAGCATGGGGGAGAGGTAAAAAATGTGGTGAAGAATATTGTTATCTCTGAAAAATTAACAGATAAAAATGAAGAGCCTTCTTAAAATGCCTTGTTCTGAGGTAATCTGAGCAGTTTTGTTTTTAACTTCCCCTCAGTTAAATATGTTTTCATTTGGCTATGTGAAGGGAGCAATTATTTGTTTTGCTTCACTGCTGGCAAAGCAGGAGGTGTAAACATATTTTTCAAATCCTCCAGGAGACTGCCGAGGTCTTCCTCACTCCCAACGAATATTAGTTTAAACTTTGGCGGGCTTCCATTCATGAGCTTGAAAATAGTCCTTCTTCATCTGGAATTCGTAGTGATGCAACCCTAGCAGGGCCCCAGAAGTAAAGAAAATCGATGTTTGCCACTAATAGTATTAAAAACGTTGAAACTCTACATGATAATGTACATATACTATGCAGGCAATGAACCTATCTTTCACAACTGGGGCCTCAGTGCTGGTACAGGAACACACACATGAAGCTCCAATTCTTTCTAATGGAGACCACATATGTACAAAAGGGACAATTGTATGTACCAGGATTGGAAAGGAATATTTTCCTGTCCTATATCCTTGCGTATTTCCTGCATGGCTTTTTAACAGATAAGTATACCTACTTGGAGACCTACTTTAACTTTCACTTTGTTAACACCCTCTACACTTGTTACTTAGAAAGAAGCAAATTAAAAACTTTTGTCTACCGGAAAATGCTACCTAGAAACAAAGAAGTACAAAATATAATCACCCTTAAATAAACCCTTAAATAAATGGCTAATTCCTAAGCTCTGCATATTCTTGACTATACAATTGACATAACTTTTTATTTAAATATTTCTGAAATTGAGCGGTATTATACAGCAATAGTGCACTTAATGTAACTTTTAAAAATGTTTTGCCAACATGCTATAATTAAAGAGGTGGAATGTCTTATAATCATTGGCATCTTACAATGAAGAGAAAGACTGTATAAAGGAATAATCCCCTTGACAATGAATTGTTAAGTGACAGTGGCATTCTTCCTGTACTCACAAGCTTAGGATCAATTAATGTTGGTAATTAATCAATTAACATTTCTAAGCCTGTGACAAATGCCACAAATATTAAAACTATTGCTTTTGTTGACTTTTTTCTTTTATTTTTTAAGTTGAACTATTATCTATAGCATTCAATAACCAAATATATAACACAGGTTGAGTATTCCTTATTCAAAATCGTTGAGACCTGAAGTGCTTCAAATTTCAATTTTTTTTCAGATTTTGGAATATTTTCATTATATTTACAGGCTGAGCAGCCCAAATCTGAAATCGCAAATCCAAAATGTTCCAATGAGCATTCCCTGTAAGCATCAAGTCAATACTCAAAAAGCTTCAAATTTTGGAGCACTTTAGATTTTGGCTTTTCAGATTTGGAATGTTTAATCTGTATAGAAAAAAGTCTTTCTAACTGGTGAGCTTTAGCAACTAATGTGCATGCCTTGAATGAATTACCTGTGTGTCAAAATGTGCACCTAAATTGTCTAAATCTGCTTTCATTTATGCTATTAGCCCATATAAATAAAATTATAATCTCCTGTGATACAAAAAGGTATGAAATCGTATATGTAAGTGGGAGAAAATATTAAAATGTAATTATATCTGTTTTATAAAGGACCTAGTATTGCTGACTACATGTAATGAAACCCAAAATCAATTGTTGAATCACCCTCAAATAATCAGGTGGCTAAAACAAGTAGAAAAAGTATTCCATGACTCAAGAGATGTTAAAAATATGTGACTGGCAACAAACCAAAAATATATTAATACACAGATACTTGAAGACAGAAATTAGACTGTTTTACAATAAATTACAAATCAATTACATTATTTAACCAGGGCAAAATAGCATTCACAAATGGAAATGAAAGGCCATCAAGAAGCAAAGCAGGAACTTATTTGAAACCATAGATGGAAGATCACAGTGGATTGGTGATGCAGTTGAGGAACTGTGGCAGGGCCTTGAAATAAATTTTCCTTAGAGGCATTGGAAATATATTGGACTTGCAATAGAAATGTTAGATCAGGAACTTCACAGGATTGTACTTAGGCTCTAGGAAGATTACTTTGGTAATTAAGCTACTGCAGGAAGGGGGCTGGAAACAAAAGATCTAGTTAAAATATGATTTCAACGCCTTACAAGAAGTGATGCCAACAGGAAAAGGAAGATGGCAATGAATGCTAGGGGATTATGAAAATTACTTACTGCATGTGGAGAGCAAGAAAAAGTAGAAATGATATAAAGGTTTTATGCTTGAGTGACCCAGAAGATGGCAAAGAGAATATATGAGGCAGTAAAGAAAATGGAAAGGCAGGCATGAGGTGTCAATGGAATGTAGAGCTGGAAATTATATGCAGGATTTGAGAATCAATAGAAAGTCTATAATCAGAAAGATTTGGGTTTAAACATATTTTTACATGTTGTTAGCTCTACGATCCTCTCTGTATTTCATTATTAGTTGAGATGATTTTTTCTTTTTGTTAATCTACATTATATTTGATATTATTATCAGTCATTGCTACTATAATAGCTGTGACTAATATGACATTCATAGAGTAGTTGCAGATGTTAACTGACAATATATGTCAAAGCATAATAAAATTATCTACTAGTAGTTATATTTCAGATATACCTAAGTACTTATAGAGATAAAATCAACATTATCATACTCATCTTAGTTTAAGAAAAAAGGAATATTTTTCAGTGAAATCTTTCGTGTACTCATCTGCCATGCCTTAATCTCTATCCTAAATATGGCATTACCCTTACTATTATATCAAAACAATATATAATATTATTTTGCATACAGTTCAACTTTATATACATCATATCATCAGCAGTTTGTCCTTTTTGCATGACACTAAGTTTGATAGTGCAGCTCTAATTCATCTGTTTTCACTCTGCCTATTCTTCTGTTGTATGAATATGGCAAAAAATTCCACTGTCCTATTAATAAATATTCAAGTGATTTGCCATTATTTATGCCATTACAAACAAAGCTGCAGTGAACAATCTTGCAGATGTCTTCAGGTGCAAATGAGTAAGAGTTTCCCTAGGGTGATGTATTTCAGGATGGAGTTACTGGTTCAGAGGGAACGTAAATCTTCAACTTTTAACTAGATATTGCTAAATTGCTTTCCAAATGTTCTGTTATTCACTGGCCATGCATAAGAATTGCTTTTGTGCCAATGTCTTGCTAACATAAAGTCATCAGACTTCTTGTGTAAAAAAAAATCTGTATGCAGCATGGTGTCTAATTCTGATATTAATTTGCATTTGCATAATTAATAGCAAGCTTGAGCATGCTTTTTATCTGCTTATTGATTAATTTCATTTCATTTTCCTTAAATTGCATTTTAAAATATTTGCTCATTTTTGTTTGGGGTTGTTTATAATTTTCAGTCAGTTATTAAAAGACCATCATTGTATATCCTTGTTACTAATCTGATGTCAGTTATGTGCATTATAAATTTGTCCTCTCAATATGAAGATTTTGTTTTTAACTTGGTGATGGTGTTTTACGATGAACAAAAGTTTTAAATTTTGATGGTATTGCATTTATCAATACTTTACTTAAAAAGATAATACTCCCAGATCATAATTTCTTCTATGTGTACTTCTATATAAAATGTATTGTTGTTAAGTAGTAAATAAGTCACATAATTTGAACATCAAAAACATTATAAAAGGGGTTTTGCTGTGTATTACCATCTGTCATCCATTTCTCCATATATTTTTTTCTCTCTTCTGCTCTGTGCTCCAGGGCATACCCTTATGGTCTACATTACCAGGTTTCCTTGTTATCTGACTTCTGATTGAGTTTGTCCAGTGAAAGGCACCAGACAATTGGAGGGCTAAAGGGAACAGAGATGTGAATGTTGTTTCCCTTCTTCTCTCTACTTTGGCTTTGGGATTCAGTTGCTGCCCCACTACAATCACAGATCTGATCAGGTCATCCTTTCTTCCAGCAGCTCTCACTGAGTCCCTACAAAATTATGTCCTCCATTTTTCCATCAATAGCAGGGATGATAATGGCTTTCCACTGTTACTAATCTCCAGATTCCTCAACATTCCTTGTTAATTTATTCAACTTTACTGATACTTGGCCAAAATCTCTTAGTTAAAAGTATATCTTCAGTTAAACCATGATTGACATCTTTCCTGACATGACCTTGAACCATACAAAAATATATTACGAAAACTCTCTTCTGAACTTCATTCATCCACTTCCCATTGCCCACTATTAATAATAACTTTTTGTTAATACTATATACCAGAGACCTTTTTGTACCTATAAAGCAATTAAAATATGTGTCCTCACCCTTTCGTTTATCACAAATGGTAGCATACAATAGACACTACCCTTCCACTTGTTTCTGCACTTAATAATATATGACTATAGTGTCCAATCAGTACATAAGAAGCTTTCTGATGCATAGCACAAGGTTCAGATGCATAGTAATCTATTTTGTGGATACACTTTAATTTATCTGTTTAGCCCTCTAATTACTGATATTTATATGTTTATAATATCATTCAATTACTAGCAATCATTCAATAAATAATTTAGTATAAACCAACTTTTTGGCAGATTTGCTTAGTCAGAAATTACATGAATCTGCTTTAATAATTCTGCATATTAGATATGTTTTCAAAACATCTTAATTTATCTCTTCAACTATTTTATTTAGTTAGATCTTTAGAACATGCTTAGCTTATATTCTCTTTCCCAATTTTTAAATTTGAAGTTTGTGGATAAAGAGCTTATTTTGCTACTTGTTATTTCTGCTATTTTTTTTTTTTTTGAAACGGAGTCTCATTCTGTTGCCCAGGCTAGAGTGTAATGGCAAGATCTTGGCTCACTGCAAGCTCTGCCTCCCGGCTTCAAGTGATTCTCCTGCTTCAGCCTCCTGAGTAGCTGGGATTATAGGCACGTGCCACCACGCCCAGCTAATTTTTGTATTTTTAGTAGAGACGGGGTTTCACCATGTTGGTCAGGCTGGTCTCAAACTCCTGACCTCGTGATCTGCCTGCCTCGGCCTCCCAAAGTGCTGAGATTACAGGCGTGAGCCACTGCGCCTGGCCTCTTTGTGTTAATTCTTAATCGTGGTGGCTTGTCTATTTCTCCTTTTGGAAATTTTCTTTTTTTCTTTTTTTCTTTTTTTTTTTTAGTTGAAATATCCAAAAGCTGTTTTATTATTTATGTACTCAGGATTATTGTTTTGTAGGCAAGGTGATTGTCTTCGTGTTTATTATTCATTTGTGGTAAGTTCACCTTGGACTTTTTATTTTGGGTAAACATCACATACATCATCATTAGTCAGGCTTTGGGGCTCCTTTTCCCCATTATTCAATGTCTCTCTGCTCTTTTTTTAAATTATTATTATACTTAAATTTTAGGGTACATGTGCACAATGTGCAGGTTAGTTACATATGTATACATGTGCCATGCTGGTGTGCTGCACCCATTAACTCGTCATTTAGCATTAGGTATATCTCCTAATGCTATCCCTCCCCCCTCCTCCCACCCCACAAAAGTCCCCAGAGTGTGTTGTTTCCCTTCCTGTGTCCATGTGTTCTCATTGTTCAATTCCCACCTATGAGTGAGAACATGCGGAGTTTGGTTTTTTGTCCTTGCAATAGTTTACTGAGAATGATGATTTCCAATTTCATCCATGTCCCTACAAAGGAAATGAACTCATCATTTTTTATGGCTGCATAGTATTCCATGGTGTATATGTGCCACATTTTCTTAATCCAGTCTATCATTGTTGGACATTTGGATTGGTTCCAAGTCTTTGCTATTGTGAATAGTGCCACAATAAACATACGTGTGCATGTGTCTTTATAGCAGCATGATTTACAGTCCTTTGGGTATATACCCAGTAATGGGATGGCTGGGTCAAATGGTATTTCTAGTTCTAGATCCCTGAGGAATTGCCACACTGACTTCCGCAATGGTTGAACTAGTTTACAGTCCCACCAACAGTGTAAAAGTGTTCCTATTTCTCCACATCCTCTCCAGCACCTGTTGTTTCCTGACTTTTTAATGATTGCCATTCTAACTGATGTGAGATGGTATCTCATTGTGGTTTTGATTTGCATTTCTCTGATGGCCAGTGATGGTGAGCATTCTTTCATGTGTTTTTTGGCTGCATAAATGTCTGCTTTTGAGAAGTGTCTGTTCATGTCCTTCGCCCACTTTTTGATGGAGTTGTTTTTTTCTTGTAAATTTGTTTGAGTTCATTGTAGATTCTGGATATTAGCCCTTTGTCAGATGAGTAGGTTGCGAAAATTTTCTCCCATTTTGTAGGTTGTCTGTACACTCTGATGGTAGTTTCTTTTGCTGTGCAGAAGCTCTTGAGTTTAATTAGATCCCATTTGTCAATTTTGGCTTTGGTTGCCATTGCTTTTGGCGTTTTAGACATGAAGTCCTTGCCCATGCCTATGTCCTGAATGGTAATGCCTAGGTTTTCTTCTAGGGTGTTTATGGTTTTAGGTCTAATGTTTAAGTCTTTAATCCATTTTGATTTAATTTTTGTATAAAGTGTAAGGAAGGGATCCAGTTTCAGCTTTCTACATATGGCTAGCCAGTTTTCCCAGCACCATTTAGTAAATAGGGAATCCTTTCCCCATTGCTTGTTTTTGTCAGGTTTGTCAAAGATCAGATAGTTGTAGATATGCGGCGTTATTTCTGAGGGCTCTGTTCTGTTCCATTGATCTATATCTCTGTTTTGGTACCAGTACCATGCTGTTTTGGTTACTGTAGCCTTGTAGTATAGTTTGAAGTCAGGTAGCATGATGCCTCCGGCTTTGTTCTTTTGGCTTAGGAGTGACTTGGCGATGCGGGCTCTTTTTTGGTTCCATAGGAACTTTAAAGTAGTTTTTTCCAATTCTGTGAAGAAAGTCATTGGTAGCTTGATGGGGATGGCACTGAATCTATAAATTACCTTGGGCAGTATGGCCCAATACTTTTCACGATATTGATTCTTCCTACACATGAGCATGGAATGTTCTTCCATTTGTTTGTACTTTTGGAAATTTTCTATAGTGAGTTGAACTATGGTAGGTTTTACATGCGGGAATCTTATGCATTCTGAATTGATGTTGAACTCCTTCAGATAATATTTACATTTGTGTCTTCTAGGTAGCACTAGGCAATAACAACTTTTAAGTAAATGTTTTAACATTCCTGGACCATATCAGTAATATAAATAATAAATTTCAATTGCCAGTAGAGAAAGAATGACCCGCACATGTGAAATCTCAGGAAAGATTTTATTTTCCTAAGATTCAAGGTTAATAAGATCTGTAAACAGCCTCAAGACACCTGTGGTTTCAGGATCCTCATAACAAAATTGTATTCTATTTCATCACTCTCACCACCTGTAGAATTATCTTATTTTCTTGAGAACACAAAAGTTGTGGTTATATTTTCCTTAGCATTTTTTAGGATGTCTACAGTGGGAAAAATTGTTTTCTAGAATGTCTAGTCAACTGTCTTCCTGGCAATAATGCTATAAGATAATGTTTTGCATGAATAAATGTAGGAAAATGGTTTAGAGAAAGACCAGCAGTCAATGTATATTTATTTTAGGACAAAAACAATTTGGTCATGTTTTTAGGCAGGATGTAAGATGTCAGACTGAAGAAAAAATGAAAAATGTGAGCAAGTAATATCAATTAAAGGGTCAACTAGACAGAAAGAGCAGAGCAAGCACATATAAAGGAGCCAAGAAGCACAAGATATCCTAGAATAAAATGAAAAGTACCTATATTTTCTTGGATTACAAAAGTAGAAGTAATATTTAAGATTAGATAAAGATTGTATGTCCTGATCTCAGGGAGTTTGGATACGATGCTCAAGATTTCAGAATTCAGTCTGAGTCTAAACAAGGATTGGAAGCTAAACACTGGCATTACTAAGAGCAGGGCCTTCGTAATCTTCTGTGGAGCTTCATTACTGTACTCTTTATTCCTTTTATTCTAAGCTGTGGCCATTCCATACATTTATTTCTTTCTCTAGGACCAGGCTGACTTGAGACAGGGAGTTATGGTGTGACAACATACAATCTTAGGTTGTTCTTGCTATCCACGTGAGCCTGACTACTTGTATTGTTTATGTGTTCTCTTGGCATTAAGAGTGATTTGGAAATGAGTTTATATAGAGAATTCCTCAGCAAACATTCAGTAACTTATACGATTAATTTTTACCCTTTTTTGCCTTGTGTCAGGTAAGTGTGCTTCTAAGAGTAGGAAAAAGACTCTAAGGTAACTCATTGAAAGATCAGTAGATTTGTTAGACAAATGAGAAGGGAAGAAATAAGTTAAAGAGACAGAGAGACAAACATTTCGTGGACTGATTCAGTTTGGGACAGGGTAAGCAGTTGTCCCTCATTAAACCATTTAGTGAGGGAAGTTTGGATTGTTGTAGTGGGGGTTATCAGAAGCTGATAAGGGGAGGCTGTTGAAAAATCTTAAACAAGGTAAGATTAATGAGGTTAGTTTTCATTTTAGATATATTACTCTGGGTTAGTTTTTATTTTTATAATAATTACTGAGAAATAAATTGCATACCATAAAATTCATCCTTTAAATATATAATCTAGTGGTTTTTAGGAGATTCACAGATTTGTTTACCCATCATCACTATCTAATTTCAGAATATTTTTATCATCCTAAAAGAAACCTCATTCCTTGTAGCACTCACTGTTTATTCCTTCCTCTCTCCCACCCGGAAAACCAGCTAATCTATTTGTCTTTATGTATTTGCCTTTTTGGGATATGTCATATCACATATCATGATATGTGGGATCATATAATATGTGGTTTGTCATGACAGGATTATTTAATTTAGAATAATGTTTTCAAAGCTCACCCATGTTGTAGCATGTATCAGTACTTCATTCGATTTTATAATTGAATACTACTCCATTGTATGACCATAGACATTTGTTTATCCATTCATCAGCTGATGGACATTTGTGTTGTTTCCACTTTTTGGCTATTTTGAATAATGCCATTATAAACATTCTTGGACAAGATTTTGTACAGATACCTGTTTTCATTTCACTTGGTTACATAACTATGAGTGTACTTGCCGGGTTATATGGTAACTCTAGGTTTAACATTTTGAGGAACTTACAAACTTTTTTCAAAGTGACTATACCATTTTCTATTCCCATCAACAGTGTATGAGGGATATTATTTCCTCCACAGGCGCGATATTCTTTGTTATGGTCTATCTTTTCTAAAATTTTACGCATTCTAATGGGTGGGAAGTGGTTTCTCATCATGGTTTTGACATGAATTTCCCATGTGATAAATGGAGTTGAACGTCTTTTATGGGTTTGTTGGATATTTCTATATTCTCTATGGAAAAATGTCAAGTCCTTTTGTGTGTTTTAATTGGGATAATTTGTGCTTTTATTGTTGAAACATAAGATTTATTCATGTATTCTGGATATAACTGTCATGTGTTTTCATTTTCTTGATTGTGTCCTTTGACAAACACAACTTTTTAATTTTTATAAAGCCCAATGTATTCATATTTTTTATCACTTATTCTTTTGTTATTCTTTTGTTATCAACCTGTAAGAAACTATATCGAAGGTCACAAAGATTTTACCATATGTTTTCTTCTAAGAGTTTTATAGTTTAAAGTCTTAAATGTACACCATTTATTCATTTGAATTTAGTTTTGTATACAGAATGAGGTAAACAGGTATAACTTCATTATTTGGCATGTGGATATCCAATTGTTCCAATATCATTTGTTGAAGAGCCCATGATTTCCCCCATTAAATTGTCATAGAACCCTTGTTAAAAATCAATTGGCCACAATGTATGGGTTTATTGGGGGATCTCAATTAGATTTTATTGTTCTATATATCTATCCTTATGTTTGTACCACACTGTTTTGATCACTGTAGCTTTGCAGTAAGTTTTGAAATCAGAAAATGTGAGTCTTCCAACTTTGTTTTTTTTCAAGATGGATTTGGTTATAGTATTAGCATGTCAATTTCTGTAATAGCAAATAATTGGGGTTTTATAAGGACTGCAATAAATTTGTAAATCAATGTAGGGTATATTGCTATCTGAATGACAATAAATCCCCCAATTTATGACCTTATGATATATTCCCATTTACTTAGGTTTTCATTAAATTATTTCAATAATGTTTTATAGTTTTGATTGTACAGGTATTACACTTCTGTTGTTAAATATATTCCTTGTTATTGTTTGGATGTTATTGTAAATGGAATTGTTTTATTAATATTATTTCTCGACTGCTCATTGCCAGTGTCTAGAAATACAATGAATTTTCTATATTGATCTTATATCTTGGAACCTTGACAGCTAATTTATTAGTTCTAAAAGATTTTTGTTTGTTTTTGTGGATTACTCTGGATTTTCCATGTATAGTCATCCCTCTGTATTCACAGCTTCTACCTTCATGGATTTTTTTTTTTCCGAAAAAAGATACAATAAAATACCAATTAAAATATAGCATAACTCTTTACATAATATTTACATAATATTTGGTATTTTAAGTAATCTAGAGATGATTTAAAGTTATGAAGGAGGATGTAGATCATATGCAAATACTATGTTATTTTATATAATGCACTTGAGCATGTGCCAATTTTGGTATCCACAGTGTTCTTAGAACCAGTCCCCCAGGGATACAGAGGGACGACCATACAGATCATGCCATTCATGACGCAAAAATAGTAATAGTTTTACTTTTTCATCACAATTTTCATTCTGTTTATTTCTTCTTAACTGATTGTCCTCACTAGAACCCCAATACAACGTTAAATGTAAGTGTCAAGAGTAGGGATCCTTTTCTCATTCCTGATCTTAGGGGGAATGTATTTGTTCTATCATATTAAACATGATGTTAACTTATAAATACCTTTATAAGATTGAGGAAATTGTATTCTATTTCTAGTATTATCAAGTGTTTTTAATCATGAATGAGTATTGGATTTTGTCAAATGCCTTTTGTGCATCAATTGAGATGACCACTTTTTTTCCTTTATTTCATTAATACGAAGTACATTGACTCATTTTCGTATGTAAAATGAGTGCATCATTGCTGGGATATACCCCATTTGGTCATGTTGTCTGATATTTTTATATGTTGTTGGATTCAGTTTGCTTATATTTTGTTGAGGACTTCTATAGGTACATTCATAAGGGATATTGGTTTGTAATTTTATTTTCTTATGATGCTTCTGTCTGATTTTATTATCAGGGTAATACTGATCTCATATTGTGAATTGTTTGAGATTTGAAGAATGGATTAAAGAGAAAATGATTGTGCCCGTAGACCAATGAAGAGACTGTTGCAATAACTCAGGTGGATATGCTTTAAAGTAATAATAATGAGAATAGAAATGTGTAAAGAAAAAGCCAACATTTAATATATTTTTTAAAAAACTGAATTTCTTCCTACTATTGAAGGGAGAGCTGTGCATGTAGGGATATAGTATCTCTGAACCAAACAAATTGCTGATTTTATACAGAAGCAAAGTGAAACAAAGGAAATAATATTAAATGCTCAGGAATTGGCAGACTTCCAAAAGTGAGGGTGTGTGGAGCATGGCTATTGGTAATTGGCTGCTACTAATTGACTGGCTTTCAGAAGCATAGTTACTAATATGAAGTTGTAATTGATCAATTGGCATGGATTCAAATTTATTGGCATGAGTTTAAAAGTTATTCTGGTGATTACCTAATATTATGGACAAAAAAGAATACGAATGTTTTATTCTTGGAGAGAAATGAGCAAATAAAAAGTGAATTCAGGGCATATGCTGATTTAATGGGGTGGTAAAGAAGAGGAATACGTTAAGCATGTGATTCAGGTTTCCGGCTTGTATGACTTAATGTGAGATTTGTCATGTTAAGAATCTATCTCTTTTGTTCTTCCTTTTTTGATTTGCCATCTACAGTGCAACTGCCACCAAAATGTAAAATTTTCATAAAAATCCTTACAGGGAAGACCTGTAAGGTTGAACCCTCCAATACAATAGAAAATGTAAAGGCCAAGATCTAGCATGAGGAAGGAATTCCTCCTGATCAGCCAAGACCGATCTTTACTGGTAAGCAACTGGAAGATGGGGGCACTTTGACTAGGACATTAAAAATAAGTCCGCTCTTCATCTTGTGCTGAGACTTCCTGGTGGTGCCGAGAAAAGGAAGAAGCCTTGTACCACTTCCAAGTAGAATAAGCATAAGAGAAAGGTTAGGCTGGCTCTCCTGAAATAGTATAAGGTAGATAAGAATGGCAAAATTAATCACCTTCAATGCCCTTCAGATGAATGCAGTACTGAAGTTTTCATGGCCATTCACTTTAATAGACATTATTGTGGCAAATGTGGCCTGACTTACTGCTTCAGCAAACCAGAAGACAAGTAATTGTGTATGAGTTAATAAAAAGTGTGAACTTAAACAAACACAAAATCTATCTCCTTGTTGACTGATGTACTCCTAGTTCCTTGGAAAATAGCTGAACTATACTAGGTGCTTTATAAATATTTTTAATTAAAATATTTCCATTAACATAGGAAACATTAATGAAAGTATAAAATGCCAGATGTGTTTAATTTCAAATCTTTGCAAGATATCAAAAGAAGGTGCATTATAGTAAACTGGAATAATTAGTACAGATATTTATTTTGACAAGATTTCGTGGGCACCAGCATATAGATGATTTTTGAAAATATAAGTCACATAAAAGTTCCCATGGACCTTAGGAGAAGAAAAGACAGCTAGGACAGACATCTGACAAACCCAACCATTTGAAGAACCAGGAAGCAATAGAATCTGATAAGAACACTGATAAGAAAATATCTAAAATAAGCAGAAAGAAAATAATGAGAGAATTGTGAAAGCTAAGTGAAGTTGTTTTATTTGTTCCCTCTCTTTTTTCCCCCCTCCTGAAGAAAGAAGTGGTTAACCTTATTAAATAAGCCTTAGGGGGTACACAAGAAAAGGAAGAGGACTGGAAGTTACCTATAGGATCAGCAATGGGGACATCAGTGTCCTTGACAAGAGTTGATTCCCTGGAGTGGTAGGTGCCATGTGTAGAAGAAGAATCAGCTGAGGAGAGTGAACAGAGGTTTAGTTGGACAGAGGAGAGCAGGATAAGCAGACAGGCTTTAAGTTGAGGAAAGGAGTTTATTTTTGATTTTTATGTTAAGGGAAACTAGAGCTTATTGAACCCTGATTGAAAAGAAATGGATAGAGATTTACAATGCAGGAAAGACAAAGAATGATCAAAAGACTAATGTAAAGAGTGAGAATTGATGATTCTATGTCTTCTAACTCTCAAAACCCTTGCACCTCTAAATTTCTATGATTATTTTAATTGTCTATGTAAATGATTGCATTATTGGGAATTTGTTGTTAACTATCTTAATGCAAGTAATCCACAGATTATATGACAAAATTGATAAAATTATTTTATTCTTTCATAGGGAATAGAGAACATAGTAAACAAATTACTGAACATTTGAATTTTTCACAAATTTTATATCAAAAGGAGAACCACATATATCCTTTGACTATATATGTCAGTTGTTAATATATTATCACATTTTTTCTCTCTTTTCTATTCTATTAATAAACCATTTTAGGATTAGTTGCAAATATTGTGACACTTCACCCTAATTAATTCAGCATGAAACATTAATCATCTAAGAAGAAGAACATTCTCTTACATAACCACTATGAAATTGCCCTACCAAGGATATTTAACATTGATACAATGACATTATCTAATATACAGCCTATATTAAATTCTACCCACTATCAATTAAGCCAATGATATATGTTATGAACTTTTAAAAAATATAGAATCCAAATAGAGTTTGTGCATTTTATTTAGTTCTCGTTTATTCTTTAGTTTTCTTTAAACTATAAACTGCCCACAAACTTTTCGCTTTTATAAATATTACAGACACTGATATTTTAAAAGAGTCCATTCTAGTTTGTTTGTTTGTTTGTTTGTTTGCAGAATTTGTTCTAATTTAAATTGTCTTATTGTTTCTTAAATTCTAAATTCTGGTTAAGAATTTCAGGTGCAAATGGTACTTGGGCTATTAGTTCATCACGTTGCAAAGCACATGACGTCAATGTTTAATATTACAGGTAATATTAAGTTAACTCACTTAAAATATTCTTCACCAAATTTATCTAAAAAGTGCTTTTTCCCTTTGCAGTTAATAAGTAATTTGTTAAATAGTGCATTGAGCCTACATGCATATCTTGTTTTTCAAACATATTTTATTCACTGTATTTTCATCTACTGAAAACTTTTTTTGTGAGTCTATTATTGCTATGGTGATTATGAAATGGTGATTTGCTGTCTCTTTAATTTCTTCTATATTTAATAGTTTATTTGGCCTTATGTATTTTTTTTTTTAAGACAGGGTCTTGCTCTGTCACCCAGACTGGAGTGCAGTGGTGTGATCATGGCTCATTGCAACCTCAAAAGCCTGGGCTCAAACGATCCTCCTACTTTAACCTCCTTGAGTAGCTGGGACTACAGGAGTTCACCAAAAACTAGTTTTTAATTTTTTGTAGATGTGAGGTTCACTCTGTCACCCAGATGGCTCATCGCAACCTGAAATGCCTAGGCTCAATACTCCTACTTCAACCTCCTGAGTGGTTGGGACTACATGATTGCACCAAAAAGCCATTCCCAGCCAATTTTTAATTTTTTGTAGACATGGGCTCTCACTATGTTGCCCGGGCTGGTCTTGAACTCCTGGGTTCAAGCAATCCTCCTGCCTCAGCCTCCCAAAGTGCTGGGATAACAGGCATGAGCCACCATGCCTGGCAAACCTTATGTATTTATATAAAAAATATACTTGTCTCCAAATCTTTATTTTTATTTTGTAAAAATAATTACTAGTATGCCTTCATTGATTGATCTTTAATTCAATATTGATATGTTCTGAATTTTTGTGTTCCCCCAAAATTCATACCTTGTAACCTAATACTCAATGTGGTTGTATTCAGAGGTAGAGTCTTTAGGAAGTGATTTGATCGTGAGGGCTCTGACTACATAAATGGGATCAATGCCCTCACTAAAGAGTCTTGAAGGAAGACAGCCTGTTTGCCCATTCTGCCATATGAGGCTAGCAACAGGCATCATATTTTAGGCAGAGCTCTCACCAGATACTGAATCTGCTGGCACCTTAATCTTAGACTTCCCAGCTTCCAAACTATGAGCAAAAAATTTCTGATATTTATAAATTACCCAGTCCAAGGTATTTTGTAATAGCATCCCAAATGGACTGAGATAAATATATTTTTCCAGCTTTATTTATGTATGATCAACAAATAAGAGATTGTGCAGATTTAACATGTGCAACATGGTATTTTTATATAAGTGTACCTTGTATAAAATGATTTTCACAATAGTATATGCATTACCTAATATGGTTACTTTTTTCGTGTATAGTGGAAACCCTTAAGATCTACTCCTTAAGCAAATTTCAAGTCTAAAATATATTATTATAAGTTATAGTCATTATACGTTAGATCTCTAGAACTTACAGCTTAAATTTTGTACTCTTTGATCAACATCTTCCCACTTTGGCCAATATCTCCCCATTTCCCTGACACCTCCCAGACTCTGGCCACAACCATTCTACTCTCTGTTTCACTCTGTTTGATTATTTTAGATTCCACATAAAGGTGATCTCATGCAATATTTGTCTTTCTGTGTCTGGCTTATTTCTCAAAGCATATGTCCTTCAATTTCATCTACCTGCCGCAAAGGGCAGACTTTCCTTGTTTTATAAGGCTGAATAATACACACACACACACACACACACACACACACACACACATTTCTTTATCAATTCATGCATCAATGAACACTAAGTTGTATCCATAAATTGGCTATTGTGAATAATGATGCTATTTCTTTAATGTATTTCTATTATTGTTTATTTTGACACTTAGTGTGTCCTAAATTTGTCCAAAGAGAGCTCCTTTAAGTTTTTCAAGTCTTTGTTTTTTCATGGTGAGAAACCTAATTCCCAACAAAATCAACATATTAAATCTTTTGCTCAATTCTATTATACATGATCAAACTAGTTTCAAACTTACTGCACTAATGCCACTACCAAAAACATGTTAAGTAACACTCAAGATTTCTTTTGTTTTAAAAATATATTCTACCTATTGATAGAAATAGTAATCAAACAGTTCACTCAATCTTCAAAATAAGCCTACTAATAGATTTTTTAATTAAAATAAGACCTATAATATAGGTAATCGCAAATGCAATTATAATGCTTTATTATTCAAGAGAAAGCCAATCAGAATGTAAACCAACATTATAGTGTCCCCTTCCTTATCTTTCTTTTGTGAGCATCACCTTGGAAAATAACTTTCTTGAAAGAAATATTGTGGACTTAAACCCTATAGCAACTTGTGGTGCAAAAGGCAAAAAATTAGAATTCCCTCTCCCAAGATTATTAAAATTCCATCACG
The DNA here is from genome assembly GCF_000001405.40 of Homo sapiens. Classification (NCBI taxonomy): domain Eukaryota; kingdom Metazoa; phylum Chordata; class Mammalia; order Primates; family Hominidae; genus Homo; species Homo sapiens. The sequence continues at coordinate 27,254,624 of NC_000014.9, read as the reverse complement.
GTATCAGATTTTTCATGGAGGGAGAAGAGAATTACTGGCAACCATTAAAAATAATAATGTTCATTTCTGAGTGCCCTTCAGAAATGCATATATTTGGGGGAAAACCCAGGTAGGAAAAAAAGGAATGAGTCAACCTAACAGGCTTCATTTTAAATTCTATCTCTTTATTATATCAAAATGACATCTTTGCAGTTTAGAGGGACCAGTAGGCACTGTTATAACTAAAATTGGATAAAATTCCTGGCTGTGTCAAAGACATTGTTTGAATTAACTTAAAAGTGTTTTATGTCACTGTTCACCACTCCCCTTCTCTAGTCATGATCTGCCTGTGGCAAACTGTTTCTCTCCAGGACTGAAAAGATTACTCCCACTGATACTCCTCTGACAGTGTGAATATTGACTTGCACTTATAAAGGTCAGACAGTTCCACTAGTTAATAGGAGTGAGAAGAGCAGCTCCAACAAGTCTCTTTGAAAGGAATTTAACCTTCAAATTGCAAAGCATGCTGCTCTGTGGAGCCGCTTTTGGCAACTAAGAATACATGCTTCTCTACTTTCCAAAAATACTAACAGAAGCCTGAAAGTTAGCATTACAAGGGGAAACAATCATGCTTTGTAGCCGACAAACGGCCATGGGAACGCCATGCAGGATATGCCTAGTTATTTTATATTTTAAACAGAGTTGGATACAGTGGAGTAATTCTCTAGGCCTGTAACTTTCCTCAATGTATAAAAGCCTTTTTGACTTTTAAGAGCCATGTGCTGTAAGATGATAAGACACCACATATATTTTTCTCAGCATCATTCTGACACAAGATCAAGAAAAAGGTTTATTCCCAGTGGAGCATAGCATCTCCTCACCTATTTTTTTGAAAAGTCCTTTGCCTTCTGTTATTGTCTTATGACTGAGAGTTCAGGAAAGGCTGACACAATTTAAAGTCTCTGAGAATGTGGCCTTTCTGTTAATAGTAGTGTCCTGAAGTACAATACAAGAAAAATGGGAGTGAGAAAACAAGACTGAAAATGGGAATGAGACTTCACTTTTTATTCTGATGGAAGGTAAAACCAATATTTTTAATTTTTAATAAAACTCATTTATATTGTGGCATCAATGGTAGAAAGGATGTGCTACATATAAATGAAGATGATTCCCTATTTTTCTTGAGCAGTGGAAGACAGGAGGAGACATAATGATAAAGAGAGTCTTTTACAAGTAATAAGTAGGAAGAAGAATATGTACTGGGTGTCCTGGAAAGCAAAGCTTTCATGATTCCAGAGCATATTTTAGAAATGGCATTACGGCTTTCACTGCTTTAAGTTTGGCATCAGCGAGATTTCAGATTGTGCTAAAATCATCCTTAATGTCCTTTCTGCCTCATCAGTGGGGGACCATTCAAGTAACAAAGTGCCAATCAGGGACTCTTGTTCCTCTTTAGCTTGAAGATATTACTGTGGAGGTTTTTCTGAGAGCATGATCTCTCTGCTTGAGATGCCCTTTATTATAACTATAGTTAAAGGTCTGCTGACTTAGCCGTTATAAACCCCTAATGTTCTCAACTACAAAAATTTGCTCTAAAATAAAGCTTAGCACACTAACTTGGAGCTCAGGAGAGTCATGATTTTGATAAATTCTAAGAGAATAAAATAGTCATTTTAACATAAAAAGAGAGTAACAAAAATATAAATATCAAAGCTATTTGAGTTATGTGTGTCACTGCTCTGGTATCTCCAAAAATAGCATCGTTAATTAAAATGAAGTTGGAAAGTAATTTGCTCATAATGTGCACTAATCATTTTTGTAAGTTTGGAATATAAAAATGTAATTAAGGAAGAGAAAAATGGGTTATAGACAGGATGATTTTCTTGATTGAGAATATATCAGTGAATTTTTAACTCAAATGTTTTCGGGAAATATAGGATCTGTGTTGCTATCACAGTCTGTGCAGTCTTTTAGTCACTGACTCAGATACTCTTAACGCTTAAGACTTTCCCTGTATTTTTTTTTCTTTTTCTTCGTTCTTTTTTTATTTTATTTTTTAATGAGACAGTATCTGTCACCTAGGCTGGAGTGTAGTAGTGCTGTCTCAGCCACTGTAGCCTTGACCTCCCTTGCTCAAGCGATGCTCCCACCTCAGCCTCCTGAGTAGCTGGGACTATAGGCACATGCCACCATGTCTACCTACCTGAAAAAAAAATTATAGAGACAAGGTCTCACTATGTTGCCCAGGCTGGTCTCGAACTCCTAGGCTGAAGCATTCCTCCTTCCTTGGCGTTCCAAAGTGCTGGGGTTACAGAGGTGAGCCCTTGCACCTGGCCATGCTGTAAGTTTTTTAGCCATCTTTAAGGTTTTTGTTAATTGAAGTGACCCACAAATAACAGTTTGTACAAAAAAAAAAAAAAGAAAGGCAGCAGCTTAGGAGCAGCGTATTACAAAGGAAATATGAATAGTAGAAAATAGACTTCAATATGTTAAATATGAAGATTATAATTATTGAAAATGTATACTTTTAGCCCTCTATTTCTAAGAAAATACCTAAAGAAACATGTACTGTTCTAATGATACAGAATTTGTTCAGAATTTTTAAATATCAAAACATTTTTGTAATAACCTTCCAGCATAGCAACCTTTCTGCAGATAGCGATCATAAACTCGGGACGGAATTAAACAAAACAGAACAAAACACATACTGTAAAACTCTAGAATTAAACAATGATAGGCAGATTCTGGAAATGCATTGATAGCTAGGAGAGCTCTACAGGGTGAGACTGTAATTTTACAGGAACCTATAAAGGAAGAAGCAGAGTGATGTCTTAGAAAGTAGAAGAGTGTCTCCTTTTAGATAGGAAAAAGAAAGGCCTTTCTGAGGATTTCATGTCATAGCTAAGAAGTGATGAACAAGAATTAGCAAACTAAACATTTCTAGAGAAAGAATATTCAAACTAAGGGGAAGAAAAATTGCTAACGTACTAGGGTAAGGCTTGGCATGTCCCAGAAACAGAATGGAAATCCATGGAGCTGAAGATGAGTGATTAAAAGGCAGAGCGGCAAGAAAAAGTTGGAGAGGAGGAAGGGGACCAGATCATATATATATATATGTAAATTTTTCACTTAGGGCCTACTCTATGCAAGGGAATGTATACAGAAATACAAGTAAGATATGATTCTCACCCTAGGAGAGTTCCCAATTCTGAGGAAATGGGGTTTTTGGCTGTGCTGTCAATGCAATGTATTGCAGACAGATCCTAGATGTGCCTTTGCTCAATCACGTTGTAGCTTAGAGTCAAGCAGAGAAAATCATATGGACAAATGAATGAATGGATAGATGGATGGATGACAGACTGAGAAACTACAGCTGGCTTCTCAGACACCAGACAATTGATCTCTTCTTTGCACTGTCACCACATACAGACTCTGAACTGCACTTCTAATTTGATGGTTAAAAACTTAGATAATATAGTTTGAAGTCAGGTAGCATGATGCCTCCAGCTTTGTTCTTTATGCTTAGGATTGTCTTGGCTATACGGGCTCTTTTTTGCTTCCATATGAAATTTAAAGTAGTTTTTTTTTTTCTAATTCTGTGAAGAAAGTCAACGGTAGCTTGATGGGGATAGCATTGAATCTATAAATTACTTTGGGTGGTATCGCCATTTTCACAATATTGATTCTTCCTATCCATGAGCATGGAATGTTCTTCGATCTGTTTGTGTCCTCTCTTATTTCCTTGAGCAGTGGTTTGTAGTTCTTCTTGAAGAGGTCCTGCACATCCCTTGTAGGTTGTATTCCTAGGTATATTTTATTCTCTTTGTAGCAATTGTGAACAGGAGTTCACTCATGATTTGGCTCTCTGTTTGTCTATTATTGGTGTATAGAAATGCTTGTGATTTTTGCACATTGATTTTGTATCCTGAGACTTTGCTGAATTTGCTTATCAGCTTAAGGAGATTCTGGGCTGAGATGGTGGGGTTCTCTAAATATACAAACATCTGCAAGCAGAGACATTTTGACTTCCTCTCTTCCTATTTGAATACCCTTTACTTCTTTCTCTTGCCTGATTGCCCTGGCCAGAACTTCCAATACTATGTCGAATAGGAGTGGTGAGAGAGGGCATCCTTGTCTTGTGCCGGTTTTCAAATGGAATGCTTCCAGATTTTGCCCATTCAGTATGACATTGGCTGTGGGCTTGTCATAAATAGCTCTTATTATTTTGAGATATGTTCCATCAGTATCTAGTTTATTGAGTTTTTAGCATGAAGGGGTGTTGAATTTTATTGAAGGCCTTTTCTGCATCGATTGAGATAAACGTGTAATTTTTGTCATGTGCACTAATAATTTTTGTAAGTTTGGAATATAAAAATGGAATATAGCTTTTACACTGTTTATGTGATGGATTATGTTTATTTATTTGCGTATGTTGAACCAGTCTTGTATCCCAGGGATGAAGCCGACTTGATTGTGGCGGATAAGCTTTTTGATGTGCTGCTGGATTCGGTTTGCCAGTATTTCACTGAGGATTTTCGCACTGATGTTCATCAGGGATACTGGCCTGAAATTTTCTCTTTTTGTGTGTCTCTGCCAGGTTTTTGTATCAGGATGATGCTGGCCTCATAAAGTAAGTTAGGGAGGAGTCCCTCTTTTTCTATTGTTTGGAATAGTTTCAGAAGGAATGGTACCATCTCCTCTTTGTACCTCTGGTAGAATCGGGTGTGAATCTGTTTGGTCCTGGGCTTTTTTTTTTTGGTTGGTAAGCTATTAATTACTGCCTCAATTTCAGAACTTGTTATTGGTCTATTCAGGGATTTGATTTCTTCATGGTTTAGTATTAGGAGGGTGTATGTGTCCAGGAATTTATCCATTTCTTCTAGATTTTCTAGTTTATTTGTGTAGAGGTGTTTATAGTATTCTCTGATGGTAGTTTATATTTATGTGGGATCAGTGGTGATACCCTCTTTATCAGTTTTTATTGTGTTTATTTGGTTCTTCTCTCCTTTCTTTGTCTGGATGGTGGTCTATCTATTTCAAATTACAAGTCTACAGTAACAAAAACTACATCGTACTGGTACAAAAACAGATATATAGACCAACGGAACAGAGCAGAGGCCTCAGAAATAATGCCACACATCTACAACCATCTGATCTTTGACAAACTTGACAAAAACAAGCAATGGGGAAAGGATTCCCTATTTAATAAATGGTGTTGGGAAAACTGGCTAGCCATATGCAGAAAACTGAAACTGGACTCCTTCCTAACACCTATACAAATATTAACTCATGATGGATTAAAGACTTAAACATAAGACTTAAAACCATAAAAACCCTATAAGAAAACGTAGGCAATACCATTCAGGACATAGGCATGGGCAAAGTCTTGATGACTAAAACACCAAAAGCAATGGCAATAAAAGCGAAAATAGACAAATGGGATCTAATTAAACTAAAGAACTTCTGCACAGCAAAAGAAACTATCACCAGAGTGAACAGGCAACCTACAGAATGGGAGAAATTTTTGTAATCTATCCATCTGACAAGGGCTAATATCCAGAATCTACAAGGAACTTAAACAAATTTACAAGAAAAAACAAACAACCCCATCAAAAAATGGGTGAAGGATATGAACAGACACTTCTGAAAATAAGACAATTATGGAGCCAACAAACAGATGAAGTCCTCACTGGTCATTACAGGAATGCAAATCAAAACCACAATGAGATAGCATGTCACACCAGTTAGAATGGCAATCATTAAAAAGTCAGGAAACAACAGGTGCTGGAGAGGATGTGGAGAAATAGGAACACTATAACACTGTTGGTGGGAGTGTAAATGAGTTCAAGTATTGTGGCAGACAGTGTGGTGATTCCTCAAGGATCTAAACCAGAAATACCATTTGACCTAGCAATCTCATTACTGGAAATATGCCCAAAGATTAGAAATCATTCTACTACAAAGACATATGGACACACATTTTTATTGCAGCACTATTGACAATAGCAAAGACTTGGAACCAACCCAAATGCCCATCAAGGGTAGACTGGATAAAGAAAATGTGGCACATATACACCATGAAATACTACACAGCCATAAAAAAGGATGAGTTCATGTCCTTTGCAGGGAATGGATGAACCTGGAAACAATCATTCTCAGCAAACTAACACAGGAACAGAAAACCAAACACTGCATGCTCTCACTCATAAGTGGGAGTTGAACAATGAGAACAAATTAACACAGGGAGGGGAACATCACACAGTGGGGCCTGTCAGGGGTTGGAGGGCTAGAGGAGGGATAGCATTAGGAGAAATACCTAATGCAGATGATGAGTTGATGGGTGCAGCAAACCACCATGGCACATGTATACCTATGTAACAAACCTGAACATTCTGCACGTGTATCTCAGAACTTAAAGTATAATTAAAAAATTAGATAAAAATGTGTAAACCTGTTTGTGTCTTCCAGTAGATCTCTGATTAGCTTATGACTGGGGGTAGGTTGCTTAACTTCTGTTTCCTTATCTATGAAATATCCATAAGCACATCTATGTCCTAGTGATTTAACTGTGATTTCCTATTTTGTTTTGTCTTTGTTTTTGAAATGAGATATTACATATAAAGTACAACTGTTAATAACTAGACCCAGGAACTCAATATTATCATTTTATCTGATGTTGATTATAACTGAAGAGTACTAACTTCTAATAATTAAACCTAAAATAAATTGAGTCCTAAAGCAGACACTGTTTTGTGAATTATTGGTTTACTGAGAGATAAGTCTGGCTGAACATGACCTGGTGGTTCCGTACTTATCTCTCTCAGTCAGATAACAGCTCATAAATCAACATCTGGTTTATGACTCAGTTTATTGTAAATTTGATTATTAAAAGTTAGTACTTCTCAATCATGATCAACTTCAGATAAAATAATAATATTTAGTTCCTGGGTCTAGTTATTAGCAGTTGTACTTTACATGTGATATCTCATTTCAAAAAACAAAAAACAAAACAAAACAAAACAAAGAAACAAAAAAACAAGAAATCACGTATAAGTCTCTAGAAGATAGCTATGATTGTGGCTATTTTATAGATAAAGAAGCAGAGGTTGAGCAACCTACCTCAAATCAGGAACAATCTATTCTGAGAATGTTGGAGATGCAAAGAAAAACAACAGATTGGTAGAGTAAAGACGTTGCAGTCAAAGGGGAAAATGTGGATCCAAATTACACATTTAAGTGGTACAAAATAGACAATTCAAATCTCTTCAGATACTCTTGTTTATTTTTTCCACATATATAAGTTTTCATCTTTCTTGAGTGAAATTGAGTAGTCCCAGATAAATAAGTAGAGTAAGAATGGTGTAAGTCACCTAGTGAGCTAACATTTGGTGGTTATAACAAAAGATTAAGAGAAAACACTCTCTTTGTTGCTAGAAAGTAGGTCCTCTTCTGCAGCCCTAGTTTATAAGTTCCCCCCACCCTCCGCCCTCAATTTGTGTATCATTATCCCGTGCTTGTCACTGACTCTGTATAAAACTATGCTCAAGTTTTACACGTCTTGACAAAGTATTCTTCCTTTAACCCTACGTTTTCAACTACATACACTACCTACGCTGTTTCTCTCCTTTCCTTCATAGTCAAGCCTTTAGAAAAAATAACCTATGTTCATGATGTCTACTTCTCCACCTTCCATTCATTCTCCAATTCCTAAAATATGGCTTCTGTCTGGGTTACTTCTCTGAAGCTGTTTTCTCTAAGGGCTTCATTGACACACTTATTATCAAACCAACTATACCTTTTTATTCCAATTATTCTCATCTTTTTGTAGTGTTCGCTTCTGTTCACCACTACATCTTTCTGAAAATTATTTTATCATTTTCTATCCTGCAAATTCCTCCTGATTCTCTTTCTATTCTTTTTATGAGCACTCCTTAGTTTTCCCATTGATGTTTCCCCAGGTACCCACTCAAATCATTTATTTCTTTCTTCATGCAATTTTCTTAGGCAATATTTTCAACTTCCACAATGTTAACTCCACATATCCTCAATTACTCATCCATATCTACCTATCACCTACAACAGTTCTTGGAGCTGAGGAGGCATTTAATTAGTATGTTCTGAATAATCAATGGATGGATGGATGGCTGGATGGGTGGATCTACATGAGAAGTCACAATCTAGAAATGTTAACGATGAATGTGAAGTACTGGCATTTTATGTGGGTGGGGGGTGGTGGAGAGCCAATTAAAAATATACTATATTCAGTCTGGGAATTCTACCTTTAAACTTAGATTATAAATTTTCTTGAAAACCAATGGGAAGGTACAGCAAAAATGGCCCAATATTCTAGCATGGCAACCATCCGTTAGAGCTGAGTCATATTTGTGCCCTTTAGAGGAAAACGTGTTGTTCAATATGGCACAGTCAGACCATGGCTACGCCTTCATTTACGTTACCTGCCTGACCTCATAAGCATTCAATTAGATATGTCAAACAAAACAGCCTGCAGACATGTAAATTCAGTATGATCCAGACTATATTAGTCACCTTCCAAATTTTTTAATCTGTGACTTCCTTACTTATGTAACCAATTTCAATAAAAAATTATCCATATTACGTAAGCCAAAAACCAAGAGTCTTGGAGGTTCTTCCTGTTTATTTCCTGCAACATCTTATCAACCTTACCTCGTGTCAGTATTCGCCATTATAAATATATCTGTAGTTTATCTCCTTCTCTCTTATTTTAGGCATGCATCATCATTTCCCTACAGATGTTGTGACAGGTTCCTAACTGCTCTTCTGGCCTGTTCTTGTTTCCTCTCTATTCATCTATCTGAAAAGCTTCTATATATCCTTTAAGTCTCAGTTCAAGTGCTATGTTCTCTATGAAACTTATCTGACTTAGGAATAAATTTATTTATAACTCCCTTTATCTACTAAATTATTAGTATTATTGTAATATTTTACTAGAATGATGATAGTGACAATAACAATAGCCAAAATACATTATATACTTTATATAGTACAGGAACTCTCATAATAACTTAGTATATATGTTCTTATTTTATCTTTGCAGTATTATGAGGCAGATAAAATTATCATCACCACATACAGATGAAGAAGCTGATGTATAGGCAGATGTTAAAAAATATTATCCAGGAATGAGGTTTGACATGTCTATTTTGATTCTAGAGGAATAAGTCCCTTCTAAATCTGTCTGTGATTTTTCAGCTATGCAATGAACACCACCAGTTTGATTTGGGGCTTTGTAGCTATCATAATCTGTGTGTTTTACATAGTGACAGGACAAATAATTTTTGTTGAGTAACTAAATGATTAAAACACTTGATTAAACTGGTTAGGAGATTATGAAACAATCTTGTTTTTGTCGTCTAAGGCTTCTCAGCTAATACTGCTTAAAAGTAAGTTATTTTCCCCTTTGTCTTAAGGCTGTCTTCTAAAATAGTTGAAGTCTATAGGTCTTAGACATTAAAAACACTATAATGCAACTATGATCAAGTTATTTGCCTTTAGGCCTTAGTGCTATGTGCCATTGGCTTCTAATTTGATATTTAATGTGCTGGTGACCCCTATTTGAGCAGCCCAGGTTCTGAGGGCCTATACTGAAGCTTAGCCATAGTTTGCAAGTCTATTTTTTTTAATAATAGTTAACTCAGATAGAATAAAAATAATGTATTTCTGGCCCCTCACCAGTAACTAGAAAATTGGCCTTTGGATAGACATATTTACTGACTGTGACATGCAGCAACAATACAGAAATGCCTGTAGCCAGGAAGAGGTAGACCAGTTAGGTAGAGAGTAAAGTTGTGATTTAAAAAAATCGAAAGACAACATTGCAAATTCAAAATTTTGCAGGTTAAAGAGTTTTTATTGTTGCTATGCTACCAATTTGAATCTGCTGCTTAAATGACTGAATTGAAGAGGAATGAGGGTCACAGTTAACAGGTGTAGATATGAATGTTGAAGATATAATACTTGTTGCCTCTACTACATACTTGACATTAAGCATGTAATTTACCTAAGATATCTGCCATCTAATATGCAGATTTTAAAGTATGCAAATCCTTTTTGATGTCATTAATAACATTATAAATAGCTAAGGACAGGTACTAATTATTATACCTCTTGTATCTACCACGTTGCTTAGAAAAGTACACCCACCAGATATCACAAAATCAAGATAACTAAAACCTCAGTCAACTAAGAAGGAAGCATTTTCATCACAGTAAGATTCAATATATAAAGTTTTACACTGGGCATGGTGGCTCATGCCAGTAATTCCAGCACTTTGAGAGGGCTGAGGTGGGAGGACCGCTTGAGGCCATGAGTTTGAGACCAGCCTGGGCAACAAAGGGAAATCTTGTCTCTAAAAAAATAAAAAATAAAAAAAATAAAAAAAAAAATTAGCTAGCCCAGTGTAGTGATTAGTGCCTGTAGTCCCAGCTACTCAGGAGGCTGAGGCTGGAGGATCTTGAGACCTTGAGTACAAGGCTGCAGTGAGCTATAATCATACGACTACACTCCAGCCTCAGTGACAGAGCAAGACCCTGTCTCTGTGAAAATAAAATATAAAGTTTCACTACCTGGCAATCTTTAAGTTAGATTTTTTTTTTCTCTGAGTTGCTTTTTTCTTTTTTTCTTTATGATCTTGTAACTTTGAAGTGGGAATTTAATGATCCCAGATAATTCTAGTTGAATAATTATATTTGAAATAAATTTGATTCGAGGAAAGCATTGGTTAAGCCTCTATTTTTTTGGCTGGAGAAATATGTATTTAGACTGTCAGAGCAAACTAATAATTTTCTTTCAAATTTGTATTAATTTCACAGAAGAACAAGTAAGTTAATTTTTGTTTATCATGCTACTTTTGTGTTGGTGGGATGATTCATATCAAACTGCAGCTTCTGTCAGATGTGTCAGGATAATGTAGGACTTCATCGTTCTTTTTGTTAAAGCATAATGTTATAACATGTGGTGATGTTTTAAGTTTCCTCAATGACAACATAACTTTGTGAAACATTATTGATATTAAGAGAATAAATCTATGCATTAGACAAGTTCATGACACATTTTGAAAATATGGATGTATGATGACTCACGTATACTCTAGTTTAACCTCAGTTTTACAATTGCACAATTAAATCCTAAACATAGTTGATATATCTTCTATCAAATGTTGCTCTCACAGATGTATGTTGAAAGGGTAATATTTGGTAGAAAAGGTAGCTCATTTAGATAATATAATGGATTTAGTATGAAGAATTTTGCATCATTTTATAAATTAGGAAACTGGGTTTCAGGTGATGTATTCAAGCTCATGGCATTAAATGATGCTAGCAAATGCTTTAAAAGCTAACTTAGATTTTCTGCTGCAACCTGTGATTCATAACTGGTATTAGACTGCTACTTTTACAGTAAACAAACATAAAGCTGGAGAAAAATATATATAAATGAGCCCATTGTTTTCAGGCATTGGACTGCAAGGCGAGGAACACTCTGATCCCTGAAAGGAGACTCAAGTGAGCATCACGGTAGCTCAGGCTTTCTTTCTGGGTAAGAAGGAAGTTACAGTGTTGGAGCCACAGAAATTCATGTGAATAGGTCTCCTGGGAATGGTTGGCTGTGGACTGGGCTATGAACACACGGAGTGAGACTATAAAATAGATACTGGAAAGTGTTGCTACAGGGTTGAGAACAAAACAAATATACTAGAGGTCAAGCATTGCTGGAAGATGGAATTCTGGCTTAGGGTAGAAAAACTTCAGTAATATTTTATTGTTTTTGGACATAATGGTAGGTTCATTTATTTTTTAACTTTTAATTTTTAGGTAATGATTAGATATACATCAGATTCATGATGTCTGAAGCAGGGTGTAAGGTAGGCAGGAAATGTTTATTGTAAAGAGGGAAAAGAAGCTTTCTGGAGTGCTGGAAATGTTTTATAGCTTGACTCAGTGCTGGCTACATGTATGTAAACATTTGCAAAAACTCACCAAACTGAATATTTATAATGCGAGAATTTTATGTTACATTCCAGGAAATTTCATTAACAACAGCAAGAACAACTAATTAACCTAGTCTAACACTATTTCCTTTAGAAAATAATAACCTCTGGCCTAGCTTTTGTAATTTGAGTAAGCTTCGAGTTGGAGAGATTCTTACATATGATTGAGTCATAAACTTTTAATGAAAAGACAACTAAATCCTTAATACATTAAGGAATCACCTGGCTTTTCTGAGTTTTTAACAGAGCTCGGACTAGAGTCCATATTCCTTAATCATTATCTAGTGTCCTCAATGATATGATGTAGTCTTCCAACAAATTCACACTCTTAAGAATATGGAATGCTTTGTTGTCAATGTCCTACTGTGACAAAGGTTCATAAATTGAAAATAATACGGCTCATTGTGGTTTGGTCAATCTCCTTAGTTCAAGAAATCATAAGTAGAGTAAGTGAGACTAACCTATATTTCATCATAATATTCATCACCTGCCACACCCATTTGCACAAAATGATATTCTGTCTTGTCTTATTTAGCCTGAGGGTACCTCATTATCCCACCTAGACTGCATGCAGTTTGAAGGCCAGCAGCCTGCCTCTAACCAGATTTTGTACAGTGCTATGTATACACCAGTTGCCCAGTGAAAACCTGGTGTATGAATAAGATGTATGAAGAGGAAATTGGGAAAGGAGAAAAGCTAGTAACTGCAGACTTCAGTTTTATTCAGCCTTGTGATTTTATATACCATCTACTGTAGACTCTTCAGTACATTCCCTCATAAACTGGATGTATACAAATACAGATTCAAATTTGCTAAAGGCCTTCTGAAAGTGGAAAACCTAGGCACAGGTGCAAAGGAAAATACGACAGAAAAACATTAATTCCACCTCAAGTGTGCAGCATTAACTGTCTATTGGGCCAGCTGTCTGACCTGTGCTCCTGTACCAAAGTTCATTCAGGATAAACTACCCAAGTCTCTCCATCTCATTCACATAAATCTAGATCTCTATTTTTCTTAGAGTGCACAAGAAACATACAGAACTCAAAAAATACAAATAAAGCAAAATGACTCAGTGAATTGAAAAGATTGCTTTTATGTTCTACAGAAATGTCACTTAATTTACAGACCATTAGAAACAATTATCACCTTCTCCCTAAAGATAACTCTTTGCTGACTTTTTTTTGATAACTTTGACGGTATACTCTATTTTTGACATACTATTCAGTTTTACATCCCAACAACAATGTTGTCAGCTAATTCTTTCTAACTTGCTATAGCCAACTCTGCATATAAAAATAATTTGTGAAAATACATTTTTAAAATAACTGCTATAGTTTGAAGTTGTCTCCCAGATTTCATGTTTTGGAAATTTAATGCCCAAATTCATATATTGATGGAATTTGGAGGTGGGGGCTTTGAGAAGTAATTAGGGTTAGATAAGGTCATCAGCATGAGGCCCCCATAATAAGACTGGTAGTTTTTTTATTTTTTTTTATTTTTTATACTTTAAGTTTTAGGGTACATGTGCACAATGTGCAGGTTTGTTACATATGTATACAGGTGCCATGTTGGTGTGCTGCACCCATTAACTCGTCATTTACATTAGTTATATCTTCTAATGCTATCCCTCACCCCTCCCGCAACCCAACAGGACCCGGTGTCTGATGTTCCCCTTCCTGTGTCCAAGTGTTCTTATTGTTCAATTCCCACCTATGAATGAGAACATGCGGTGTTTGGTTTTTTGTCCTTGCGATAGTTTGCTGAGAATGATGGTTTCCAGCTTCATCCATGTCCCTACAAAGGACATGAACTCATCATTTTTTAGGGCTGCATAGTATTCCATGGTATATATGTGCCACATTTTCTTAATCCAGTCTATCATTGTTGGACATTTGGGTTGGTTCCAAGTCTTTGCTATTGTGAATAGTGTCGCAATAAACATACGTGTGCATGTGTCTTTATAGCAGCATGTTTTATAATCCTTTGGATATATACCCAGTAATGGAATGGCTGGGTCAAATGGTATTTCTAGCTCTAGATCCCTGAGGAATCGCCACACTGACTTCCACAATGGTTGAACTAGTTTACAGTCCCACCAACAGCGTAAAAGTGTTCCTATTTCTCCACATCTTCTCCAGCACCTGTTGTTTCCTGACTTTTTAATGATTGCCGTTCTAACTGGTGTGAGATGGTATCTCATTGTGGTTTTGATTTGCATGTCTCTGATGGCCAGTGATGATTAGCATTTTTTTCATGTGTCTTTTGGCTGCATAAATGTCTTCTTTTGAGAAGTGTCTGTTCATGTGCTTCGCCCACTTTTTGATGGGGTTGTTTGTTTTTTTCTTGTAAATTTGTTTGAGTTCATTGTAGATTTTGGATATTAGCCCTTTGTCAGATGAGTAGGTTGCAAAAATTTTCTCCCATGTTGTAGGTTGCCTGTTCACTCTGATGGTAGTTTCTTTTGCTGTGCAGAAGCTCCTTAGTTTAATTAGATCCCATTTGTCAATTTTGGCTTTTGTTGCCATTGCTTTTGGTGTTTTAGACATGAAGTCCTTGTCCATGCCTATGTCCTGAATGGTATTGCCTCGGTTTTCTTCTAGGGTTTTTATGGTTTTAGGTCTAACATTTAAGTCTTTAATCCATCTTGAATTAATTTTTGTATAAGGTGTAAGGAGGGGATCCAGTTTCAGCTTTCTACATATGGCTAGCCAGTTTTCTCAGCACCATTTATTAAATAGGGAATCCTTTCCCCATTTCTTGTTTTTGTTAGGTTTGTCAAAGATCAGATAGTTATAGATGTGTGGCATTATTTCTGAGACCTCTGTTCTGTGGTTTTAAAAGAAGAGAAAGACTTGAGCTGTGACACTTTTCTTCTATCCCATGTGATGATCTCTATCATGATGTACAAGAAACATAGTATTTCTTGTATGGTATATACATAACAATGTACAAAATCTAGCCTGGGATATAAAGGTATAAAAGTAGGCTACCTGCCTTCAAACTGCATGGCTCTGAAAGGAGAGGAAGAGAGGCCTAAACTGGCATGCTCTCTTTTGCCATGGGATGTCATAGCAAAAGGCCTTCACCAGATACCAGCCCCTTGATATTGGACTTTTTGGCTTCTAGAACTGTAAGATATAAATTTATTTTCTTTATATATTAACCAGTCTCAAGTAGTTTTTATAGCAACAGAAAACAGACTAAGATAATAACTGTTTTCCATCCTTCATTCTTCTAGAGATGCTTTTATTAAATTTATAATGTTCTCCAAATTGCCAGATTTAATGCTCTCTATTTAATCATCAATCTATTTGATTCTTGTTAACAGATTGTTCTTGTTTACTATTTTAACTTTTTAAAACTCTCATGCCATGAATTCCAGGGATATCATGTTTGTTTAGTTTACCTACTGTCTACCTGAAAATACTGTTTTTGTCTCATTTATTGATGCCACTTTCAACATGTGTTAACACATTTTAATATTCTCTGAGGTTTTGTCCTTGCCCCTCTTGCATTTCTTTATTCACATTCACATAAATAATTTCATAAGAGTTGCTTCTTGCAACAAGTAACTGGTGATCCTCAAATATTTTTCTCTTCTTTTGTTCTCTCTCCTGAGTTCCAAACCAGCCACTATTTGAATACTTCTAATTCAATAAACCACTTGCAACCAAAACTTAATATATCACATATTTTACTCGTTATATACATATGTATAATATGTCTATATATATATGTACATATATATTCATTCCAATGTATCTCTCCTGTATTATCTCAATAAGAGTATCCATTCAGCCAGACATGTCAGTTTCATTCCTGATGCCTCTTATGTTCTTCACAGACCATATTCCAGCATGAAAAATTCTTATATATTCACCCACTAAAACATATGTTATTTCATATTTCTTCCCTCTATTCCCACCACTACAATCTTTGTTCAGATTCTCATCATTTCTTGCCTGAATCATTACAATTTACATTTTAGATGATCTGTTGTCAATATTTCTCTTTTCCAGACTTTCCCCTATCTGTCCCTATCTGTTGCCAGAACAATTAAAAAAAAAATCTACCTGTCTCCTCTGCTTAAAGACACTAAAGCTGTAGTTTCAAAGACACTGCTAGCTATAGTTTCAAATCTACTGCTTCTCAAAAAAGACCTTTCCTTATCTGTCTTTAAACATCTTCAACTTGATTGTCTGTTAGTTATACCTATGCAAACGACAAACTTTTGTTTTAAATACAATGACTGAACTGGTGTTTTTATATGATTTGCCTAAGTTACTGTTTCATGTTCATATTTCTTCTCTTCATTATTATACCTGGAGTACAATAATTTATTTATTCCTCAATACTTTATGAATAATTCATTAATTCCTCAATACTTAATTTTTTTCCTTTAAGACAATATACCTATAATCTCTAAGATTCTAAAATATGTGCTATATATATATATATATATATACACACACATATATACACTCATCCTTACAAAGAAAAAGAGAGATTAAAAGCCCTGATTTTCCTGCTACTAATAAATGAAAACATTTTCTAAAAGAAACTTCCTCCAAAATATACTATTAAATGGGAAATTATCACGCCACTGTCTATCAGGTCTTCTCAGAAGCCCATAGAATTAAAAATATATTATTATCTTATGTTCAAACTTAACTTTATAATACAGAGGCAAGACAACTAATTTTTATTATTAATTATTTTTATGATAGATAGATATGAGGATGTGATATAACCTTGGGAAACTCACTTCACCATTCAGGACTTTGTTATTTTCAGTACATCTCTAAGTTTGCCTCCAGGTGTACAATTTTATGTTAAATAGCTCTAAATATATCCTCATTCTTTTCTTAGAAGAGATTCATGTGCATTAACTCCATCACTTAAATGATGACCATTTCATTGATAGTCATATATAAGTATCTCATATATTCTTGATATATTTTAATATTTAACTATAATATGATTTTAAAGCTGAGTTTGTAACTAAGGAGAAAATGCAGATAGGGAAATAGGAGCAGATTATATTTGTATCTGCAGTGAGTGAGACAAATGAAAGTCATTTCTTTGTATGCAGAGTTATTTTAGTTTATAAAGCATTTCTCTGCCTTTGGAAATATGCCAACAAAAGGTTAAGTTAGATATTCTGTTCTGTGCCTCTACTGAAGTTTAGCCTCTTTAGACCTTTATTACCCTCTTAAAGTACCAGCTCACTGAAGGCATTGTTTGTTTTTCTGGTTGAGAAAAAATATATATTAGGAAGCAAAGTGGCTTAGTGTCCAGCCAACCAGGCTGGAAGTCCAATGGTTTAAACTTCTCTTTTGTGACTATCATGGTGCATAATCCCAAGGGAATTCCTTATCAGTTGGTGCCTTTGTTTCCTCCTGTTAGCAAAGGAGTGCAAATAATATTCTTTTGTTTCCTCTAAAGGCTGATGTAACTATAAATAGGATATATATAAAAATACATATAAAAACAAATTGAACTATTCAGAAAAAAGGAACTTTTATAATTTGGTAAAATGTTATTTTTATATTAGGCTGTACACACATGTTCATTGCTTTTGCTCATCTTTATTACTTCATACCTATCCAGTTGTAAGCTAAAAGGAACATGGCAGCCAGTATCCTTGTTTGTCCTCTGCTTTCAAGGAGACAAACTGTTCCTTACAATTGCTGTAATATATCTTTGGTGAGGAAGGGAGGGAGTTGGGCACAGAAGGATGGAGACTTAGTAGAGTTTTGTTTTTTTTAATTGTTTAATACAAGGTAATGTATTACTAGTTCAGTTATATTGTGACTCACACTCAGGAGAATAAGAGCGAGCAAGGAATGATTCTGTTCTGACATTGTCAATTGGAAAAAATGCCATGCAAAGAATTTAGGCAACAAACAAAAACCCAAGACAAAGAGGTGAAGTAAGTGGAGAACGATCTTGTGGGAATTCTCACAATTACTAAATATTCAAAGTCTGTTTACTTCATGTCAACTATTGAAACTGACTTCACTGTAGCAAAGAAAAAAAAAATGCAGCCATCTAGGACCAAACTGGAAAAGATGTAGAGAAATTTGACATGAGCAAATAAATTTCAGGATAAACAAATTTGCTTCTCTCTGGCATGAATTTAATTATGGGTATTGCAGTACGTCTTGATAAACATGCTTTGCCATGACTAGACATTATGTTAGTACAATAGCATTCACCAAGATAAAATCATATTCATCCACTTCCTGAAGCACTTCACAGTTCTGTTGAATACAAACAGAAAAATTTTAAATATATGAATCCTGTTCGCTGACTGTTGTGGTAAAATGCACAGCATAAAACAGGAACCAAAGTTTAAGAGCCAACAATAGAGTAAGGCAACGAAAATTTTTTCACAGCCCTGTTCTTTTTATATTTTAAAATTTCTCATTTAATCCCCTAATTATATTTACTTTCTCAGTATTGCTTAATTTTCAAAGATTCAAGCAGTACTCATACTACCTTAGAGTCATCCTAAGTGTCATTTTTTCCTTAACTTTTATTAACAGATAAATTGCTTAATTTTAGTATTGATGTCCTCTGTACACTGATCATTATGAATTCACTGTAGTCAATAAATTGTAGAAGGTCCTAAAGCTTCTAAATTGGAATAAGTCATATATATTTTGTCTAGCAGAGGATACTTTTTCTTCCACTACCATGTAAATGAACCATAAGGAATACTTGTTCTAAAGACAGAATTTTATAGTTTAAATTATTAATATCTCACAAAATACTTTCCAGGGTGAAATTCTAAAATAATTCAAATTTTCTATTTTAACAAATAGTATGTCTTATATAAAGTAACATAAAAATAGCAAAAGAAATATCTTTAAAAATATTACTGTATTAGGAAATATTACCTAAAAGGGTTGAATAAAAAGAAAAAACCTCAACAAACTATGTATTTAAGATAAATTGAAATTTTGGTGTGAAAAAATATATAAAAATATACCACAAATTTATTTAATGTCTTACCCATTTAGCTTTTGTTAAAATATATCTACTCCAGTTGTATATGGAAAACACCAGTTGGAAAAGTTGAATTATCACAGAAATAATTAAGAGTTCCAAACCACCTTAAGACGTCCCTAAAATTGTATAGTAGGGCAAATTCATTCTTTAAACTTTTAACTTGCATCATCTATTATTTATCTTGATGTGGCAGAAGGGTGATTCTGAGGGTCTACCATTACTGTTCTGAAACTTCAAAAAAAGCTGATGGAACTTGGTCTACCAGGGAAGGTCCATCAGGAAGTGCCTCAGTGTCTATTTTACTTCCTAAACACAGCTGGATTTGGCACTGTGTGAACTGTAGGATGCAGATAACACATACTTACCATCCTAGGGAAAAAACTAAAATTTGTGCATGAACAATATACTTATGAGATCACCAGTAGGTACTTTCACATTGATGATTCTTGACTAAGCTCCATTACTGTGTGTGTATGCATGCATGTGTGGTGTGTGTGTGTGTGTGTGTTTAGGAGTTAATAGCTTTGTCTAATCTCTGCTGTACTGTTTCATTTCTCATTATGTCAGTGTTTCTGTGTTTCTGCACTATCCATGGGTTAGTTTATTTGGAGAGTTCCTCTTCTAATTACCATATTATTATCAGACATACACTCCTTCCAACTTAAATTACACTATTCCTTATGATGTTTTTATTTAAATAGATTGTGTTTTTTAGAAGTTTCTCTTTTTCAAAAGATAGGCATCTAGCTAACTCTATTTTACATAAAAACTATGTACATATGTTAGTCATTTTGTGGGATATATTTTAAGGCCCCTTTCTATCCCTGAGTATTTTGAGTCTGAAAATCTTCCTGTAATATTTCCATGTTTTTCTATATAAACTTATGATGCCTATATAAGTGATAAGCAGCTTTAGACTGTATAAGAAAAAAGCAATCACGAGGACATTTTCCTCCTACGCTTAAACAAGAATTGTGCCAAAGGAGGATTTAGTCACTTGGGACATAGAAGAGGTTGGCTGTTGTAATGTTGGGCACATTCATGTATTATTGCACACATGAAAAAGGACCCTTAGAGGCAGGGTGTGGTAGAAGGGCGTGAGGTGTCAGATGTACAAGCTGCAAATTTCATTTCCAAGAATGGGATGATGGTGACCACATAGTTTTACTCTTTCTCCTGGAGAACCTTATAATTTAAGATTCTTTAAAAAACAAGAATGATCACTACAAATCATAGCACCAGGCCCCAAATTTCGATGCACTCTTCCATTATATAAAGTTAATTTCTGTCAGTATTTTTGTGACCTTCATTCCATAAAAATCTGGACAATTCTCAGTCTTTATTAATGAAGCTAAAACTTGAAGTATACTCTTCCCTAAATCCAAATCCAAATATCTCATACATACATACATATATATATATATACACACACATATATGTACATACACATATATGTGTATGTATATTTGTCTAATCAAGTAAGAATATATATATATCTCCAAATAAAGTGGGCCATGCTGAAATGGGTTCTAGCTCTTCTTTCAGTGATTTAACCTGTTCAGAATCTAAGAAGTTCTAAGTATGGCTTGTCTCCGTAACCTTGATGAAGTCCCTGAAGTTCCCTGAATCTGTACTTCCTTACCTTTTAAATAGAAAAATTAAAGTCTTACCAATTATCACTCATTTTTAAAATGAAGTGCTAAGGTGGCTGGCACTTTATAAGCCTGTAACAGGACACCATTTGAAACTCATCATTAACATGTGCCCTTGGGGTATGCAGCTCAGGAACTAGCAGTGCTTAATTGGACTTTATTAGACTTAAGGGAATCCAGAACTCTCTCCACAGTGAGAACAGCTCAAGTGCAAATCATGGAGTCATAACAGTCAGGAGAAGGACAAAGTAACAATCTCAGGGCTTTAGGAATAGAAGTGATTATTTTTCCTGTTTCAGCATCATCAACATGCTTTCACAATTTCACTGGCCAGAATCACACAATCAGGAATCACATCATCAGAATTCAATGGGGTGACCTAAGATAACTTTTCAAACTTAGGAAATATATTTCTAAAAACTCCATAAAAAACACATACCCACACAAAACCACACAACTGTGACTTTAATACAGGCTCAAAAAGTAAAATGATTATGCTTTTCAGTGAATGAGCAAATGTGTACAATGTTCCTGAGGCTGACATTTAAAGCACAAAATTATAAATGCTAGAGATAAACTCCATAATTGTTTAGAGACTCTGAAAGTACACAGGACTATAGAAAAAAAATTTCATCTAATACAAATTTTGTGCTATACAATGAAGGACTAAACATACGAGAAACTAATCAAGTAAGAAGAAAATAATAAATCCAAAAAACTCCAATATTTAAGTTAGTGAATAATATCAGGGCAAAGTAAGAAATGAATTAACACTGGATTAGCAATTGGACCAGAACAATCATTGTTAACGATGTGTGGTCACAAATTGAGTGGTTCTCTATATTAACTTCAGTCCGTAACATGTTCATTAAGTTCTTTTTTTTTTTTTTTTTTGAGACGGACTCTCGCTTAGTCGCCCAAGCTGGAGTGCAATGGCACCATCTTGGCTCACTGCACCCTCTGCCTCCCAGATTGGAGTGATCCTCCTGCCTCAGATCCCCAAGTAGCTGGGATTACAGGCGCCCACCACCATGCCTGGCTAATTTTTGTATTTTTAATAGAAATGGGGTTTCACCATATTGGCCAGGCTGGTCTCAAACTCCTGACCTCAGGTGATTTGCCCACCTCAGCCTCCCAAAGTGCTGGGATTACAGGCGTGAGCCACCATGCCTGGTTATGTTCATTAAGTTCTAAGGAGACCTACAAGTACAAATATTTGCAAATATAATCTCTGACAAAGAAGAAATGTTTTAATGTGGCTAATCTGCTTGCAGTCTCTGAATTATAGACGTCTACTCTTATCTGTATCTCCCTTAAACTTTTATATTTGGTATCTCTAACAAAGACTGCTCATATTCATCAATATCTTGTTTCCTCTTCTTCCTGGGCATAACTACATTTCCCAGTTCCTATGCTTGTAGTTATGAAGTTGGAATTTTCTAATTCGCTTCCTATTTTCTGGTCTCCTGATTGGCCAGTGCAAGAGGAGTGAAAGTGATTTATGCCATATGGGGATCTGACGCTAAATTTTCTCACAGAAACCCTCATGTCACTTTTTACCCACCCATGCAGCTGGAAGGAAAGGACCTCGAGGCCTTACCGTATGGAGTAGTCACATGACAAAATACACAGACTACTGAGTCTCAATGTAGACTAGATAGCAAAGAAACCTGGATTCCTGAGACACCACATAAAGCACAGCAGCTCTGGAGAGATGCCAGACTAGGAACATTCGTATTACACTGTAGATCTGTAAAAATAAGCTTCTTTAAAAAGACACTGAGATTTTTTGAATTTTGATGACAGTCTGTTTTATATAATACTAATATTATTGCTAAAACGATTTCTCATTCCACTTGCCAAATATTGTTAGGAGTGGTCTGATTTAGTAATCTACTTAAGCGATATATTTTGGTGGTATTTTTTGTTTCTGAATTTATACAGGTTCTCTATTGTTACCTTCCCAATATTGGTGAGATTCACCATTTGTTTGGTTTCTTAACAAAAACTCCCTAATTTGGGGTCTCAGTCTTCTTTTCTGGAATGCTGCCACAAGATCCTAAGTGAAGCCTGTAGTTACAGTCTGCCTTTTGCAAATTCATAGGTAGTACTGAGTTAATCTTGGGACCTAATTAACCTGTTGAAAGGATCTTGGTTACCACATCCCTTTTACCTCATCTCTCTTCAACATGATGTTCTCTTGTAGTTACCAAGCCTGCTAACTGCTCTATCTTGACTTTTGTTTTTAATGCCTTCCTGGCTTCAGAATGATCTTTTATTTTTCAGTTTGAATATATGTATTTTATGATCTTCATAAACTGTCCAGCATACCCACAGTGATAGATCGCCTATTTATTCTGATTTCCTCTGTCTTCTGTGCTACTTTGAATTATCCTCAGATTGCTTCCTATGTGCATTACAACAAATTCAACACCCTTATTCTCAGTACTAACATCATAAATAACAGTGTATTAGTCTGTTTTCATACTGCTGACAAAGACATATCTGAGACTGAGCAATTTACAAAAGAAAGAGGTTTAATGGACTCACAGTTCCACGTGGCTGAGGAGGCCTCATAATCATGGCAGAAGGTGAAAGGCACGTCTCACATGGCAACAGATGAGAGAAGAGAGTTTGTGCAGAGAAACTCCCCTTTATAAAACCATCAGATCTCATGAGACTTATTCACTATCATGAGACTAGCATGGGAAAGACCCACCTCCGTGATTCAATTATCTCCCACCAGGTGCCTCCCACAACATATGGGAATTATGGGAGCTACAACTCAAGATGAGATTTGGGTGGGGACACTGCCAAACCATATCAAACAGTGAGTGTTATTTTCAATAAAGGATCTTCCAATTCTAGTCAATAAATGATCTGATTTTTCCACTTATTATTTGTACACAGAATATATTACTGAAGTATAAAATATTCTAGAGATAATTAATTTATATTTTGTAAAAGAAAGAAAGAAGAAAAAAGAAAAAAGCAAAGTTGAAAAGCCATCTGAAGTTTGAAGATAGGGAAAGTTAGAATTGTCTAGTTTTAGTATCAGAGACAATGATTTACTATGCTGTTTCTGATGGAGATTTTCATAATACTGAGTTCTAAGCCTACTGAACTGTGGCTTAGAACACATGTGATAGTGAGCCCCATGCACAGAAACATTAGAATCAGATAGATGTGGAATAAGATTCTGACTCTGCCATATACTGGATAAGTAAATCTTGGCAAGTTATTTTATATCATTGAAGCTGTTTTCTTATACGTAAATTGGGGATATCAAACTTTCAGAATTTTTGTTAATATTAAATAACAGAATTTGTTAAGGTCATAGTAGAGTGTCTATGTGATATGTAGAAATAGTCGAAAAATGTTAGTGTGCATCATCTTTGTCTTAATACGTCACATAAATTCAAACATTTTTACATTTAAAACCAACTGAATTTTAAAATAGAATTGATGCGTTTTCATCAATAGAATTTTGAAGTAGTTAAAATGTAATTTCTTTACACAGTTTCATTTCTGCCTTCCACCTACTGTCTCTTCAACTTCTTTCTGCCAACAAATATTTAGTAAGTGATAACAATGTACCAAACAGCATAGTAGATGACAAGAGGAATTGTATTTGTTATCTCTTGCTGTGTAACAAATTAACTCAAACTTAATGGCATAAAATAACAATTTTTTTATAGCACTGTTTCTCAAAGTCATAAATATCAAAGCAACTGATATTTGCTGATAACTGATAACTGGGTGGTTCTGGTTTGAGTCTTTCATGAAGTCAAAATGCTAGCTGGAGTTTCAGTAATAACATTGAAGCTTATCTGGACTAAATGATCTATTACCAGATTGGCTCAATCACATAGTTGGTGGCTGGAGGCTTCAGTTCCTCAGTGGCTATTTTTAGGCAATCTTGATTCCTCAAAACGTGAACTTTATATAGTAATGGGAATGTCTTTACAATGTGCTAGTAGCTTATTCAAAGCAAGCAAGAACTTTGAGGGTGAAAATTACATTAGCAAAAATACTGTCATTTAGATTGCCCATTTTGGTTCAAGCTGGCATTGTCTCCATTAATATAATTGTTTTTAATCTGGCTTTCCTGTTAACCTTCATATGCTAAAAGTAACACCAACAAATCTCTTTAATATACGCCCTTTGGTACTTTAGACTTTTGTTAGGAGGTAGTTTCCTTAAACTTCTCAGTAACTCTACTATTTTATTTAGGAGAATTATGAGAAACACCCTTAAAATCTTTAGAAAAGTTTTATTTTTATTTTTTTCCTACTGGATGGTGCTCTGAGACACCACCATAGATCTTTATGAGGTGCTGGCAAAGATTTTACAGTCCCAAATTTGATTTCATCCTTACAGCATGTTGTCCTGGCAATGTTTGCCATCTGTAAAGGTTGAGAATTTTCAAAGCAATTAAGTCATTGGTCCTTTGTGTTTAAGGATACTTACTTTATTTTTTTTCTCACATTTTAATATAAGCATCAAGAAGAAACCAGGTGGCATATTCACCATTTGGTCTGGAAAGCTCCATGGCTATATATCTCAGTTAACTAGGTATAATTTCTATTTCTTAACTTTTTGCATGCATCATTGTTGCTAAACTTTTTGCTACTACATCAAAGAATCCCTTACTTCCATGATCTCATAAGATTTTGATAACTTTATTTTCAGCCCTCATGCATAGCCATCTAAATTTCCATCAGTCTTTTATATAGAGTTTCCTTAAGGTTCTTAAAGCCTTTATTAATTTTATTTGCAAAGATCTACTGGTTTTTGTCCATTGTCTAATTCCAAAGTGGCTCCGGAGTTTACATTTCCGTCACGGCAACACAGCAAACCACGTCCAGGTACTAAAATTTGTATTACGACTGATTATTGGAATTTACATCTGTCATTTTCACAACTTTCTATTTGTTAGAGGACACTCATAAAGCACAGCACACACTCAAGGGAAGGGGATCTAAGCTCACTCTTTGGAGGGAGAATTGTCAAAGTATTTGATTCGTGGCCTTATTTTTTAACAATGGAGGGACAAAACATGAATAGGACACATCATTTTACTTCCAGGATTTCATAACTAGTAAAAAGTAAATACATAAATAAGCCTAATACAATATAAAATATACTCAGATGTATTAAATATTTTAGATACAGAGGAAGAAATAATACATGTATGTGGTTTGGATGAATTTGTAAACTTTAAGAGTGTACAGCAATTCAGAATTCAGAAAGGTTGGGAAATGATATTCTAGGCAGAGACGACAACATGAGAGAAGTTAGAGATGCATGAAAATTATGACTGTTTAAGAAATGCTACTAGTAGTCCATGAGAGATATCTCATAAGAATGTAAGTACCAAGGAGTTACAGGATATCATGTTAGCTGGTGTCCAGTTGTGAAGATAATTATATGGTATGATAAGGTGTTTGAACTCAAAATCCAAAGATGATTGATTTTATAAGCATGATATTGCTTTGATGTTTCATGTTTTATTATAAAATTCATGTGGCATTCTATGCTATTCTTTAATAAATCAGTATTTTATTTAAAAAGTTTACCCAGTCCTTAAGTGAAATTGCCATTTCTGGAATAGGTACAATTGCCCTGGTTTGATACACAGTTCCTATGTTGCTGAATAAGTGAGCAATCCACAGTGCAAATGTAATCCATGGCACAGTCACTGATACTGAGACATAATGAGTCATTTTTAAAGGGGATAACATAGTCAGGTCTGTGTTTGAGAAAGTCAGCTCTTGGGATGATGAAGACTATAACCTGCATTTTGAGAAATTAGGAAAAGCATTTGAATGTCATTGTAAAAGACCATTGATGTTTAAACAGTAACAGTAACTAGTGTAACTTAACAGAAAGAACATCTTTGAGAGACTTTATAGGATAATGGGTTTTCTCTGGAATTAACTGAATTATTTATATTCATAAAATGTTTGTTTTCAAACAACTGGCTCAGATAACCATGAGCGCACAATGCTTTTCCTTCTGGGAGCCACTCATTCACTTCTTGGTTCATCTTGTAACAATCACCATGGGACAGAACTGTGTAAAACAATACTCTACATTCTACTCTACAGATTCTACTTCATTTCTAAATAATGACTAGCTATTTCTGGAGCAAATTTGGAAGAAATCTAATTAGATGAACTTACCATTATTCATTTATTTATTCAGCAAGGAAATCTAAAGGGTGTAATTTATGACCTTAAAAGTGTTGTGTTGAAGATGCCTCAAAAGCTGTTTCAGATATTAGATGTTATGCTTGTAGACTCTTAATCTACCAAGCTCTTAATCCACAAATAAAATTTACAGAAAAATAATATTTATGCTGTTAACTCTGTTTTAAAATAAAAATATGTTTTCAAATAAAATCAAAGTATACATTAGTTACATATAAAACTGGCCCTCCTTCTATTTCCATATCTTCAACTTTAGCAGTTTACTACTGAGTCTCAAAGAACTCAAGTAAAAAATTCCATCTGTTTCCCAATCCACTCTACAAACCCACTTTCAGATGTGACAGAGGAAAAAAACAGGACAACTGCTGCTTAAATTCTGTTTTTTAAGAGGGTGACATAAATCATGTATACTGAGAAGATGTGGATGTTTAAAAGCCTTACTTATCTTCCTTAACAGTCAATTAGCCTGAGGAGAAAACTTTTAGTAAAAGGTGTGGGAGGAATTGTCAAAATGCTTACCGGAGGTGGATCAAAAAGTAATAATGATCTCCATGCCAAGATGCCTCCTACTCCCCAAATCCCCATGAAATCTCAGCAATCCCTGAGTTAAGCAGATGTGATTCTATATGCCTAAAACAGAGAAAACAAGGGGAAAAACCCACAGACCTAGTAATTTGGGGGAAAAAAATTACTTGGTGAGGAAGAACCAACTTTGGCATGCTCAAATGAAAAATAACTGAAATTAAGCCAGAGAAAGGCCTTTTCAATATTAATGGCATAAAATCAGAGTTAGAAAAACAGTGTTGGTCTTTTTAAGTGTTTCGGAAGAGTATATTCCTTGAGAGTTTCAACGTAGAAAATCATGTCATCTGCAAATAGGAACAGTTTTTTTTTTTCTTTCCAATCTGTATAATTTTATTTCATTTCCTTGGCTTATTGTACATGCTAGAACTTTCAGTACTATGATGAATAAGGATAGTGAGCATGGCCATCCTTGTAGTTTTAACAATATTAGAGAGAAGGCATTCAGTCTTTCACCATTAAGTAAGATGTGAGCTGTAGGCTTTTTTTGTAGATGTCTTTATCAAATTCAGAAAGTTTCCCTCTATTCCTGGTTTGCTGCTAGTTTTTATATTAATAGTATTGGTTTGTG
The DNA here is from genome assembly GCF_000001405.40 of Homo sapiens. Taxonomy (NCBI): domain Eukaryota; kingdom Metazoa; phylum Chordata; class Mammalia; order Primates; family Hominidae; genus Homo; species Homo sapiens. The sequence continues at coordinate 27,226,589 of NC_000014.9, read as the reverse complement.
TCAAATGCTTTTTCTTAATCAGTTGATATAATTATGCAATTTTCTCCTTTATCCCATTGATATGGTTGACTATATTTATTGATTTTCACATGTTATACCAGTCTTGCATACCTGGAATAAATTTCACTCCATTCCAGTGTATTGTTTCTTCTATACACTACTGGATTTGATTTGCTAATGTTTTGTTGATCATTTTTGTATCTAGGTTTATGAAAGACATTGGCCTTATGTTTTTCTGCTCTCTTTTATCTGGTTTTATTATTAGAATAAGGCCAGGCTCAAAAATTGAGTTGCAAAGTATTTAACCTTTTACGGACTCATTTAATACTCATCTTTTAAATGGGGTAAATGATCTTTTTTTAACTGTACAATGGGTATCATAAACTTTTATGTAAATAAAGATATTTAAAAGCAAATATTCTTAAAAGTGTTATTCTAGAATATGGAGAAGAGTAATTGCTCAACAAACATAATCCAGAGCTATTTATATTGAACTGATACCCAAAAGAGGAAAAGAGCTGAAACTCATCAGCGTCCCTCACTTTCACAGTCTACTGTAGAACTTCCTTCAGTCTTTATGATCCATCCACTTACAGGTTTTACCCACAATAACCATCATCTTCTATCATACTCTCCGCCTCACTCAATCAATGCTATAATTAGAGCATCAAAAATTTTAATTTTGGATCACTTTTTACAATAAGATAAATAAGTCTATCTAAATCTATCTAATGTGGAATTAGCAAGATAAACTGTCCAATTGTGAGAGTCTCAAATGAAAACAACTTAAACTATGATGTTAAAAAGACATCAAGAGAAAAATAAATTGAGATTGCCGATTCTTATAAGTGTAGCCTGGGCCCAGCAACATCCGCATAACATGGGAGTTAATTAGAAATGCAATTCCCAGGCCCCCACCTAGACTTACTGAATAAGAATCTATCTTTTAACAGAATCCCCAGGTGATTCCTATGCACATTTATGACTGAGAAAAAAAACACTCCTTTAGACAACAGAAGAAACAGAAGACAGAAATTGGAATATATGTATATATCTCACATATTCATTTTAGCTTGTCTTTTTCTTTATTCTCTTCATTTACAATGTGGCAACTGTGATGCTACTGGCTTAGCTTAGAGTGGAAAAGAGAATGAGATCAGGATGATTCTGGCCTCATAAAATGAGTTAGGGAGGATTCCCTCTTTTTCTATTGATTGGAATAGTTTCAGAAGGTATGGTACCAGCTCCTCCTTGTACCTCTGGTAGATTTCGGCTGTGAATCCGTCTGGTCCTGGACTTGTTTTGATTGATAGGCTATTAATTATTGCCTCAATTTCAGAGCCTGTTATTGGTCTATTCAGGGATTCAACTTCTTCCTGGTTTAGTCTTGGGAGGGTGTATGTATCGAGGAATTTATCCATTTCTTCTAGATCTTCTAGTTTATTTGCGTAGAGGTGTTTATAGTATTCTCTGATGGTAGATTGTATTTCTGTGGGATCGGTGGTGATATCCCCTTTATCATTTTTTATTGCGTCTATTTGATTCTTCTCTCTTTTCTTCTTTATTAGTCTTGCTAGCGGTCTATCAATTTTGTTGATCTTTTCAAAAACCAGCTCCTGGATTCATTAATTTTTTGAAGGGTTTTTTGTGTCTCTATCTCCTTCAGTTCTTCTCTGATCTTAGTTATTTCTTGCCTTCTGCTAGGTTTTGAATGTGTTTGCTCTTGCTTCTCTAGTTCTTTTAATTGTGATGTTAGGGTGTCAATTTTAGATCTTTCCTGCTTTCTCTTGTGGGCATTTAGTGCTATAAATTTCCCTCTACACACTGCTTTAAATGTGTCCCAGAGATTCTGGTATGTTGTGTCTTTGTTCTCGTTGGTTTCAAAGAACATCTTTATTTCTGCCTTCATTTCCTTATGTACCCAGTAGTCATTCAGGAGCAGGTTGTTCAGTTTCCATGTAGTTGAGTGGTTTTGAGTGAGTTGCTTAATCCTGAGTTCTAGTTTGATTGCACTGTGGTCTGAGACAGTTTGTTATAATTTCTGTTTTTTCACATTTGCTGAGGAGTGCTTTACTTCCAAGTATGTGGTCAATTTTGGAATAAGTGTGATGTGGTGCTAAAAAGAATGTATATTCTGTTGATTTGGGGTGGAGAGTTCTGTAGATGTCTATTAGGTGTCCGCTTGGTGCAGAGCTGAGTTCAATTCCTGGATATCCTTGTTAACTTTCTGTCTCGTTGATCTGTCTAATGTTGACAGTGGGGTGTTAAAGTCTCCCATTATTATTGTATGGGAGTCTAAGTCTCTTTGGGATGAGAAGCTAAGCTGATGAATTTACTGCTAAGCTATTTAGAGCTTTTCTTTATTCCTTTTATTTGTAAAGTTTTTGATTGTCAAAATAAATAGCATTTATGGCTTGAAACTTAAGAAGTACAGTCATAAATCCTCAATTCCAAACTTTAAAGACATTAAGTTGCTTGGCAAGTACTTGCTATTCTTGTCTCCAAATAAATGAACACAAGTAAGGAAGTTGTTATTCTGCATTTCTGGGTAATAAATACTATTTATTGGTGTTGGCAGTTAGTGATTTCAAAAATGTGCTCCATTTAGCTCCCCTAATCTTTTTATGAATGAGGCATAACAAGGAGAGATACAGGCAGTTTGGGATCTGGAAAATTGGGAAGGAAAGTATAGAGATAAGATGTTAACAAATTATGTTAAATTATCCAAAATGTTATTCTAAGAATCTTACCTTTAAAAGATCTAGGATTAAATTAATTAAGTCACTATCGGTATGTTTTGTAAAGGAGTTACAACTTTAATGTATGGTCTTAAAAATAAAATAAACTGTTATAGACTGAATTGCATTCTCCCATTGGATTTTCTATTTCAAATATAAACTTTCCTAATTAAAGTGGAATTATTGCTCAAATTTTCTATGCTCTCTCTTCCAATATTTCTTTTTTTACTCTAGTTTTCCAGATTAGGTCACTTTGAGAGATAAGAATTAGAGAAGCAAGGTTCACGTAACCCTTTAAGCCAAAATCTCTATGGACTCAATTGGCTAAACTTTTAGAAGAATAAACAGCTAACATACATTATGTCTCTTCTGTACTGTTTGTGTGTGGCATGACAGGGCAGGGGGTGCAAGGGTAGAGTTAGTGTCAATTCTGTAACTATCTACGACCTTCAAATGGGACTATACCTCTGTAAATGCATGTAAACTGAACTATTTTGTTTTTCTTAATTCTTTTTCTGTTTAGTAAGTCTAAAACTATCTAGTTCTGACTACAATCTTTCTGCAAATGACCCCAAAAATATTTGTGTGTCAGTATCACTTAGCATTTCCAACCACAGCCTCAGCAACATGCTGGGTGTTGATGGGTTTTTAATACTAATGATAGCAACTTTTCTATCCTGCAGGGAATCAAAATCATACATCTAACTCAATTCGTATGGCAGATTTTTTCTTAACTAAAGCAACTTATTCATGTCTCTACAGACTCACATGCAGACATACAGTATTTTCTTGAGAAAATGTATAAATTGAAAATCTTGTATCTTGAGCCTAGTCTAATATGTATCATTCTTTAAATGCACATCTTGAAGCAAAAACAAAACATGACAATGACACTTCAGTGTTGTATAATGCTATGCCAATTTTAATACTCTTATGCAACTGCTTGCTTTATTTCTCACAACTCCTTTTTTAAAGAAATTGAAACCCAAGTTCCTTAAACTTGCTATATTCATCTAAGTTACACTGTGTCTCCAATTTTCTACTAGACTTGAGCCAATATTTTTAAAGCAGTGAAAACATTCGTGCTATACATTTCAGTACGTGACTGTTAAGAGTAATGAAACTATAGAATCTAGGAAGGAATAATAAAGATCATCTTGTCAAAATCTCAAAGCAGCATCTTCCACACTAGATCGGTATCCACACCAAATCAACATCCACACCAGATAAGAATCTGATCTCTTTGATGAGGAGGTGGGGCCGAAACCTCACCAAGTATCCACTCCGTTGATGAGCAGTTTTAATGAATAGAAAGTATATCTTTATATGAAATACTTTTTGTGCCTTCACCCACTGGCTCTTGTAGCAGTAAACAGAATAGTATAATCTCTCTTCTGAATGACAGCTACTAAAATATTTGAAATTTTGTATAGATTTCTTCCTTCTGTAGACTTAAGACTTCTTCTTCTTATTTTTTTTGACAGATTTTTAGTAGACAAAGTTCCTGGCCCATAGCAGGCAGTTAACAAATATTTGCTAGATAAATGACACCTTCTTCATCTGTGGCCTATGTCAAGCAGAGTAGAATTAAATATCCCATATATATGCTCAATATGCTTCTATTATATAGTTTGAATTTTGAGTTACCTGAAAAAAAAATTTGGATTTATCCTTGCTTGATTTCACTGCAGCCATTCAGAATTTATTTATACGAAGAATTCAGTATTTCAGTTCATTAGCATGATTTTTGAGATGTATCATTATCAAATTCTATAAACATGCTTTCCATGCTCCTTCAAAATTGTAACAAAAATGTTGAAGGGGCCAACTGTAGAACAATGAAGCAAAAAATATCTATTTGTTATCTTCCCAATAGTATTTGTCAAAGAGCTCAGAATCCACTTGAATCACTTGAATTTATCCATTCGTTAAAGTTTTTTCTTTTAATTGTACCACTCTCTATATGTTATATATATAATATATATAACATATATATAACGTATATGTTTTATATATAACCTTCTATATATTATAGATATATATATAATCTTCTATATTATACATATACACACATCAGGAGTTTGAGACCAGCCTGGCCAACATAGTGAAACCCCATCCATACTAAAAATACAAAAATTATCTGGGCCTGGGAGCAGGCGGCCTGTAATCCCAGCTACTTGGGAGGCTGAGGCAGGAGAATCGCTTGAACCAGGGAGGTAGAGGTTGCAGTGAGCCGAGATTATGCCACCTGCGAGGTAATCCACCTGCCTCAGCCTCCCAAAGTGCTGCGATTACAGGTGTGAGCCACCGCACCCGGCCTGTTCCTCCTTTTAAAATCTTAACAGACAAAACCCCGTCTCTACTAAAAAATACAAAAAATTAGCCAGGCGTGGTGGCGGGCGTCTGTAGTCCCAGCTACTCAGGAGGCTGAGGCAGAGAATTGCTTGGACCTGGGAGGCGGAGGTTGCAGTGAGCCGAGATCGCGCCACTGCACTCCAGCCTGGGCGACAGAGCAAAACTCTGTCACCAAAAAAAAAAAAAAAAAAAAAAAATCTTAACAGATAAAATAGCAGTCTACATGGTTAACGTAATTTTTATCTGTCTTTTTGTTTTAATATATCTTAGATCTATTGATACTTTTCTATTTTTGACTGGCTTATACAAACAATTGCTTATCTTCAGTCTGTTTCTCCATTATTATTTCAATCTATGGTGTGATGCCTATTTTTTTTCTGCAAAGTGCTTAACATATTTCTTTACTGAGACAGGAAAATAGGGTCTGGAGGCAGGGAACTGAAGGTCGATTGACACTTCAGCTATGACAGGAAATATCCTCTCCATAGGACATATGCCGAATAAATGAGTTTATAACTTTACTTCATCCTCTTCACTTATATAGGGCATACCCCAAGTAACCAATGGAATCTTCTAGAGGGTATTTAAACTCCCAAAACTTCTGTAGCGGGGCCCTTAAGCCCCTACACTTGGGCCCACTCCCACATTGTGAAATGTACTTTCATTTTCAATAAATCTCTTCATTCCTTCCCAGCTTTGTTTGTGCGTTTTGTACAACTCTTTGTCCAAGATGACAAGAACCTGGACACCCTCCACCGGTGACATATTTTGGTGAGCCAGCCAGGAGGAAAAGGTAAGCCCAAAGTTTGGGATTTATTTTTCCATTTTCTCCTTTTCCTTTCTGCTCCATACAGGCAATCACTCTCTCTCTCTCTCTTTTCCTTTCCAACGCGGGACCTTTGGTGGGCAGTGCCTAAACATGGAGACAACTGCAGGTTTCTGGGCGTGGCCAGTCAAACTAAGGGGTTTCCGCGTGGAGAAGCCTGACGGCCACTGCCCGGTTTGCTTACAGGACCTGGGCCTTTTTCATTTTTCTTTTGCCCTCTCTTTGTTTTTCAGTCTTTCAGACGCTGATTCCTGGTAGCTCATCGGAAATTGAGGACAATTGGCTGGGGTCACTCCCAGGTACTGCATGAAGGTCTAGGAATGAATGCGAATAATTGCCCGGCCCAAAAAGGGGAAGGACTTTTTAAAAAATCTTTTCTGCATGATCCCTGATCCCTACCTGCAGGGCAGCTCAGAGCAAACTCAAACATGTTTCAGGTAACTTACATCTTCTTTTCTTATGCTAAATTCTTCCCTTATTATACTCAAGTAGCTAAGGACAAAAAAGCCTGCCTGGCTTCCAGTTCTTCTCATTAGAGTTCATGGCTATTCTTATAAAGCTCATAGTAGGCACTGGAGGGAAACCAACATGTGGCACTGGTGCCCACCTAAGGTCAGAGACATCTGACACTCTAAGATTGGTCCCCACAGGAGGACACTGTTAGAAATAAATTTTTGGTGCTGCAAAAGAAATAGCACTGGAACATGAATTTTCTCAGCAAGGCAATTTTACTTCTATAGAATGGTGCAACTCACAGATGGAGCGATGCTGAGAGCACACCTGAACAAGGGAGGGGAAGGGGTTCTTATCCCTGACGTGGGTAGCCCCTACTGCTGTGTTGTTCCCCTATTGGCTAGAGCTGGACCGCACAGTCTAAGCTAATTCCGATTGGCTATTTTAAAGAGAGCAGGGGTACAAGCCAGAGAGGCGGGGTGAGCTGTTTCTGCAGGAAAGATGGTTATGGAACAGGTGACTAAAGGTGAGTTAGGTCAGAGCAGGTGACCGGGTGACTCAGGACAGAGCAGGTAACCAGGAGTGACTCAGGACAGAGCAGGTGACCAGGTGAAGAGATGTGAATTACTGACTAGAACTGGTGGGGCGCCAGGCACGGTGGCTCACACCTGTAATCCCAGCACTTTGGGAGGCTGAGGCAGGAAGATTGCGAGGTCAGTAGATCGAGACCATCCTGGCTAACATGGTGAAACCCTGTCTCTACTAAAAATACAAAAAATTAGCTGGACTTGGTGGCGGGCGCCTATAGTCCCTGCTGCTCGGGAGGCTGAGGCAGGAGAATGGTGTGAACCCAGGAGGCAGAGTTTGCAGTGAGCTGAGATTGCGCCACTGCGCTCCAGCCTGGGTGACAGTACGAGACTCCATCTCAAAAAAGAAAGAAAGAAAGAAAGAAAGAAAGAAAGAAAGAAAGAAAGAAAGAAAGAAAGAATTGGTGGCAAGGCTGTTTACTGAGGAGAACAAGGAAGTTAAACTTTAAAATGGAGAACAAAGAACTGAACATACTGACATACTGATTCTTTGAAGAGAAACTTAGAACTCACCGTATTTAACAACGCTCTGAGGGATCTGCCAGACCTCAACCTCTCCAAAGAGGACACTCTTGGCACAAGTTCTGAGGTCTTGTATTAGGCCCTCCTTAGAATTTTCTCTTGGAGTTGCAATACTGTTTGGCCCCAACATTGTTTGGGATCTGGAATTTATGGACTAATGGGAAAGTGGAATGGCATTGCATGTATCCAGGCTTTTGTGCTGTGGTTCTCAGCAGGGAGCCCAGTTAACATGTGACACTCTCCTTTGGTGCTGTTTGGCTCCAGTGCTTATTGGAGTCTGGGGAGGTTTGGTCTTTAAAAATCAAACTGCCATGGAGACTGCTTTACCCAAAATTTTGTTTCACAGCCTTCATTGGATTATCTACTCCGGCAAAAAAAGTGAAACTGACAAGCTTGTATTGCTATCTCATGGCTAAGGTTCCAAGTGATTGGATCTTTGTTTATGGGTGTATACATTTCCAGATGCATTTATTTGTATGTACACTTATTGTTATATGTTGTATCTACCACATTGGCTTATAAATTAAAGAACACTCATAAATTAAGTAAATAAGTCTAAGCAATTTTCAAGTTCACGTGAGTTAAGTAAAACTTTACTAAACAAGCTAGCTTTAAAATTATTGGTGGAATAAAAATAGAAATGTCTTCAGAATTGTCAACATACATTTTGTCTGGATTTTATGTTTGTCTTTGCTAAATATTTTGAGATGTCAGTGTTTGGCATGGAAGGTTAGAAAACTACAAACCCAGCCAAGACAAAATAATCTTGGTTTGCATGCTTTCTTTTGACAAATAATGAAACTATAGAATTTATGAAGTGAAAATATTTTTGGCCCCTGAAAATCACTAAGGTGAAGGGAAAATTCAAGCTGGGAATGCTGGGGACAAACCTGCCTCCCATTCTATTCAAAGCTGCTCCTCTGCTCACTGAGATGAATGGATATCTAATTATTACCTTTGGAAAGGCTAATCAGTAAATCAAAAGAATGCAACTGTCTCACACCTACCTGTGACCTGGAAGCCCCAACCTTCCTCCCGACTTCAAGCTGTCCTGCCTTTTCAGACTAAACCAATGTTCATTTTATATGTTAATTGATGTCTCATGTCTCCCTTATTAAAAGTGAAAGAAATGAGTATAAATGTTATCAGTAAACTTTTTGTGTAAATTAAAATCTTAAAGTTATTTTTGATGCTCATTTAACAACTGGGTCATTTCCAGTTAAGAAACGGTTGTGATATGGGGAAATATTTTTCTAAAATTGTGGAATTGTTCTTATCTATAAATGCCTATATCTGATAGTTGAGCATTTCTTGCTTTTTAGGGTTTCACTACAGTTTTATGTTTCTAAGAATAAAAATTCTAGTTAACACATAATTCTGTATACAAAATATGCCAGAAAGGGTTATGATATTAGTGAAAAAAAAGAATAATTTTGTCTAATTGTGAAGTTATCTAAAAGTTAATTCAAATTACAAGTTTGAAAAGGTTATTTATGAAACAATGTGGTAAGGAATCATTAAGTAGGGAAGAAATATGTGGAAAGAGTTTAAATAATAAGATATTCTTTAAAACCTGAATCAGAATTGGGGACATTTGGCTAATTAACATTTTCATAGTTAAAGCCCTTACTCTTGATTAAAGTAAAATAAAAAAAAGTATTGTAAAGAAATGCATCAGCAGTTTGGCAATTCTTTTTTTTTAAATATAATTAAGAACGAAGCTGGATTTAGTGTGGAGCAAAATTTCATATACATGCTTGCACTGCTGCACACTATGTTTACTGTTTTGCATGGACAGTGCTAGAGTTCTTATTGATCATTTGCCTAAAGTGAATTTCTTGATTGCACAGGATGCATGATGATATTGGTGAACTTAAGGCTATTAATTGTGTAACAGGAACAAAATATTCATTATGTGGGTTTTTTGGGTCCTAGGTAACACTGTAGCCTCCAGGGTAAATTGAGTAGGAAAATTTAGTGTTGACTTTCTATTTATTTGTTTTTTTGTGTTTGCTTCAAGTTTTCATATGTTTGTTGTTTATTCTCTTCTGGCTTTGCTTGTGTATGTGTATATATAAAATCATGATATTTTCTAGTTCCTAGTGGAAGACTTTTATTTGGTTCTGTGAATAGTTATTTTGTATCCTATGCATTTCTGACAAGTAAGCATTCATCCCATTTATCTAGAATTCCTAAGCTACCTTTGTTGGGCCAGGAGGAATTAATGAAGTATATCAGCTTTCTATCCTTAAACTAACTTTTTGGATTTTAGGCTTTGTGATACTTTAAGTGTGTTGAGTATACTCTCGTAAAGAGAATTTGTGTCATATTTCTGTCTCTGCCTAATTTCTCCAAAATTTGTAAACTATTTGTGAATATTCTTAATTTATGACAATGTGTTTGTTTGCATACAGTCAAGCAGGGTCATTAGGGCTACTCAGGGAGAGAGAACCCAGAAAACTAGCATGCTGGCAAAACGGTAAGAATTTCTTATGAGTCAGTCTCTGTCCTCTTTCTCTCTATGCAAACTGATTAAATGAAAAGAAAAAGTCAATGTTTATCTCTTTTGTAAAGTTTTAAATTAATTAATTTAATAATAATGAAAGCTTAAATGAAATATTTTGTCAGAAAAGTAAAAAGTGTAATGTCTTTTAGTTCACATGACTTTAGTAATCTTTGGGAAATAAACAGTTTTAAAGGTTATTGGTAAAATACAATTGTCTTCAAAATATAAACATGTGGTCTAAATTGTGTTCAAATATTAGGTTTTCTAATTGTTTTAAGATCATAAACTGCTTCCTTGGCTTTTGAAAATTATTTAACTTGCCTACTTTCCAGCTAAGTAAGGCCTGGGGACATATGGAGATGGCCACAATCCTAGCTATGCTAGAAATAGTCAAATCTTATCAGAACATAACGTACCAGGTTTTACGTTAAAATTAAAATTGCTAAGACCACCATTATAACATGCAATTAAGGCTACTAGAAATAGTTTTACATGTAAGGTATGTAAGAACAGTAGAATGTGTGTGTGTGTGTGTGTGTGTGTGTGTGTGTGTGTGTGTGTGTTTTGCAAAAGGTTATAGAATGTTTTTGCTTCTTTAAAATTTCTTACTCATTATTTTGACAAAATAAATAATTTATGGTAATCTGGATTTCCAAAATCAAACTTTAGTTTAAAAATTGTCTTTCCTAATGCCTGGCTTTTTGGGTACATCAGAGTGTCCCTGAAACCATCCAGAAAAGGGGTAAACAGAATTATTTGACATATTTAGGTATGTGGGATTGCCAAAATGATGTTCAATCTTTAGGTTATATTTTTGTGAATAACACTAATATATGTTCAAAAATCATATGGGATTTTAAAAATTTGAATGTTTAAGTATATGCTACCAATTATAATTATGGTTATTATGTTGTTATTGTAAACTCCAGAAATAACTGACTTTACTTGTATAAAGTAAAGTTCTACTAACACAAGTAGAACAAAAATTCATTAAATACCAAGAAAATACTTAGTCAGATAACTCATCAGTTATCAGTGCTATGCACCTAATTTGAAAAAACAAGTGGTATTCAAGAGGATATAAGTGTAATGTTGATTAAACATGGACTCATGGAGAACCAGGATGGCCACTTTTTCTTTCCTGAGACTTAAAGGTTTTATTATTAAAAGTTTTGCATTTCATGACTCATCATGGAAAAGATAAAATAATCCAAATTGAATACACTGGTGTGATGACTTACAAATTACTAATATAGTTTATAACCAATGTTTAATCCCATAGTCCTGGGAAAACAATTAAAGCTTCAGGTACATTTGGTCACCTGGAGGGCCATTTAAACATTTTGTAAAGGGATTTCATTCAATTGCCATTTTCAGTGCATGTATTCTGGTTGTATAAAAGCTTTCCCATGCAAGAGGGCTGATGTTATAACAGTAGATTATTATGCTACAGTGTATTTTCAACAGATAAATAAGCTTTTTACATTTTGAATCTTGTGAGAACATCAGAGAAAGACTGTTTTTGCCATCCACACTACAACAAAACTTCAGGACCTTGAACTTTGGGTTCATAATCTCACAACTGAGAAGAGTCCCTCCACACTCTTGGAACTGTACACCCATTGGAACCCTTAGAGTAAAACTAACTAGGGAAAATTCTCCCAAGAAGAAGATGGCATCCTTGATGTGAACAGCTTTTCCCAAGTTCACAGATAAAGATTTCTATTATCATGAAACTCTTATCTTTGAATATTGTATCTTGCTTATGCCTCTAGGACAAAGAGAAGTGGAAAACAGGTCTGTTACGTGCACTTATGGGGTGTACTCTTATTTGTGAAGAACTTTGCAGCCAGCCTTATACATGGATAAGCTTACACTTTGATAGATAAAAGACGAAGGCCCAATGTAGGTAAGAAACTTTAATGGTACATACATTGACTCATAATCAGTGAAAAACAAAACGTTGGTTCACTCCTCTTAACCCACACCATGGGTTAAAGAAAACATTGCCAGGAGGCCTTCACTCTTTTAGAAGAGCATCATTTGTCAAGTCCTTTTTCCATGGTTCAGAGTAAAGAAGCAATGAATAGAAATGTATCCCCCATGATAGGCTCTGTAGAAAATTCTGCTGTAAAGGCTACAGTTACACAACAGATTTTAAATTCTCTTGTGAAAGTTATGATAGAATTGACTGAACAAAGAAGTATCTGTGCAGCTGCTGGCACTTGTGGCCTATGGAAAAATACATCAAATGAAGATTATAGAAATTCAGTGGGAGGGGATCAACAACGAGACTGCTTACTTAAGTGAGTAGACTCTTTATCTAACTTATTCTTTGATCTATTTGACTTTAGGAGGTTTGGCTTATGGGGACCTTGTGTAAGAGGCACACTCCAAACTCTTGGTATTATCCTTCCAATAGTCATAATAATAGTCTCCCTGGTGTGCTGTATTCTCTCAAAGGTTTTAAATGCTTGCATACAACCATCTCTAGAATGTCATATGGTCTCTCTTCAACTGGAATAATGAGCTGAAAGAAATGTGCACCATAAGGACACCATAACCTATAAATGATGTACTAAAACTGGAAACCCAAAATGATGATAACTGAGTGGTGCTAAGGCTCTAAGCTTTGGTCACACTCTCACCTTAATGAGAACCTGACCAAAAAGGGGGAATTTTTTTAACAAAATTCTGGGAGGCCATTGTTTTGGACTAAGCTCATGTACTAGGTCCCAACAGACCAAACCAAACCAAAATGGAGTCGTTTGCACTAAGACTTTAAGGAAACACATAGGTCTTAGAACGGATCAGCTTTTGTTTTTTCTCCTGCAAATCTCCATAATGAACATTCCTGACAGCATAGGTATCTACCCGCTGAAGTTCCCATTATATCTTTTAACCAAATTTATTTCCTCTTGCCCAGAGACCATCGACATTCAGATGACCATGCAACAAAGGTTCCAGCCAGTTCCAGATGAAGACACCACCCCTGGCCATCAAGAAGCTAACCCGCCTCCACCAGACAGAGCAGGGTGAGAGTTTCGTGATCCCTAATAGGAAGAGACTACGCCCGAAGCCAGCATGAAGCAGTTACAGAAAAAAGACTATCGGTTCCTCTGCCTCCCATAAAGATTTATGGGAATGACATCTCTCAGTGGGGAATGGGCAGGAAAATAGGGTCTGGAGGCAAGGAACTTAAGGTCCATAAATAATTTAGCTATGTCAAGAAATATCCTCTCCACAAGGCGTACGCCGAGTAAATGACTTTGTAACTTTACTTCATCCTCTTCATTTACATAGGGCATACCGCAAGTAACCAATGGAATCCCCAAGAGGGTATTTAAACTCCCCAAAATTCTGTAACTGGGCCCTTGAGCCCCTATGCTCAGGCCTCCTCCCACAATGTGGAGTGTACTTTCATTTTCAATAAATCTCTTCATCCCTTCCTTGCTTTGCTTGCGCATTTTGTCCAATTCTTGTTCATGATGCCAAGAACCTGCACACCCTCCACTGGTGACACTGAAGTCCACATATCTGATGGTGGAGATTAATATCCTATTTGTCTATTGTTAATCATGATCTCTTTATATCATTTAGTAATTTTTTACAAGCTACCTTTTAATATCTTTTAGTAATTTTTCAGGAATAAGCCAGATTAGATCTATAAACTTTTGACTTTTCATCAAGAGATGTACTAAAAAAGATCAATTCTTTCTGTTTTAATTTGATAAAATTTCCAGGCAAAGCATGGATTAGATTTTTTCATTTCACATGTATATGTTCTTTTACTGACACAATTTAGCTAGATGGTGTTTACTGTCATCCTAATAATCATCACTAAGTTCACTTAGGTATTTATCTTGATTGGGTGGTTATGCTACAGCAATAAATTAGCCATAATATCTAAATTGCTTAAAAGCAACAATATACTGCTCATGATATATATTCATCTAGGCTTGGTAGTGGTAAGAGCCTTCTGTTCTACCTAGTTTCCAAAGACCTATGCGGATAGAAACTGTATTACCTGGAATGTCACAATTCACTGTGTGCCAGCTAGAAAATCATGTGGATCTCTTCTATGCTCTGTCTCAGAAGTGCTACACATCACTCTGCCCATGGTCCATAGCCCAGAACCAGGCACATACCCCTGCCTAATTGCAAGACTTGAAATACAAACGGGGTATTTGATGAGCAACATTGTCTCTGCCTGGTTTGTGGATTATTTTGCACCTATATACTTACATCCAACCCCTTTGACTAGAATTGTTACTCAAAAGCAACAGCCATATTCCAATTATAAGTACTATCCCATTGAATTTCCAGTGATAATAATGAGAAAATATCTATTTTTGTAAAAATACCAGGTCCTTAGTTCATTTGCATAATTTTGGTATATAGTGACTAAAGTTCTATATATCAACATCTCTATATCTCTATATGCACTTTGAGTGCATTCTTTCCACAATAAATCTTTACATGACATACCTCTTTCTTTTACAAAATCTAGTCTGTGTTTTGTTTGAGAATTCCTGTCTCTGATAATTCAGTTTAAAATTATTTTGCTCATATAAGAATGTTTTGTTGACTGCATTATTCTGAGTACTGCAAGATCTAATGTCTTTGGCAATGAGAATTTTAAAATCCTATTTTTAACTTTTCCACAGCCATCTGTTCACTTCTCATAAATATGTGTTCTTTCAAATTTTAACTTTCAATTGGAAATGGTGAATATTCCACATATGTTCCTAAATACTTGCAGTTACTATTCCATTGACTAATTTGCTAATCAATATCACTAGAAAGTAGTCAAGTTTTCTTTATTCATTTATTTTGTATGAATTAGCTAATGTAGCAAATGTGCATTTAGCATTAACCTCATGCCACACATTATAATGGTGTTAGTTTAATTCTCCCCAAGATACTTTTTAAAAAGTAGGAGAGTAGAAAGTAAAGTACGAATGGTTGACTGAGTACACACATCTATTTTATTATCTACTGAACTCCGATCAAACGAACAGCAATATGACTTTTTAATTAATTAACCCACAAAAGTTAAAAGAAAAAGACAAAATGATCACAATTGTGAAAGCTGGAAAGCATTTAGATGAGTAAAAATGGCTAACAGAGCCAATAGATCTTAATCATAAGTCCACAAACAGACAACTCAGAACAAAATTTCTTTTTTCTGTGAATCACGAAAATAACTAGGCAATCCTAGACCATCCTAGCCTCCTCAGGCCAAACTAAAGAGGACCAGATGAAAACCTTTTCAAGAATTTCTCCAGTATTCAAATCCCTTCATCAGTTTTGCTCAATAGGTGATTTCTTGTTCCTGATTTATTTATTTTTTTTAATTACAGGCTTATTCTATGGATTAACAAGTTAATAAAAAGTAATCATAGATTTTTCTTACAGGCAAACTCAGCAAGTTACTTTAGACAAAATAACTGTGTGGGCATATAGACATATAAATGAATACATATGAGATATACTCAGTGCTCTTCCTTCTCTGGGTTTCTTAGGTTACCAAAACACTCAAGCTAAATTTGCACTGTCCAGTAAACATATTTAAAGAGTCTTCTGGCCAGGCGCGGTGGCTCATGCCTGTAATTCCAGCACTTTCGGAGGCCAAGGCGGGCAGATCACCTGAGGTTGGGAGTTTGAGACCAGCCTGACCAACATGGAGAAACACCGTCTCTACTAAAAATACAAAATTATCTGGGCATGGTGGTGCATGCCTGTAATCCCAGCTACCTGGGAGGCTGAGGCAGGAGAATCGCTTGAACCTGGGAGGCAGAGGTTGCCGTGAGCTGAGATCACATCACACCATTGCACTCCAGCCTGGGCAACAAGAGCGAAACTCCATCTCAAAAAAAAAAAAAAAAAGAATCAGAAATCTTAGTAGCCTAAGGGAAGAGACAAAGAATAAGAAGAAGTAAAAGAAAAGGAAGAAAAAAAGAAAACAAAAGAAAAAGCCTTCGATGAAACAACCTCAACTAAAACATTCAGTTAGTTCATCCACAGTGAAGGGCATTTTCTGCACTTTCCACATATATGCTCAGCTCAGTGACATGCTCAGCTCAGTGCTTTTGACAAACTTGAGTCCTGCAGTTTTAAATGTAAACAGAAAACAAAAGAAGACTAGAAAGATTAGAAAGCTACTAATATGAAAAATTCCAACTAAAACCAAAAAACAAAGACAGAAAGAAAGAAAGGAAAAATTTGAGAAAAACAGCCACTACCTATTGAGAAAAGGAAAAAAAAAAAAAACACACACACACACAAATAAAATCTACCATGAATACATAAGAGAACAGACAGCAACCATGAAACAAGAATGAGATTCCTTGTCAAAGAAATATTCAAAAGTTTTAAAAGGTATTTTTATACATTAACATTTTGATGATATGGCTGAAAACTCAGTAAGTGTTGAAAGAAAATGCTAAGGATATTTCCCAGACATTATGGCAAAGAAACAAGCAGATGAATAGTAAATGAGGAAAGAGCAAAAAATTAGATGTCCTTATTATAAGGCCCTACATCCAAATAGCTGAACTTCCAAATAACAAAGAAAAAAAAAGGACAACATTAAGATTTGAGAAGAAAATTTTTCCAGAACTCTTGGGCATAAGTTCCACATTAAACGTAGAAAGACCCACAGTAAGGCACATCATTCTGTGATTTCTGAAAACTGCTGACAAAGAACAGTTCTTAAAGGATCCAAGGAGGGAAAATAAGTCAAAAGAAGATCAGGATCAAATGGCAATGCTCCTTTACAACACTGGACATAATTTCTGAAAGAAAATATTCCCTACCTGAAACTCTATAGTGACCTAACTTAATAATTGTGTTTGAAAAATAAAGAGATTTTAATAGGCACCCAGTCTTAAAAATACCTTTCTCATAAAGATAATTGTATGGGAAAGAAAAGAATCATATGATAAAATTATGTTTCAGAACACTTATTTTAAAAAACTAAATATATTGCCATTCTTTTACAGCCAAATTTGTATCTAACTTTTGGAGTTTTATTTTGATTTCAAGAAAATTGAAAAATAATACAGTATTAATGCAACTTTACTCTTTTGTGGGCTTTGGTTTTTCTATTTATCTTATTAGTAAACTTTTTTTTACTTCAGTGTGTGTATTATATACACTGTATATATATATATATATATATATATATATATATATGCATATTTAAACATTATCATCAACATTAAACATTATCATCTCTACAGTCCTCAAAGTTCACAAAACTCCCTCTGTATAAGAAACAGAAAAGTTCATTAATGTTTTTGTAGCAGAATCTTACTAAGTAGGTTCCAAAGTTTCTAAAAGTTTCTCCTTTGAATGCATTTCAAACACTATTTAGACAGTGTGGCAAAATATAGAACGGACTAATGGAAGCAAAGAAAGTTGATTGGATTACTAAATTGATTTTAGAAAGTGGATAATAAGACAAGAGGAAAGTAAAACACTTAATTTTCCACAATATTCCAGGATTATGAATTTTCCTTGGTTTTTCTTGTACTTGATATCAGTAATCTATGTAGAAGTAGAAAAGATTATTGAAGCTATTTGTTTAACTATCGAAAGAATTTAAGGCCAATGAGATTGATGAGTTTAGCTGTTTCTTTTTCTTCCTCTGATAATATATTAATAGCTAGCATCAGGAATGGCACTGACATACACAAAAGACAATAAATATGACTAGATAAAATAAATAATGGATGAATGAGTGAAAGACAAGACAGGAGAGGGATTAAAAGATGGTCAGGATGATGCAGAGGAGAGATTCCAGTGTGATAGCTGTGCTCAGGTACAGGCAGCAGACCACCTAGATTGCAATAAGTGAGAGAATCCTAAAAACACTTTTCATAAAGATGGGATTGGTAGAATATCTGATGCACCAGAATGCCTTGAGAAATAACATAAGAGTAGGCAGAAGTTTAGGATTAAATTAGACATACACAAACAAGAAAGCAAAATAAACTCCAAAAGAAAAATGGAATAGAAAGTAGGAAAGGAAAAAGACCTATGCTCTTATTTTTTATAGTTGTAACTCAAAAGATAATATTTCAACACTAAAATAACAAGAACTAATAATAGGAGGCGATTATCTCGAAACTTGAGTTGATTCTGAAAATAATCAGTTAGAAGAAATAGAAGCAATTGTCATTGAGAAAGAGTTACAGTTGGGTGCTATGTTTCAAAATAAACCTGTAGAAATATTAGACATGTCTGATAAAAATAAAAGCTAATAATGAAATAAAAGAGGGTTGATGAATGGCTTTGTTTGCACATACCTCCAACTTTTACCCCTGCCCCTCCCCCAGAAGGTGTCTGTATCCTCTTTCTTTGGAACCAAGACCACTAGTTATCTTTTCTCCTGAGATTCACGACATAATTCTTCCAGCTTTCTTATGATTACAAACTTTGTTATTGTTCTATCAGAACTTGAGGTGCTAGTTTTTTTTGTTTGTTTGTTTTTAATTCTGGAATCTTCCCATGGCTTGTGATGAATAATCTATACCACTCTTTGTCACTATTGTCTTTATACTTTCCCAAATTTCCATCTGTTATGCTGCTAAGGATTATCATGCACATTTTTAGGATAACATTCCTTCTAGTTTTCATCCTGAATTATTTTCTGTATCCATTCTAGAAACTTTACTTCTAACACTTTAAATTCGTTTTCTATCGAGACACACTTCCCTCCAAAGTCACCTAATTGATAGTGACAAGCAATAAAAAGGAGTAATAAAAACATAGCAAGTATCTTTCAAGTTATTGAAATTAATAGCTTGGTGAACATATTTCCCGGGGTTCGAGATTTCAAATCCTCTATCTTGGTCTTTCTCTGAAAGTTACATGCATGATATATTAAGAGTTTCTATCAGTCAATTAACCTCACATTTACATCTCTCTGTCCAAATATTCTGAATCTGTTCTCACTCTTTTAAATTGATCAATTAAGATTATTTTTCTTTCCCCAAAAAATCTTATTCTAACTCACTTTGTTCCCTAATGATTATCTAGTCAGCTGTTAATGTCCAAATCTTATAGCCACTTTTCAACCCTAACCTTTCCTGGCTTAAGCTCTCTACAGATTTTAACACTGGTAAGCATTACACTGCATAACTTCCAAGACACTGATTATTTTCCTGTTACCATGGTTATGTATTCTCAGTATTGTTGCTGGTGATTTTTCTTCTTTACTCAGTTTACATTAACCTTTATCTTTCATGAAATAATCCCACCTATCTTCACAGTTTTAACTACAACCTACATTTTATTTATACCTTTGTATCTCAAGATCAAGACTCTCCTATGAGTTCCAGGTGATTTGGCTGTCACACAGACTCTTTATTCTCATTCATCATTTTACCCAGTCTTCTATTCTGTATTAGTTCATTTACACACTGCTGATAAAGACATACCAGAAACTGGGAACAAAAAGAGGTTTAATTGGACTTACGGTTCCACATGGCTGGGGAGGGAGGCCTCAGAATCATGGCAGGAGGCAAAAGGCACTTCTTACCTGGCAGTGGCAAGAGAAAAATGAGAAAGAAGCAAAAGGAGAAACCCCTGATAAACCCATCAGCTATCATGAGACTTGCTCACTATCATGAGTAGAGCACAGGAGAGACCTGCCCCCATGATTCAATTACCTTCTGCTGGGTCCTTCCCAAAACTCCTGGGGATTCTGGGAGTTTCAATTCAAGATGAGGTTTGGGTGGGGACACAGCCAAACCATATCATCATGTTTCTGTGTTCTCTCTCCTGTTACAGAGACCCCTGGATCTGGGAGTTATTCTAGTCTGTTCACTCTTTCTCACATGCCTCATTACAGGGTTAATACATCCTATCAATACTTAATCTTGTATTTTCTCTATATCCACTCTTTTCCGTTTCTACAACAGATGATGTAGGGTCAGTCCTGATAAAGACTTGTAATTGGTATTTCAGCTCTACATCAATTAGAAGGATCCTTTAACCAAATAATTTAATCTCTTTACGTCTCAGTTTCCTTATCTGTAAAATGGAGATAACAGTAGTGTCTAAGTCCTAGAATAAAGTGTTAATAATACATGTAAAATTTCTTAGCACATTTCTTGTCACTAATTTTATTCATAAAAGGTAGATGACTAGCAAAGATCTTTGTAAAACGAAAAAGAGGAATACGAAGGACATTTGTTTATGTAACTATATGAGGCTTTCTCTCCTCACCTTGACAGTGGCCTGAGTTCCTCACATGATATTTATAATTTCCTTTTCTTTGAATAAATATTTTCTAAAGTCACTTTCTTTATAGATAGATTACCTTTAGTAATATTTTCAAATATTGTTGTTGTAACTTTTATAACAGTTGCATTCTTGCAAATTAGACTAGAAGTGAATTTCTGTCAAATAAATCTCATTTTCTCATTGAATTCTAATTTAATTCACGGATGTGTTCCTACCTTGCTGATGACAATGTGCAGTAGAAGATGCCAAGACTGCAGCTTCAGCTATCATCAGCACAAATCAGGGAGAGTCGGCGATGCAAACATCAGCTCTTCACATAACATCTTCCTTTTTGTTTTTTTCCCAGGATGCAACAGATGTGAACAGCAGGGAAACAACCTTTATGTTTCCAGCAGAATTCCATTAATCTAAGTCTTCAGGGACCACAATCCAACTTTGACACTGATTTTCTAATTCTTTTTTGGCCAGTATCTGTAATGTGTATTGCCAAAGACTGGGTATACAGGTGTGCACTGTATTAAAAAAGAATATGTTATGGGAAATTACATCTTAAGCCCCAAAGTAAAGAAATCAACTCAGAGACAGGCAAATCAACATTTAGAAAACAGACTATATTGTTCTAAATATCAGCTTAATTTTAATATCTAGTGGCTGAGGAAATAACACCTTTGTTACAATTCAGTTTTATAGTGCTGTTTACACGTTAATTATACATGGGTAAGAAAAGAGTGACAAGAAGTGTACACTCTCACCCTGTTCATGTCCATGTTAGTTTGATGTAACTTTTCCCTCAATAAGGCTTTTTTTAATGAAACTGATTTATCCTTTCAAAAATATTAGTGGAAATGGTGCTTAAATGCTCTGTAACATTTAGCAATCCCTAGAACATTTTAAGCTACTCTGGAAAAAAACAAAACAAAACAAAACAGAAATACTCAATGTTCTACCCACATGTAGGCATATGAGTTTCCCCACTGTCTCAAAGCATAGGAAATATTTCATTTTACCCCCACAGCTTCAGCTAATGCATGTAATAGAAATGGATATTAGAAATCTATTCTCATTTATTGTTATACAAATGCAAGCAGAGAAAACATTAAAAATCTGCAATGTCTGCACATTTCCTAGCACTCTTTCTTGTAGGAGAATAAGAATTATTTATGGACATTCTTGCACAGCTCTAGTATTTAAAGGACTACAAGTCATTCTTTTCCAAGAACTGCAGGTTTGAAAGTATCCTATACAGATTTCCATAAATTAACCTTCTTAAAAGTAAAGGAGGAAATGTCGGTCTTTACATGGATTAAAAAAGACTTAGATGTATGAGGTTGGCTTAAGTCTTTTATTATGCATTTCTTTATACTAAGTTACCACGTTACTTTATTTTTTAAAAAACATAGAGGCAGTTATCCTCCATAGTAGTAGAGATTAGAGACAAAAACATTCTGGCATTTCAGAATCCCTAAAAACTGGTGTTTGTGCTGGTAGTTCTTTGTTATTTGTTCCCTGCATACACAGAAACATACAAAAACAGGAATGTAACAAGGTTTTTAATAAACTTGCTTTCATTTAAAAACAATATTCTGGGGATAGGTGAATTCATATTCTTCTAATTAAAGAGTATGTTTCCAGACCCACTGGAATAAAAGGTATTTAAATTGGCATTCAGCTTCCTCAATGATTATAAACTTGCTCAATTCCTACCTAACATTCCAAATCACCAGTGGTGACTCACTTTTTTTTTTAATATTGAATTCTAGGGCTATGCAATATTATTCAAAATAAATCTGCCTAACCACTTGTTCTCAGGGACAGAAGCCATGTACTAAGGGAAAAAAATACCAGGATAAGGTAAGATAGAAGGGTAAGCCCTTCTATCTTAATTCATGCCATTGAATATTTGTGTACCAATATAATTTTCAGAGGGAAGAAACTAGAAATTTCTGTAGACTAGGATATGAAAAGATAGAACAGGTCAGTGAAATATTTGATAGTACTGGAAAGTGTGTAGTTGGAAAGAAGCAGCAATCTGGTTGAAGAAAGAGATTCTTACAATCCAGATGGCAGAAACCTATGCTGATTGCCAACACCTTTAAAGGTGTCTGGGGAGGGGTTTGGGTGTAGGTATATATTTATAGAATTAAAATCTGTTTTTCATGGCCTTTCACTAGGAGAAACCTCATTCACTGTAGATATCAACCTTCAGGGGAAACTCCATGATAAGGTATTCGAGTAAAAGGGGGACTTCTCAACCATATAATTTTTCAACTATAGGCACATCGTATTATACAGCAGAGACTTTTTACCTAGTATATGCAATACAGGTATGAAATACAGATCAATCTTTTTATGATGTAGCCCGAAATAAAAAAAGACTTGGAAAAGTTACAAAACTTATTCCAATCTGAAGCATTTTTTATGCTTTTGTTCACCAACTTCTTTTGCTTTGCCCTTTGCAAAACTCCACCCACAATTAAATCCTGTGTGAGAATATAAAGTTTTATCCCCAGCTCTTACTGCTTCCCTATAGTCAGTTACCACAATGGCCTTACGTCAAGCTAGCAGCTTACACAGACAATTATCTAAACAGGTTTCCATCTTAGCTTCTGTGGTTACACTGTAAGACAAATTGTTTGATATACCAATACTAATATTATATATGATACCATAGTTACATATAATATACCAATACTAATGAATACTACTATTTATTAACTGAAGAGGAATATAGGCTCAGT
The DNA here is from genome assembly GCF_000001405.40 of Homo sapiens. NCBI lineage: Eukaryota > Metazoa > Chordata > Mammalia > Primates > Hominidae > Homo > Homo sapiens. Next base: position 27,203,610 of record NC_000014.9, on the reverse strand, counting down.
GTAAGATATGGAAGTTAGTTAGCATTTACCTATCTTCAAGGACAGTCACTTACTCATTCTGTCCCTCTATTTCCCCGTATGTAATTCATGCCCTTATTTAACAAGGGAAATGGAAATATTTGAAGATCACCTTTAGGATTAAACAAATTACTAAACACTGTACATTGATCAAAGATATGTGCAATGTAAGTTTGAAACAGAATTATGCATATTCAAAGAGCAAATAAACATATATTTGAAGAGTGTCTGAAATCAGATTTGACATTTGCAGAACTAAAGTAAACATAGGTGAAGTTTCAGTGTGTTTGCCTCTAGAATGAACACATTGGATTTGATATCTTAGTACAATTTCAGCTTTAACTTTCCATAATTCTTTGATTGTGTATTTTTTAAAAAGAAAAAAATGATAAGCAAAGAGTAATAATAAAAACCTAGAATCACTATTTCATTTGTTGTTAATCTTTTGCAAGTAAAGTTTCAGATGTAGTTCATAATTGGACATTTTAATTGCTTACTCCATATTATTAATTTCAACCATTATTGTTAAGAAATTGGACTTTACTAAGCAATGATTCCACTAATTATTTGTAGTCCAGAGCCTCACTTTCTTCTCACAAATACTTGTATTGATTTATATTCAAGCTTTCCAATAGAGAACATTCTGAGCTAAACGAGTTCTATGTTTGGCTAAATAATTCATATACATGCCTTTATTATTATAAGACTCCTTTGCCAAGCTAGTTCCTTCCTGAATAGTCTATGTTTTCATATTGTCTTGGCATCAATACGATGTTGCCTTGTTATGTTTTTCAATCACACTGAGATAAGTGGCTCCATATAAAATGAATTCATAGATGGTGCTCTAAAAATCTCAAGTGATAAATCAAATTAATACAAATAAGCTTACTCATCTAAGAGAAAATAAGAAAATAATGAATTCTTTTTTTCATCCTGCGTTGTGTTGGTCACTACTGCTTCCTCTGTTAAGTGAATTTAACATAATCAGATTTGTAAAGGATGTCAATTTGTGCAGACTACTTTGTGTCTTTCATATCAATAAAAACCTATGATAAGCAAAATATTGTAAAACCAGAAAATATAGTCAGAATAACTTAAAATAGTATAAAAATCAAATAGAGCCAGAATAACTATAAAACTAATTATGCTGGATATTCCTTGAGCTGGGAGTCCTATGAATACATGAATGGACAAAATAGTAATAGAATTGTTACTCCTTAGGAGATAAATTCTTAGGAATGTACAAATATAATAACAAATCTTTGCTAAGCATTTACAAAACTAATCATAGTTGCACCTCTCTAGGAATTAAGGAGGCATCTTTAGTAAAAATCTAAATTTAAAAGTACTGGAATTGAAGCCATTTTCAGGTGGTGTCACCACCCTTAAATTAAAAATTAGAGGCAGGGCAGACAAAGTTACATAGTTAATGAGACAGATGACTGTGAACAATGCTCATAGTTATTTGAAATAACTAGAAGTAATGTAATATACAATAGCTGAAATGGGAGATAACGTAGTCACAAAGGACAAACATCAGTGAACAGATTAGGATTAAGAATGCATCATGATAATCTCATTCTGAAATCATAGACTGTGCTAGAAAAGCTGTTTCTGTTTAGTTTTTTTTTTTGAGTTCTTGAGTCTAAAATACATATGTTCCTCTTCATATATCTCAGTAGTAGACTTTGGCCTTTGGTCTGGGCCTCAGCTGAGTGTTGGAATGAGTTATTAGAGGAGTTGAAGATGGTGTGTTTGACTGATGAGGCAATTTGCCCTTTCTATATCCACAAAAGCCTTCTTGAATCTAACCTTCTGTCCTGAAAAGAAAGGCAACAAAATCTCTGAAATGTGACATTTTCCAAATAGGAGAATATGAGAAACCCAATTACCAACTTATTCATTCACTCTTTCACTCTTTTTACCACTCTCTTCTTTATAGTCACTAAAATCAGAGGTTTTGTTATAGTCTCAACAGACCAGCCAGTTACTAATTGTATCCATTCTCTATTCATGTTTTATAAGGCAGATTTCTTCAAATTTCCATCTAGCCTATGTACAAACCAGTTGCATTTGATCTACACTTTTAAATTATAAAATTCTCTACTGTGCTAAATTTCGGAGGGAAATGAAGCAGCAAAAGAGAATAGTTTGTGGTCAAAGAGTTTGCAGGGTGAATATAATTTGCCCCAAGTGAAACTAGAATGAATATCCATGAGATGCTCCTCAGTCTTTCTTTTTAGCTCTGCCTCTGACAAACGCAGATAGTATAGTGTGAACACGTTTATTTTCCACGTGACCTGGTCAGATACTTGGTAATGGCAGTAGCTGACATTTCTCAGGGAAAAATCTAACAACTTAACTTTAATTGAGTGCACTGCAAGATAGCCACCAACATAATTTTATTTTTCAAATATTTCCCAGGATGGGAGAAATGCTCATAGACCTGACAAGCATAGTGATTGCTTTTCCTCTGGGTAATAAAACCAGCTCTATTTCTCTCATTTTGCCTGTAGTTCCTAAATGTAAAAGAAAAGCAATTATCACATGAAATGTACGCCTAAGGTTCTCTTCCTGCATTAGTCAGTAGGCATCTATTTCTCTTTCAATTCAGGATCTTTTGGAAGAAAAGAAAATTTCAGGCCATGTAAGATATGTGCCCAGAATATCTGTGAGATTGGGTGGGTTTCTTTTTAATCTACTTAATTTACTCTAATAGAGACAGGAGTCAGTTTTTTTCTAATTATAGCAAAAGACAGTCCCCCACACCTGTTATTTAAAAAGAAAAAAAAAATCTTGGAAACAAGAAAAGTTGTCAGTACGTCAGTTACCTTCTAATAGATATTTTCTTTCATATTTTGAAGCTTTCAATTAAAACAAGCGTTTGAGACAGGTAATTAACTGATTTGAGGATTATATAAAAATTTCTTGGTTTAAAAAAGGGATATGTATTACTTAAAATTATTTCAAACATGTTTCTCTTTCCTTTAAGCAGAGCATTTAACAGTGTATCACTATTTTCTAAATAATATACATGAGCAATAAAACAAAAAATGAAAGAAAATTACAACTTAGGTTTTAGATATTTCTAGACTAAATATCAGGCTGAAAATTAAAAATAGATACCTCAAATATTTGGGGGGAATTAATGGGTTGGATCAGTTAGCAAAATATTTGGTTTAAACTTTGGTATAACCTATCAAAAACTCAAATTTTCACCCACATTTAGCTGGCCAATTTAGTTGGATCTAGTACAGATTTCGAATCTTCAGCACCAAAAACGAGGACAGGTGAAAAAGCTTCTCAATAAACATAAGTTTAATGAATAAATAAAAAGGCTAATTAATTTTTAAAGTGTTCATGCAACATTTATTCAAATATCTGCACACACTCAAGTATATAACTGTATATACATCAGTAACTGTGCTAAATGCAGAGAAAACAAGATACACATTGTTGGCCAGACCCAGTGGCTCATGCCTGTAATCCCAGCACTTTGAGAGGCTGAGGCATGCAGATCACTTGAGGCCAGGAGTTCGAGACCAGCCTGGCCAACATAGTGAAACCCCGTCTCTACTAAAAATAAAAATATTGGTCAGGTGTGGTGATGCACGCCTGTAGTCCCAGTTACTCAGAAGGCTGAGGCATAAGAATTGCTTGAATTTGGGAGGCAGAGGTTGCAGTGAGCTGGGATCACACCATTGCACTCCAGCCCGGGCAACAGAGCAAGACTCCATCTTAAAAAAAAAAGGAAAAGAACAAAGAAAAAAAATATATACATTGTCTTTGGTGTTGTGGAAATTATATTCTAATAAAGATGGAAAATTATATGCAGATACATTTTGAAATGACCCAAAAGTCACAAGTTTCAATAAGTTTAGTAAAAGCAATAAATGGGAGTGGTGAGCTGATTAGATGCTTTGCTTAGAGTTAGGGAAGCATTTCTCAGGACGTGACCTCTAAGCTGAGATCTCAAGCTCAAGATGGACCCAGCCATATTATGAGCTGACAGGAAGAAAAGTAAAAGAAAGAAGAAAAGAACAAAATGAAGGAAAGGAAAGAAGGAAGGGAGGGAGGAAGGAAAGAATGAGTGTGGGATGGAGAGAGAAAGAAAGGAAAGAAGGGAGTGAGGAAGGAGAAAGGGAGAAAAGGGAAAAAGAGAAAAAAGACATCAGAAATACTTGCTAAGCCTGAAATATTGTTTCCCTAGAATTATTCTGTCCTAGCAATCTTTTTGTGCAATGATCATAAGGCTGAAAACTGGTAAGCAGTCAGAAAATGAAAGGTTAAAAAAAAACCGTATTGACAAATAAAAATATATTCAACTGTGAAAAGTAAAAATGAATACATGGAACATGGATCCCAGCAAACATTATGGAATTCATTTCTGAATATATTTTATGTACAAGAAAAACTAATCACTGGTAAGTAGCATATGTTCATATAATAAGTGTTGCCAGATTTAACTATTTTCCTATCTTGATGATGTTGTAAAATTGCTAAGGACAATTTCCAAATATTTCCACATTCAAACTCCTGCGATGGCATCCTTGTGCATACCTGGGGGAACTATGGTGTTAGGGAACAGTAAGGATATATAGATATATAATTGTCAATTAGTAATAATATCAAGAGGTTATCTCCAGCAATGTGCTATAAAACTCTGTGCCCCTGTCTACAGGATTAAGAAAGAAACATAGATGATGATATAGACATAATTGGTAGAGCATCTATGATATCTGGAAGGAAAATAGAGCATTATTAGAAAGAAAGAATTTTTTTTTAAATCAAGATACTAACCTATTATCTACTTTTGTATAACTTTTATATTTGGTCCACTTTGGATCCTTTGAAGCTATAAAGAATACTTTCAACATTTCTTTTATGTTACATCCCTTCAAACATTTGAAGAGAGTTATATTCATATTCACTCTCTTCTGATGTATTATGCACACACACACGTGTGTGTATATATATGAAGTGTGCATATGCATATATTGTGTATATATGAAGATATATATCTTCATACATCTGTGTGTGACTATGCAAAGGGTATATATGTGCAATATACACATAAGTACATATAAGATACATCTCTATATAGATTTTATATATATATGTTATATATCTAGATTTTATATAATATAGATTTTATAGATAATATATAGATTTTATAGATAATGTATAGATTTTATGTATATTATATATAGATTTTACATATATATTATATATATAAATATATATAAAATCTTCAGCTCTTGCTCTTACTCTTCACCATCTTGGTTAAGTTTCCCTACACATATTTCAGCTTATCAGCATGCAGTTTAAAGTGTGGTACCAAGAAATGAGCACAGTATGTTCATTCCAAGGATGAGAGGGGCTACCTCAGAAGATAGCCGAGTTCCACAATATTCCAAACCTGTAGCTGGATGGTGACTTGGAGCTCACTCAGGAAGAGGAATCTCATTCAGTTGACACTGATCCTTAAGGCCGCTAGTATGTTAAACTTCATCCATCAACAATTGTTTAAAGAACTTAAAAATTTCATGTACATATGGTGAAACTAAGTATTGTATAATATTTTATTAATAATTTTGGCAGACAAGTGCTATTTTGGATCTACAGGTATAGAATACATTAGGAAAGAAAATCAGAATAAACAAAGAAACTTCTCTCAATCATCTCTATCAAAAACTACTTACATTGACTATTTGATCAGGGTGACTAAGTCTGTTTACGGGTTTGACAGAGCAGTTAAAACAATTTTTTTAATGTTACTGAACTATTTCTATCTAAGATGAAATACTAGATCTCCAAAAAAATTAACACTAAGAAAATGTGACTTTTATATAGAAATAGGTTATGTATGTTGAGTTTACTGTTTCAGTTTTTCTTTACCTTGATTCCTCTTCTTTGAATTATGGTTTTTTTCTATTGTCATCCTCTACTTAGTTTACATTTGCACTTATACCTTATCTTTCATCAGCGAAGGAATAAAGATACGAAAAACATGAATGATTCTATGTACAACTGAATGAACAAAATGAGCATTTGGTGATCACACGAGTTCTTTGAGACATGAAGTTCAAGACAAACAGAGTTGGAATTTCACTAAGCAATTCTTGCAAACTGGATATTGCTAAAGTCAATTTAACTTGTGATAGTTAATAGACAGTCTTGGAATCATATATTAAGGTTGCTAGTGGAAACTAGAAGGTCAAAGGAACAGAAAACATACATGATTATGCTTCTGTATGTGCTCAACACACACTCTCAAGAACCATAGATTTTAAAAGTTCCTAAAATTCTGAGAAAAAATGAGGAAGCATTCTAATAATCATCTTAAGAATTGCAAAATAATTTTCTACTGTGGGTACTTGAGAATGACTGTGAATTGTTTGAACAGAACACTGATTATACGATAGTTCTCATACGAATAATAATTGAAAACAGCCCAAGAATAATGCAGTTTGTCGATTAGAAAGTCAAATATATACCATGCATTTTACATACATAACTTCTTTTACTCAAACACCATTTTTATAGGGAACAAAGCTGATAGCATTTATTATTATTATTACTTGAAAAGTCAGCCCTCACACACTCAAATGCTTCCAAGAGTAAACACTACCCACTGTAAATAGAAGAAGTAAATAAAATTTGCTTTGCATTTCTTCATCAAAAAAAATATTTCTGAGTTTTTGATATATCTTACTCCACATTTCTCTCTCTAGGTTTGCAGAATTTATAATTCTTGTGTATTTGTAAATAAATGTGCATAGGTATATATTTGCAAATATACACATATGCTTTTTCAAAGTATTTTTAAAATAGAGTTTTTATTTATTTATTTTTATAAATAGAGTGTTTATTTGGGCCACATTTGAGGATTGCAAGCCGGGAGCATAGGTTTAAGTTGCCCTGAACATACTCTCCCTCAATGTTTTTTAATATAATAGACTCAAACCATATATACTCCTTAGTGTTTTTTAAAAATAAAAACTTTTTTGCACATCTTCTAAATTAGTATGTACATGTAGATTCATTCCTTTTAATGAGAATAGTACATTGCATGGGTGCACCATGTTTTGTTCAACCATAATTTAAGCAAGTTCTGATTTGTATTTAAAGCAATACTGCAATGATGTTGTAAAATATATATTTCTATATTTTATTTTTGTATTATCAATTTTATAAGACAGTTTGTTAGTATTGTTAGTCATAAAGTTTGAACATTTTTATAGATTAAAAATTGCCTTTTAAAATATTGTCTCTCTATATATTCTTACCAAATCAATATTGGAATAGCTTTTTCTTTCTACACCTTTACAAATAAACACCATTAAGTTTTTCTTTAATGAACATTTTTATTAATAAACTTTTATTTTTGTCTATTTGTTAGACAAACAAAAGTGACAACTAATCATTGCTTTTATTTAGATTTCAGAGAAATCATTAATATTATGTATTCTCAACAGGTGATATGTGAATCTCAATTTATAGGTACAGGTTCTATGTATAAATACAGAAAAGAAGACAATGGGATTTGTCCTGAGGATAGGATTTTTGACTGACATTTCAACAAAAGGTGGTGTGATTACAAAACTGGTGAAAAACAAAAACAACAGTTCATCTGGCCTTTTCTATTGCAGGAATTCTTAGGATCTTTCCCATTTACTACTCTTTAAGAGTGGTAGATCTAGATCTTAAAACACCAATGTATGTAGATTTCGATCTTTCCTACACCTCCCATACCATAAATATCGTTATTTACCCTTGAGATGTTTACAATTTAATGAAGAAAGTAAGCCTCATGTGTAAAACATAAACTTAAAAAAATTTAAACCACTCTGGATGACATTGAATAGAGTATGTAGATATGGAAGAAGTAAATTAGGAGAAAGTTTGATGAGTGGCAAAGCCCTAAATTAACAGGGAAACTAAGGATTTGTTTTTGTTTTCAAATTACAGAAAGCACTTTAAGATCTTCAGGATTATTCCTGTTATCATAGATGGCATTATTAAAAATAAGAAAATTGTGCAATCATCAGCAAGTAAGCTAAACTCATTGTGGTTAGTAAATTAGGAAAGATAAGAAAGCAAAGTTTACCACACAAATAGAAACTGATAAAAGAAAGAAAACAATCACTTTTCCCTAATATTAGTCTCCAACAAAGAGTGCAAAAGAAAAGCATTAAAGATATGTGCAGCTTTAGGATTGCAACCATACTAACCATGCACTCTATCTCTGTTGCCGTTCTGCTGGCAGAACTTGACCTTAAGAATCTTCACCTTTTAGAGATAATAAAAATGATTTATTTATATGTAATTAAAAATCAGAAAAAACTTATGAGTTTCACACAAATAGTTTGTATTTTCAGAAAATTAAGGTTGTTTTAAAATATGTTATCTTGTAAAGATTATGAAAAAATGTATATTTATTAGTATAATACTTTAATTATCCTAGTTGCTTATTTGGTGGGGAATGTAAGCACTCAAAAGCCAAAGCATGTGTAATATGTCCATATATGGACATAAACACACACATACATACACACCTAGTTTTAGCCACTGAATCTCTCATCATCTTGATCCCTAATATATACCCACAAAGTAGTCACGTTTATATACGGAGGGAATTTTAGCTCTATTTCAAAACTGAAGTCTCCTTGCTCATAATCTGGCCCTGAATTTATGCTCTGGGAACACAGTAACTGAAAAAATGTCCTTCTGGCATCTCAGGATCTTGTTCCTGAATACCTGACTTAACCTACCAAATACTATACCAATTCCTTTTGGAACTGAGTGTTTGTCCTTTGAACAAGGTCATTCAAGTATCGGAGTCTTGCATCTAAATCCCAGTTCTGTGGCCAAAACTTGGTATTCCTAAATATTCTTAATCTTTACCACTTGCCATGAAACTTTTTTAAATGTTTAACAATTTATGAGGTACATGTGACATTCTGTTACATGTATATGATGTGTAGTGATCAAGTCAGGGTATTTAGGTGTTTATTGCCCAAACATAATACATTTTTATTAACTATAGTCACTCTGCTATCAAACACAATGTATTTCTTCTGTCTTACTGTATGTTTGTACCATTTATTGCAGTTGCCTCCATTCTCTCACCCACCACTCACCCTGCTCAGTCTGTTATCTATTTTTCCACTGTCTCCATGTAATAAATTGTTTTACCTCCTACATATGAGCGAGAACCTACAATATTATTCTTTTTGTGTCTGACTTATTTCACTTAGTGACCTCTAGCTCCATCCACGTTGCTGCAAATAACATGACTTCTTTTTTTTTATGGTTGAATAGTATGCCATAGTGTATATATACCACATTTTCTTTATCCTCCATTTATGGCCACTTAGGTTGATTTCTTATCATTGCTATTGTGAATTGTGTGGCAATAACCATGCAAGGGCAGGTATCCCTTTGATATATTGATTTATTTTCTTTTGGATAGATAAGAAAAGTGACATTACTGGATCAAGTAGTAATACTATTTTTAGGTTTTCTGGAAATCTCCATGCTGTTTTCTATAGTGGCTGTACTAGTTCACATTCCTACTGACAGTATATGAGTTCCCTTTTCTCCACACTCTCACCAAAATCTGTTTTGTGTGTGTGTGTGTGTGTTTTTAGTAGTAGCCATTCTGACTGGGGTAAGATGGTATCTCATTCTGCTATGAGATTCTTAATGGCCTCTTATTTGCTTATCACCAATAGCCAAGGTGAAAAACAAAATCATATGGATTTTGAGCATTTTAAATGTAAGAAATTTAAGCAAAGATTATTACGTAAACTCATGCTTTTACATTATCAATACAAGCTTTTCTTTTCTAACTTTTTGGAGAGGTAGACTGCTTTAAAAGGGGGTACAGTTTAAAGTCAAAGTAACAGATAATGCTTTGTTTCAGTATTCGAAGCAAAGGCACTTAAGAAGCTTCAGTCTGACTTCTCAAAAGAAGACATTTATGCAGCCAAAAGACACATGAAAAAATGCTCATCATCACTGGCCATCAGAGAAATGCAAATCAAAACCACAATGAGATACCATCTCACACCAGTTAGAACGGCAATCACTAAAAAGTCAGGAAACAACAGGTGCTGGAGAGGATGTGGAGAAATAGGAAAACTTTTACACTGTTGGTGGGACTGTAAACTAGTTCAAACATTGTGGAAGTCAGTGTGGCCATTTCTCAGGGATCCAGAACTAGAAATACCATTTGACCCAGCCATCCCATTACTGGGTATATACCCAAAGGACTATAAATCATGCTGCTATAAAGACACATGCACACGTATGTTTATTGCGGCACTATTCACAATAGCAAAGACTTGGAACCAATCCAAATGTCCAACAATGATAGACTGCATTAAGAAAATGTGGCACATATACATCATGGAATACTATGCAGCCATAAAAAATGATGAGTTCATGTCCTTTGTAGGGACATGGATGAAATTGGAAATCATCATTCTCAGTAAACTATTGCAAGGACAAAAAACCAAACACCGCATGTTCTCATTCATAGATGGGAATTGAACAATGAGAACACATGGACACAGGAAGGGGAACATCACACTCTGGGGACTGTTGTGGGGTGGGGGGAGGGGGGAGGGATAGCATTAGGAGATATACCTAATGCTAAATGACGAGTTAATGGGTGCAGCACACCAGCATGGCACATGTATACATATGTAACAAACCTGCACATTGTGCACATGTACCCTAAAACTTAAAGTATAATAAACACACACACACACTCACACAAAAGAAGCTTCAATCTGTCAGAGCTGCTATAAAAATTGATAAAGTCCTTGTGGACAGTTCTATCTCGTGATTTCCACGGAGAACATGAAGCCATGGAGCCACAGAAGTCCCATGATTGCCAGCTCTAGGAGAGAAGGTTCAACACTTCCTTCTCTCATCTCTGTGTACACCTGCCCTTTGTATGTTATTCTAGGGAAAACTTCATGGATTTTCCTGGTGCACTACTACTCACCTGTGGGACCAGAAAGACACTTTTCTAGAAAGATACAGATTAATGTCAAGCTAATAAGGCAACAGTAAAAGCTTTGTTGTGTGGACTTAAACCTAGAGTAAATACGAAAACAAGATAAAGAAGACAGTGGGTGTAGGGAGAGAAAAGTGAGTTGGCGTTCACATGTGATTAGCCAAGAAGCCAGGTAAGGACCACGTAGAGAGATGTAGGTTTATATTCACCATGAACTCTGTACTGATCTCTCCCTCAAAATGAGCCAGAGTGTGCTTAAAACAAGAGAACTAAATAGAAGGAACATATTCTAAACTTGCATAATACAAAGCACATGAGATAGGTGTCCATATAGATTTTAATTCCACTTTGCCCAAAGTATTTCATTTCAAATGGCTAACGTAGGCACATCTTTTATTTTCAACACTACTTCATTTATTGTAGGCAGTCTAACAACTGTCAGGTATGTTAGAAATAGTGCTAATGTGGGCAAACACTAGAAAATCTTTAAAGCTTAACAAGAGGAAAACTTTATAGCGTGTGAAAAAAAATCCTATTGCATTCATATCTTCATTTTTCCCTTGGTGATTTTTATGTTAGAATGACTGCTGTGATTTTAATACTGACACATTCAGTTCATCCAAACCTAGGAGAGACAGTGATTAGAGTTTTAAAATAATATAAAAGATATTTTATTAGAAAGATTTAAGATTGTCAGGAAATCTTTAAGTTGCAGCCATTTTACTCTCCAAAGCTTTATATTCAATGCATCTTTTTATGCAAATGCAATTTATTGATAGATTTGTAAAGAAACACATAATTTATTATTTTTCATTATGTTTTTCCTGAGTTTGGCCAGTAACTATATACAAATGCTAATTTTTTCAACCTCATAAATAGTCCCTCACAAAATTCCAGTAGAGTAGGTGGGAGAGGAGGAAAGAGAACACACAGGTTTTATTTTTTGTTTGTTTTTAATCATATGCAAAATATTTCAGAGTGAAAACATCATAAATAAAGGATGCTACTGGAGAAATGTAGATGCACACATACCCAAAGTACATTTTTGAGAACTTGTTGTCCTAGTCCTTTCAGCCTCCTATAACAACATTCCATAAATTTTGTGGATTATAAGCAAGAGAAACTTATTTCTCATAGTTCTGGGCTTGGGAAGTCCAAGATCAAGGTGCTGGCAGATTAGGTGTCTGGGGACGACTTACTTCCTGGTTCAAGGATGGCATCTTCTTGCTGTCTTCACGTGATGGAAGGGACCAGCTAGCTCTCTGGAGGCTCCTTTATAATGTTACTATCCCTACCATAAGAGTTCCACCTTAAGGGTGTTTTTTGTTTGTTTGTTTGTTTGTTTGAAATGGAGTTTCACTCTTGTTGCTAAGGCTGGAGTGCAATGGTGCAATCTCAGCTCAGCGCCACCTCCGCCTCCCGGGAAGCTGGGATTACAGGCATGTGCCACCACGCCTGGCTAATTTTGTATTTTTAGTAGAGACAGGGTTTCTCCCTGTCGGTCAGGCTGGTCTCAAACTCCCGACCTCAGGTGATCCGCCTGCCTTAGCCTCCCAAAGTGCTGTGATTACAGGCGTGAGCCACCACGCCCAGCCTAATGGCGTAATCATCACCCAAAGGCATCACCTCCTAATGCTATTAACTTGGGGATTCAGATTTTAACATATGGATTTTGGAGCTACACCAACATTCAGACCTTAACCCGTGTGATGAATAGAGGTGCTTGAGGAAGAAACAGTGAATGGTGCAATATGTAAAAGTTGCCTCTGACTTTCAAGAATGTATATTCCCATAAATTTAGAAATAATATCGGTTTTTAAAGAATTTATAAACTAATCAGAGTATTAAATTTAACAAAAGCATATAAAGTTACAGGAAAATAACAGTTTAGTTCAGTGTAGTAGAAAGGATATTTGCTGTAGAAATTCAAAAATTATTTGGTTGGAAGAGGAGACTTCACAGAGATGAGGCTTGACTTGGCTGGAAGAATGTTTAACATACGGAAAGGCTGATGTCAAGAGCAAGAAACTTTCTTCAGACTGGTCAGTGGGGGTGAAAGTACATAAGCCCAAACTCAGAAATGGACACAAGGGAATTCCAGTGTTGTAACTGAAAGATGAATAAGTGGAGCTAGTGGAAAATGAGGCTGAATTAGTGGAGCATGTATCAGCTTGTTATTATGTTCAGATGCATGTAACAGAGACTCAACTGAAGTGGCTTAACTAAAGAATACATTGTTTTTCTCACAAATCAAGGATCCTGAAAGTAGACAACTCAGAGATGCCATGACAGCTTTTTAAAGCAGCATGAGCTCCTGTGTCCTTCTGTCTTTCTGCTCTGCCAGTCTTCTTACATCTTCAGCACTGTTGGTTACAGCAAAGTTCCTGCACGCAAGTGCTCCAAGTAGATGAAGGGCAAAAAGAAACCTACATTTCCTGAAAGCTCCATGCAATAAACTCATCTGTCTCTCACTAGCCAAAATCATGTCACATGGCCCCTTTCACATGCAAGGGACTTGGGAAATCATGTTCTGTTTTATTTTACTTTGAACTGACTACATTGGCAGACTTATACATCACAGAAGAAAGAATAAAGGAAAAGTGTATATTGCAAAAGTAACTTGCAGTATTTGCTTCCAAAAGAAGTTTCAATACAAAAAACAATAGATGCAATGTGATAGTAATAATGGACTATTACAAGTTCCTTAACAAGGCAATTTGGAAGAGAAGTAATGGGTCATAAAACTGAGTTGGCAGCAGTGATATGAATAGAGAAAGGCAATCATGGAAGGAGGGAGGAGAATGACCGGCAACAATGCTGCAGTCTCATGTATAATGTAAGAACCTATTCTTGTGTGCTGATAATAGAAACATAGACACAGTAGTGGAGATATTCCCATGGAAGTAGCTAGTGAACACAATGCCATTTTACACAGGTGTTAAACGATAGGGAGAAGCAAAGATCATGCATGTTCCAACCTGTAAAGTTTTAAAACAATATTTCTAAAACCAGTTTTCTGATTAGAAAACTAAAACACAGGAAAGGTCAGAGATGTGTTCAAGGTCACAAAGCATCAGTGACAGCTTTGACCAAACTATTTGCATATAAATGTATGCATGCATATTTTAATAAGAATGCATATTTTATACATTAAGAATATTCCCATTCATTGCAATGCATAAAGATTAGGAATCTAGGGTCTCATATCTTTAGTTGTTTTTATTAATATGTCTTATATTACAAAATTTTTACAGCATACTTTTGTTACTATAAGGACGTTGCTGGAAATTGCATATATAGCCTGTAGAAAGAAAACATAAACAAGAAAAGATGTGTAGAATTCTTGTAAAAGATTAGAAAGTGAAGAAAATTACTCTCTACTGATACAGATTTTGAACTTTTCATTTGGATATTTGTCATAGAAAAGTTACTATAAGCAGATACATTGTTATAGAATAATTATTTTTAAAGTCTTGGTGTTGACTGTTTGACAAAAAGCCATTCACACTTACAATATTTTTATACCAAAGTTTTACCTGTATTCACCAGCTCTATAGTGCTCACCCCGTCTCTAAAACCCTCCAGATCCATTTACTCCAAAGAGAGAAGGCATTTCACAGATGAGGTATCTGGCTAGCTATCTATATTTTCCTGCTACAGAATCTAACATAGGAAAGGATCACTGATTTCCCATCTTCCCAAACCTCTGTTCCAACAACATATTCATCAAAACAGACCTCTGCTATGTCCCAATTCTAAAGTCTTTGTTTTGTTCTTGACAATAGGTCAATAAATTTGAGTTAATACATGTAATTTCAGTAACGATTTAATATATCCTGTCTCTAGGCAGTATTTTCCTTTTAATCATATTTTTAATCAAATAAATAAAATGGGCTTTCAGACTTAGGAACGTAGCAATTGCACATGTATTCAGGTTCAATCGCAAATTACATATTATTCATTTACACAATAAACATTTCTAGATTATCTACTATATACCAGATATTAATTCTAAGAAAAATGCACAAGGTCCCTACTTACCCTCATGAAACTTAAAGTTTGGTGGGAGATTAAATGTTAACTACACAAAGAAATACAAAATTCCAAACTGTTCTAAATTCTATAAAGTACAGGATTCTGTGAACAATCTCAAAGGTAAGACTTGGAGTGAGCAGAAAAACAAAGTGAGATTTACTCAGAAATGCTTTTATATTTAATTCAAGTATCTTTTTTAACCCGAACCTCTAATGAGTGTGCATAATTTTTCTATTCCATTGTCTAGGATTGCATATTATAAAATTTATACATTAGTATGAACATTTAAGATTTTCAGCTAAATAGTTCTTTTCTTCAAATGTGCCATTCATTAAGTCTCTGTACAGATTGAAGCTTATGGAATTAGGAACTGAGGAAATAATAGAAGTAGGAAATTTTTTTAAATCACATACTGAGAAGAATTATGCTGGAGTTGATACAGCATATTCTAGGTCACAGTTTAAAATTTTTCTGGAGTATAAGCTAATTTCTCTACATGTTCATCAGTGATGACTATCATGTTTAGAAAAAGACATTATTTTTAAAGTTTCTAACTTTAAATGAGTTTGGAGAAATAAACAAGAGGCTATGCCCGAGGCACAAAAATAATTAAGAAGTTGCTAAATAGTTTATTTGAGTAACAGTAAGATTGAAGGATTTGAAATAATTCAGCTTGTACTAAAGAAAATCTAGTGGTAATGTATTAATAGTCTTCAAACGTGTAAAGGGCTAGTAAGCAGGGTATGATAACCAGATGTTCTTGATCTCTACAATGGAAATAATAAGATCAAATTAGCTTCAAGAGCAGCTAGAGAGATCAAGGCTAGACATAACTTTCAGATGGCAAGGAAAAATGAGTACAAAAGAAACCCTTGTAAAAGAGTTTACAAGATGCGACCACCAAAGGTCATAATGAAGTTGCTACCATGTGCCTGATGTTGTTTAGGTACAGATCTGTTCGTAGGTCCCTCCCACCTTATATCTCTCTGATGATTTGCATACAACATTTGGCACAAGATTTCTTGGGAGGAGATTAACTAGAAACCAAACTGGTAATGATACTTGAACAGTCAGAGGAGAAAGAAAAGCAACAAATTTCAAAACAATAACAATGATTTCATACTTTGTCCTCAGGACACAGAATAAGAGTTGAATTCAAAGTTAGCTGAGTTCATGTCTGAAAATATCACTTCTTTACTGTTGAATCCAAGATTACTTGGAAGCTAACTCCTTCCCTAGCCACTAATATGGAAGAAATTTGACTGATGAACTCTGGATAGCTGAACAATTCTTCAACAATCCTGGATCTTGACAACACATAACATATGCTCTTCTAGTTGAGTTTTTTTACAAAAAAATCTTGACATCACAAAACTTAATTTGCTTCTCATCTTTTGTAAATTAGTGGTGAAGAATGAAGTAAATAGGGGGAAATAAGACCATGAGCAATTCAGATACAACGTAAGAAGATTAGCTGCTATCATTTGAAGCTTAGTGTTCATGATAATTATAATATTGTATACTTGTTTAACAGGCGATATGATAAAATTGTATATTATTTTATGCTCACACCAATCCTATAAGTTCAGTACTTCCATTTCCTGTAATTTAAAGATTAATAAACTAAGACTTAGATGACAAGATAATTGATCCATGGTTATATATACAGTAAATGGCAGTCTCTAAATTGAAGATAGGTCCATTTGACTCCAGAATACAAATTCTCAACTGCTATGAAATACATTTACCAAAATCCCCAAAGTTTAATATACTCATTTGTAGAAGAATTTTCCAGAATGAATTCTCCTTGCCATGCAGATACTAGAAATATCTATTTATTGAAAGAATGGAACCAAAGTAAAATTATAATGTATTCTCATCTGCTTAATAGTAATATGTGTCCTAAATTAATTAAATTTTGTGAAACTCAGCTACTCAATTATTACTTACCGTCTGCCAATCTATGAAAAGTCTTATGGAAATTGAGATGAACGTTTTAAATACTCCAATGCATAATACAAGAGAAACATGGCAAGAGTTTACAAGAACGATCAAATATTGAGTTAGAATGAGCATTAAACAAAAGAACTGGATTTTAAAAACTGCATCAAAAACTAATTATATAAAATATCACTATGCTTACATAATAAATTTTTTCTATGACCTAATATTGTCTCCATAATCTTCTCCACATCCATTCTTCGCCATTGTGGAGATCCTTGGTTAAGTTGGTAGTTTTAAAATTTATTTATTTATTATTTATGCCTATTTAAACAAATATTTTAACCATGTTTTAATATTTATTATTTATATTTATTTAAAATAAATATTATTGTTCATAAAACTAATCTTACTTCTCATGTCTCCATTAATTAATTACATTTACACACTATCCCTGGATTAGAATTTTTGAAATGTAGCTATAGTCATACTCCACTGCTCAAAATTTCTTGATGACTTTCTATTGTCAGCATAACACATTATTATAATTACCATCATTGATATCAGCTTTACTTTACTGAGCATTTTATGTGTGCCGAGAGATATGGTGAACACTTTGTATATTCTATCTCACTTTACCCTCACACGGATGTTGAAATCTACATGTTGTTATCATTATTTTATAGATGAGAAACTGAGACTTAGATTTCTGTAGATTAACAAGAACTTGGATTCAAACAAGCTTTGGGTCTTCTAATTCGAGAATAAACTTCAAGTTTTTTCTTCTGGCATGTAAAATCTTAAACAATGTCTTCCAATGCCCTGAATTTTATATAAGTTTGCAGGACTGATATTTCTTCAGCTTTAGTTCATCTCCAAAATCTGTTCTTTCCCCTCTGATTGAACAAAATTGAATATTTTCTCTTAACAAGGAGACGACTTTGTGTGTATTGTTTGCCATGGGTTACTTTCCACAGTTGTTCAATTAGTCAGTTTATCTTTCTTAGAGGGTTAAAATATTTTATGTTGACAAGATCAGTGTCTGACTCAAATGTGACTTGCTGAAAAGAATTGTGTTATATTTGCTTTTGAATGAACAAAATAAATAGACCTAAATTATTAGCAGGACTTTACTTATGCCTTAGAAAATATAGTTAGTAAGAAGTAATAGATGTAAAATGGTTACTAAGAAGAGAAGTGGCATTTTTCCCTCGGAGTTTCTGAGCAAGCAGAATACCTTTATGTTCCATGAGAATTTCCAAGTGGTTCTATCTGAAGAACAGGAATGAAATTCAAAACCACTTAAAACTAATTTATAATTCTTTAATTTTGTGAGTGAAGAATAAAATTTGGGCCCACTGGAATTAACTAAGAAGAAATTTGAGAGGAATTACAACTACAAAAACATAAGCCAGCAATTTTTTTTTAATCTTCTTTCTCTTTCTTTCTGCCTTTAAAAAAATATTGTTATTATTTTTGTGAGTGACGCAAGTGATTCAGTCAATTTACAGAAATTTCCAAGGTCTGGCTATAGCTTATTCACTCACTTAAGTCTTCAGGGATGAATTTTTATATTCCATAAATATTTTACATCCATATTTGAAATTGGAAAGAAAGAATGGGAAGAAAATGCTCATGTCATTTTATTGCTTCCCTCTTTTTGTTCAAGGCAAAAGCATAACCACATGAAATATTTGACATAGGAAGTAAATTAACTATGTTAATATAGGTTGTAAAGGTCTAAAATCATTTGTAATGCAGGCTGAGGCTATAAGGAAAGTAGGAGTTATTTCGCAGAAGCTATTTAACTTATAGACTACTTGTCTCTTTCTTTGCCTAGTGATGTTGCTGGGAGTGTAGTGCTGAATGATGATGAAGTAATACTAAACACAAACCTCTGCTGGGCTCCCGATAGGAAAGCATGCCTTAGTCACAAGTAATAAAGTAAACACAGAAGCTGCAAAAATCCATCACCAGAGGAAAACAATAATTTAAATGAGCGATAAAAAAGGCACTTCATCTATGCATAATAAGAAACCACTGAACAAAACAAATTATACACCACATCAGAATGGCTCACTGCCCAAAGAAATTGCAAACAGCTTATGATGAGAGAGAAGAGAAAACCACAGACTAAGAAAGGAAAGGAGAGCGTCCCTCATAAAAAGAATACCAATGCTCTGTCCCTGAAAATCCTACCCAAAGTATTTTGCTCAGTTGCACGGATTATATACAAGGAATACAGGGCCATTTGTGAAGAATGCCTTTGATGGTGTTTTGGATAAGAGAACAATACCATCAAGGAGGCATCTGTCATACACAAATATGTGTAGCAATGCATTACCTATATTACACCTGTGTCTTCAAATTACTGTTTCCTTCTAGTGAAGTTCAGTAAGATCAAAATAAGGCCTGGATTTTGCTATTTAAAATGATATTTATTACTGATAACCATGGTTGTTGTAGATATTTTTGACTGAAATATTGTAAGAGCCATTTCCATTATGGAAACTGAAGAACAGAAATATTTGGCAATTTCCCAGTCTGTAGGTAAGTCAGTATTCGTCCCCAAACAAAACTTAGTTCTCATAAACTCCTCAGATACTGTTATAACACTCCTCAGATACTTTTATCTTTTTGTGGATATGCTGTTATATAGAGAAATTCTCACAATCTCAGTGTCTATAATATGAACACAAGTTTAGGAATTGGAAAGTTGTTATGTAATTATACAATTATATTTAAATTGATTTTCAGAATTAATGAATAATAATATAGAGTACTGTAATATATTGAGTTTAAGCTGTACTAGACAATAAGATCTACATTAAGGTGGTAATTCATATCTATGGAGGAGATCATCAAAGGTGATTATTGAGCATGAAAAAAATAATGATGACCAATTGAAGAATTAAATTCAGAGAACTTTTATTATTTATTAACATAGAGAAAAATGTTGAGAAAAACTTCTGAGGAAAAAAGAAATAAATGACACTAGAGAGTTAGAAGTAAAAGTAAAACAAACTAACTAAAACATAATTGAGCTACAAGAATCCACAAGTCATAAGGCTCAAAGTAAAGAAAGGTGGGTTAAAGAACCTTTAGAAATTAAGAGACATTTTAAGTGGTCTTAGTAGAAACAAAATAAATGATGTTATAGCAACAAATGACTGTTTAAGTATCCTTAGCAATATCTTGAAAACACACAAAGAGCAGATTAAAATGGCGAAATGAATACAAATGAGTAACTCCCACTCTTAGTCTGTAGCTTCAAAACTATATGTGTGTGTGTGTGTGTATGTGTATGTGTGTGTGTGTGTGTGTGTGTGTATATATATATATATATATATATATATAATAAATCTGTAATAAACCTGAAATACAAATAAGCAAACAAAGTAATATCAGCAAACTAGAGGGTGAGAATGTCAGATGAGCAGGGTAGCTCAGCCCCTTTTAAACATGTTTCTTAGGGACTGGCAACAGAAACCCTTAGGTTGAGGATGAAGCAATGGTTTTAGCATTGCTGCCAGAGACAGGCTACTAGCAAGAGTTGGGAAGAGCAATGAGGTTTTAAGCCCAGGATTCAGAGTTCTAGCATCTGGCAGCATCTCTCACTGTTCTCCATGACCCTTTGAGACAGGTTTCAAGAAACTAGTATGGCTTCAGAGAACTGAGAGTGGAGAGCTTAAAAAACAAGATGACTATACAACCAAAATTCTAGAAGTATTATTATTAGAGTTACATGAAAATCAATAGTCAGAAGTGCTAACGGAGGAAAAACTCTTTAGAACAATAATACAATTTTTAAAAAACTGTATATAATACAACTAATCGCTTAAAAAAGAACATTGCATTTATAAAATTGTAGCTACAAAATAAATGATTATGAACTTTGAAAATAAAAATATAAAGTCATTTTAATATAAAAACTATAGATGCAGCTGAATAGAATTAGTAACTTAGAAAATTCAAATGGCAGTTTCTGAAAAACAAGATGGAAAAAATCAGTGATTAACATAATGAAAAAGAAAAGTCAAGATTTACAGAGAAAAGGTCTAGAAATCCCATCTGTCATCCATGATGCAGAGAGAATGAAAAGGGCTAATATAATCAAAGGTATATCAGAATTTTTTAGATATAATGTTTTTTAAAATAAAAATCCTCATCATTCAGAAAGAAGACAGCAAGATAGAGGCTTTCAATTTTCAAACTTCCAAGAGAAGCAAAATATAAATCTAGACATGAAACGATATTACTTTAAACATTCTAAGTTGAAAAGCTATGTAACGGTAGAATAGATACAACTGAAAATAACAACTAGAATAAATCTGAAGCATTTTCTAAAATTTAGAATTGAGGTATCAATCAACAAATTTAAAAAGACATCAAAAACATCGAGAAAATAATGAGAAGATCTAAAGAAAGGCTTTTAGGGTTCTAAGGAGAAAAGAAAATTTGAGAAAAAGAATTATTTATAGAAATAATGACTGGAAATTTTGCATAATTGAATAAAAACATAAAATATTAGATTTGAAACATACACAGGTAAACAGAATATATATCTAGGCTAGTATTACTATACTGGCAGACTCAGAGTAGCTGAAGGGAAAAGAGAGTATCTACAAATAGAAATCTACAGTGAAAGTTGATGTTTAATACAAGAGTTCATTAATAAGAATCTTCACAATTGGATAGCTTGTGAGAGAGAGATTGTGATCTTAAATATCTGAAACATCTGTCAGGAAATTTGGTAAATAAATATTTGTATGTACAAGTAATTTCATAGTCGATAGCTACACGAATGAATAATCTAGAACTATCAGTACCAGTATGAATGAAAATAGTTTTTATACAGAAGAATAGTTATGTGTCAACGCAAATAAGTCGATGATCTATAAATACATGAGCCTAGACATTTAGGAATATTACCTAAGTTAGCGTAGTGAAGTTTGAAACTATAGAGGGGTGTGTTCTGTGAGGAAGGAGTGTGGTTATTAAAAGGTCAGCCAAAAAGCAAGCGTTGCTCTGTTTTTCTCCAGCATTGCCCAGGGGAGGTGGGCGCCAGCCAGCAGATACAAGTTTCTGCTTAACCTAACAGCCTCCACCCTGCAGTGACAACAGAAGCATCTGGCTTGCAGCACTCCATAGCCTCAGGCACTAAGGTCACTCAACCAATACTCCTTCCCAGTTACATTTAATTTCAGGGAAAAATGAAGGAAAAAAAGACCAAAATGAGATGGGAATAATTGTTGAGGATTTCATTATTATTATTATTATTTATTTTTTTGAGAGTGGCACAAGCTCGTGTACTGGTTTAGGAGAAAAAAGTTACATAATGGATGGGTAAAGTCCAACGGACAGAAAGAAGATCATAGAGTTATAGCATAAGCAGATTGAAAGAAGGACAGTGTTTCCTCTAAAATTTGCAGAGCAGGAAGAAAATAGGAAATGAAAAAAATAAAAAATGTCACTGATGTTGGAGCACATTGTTGAGAAATTTATACATTATATTTATTGTGTTTTCTGAAAGCCAAGTAGGGAAATAATTAATTATTTTGAGGAGTAGAAGAGATTATGAGAAAAGCAATAATGTTTTCAATAGCTATATGGCAACATGGAAGAAAGAGCTGATCAGAGACAAATATGAAATACAAAAATGACTGAGGAATGCTAAAGGCCCAAATGAGAGTAGAGATGATAGATTTTAATAACTTAAACAGCATCATATAATACTTCTCTGGAAAGCAGGCGTTTGTTTTAGCCCAAGGTTAGATATGAGTAGGGAAAGAACAAAAAAAAAAGAAGGAAAGAATAGGAGAAACGAAGAAGTTAAGTAGACAGTTGTTGACATGTCAAATTATAGAAATTGTACTGGATAAGAAATGTGAAACTAGATAAAGACTGTATGGCTAGATCATGTGAAAATGAATATATCAAGGAAATGAAAATCCTGATGCAGTCAAAGCGATCCAGTAAAGGAGTGAAAAAGGTACAAAAACAGGAGGCTATGATTAAAAATCAGCTTCCTACACAGAGTTAATACTTGACATTTTCTTGGACTGGTAACTTGTTTGTCTCATTTATTGATGTATCTATCCCTCCCACCCTACCACATTGCATGGTTACTTCCACATGATGACTGTTTAATCGTAATTTTTGAATATCTGATCTCATAGATGGTTTGGTCCTTTGTGTAGGTGATAACTAGATGAGAAATTTTACGAAAATAAGAAGGCTTCACCTGAGAGAATTACATAAGAAACATTAATGGCAGAGTTGGATCAAGTCTTAGAAGACACAATATGGTGTGTGGTTATCAGGCCTCTAGAGTAAATTTAAAACAATAAATTTGGCTATGTCACTACAATACATTAGCTGTAGGAGACTACACAATAAACTTAATCATTGTGAGCCTCCATTTTCTCATTTATAGAAAGGGCATAACACTTCTATCGTAATATTTTTGCAAGGACAAAATTAGATAATAATGCACATCTGCTTGTGTCTGGAATATATGACTGTTCATTATATGTTTGGTATTTTTTAATGCTCCCCAAATTACTGTGATAGAACCTATACCCCTTTTTATGCAATAACATTACTTTACCAAGACATTAAAGATCCCAAGTAAGTTTAAGTTTCGTAATTTGCTAACTCTGAAAGTCAAATAATTGCACCTACTGAAGATTCATAATGTATCATTTAATCTTTAATCAAGGAGAAAATTTTTGTGGCAATGAAACTGATAAGCACAACTAATTGTACATTGTACATATAAATTTCACATTGTAAAGCCATAACACTGTCTATGTCAATCTTTATACCACAAGTTCACAAAACTCTTTTGAAGAAATAACTGTGTCTTTTAGCTCTGATGTACCTCATCACCTATGGAACATGGTATAGTGCCATTGGCTTTTTCAAAATTATCTCAGCCATTATAAGCAAAGAGACAGTGTCCTGACAGTTGAAACTACCTTCTGTAAGTGCTGCTGCATTGAGAGAACAAGTGCTAGTCTGGAGAGGAAAAGTGTAAGCATAAAACTTTGATGCCTCAATTCAAATTTTTCTTTTAAGCTTCCCCTTTAACTACTCGTAAGGCATCCTGACTTTAAAAAGCAAAAGGATATAAAGCATCTACTGAAGCATATTTAAGTTCTATTCTTCCTTCAGTTTGGCTAATCAAAAGTGATGTATATATCTCAATAATTTCATGACAAAAAAGCATGGACATATATTGGCAAATTCTTCATAACGGCTCATTCAGACTGAATCAGAGCCTGATTCAAGATAAAAAGGAATTTAAAAATCTTTCCACTATGAGCATTGGAATTAACTCATTCCTTTAATAGCCTTAATTCATCGCTGGAAACCCCACAGCTACGCGAAAAGTTCATACGTATAAAAAAAAATCCATAGGCATAAAAACGTGTCAAATGACAAGAAGACATGTTTATATAAGGAGCAAACAAATAGGTTTATTAATCTTAAGAAGGAAGACTGAATACTGATGGGAAAGATATGAGAAACAATCATTATTTTGATGGTGCATTATTTTACTGCGCCATTTTCATTTGCAATTTGTCACCCTTCCTGGGTTTTGGGGTTACTCTGCACTCAAACTCCACTTAATACATTTAGAGAAAAATAAAAGGCAATAAATCACAAGAGCACATTGAAACACATAGAAATAGCTCATGTACACAAGAGATGCAAAGTCAAATAAGATGCTCTATTTTCATCCCTTTTACTTGGCATACATACTAAAGCAAAACAGTTGGGTTCATCCAAACATGGAACATAATTCAAATTTTTCCATAATTTTTCTAAGAACTGTTTTGTCATGTAAATTATTGAGTGTATCTTTGCCTGAAATTAAAATGTCAAAGTATCACTTTTTACAGAATATTAATTTATTGTCCTTTAACTGAAAAAGTCATCACACTGGAACAAAAGGAGACATTGTCAAAAATATAATACAAATTTTCAAGAACTACTAGAGTAAATAGTTTTTAACTGAACAGGCATTATGTTAGGTAGCTCTGTTTTCGCCCCAGTTTATTAACTCAATATATTTTTGAAAGCGAAAACAGAAGCATTAATAAAATATTTGCAATATTTTGTAAGGTACTCTGAAGATAGCACACAGTAACTTTTAATAACATAAACACACACACAATTACTAACGTAATGGTCTGTTCATTATGGAAAAATAAGTTTCCTCAAACATCATATTTGCAGATATCAGATGTATAGAAGTCAAGGATATCTTTGCTTTCACTAAAAACTCAGGAAGTAGTGACAAAAGACTCAAGGTTTTGTTTAATTTAAAGACAACTGCTCAACAAGGTGCAGCTGTTTCTGTAGCTTCTCAGGATTCAGTGTGTCATTCCCTCCATCCCACACTGTGGTGTGATGAGCTTTGGGAGGCAAGACATCATTTTTTCCTTATCAGTTTATTATCAAAAATATCAAAAGGACTAGATTAGAGATTTTACTTCATTCAGCCTCAATGAAGATATGTACAATGTTGCTACAGGCAGGACATAATATATTCCACTGACAAATGAGATGAATATGCTGTCTTTCTTTGGGCCCCAAATATTTTCAGCATCATTACTGAAGTACGAAATCTGCATGTCAAATTAATTTGTGCTCTCTTCACCTCACACTGATTAGCACAAATTAAGTTTCACACTCATCACCTAGAGCAGTTAAGTGTACTAAATTCCATTATGTCCTTCAACTATAGTTTTTGAAAGTTCTCTTTCCATATTTTATATTTAATAAATGCCTGTAGTGTTCATTTCAAAGCAACCATGTGAAATGAAGTTTCTCACAGCATGTCTCAGATATTCCTCAGTGTTGAAAGACGGTGTTTAGAAACACCTGTAAATTTCACAGCTAATAGTTTCAAAAGATGTACCCAAGAATTAGTTAAACAATAAGTATGGTCTTAAAGATCTCAAATATTACATGAATTTGCATCATGAAAACCCACAGGTATACTTTCAATACGTGGATTATATTCATTTACATAAAAAATCAAATGTAGATGTATCACTTCACAGAAAATCCTAATATGTACAAAATGTGAGGTTTTAAACTGCTTTACCTTCGTTAGGTAGTTTCCTATTGACTCAAAAGGGAGTTAGTGAAGGAGGAATTTTGCTGAGAGTCTATATTCCAAATGTCCTCATAGAAACTCTGTTTATGTTAAAGTTTTGTAAATGTAAATACAGGGAAAATATGATTAGAAATCTATAATAAAGCATATATTAAATAATAAGCTGAAGGAGAAATACATTTAATACATGAATATAGTTTTGTATTTCATCACATTATTCAGATAATG
Source organism: Homo sapiens (assembly GCF_000001405.40). Lineage (NCBI taxonomy): Eukaryota > Metazoa > Chordata > Mammalia > Primates > Hominidae > Homo > Homo sapiens. Next base: position 27,177,229 of record NC_000014.9, on the reverse strand, counting down.
TGAAAATATTACAGTAATAAAAAGTCAAATTAAGCAGTCTGTAAAGTTATAAAACATTTTAGCAAACTTATGCAAAACAAGACTGCAAACAAACACTTTCTCTTTAATATTTGAAAAGTATTTACTAATTCATTTTAGATATGTTCTCCTGTAGACTGAGAAATTTGTTTCTAAGAGGAGATATGTGAGGGAGGGAAAAAAAGAGAAGGGGAAAGTTAGAAGGGATTCCTGCAACATAATAATGGTAAACTCCAAGATGGGTCCTAGTATATCCACATCCTAAGCATCACAGTATTAATATTGTGGTTTACGATACTGTGTTTTGTGATTGATTCTGCCATCTTTCCATCTCAACATTACATTGAACACTAAATTCAAGGACCAAGCTGGTGCCTTTCATTTACTTGGCTATCTGATTATTATCTGCTTCTGTCAATGTCTCACAAAATATTGATGTTCAAGAAAAATCCTCTGGATGTTTATTGCCCTTGTGCTTTGTTATAGACTGAACGTTTGTATTTGCCACCCCCTACATCCGTATGTTGAAACTCTAACATGAAATGTGATAGAGGCATAGTCTTTGGAAGCCAATCAGGTTTAGATGAGGTCATGAGCATGGAGCCCTCAGAATGAAATTAGAGTCTTTATGAGGAGAGAAAGAGGCCAGAGCTCCCTTCCTCTCTCCCAATGTGAGGATAAAATGAGAAGGTAACATGTATGTATGCGAATCAGAAAGACGGCCATCACCTAGAACCAAATTTATTACCACCTTGATCCTGAATATCTTAGCCTCCAGAACTATGAGAAATGTCTGTTGTTTAAGCCACTCAATCCACGGTATTTTGTTATAGCAGCTTATGCTGTACATCCACTTCATGTACACAACTATACTACCCGATAATACCATGGGAATATGATTTGAAATATGACAATTATTAGGAAATACTAACTCTAATACCATATTCTTGACTCTGCTCTTAAAGAAAAAATAACAATACAAAATGCTGTAATGTTTTCTGTCTCTTTTAATTGCAGAATATAGTCATTTACGTGTAAGGTGGACATTTTTAATGACAAAACTTGGTGTAGGACACCAAAAATATTTTTATTAATTTATATCTAATAACTATTAATGTATATCTAATTTCCTTACCATGTTATTTTGTTTATTCATACTTATATGCTCATTATTTTAAGAGTCAAACTATTATTACAGATGTATCTGCAATTAACTGATGTATTTCAGTTTAACGTAGTAATAATTTCAATACCTAGAACAAGTCTTTCTATGGATTTCTGAGCGATGAATAAATTTTCATTAATGTACACATTAAGCAAACCTTGATTAACTCTAATACTTTCTTAGACAGTGATTCCGTACATTCAATGCTCTGTCATGGTCTCTCACTTTGTCTCCCTGGCCACCACTGGGAGCCAGTTGGATGCAGAAAAATGAAATACCTCATGCAGTAATATAATGTGCTAATTACATAAATGAAAAATATTCATTAAAATTCTAAGGGATATGAGGTCATCAAAAGTAGACTTTTCATCTTATGTCCCTGGAATAATTCACAGAGACTAGTATGTACTAAGTCCTTGGTATATTTCCTGAATTGGTTAATTAAGAAAAAGTACCAGGCACTCTACACGTCATGAAGCATTAAAAATAAAGTACATTGATGCAGTGGCTCATGCCCATAATCCCAGTACTTTGGGAGGCCGCGGCAGGCGGATCACGAGGTCAGAAGATGGAGACCGTCCTGGTTAACACGGTGAAACCCCATATCTTTTTAAAAAAATACAAAAAAAATTAGCCAGGCATGGTGGTGGGTGCTTGTAGTCCCAGCTACTCGGGAGGCTGAGGCAGGAGAATGGCCTGAACCTGGAAGACGGAGCTTGCAGTGAGCTAAGATTGAGCCACTGCACTCCAGCCTGGGTGACAAAGCGAGACTCCGTCAAAAAAAAAAAAAAAAAAAAATTGAGGGTCCAACTCTAGAAGAAAATACAGTCTAATGGAGGGGTTTATTCATACTGAGAACTAATCTAACTAATTAGTAATGAGAATAGAATACAGATATATGCAGTTCATTTAAATAAGCAAGGTGCATATTTTAAGCAGTAAAATGATGGGCCTGAAAAATCATACCAACAAAACCAGAACTACCATATATAAACTTTGAATACTCAGTTATGTTTATTGTATTCTTTGCTCCGTGGAGTTGTGAGTCACAGAGCACTGGTAGTGTTCCTGGACTAGCCTAGTAAATGAAGAGGTTTGCTTTGCTGCTCAGTTTTGTGATTAAGGCTTACTCTGAATTATCTACCAAGTTCTTTCCTATTAATACAATTTGGGGTCAATAATTTCAAATAATTATTTGAAAATAATTTGAAATCAATAATTTCAAATTCCTACATGTAAGGAGAGACTTATTATTTTTTACCTTAGAAATGAGTTAGGAAAAGAAAAGCACCTCTGGAATGAAAGACTAAAGAGCTCTGAAAAAAATTACTTCTTGGTGAAAATTAATAAAAGCACTAGAAAAATGTCAAAATCAACTTTTTCAGAACTCTGGAAGTTAATAAAGAGACTAAACAATCCACAAAACATTTGTTTAGGGAGAAAAATGGTAAATCTCAATAAGAAAAGTGAACTTTATGGCGTTTTAACTTACCCCATCATATTTTCCTCTTGACATCACCAGCAAAGCCTCAAAACCCAGAAGCTCAACAGCCACAGTTGAAGCAAAGTGGATGTGCGGCCTACATAAAGCCCCTTTCCCAAAGAACTGCCACTATTTGACCTGCCTGAAAGATCTCAGGGAGTCACTTGCAAGGCTTTTCATTGTTTGACCTGACTAGCAGCTTGCTCAGTGAAGACAGCTCTACTCTAGAGTGTTTTTGAAAAACAATCAGCGCAAATTATTTAACACTGAAGTTGCCTGAGGCAGGCATACCAGGTGGGCCAAAGAAGAGAGTAGTCAACAACCCTAAAAGGAAAATAAGTGTAATGAGACACACATGTGGGATTTTGATAAGCTCCCAAGTATGCTGTGTTTATTTCTATGCCAAGAAACACCTGAAAGTGCCCTGCTCTGTCACCTCTAGTTGACCTCAAGGATCTGCGCAAATTGGAAATGAAGGATAAGGCATAATTGTAAACTCCTGAAGAGCTAAAGTCGCCGCCCCCCCCAATATACACACAGATACCTTCTACAAAGGTTGTGAGATTTACTGATTTAAGGAATTTAAGAAAGTTTCTGTACACTCTTTGTTGACTACTAAGTTAACTGGAACAGAGACTTCAATGGCCACATGCAATGAAAAAATATAGACTTTAAAGAATTAGTCCAGGAAAGTCACTAAACAAACAAACAGCAACAACAAAACCTGGAGAGAAACAGGAATCTCTTTTCCAAAGTTTCACATTAGATTATTGCAAATGTTCGTTTTTACACACACACACACACATATGTGAGAAATGTAGAGAAACAAAAAATATTACCTATACACAAGAAAGAAAAAACAAAGGAGTTAATAGAAACTGTCCCTGAGGAAAATCAGATGTTGGACTTATTAAACAAATATTTAATTCTGCTATTATAAATATACTCAAAAAATAAAAACTAAAGGAAGCCATATCTGAAGAATTAAATGAAAGTATGAGAACTATGCCTCACCACATAGATAATACCAATCAAGAGACACAATAAAAAGAACAAAGTATAAATTATTTAGTTGAAAAGCAAGATTACTAAATGCAAATTCACTAGAAGTGCTCAACAGCTGATCTGAGCTGACAGGAGAAAGAAACAACAAACTTGAACATAGGTCAACTGAGATTTCTCAATTATTTCTGAGGAATGGGAAGAAAAAAGAAATGTATATAATTAAGGAAGTGTCAGAAAACTGTGTGACACCATCAAATGTACCAACCTATGCATAATGGTAGTCAAGGAGAAAAAAGAGAAAAAGGAAGAAAGAATATTATACAGAATAATAGCTGAAATTTTCCAAAATTGATAAAGAACATTAATCTATACATTTAAGAAGCTCAATGAATCCAAGTAATAAACTCAAAGACATCCACACTCAGACACATTATAGTCAAATTGACAAGGGTCAAAGGCAGAGAGAAATCAAGAAGAAGAAAATATCACACATAAGGGATCATCAATAAGATTAAGGGCTGACTTTGCATTAGTAGTAATGGAAGTCAGTAGGCAATGGGATGATATATTCAATTACTGGATAAAAAGAGACTCTCAACTAACAGTCAATAATTGAATTGTTTGTATCTCAAAGGATAAATACTTGAGGGGACGGATGCCCCATTCTTCATAATGTGCTTATTTGACATTGCATGCCTGTATCAAAACATCACATGTACCCCATAAATACATATGCCTACTATATACCCACAAACATTTTTTAAAATTTTTTAAATGAACAAATAAGAATTCTATATCCAGCATTTAGATCCACAGTTTTTGTATTTTATTAAAACTAACTTGACATTAATCAAACATAACTGATGAAAGTTAATATGCTGCTTATAATCCCCAGGGCAACAATTAAAAAATAAACCAAAGTACAATAAAATAAACAACAAGGGAATTAATATTAAGCATAAGTGGATTAGGCACTTCCATCACAGGCAGAAATTGACAGAATAAATTTGAAAAAATAAAGTACCAATTCCTATCTACAAGAGACATGCTTTATAATCAAACATAAAAAGAGACTGAAAGAAAAAGCATGAAAACCTATACACAATGCAAACATTAACCAAAAGAGAGCTGAATGGTTATATTAATATCAGGTTTAATATGATTTGGCTGCGTCCCCACCCAAATCTCACCTTGAATTGTAACTACCACAATTCCCACGTCATGGGAGGATCCCTGTGGGAAGTCATTGAATCATGGGGGTGAGTCTTTTCTGCGCTGTTCTCCTGTTAGTAAATGAGTCTCATGAGATCTGATGGTTTGAAAAATAGGAGTTTCCCTACACAAGCTCTCTCTTTGCCTGTCGCCATCCACTTAAAATGTGACTTGCTCCTCCTTGCCTTTCACCTTCCACCATGATTGTGAGACCTCCCACGCCACATGGAATGGTAAGCCCAATAAACCTCTTTCTTTTGTAAATTGCCCCATCGTGGGTATGTGTTTATCAGCAACGTGAAAAGGGGCTAATATAGTAAATTGGTACCAGTAGAGTGGGGCATTGCTGAAAAGATGCCAAAAAACGAAGAAGCGAGTTTGGAACTGGGTAACAAGCAGAGGTTGGAATAGTTTGGAGGGCTCAGAAGAAGACAGGAAAATGGTGGAAAGTTTGGAACTTCCTAGAGACCTGTTGAATGGCTTTAACAAAAATGCTGATAGTGATATGAACAATAAGGTCTAGGCTGAAGTGGTCTCAGATGAAAGATGAGGAACTTGTTGGGGATTGGAGCAAAGATGACTTTTGTTATGTTTCAGCAAAGAGACTGGCAGCATTTTGTCCCATCCTAGAGATTTGTGGAACTTCGAACTCGAGAGAGATGATTCTGGGTATCTGATAGAAATTTCTAAGCAGCAAAGCATTTGAGAGGTGACTTGGGTCCTGTTAAAGGGATTCAGTTTTATAAGAGAAGCAGAGCATAAAAATTCAGAAAATTTGCAGCCTGACAATGGGATAGAAAAGAAAATCCCATTTTCTGAGGAAAAATTCAAGCTGGCTGCAGAAATTTGCATAATTAATGAGGAGCAAATTTTGTTCCCCAAAACAATAGGGAAAATGTCTAAAGGGCATGTCAGAGATCTTCATGGACCCCCTCCCCTCACACACACAGAGGCCTAGGAGGTAAACATGGTTTTGTGGGCCAGGCCCAGGGTCTCTGTGCTGTCTGCATTCTAGGGACTTGGTACCCTGCATCCTAGCTCCTCCAGCCATGACTAAAAGGTGCCAAGGTAAAGATCAAGCTTTGGCTTCAGAGGATGCAAGCCCCAAGCCTTGGTAGTTTCTTTTTTTTTTTTTTAATTATTATTATACTTTAAGTTTTAGGGTACATGTGCACAATGTGCAGGTTAGTTACATATGTATACATGTGCCATGCTGGTGTGCTGCACCCATTAACTCGTCATTTAGCATTAGGTATATCTCCTAATGCTATCCCTCCCCCTTCCCCTCACCCCACAACAGTCCCCAGAGTGTGATGTTCCCCTTCCTGTGTCCATACATTCTCATTGTTCAATTCCCATCTATGAGTGAGAACATGTGGTGTTTGGTTTTTTGTCCTTGCGATAGTTTACTGAGAATGGTGATTTCCAATCTCATCCATGTCCCTACAAAGGACATGAACTCATCATTTTTTATGGCTGTATAATATTCCATGGTGTATATGTGCCACATTTTCTTAATCCAGTCTATCATTGTTGGGCATTTGGATTGGTTCCAAGTCTTTGCTATTGTGAATAGTGCCACAATAAACATACGTGTGCATGTGTCTTTATAGCAGCATGATTTAGAGTTCTTTGGGTATATACCCAGAAATGGGATATCTGGGTCAAATGGTATTTCTAGTTCTAGATCCCTGAGGAATCGCCACACTGACTTCCACAATGGTTGAACTAGTTTACAGTCCCACCAACAGTGTAAAAGTGTTCCTATTTCTCCACATCCTCTCCAGCACCTGTTGTTTCCTGACTTTTTAATGATTGCCATTCTAACTGGTGTGAGATGGTATCTCATTGTGGTTTTGATTTGCATTTCTCTGATGGCCAGTGATGATGAGCATTTTTTCATGTGTTTTTTGGCTGCATAAATATCTTCTTTTGAGAAGTGTCTGTTCATGCCCTTCACCCACTTTTTGATGGGGTTGTTTGTTTTTTTCTTGTAAATTTGTTTGAGTTCATTGTAGATTCTGGATATTAGCCTTTTGTCAGATGAGTAGGTTGCAAAAATTTTCTCCCATTTTGTGGGTTGCCTGTTCACTCTGATGGTAGTTTCTTTTGCTGTGCAGAAGCTCTTTAGTTTAATTAGATCCCATTTGTCAATTTTGGCTATTGTTGCCATTGCTTTTGGTGTTTAAGACATGAAGTCCTTGCCTATGCCTATGTCCTGAATGGTAATGCCTAGGATTTCTTCTAGGGTTTTTAGGGTTTTAGGTCTAATGTTTAAGTCTTTAATCCATCTTGAATTAATTTTTGTATAAGGTGTAAGGAAGGGATCCACTTTCAGTTTTCTACATATCACTAGCCAGTTTTCCCAGCACCATTTATTAAATAGGGAATTCTTTCCCCATTGCTCGTTTTTCGTTTTTCTCAGGTTTGTCAAAGATCAGATAGTTGTAGATATGCGGCATTATTTCTGAGGGCTCTGTTCTGTTCCATTGATGTATATCTCTGTTTTGGTACCAGTACCATGCTGTTTTGGTTACTGTAGCCTTGTAGTATAGTTTGAAGTCAGGTAGCGTGGTGCCTCCAGCTTTGTTCTTTTGGCTTAGGACTGACTTGGCAATGCGGGCTCTTTTTTGGTTCCATATGAACTTTAAAGTAGTTTTTTCCAATTCTGTGAAGAAAGTCATTGGTAGCTTGATGGGGATGGCATTGAATCTATAAATTACCTTGGGCAGTATGACCATTTTCATGATATTGCTTCTTCCTACCCATAAGCATGGAATGTTCTTCCATTTGTTTGTATCCTCTTTTATTTCATTGAGCAGTGGTTTGTAGTTCTCCTTGAAGAGGTCCTTCACGTCCCTTGTAAGTTGGATTCCTAGGTATTTTATTCTCTTTGAAGCAATTGTGAATGGGAGTTCACTCATGATTTGGCTCTCTGTTTGTCTGTTGTTGGTGTATAAGAATGCTTGTGATTTTTGTACATTGATTTTCTATCCTGAGACTTTGCTGAACTTGCTTATCAGCTTAAGGAGATTTTGGGCTGAGACAATGGGGTTTTCTAGATATACAATCATGTCGTCTGCAAACAGGGACAATTTGACTTCCTCTTTTCCTAATTGAATACCCTTTATTTCCTTCTCCTGCCTAATTGCCCTGGCCAGAACTTCCAACACTATGTTGAATAGGAGTGGTGAGAGAGGGCATCCCTGTCTTGTGCCAGTTTTCAAAGGGAATGCTTCCAGTTTTTGCCCATTCAGTATGATATTGGCTGAGGGTTTGTCATAGATAGCTCTTATTATTTTGAAATACGTCCCATCAATACCTAATTTATTGAGAGTTTTTAGCATGAAGGGTTGTTGAATTTTGTCAAAGGCCTTTTCTTCATCTATTGAGATAATCATGTGGTTTTTGTCTTTGGTTCTGTTTATATGCTGGATTACATTTATTGATTTGCATATATTGAACCAGCCTTGCATCCCAGGGATGAAGCCCACTTGATCATGGTGGATAAGCTTTTTGATGTGCTGCTGGATTCCGTTTGCCAGTATTTTATTGAGGATTTTTGCATCAATGTTCATCAAGGATATTGGTCTAAAATTCTCTTTTCTGGTTGTTTCTCTGCCCGGCTTTGGTATCAGGATGATGCTGGCCTCATAAAATGAGTTAGGGAGGATTCCCTCTTTTTCTATTGATTGGAATAGTTTCAGAAGGAATGGTACCAGTTCCTCCTTGTACCTCTGGTAGAATTCGGCTGTGAATCCATCTGGTCCTGGACTCTTTTTGGTTGGTAAGCTATTGATTATTGCCACAATTTCAGCTCCTGTTATTGGTCTATTCAGAGATTCAACTTCTTCCTGGTTTAGTCTTGGGAGAGTGTATGTGTCGAGGAATTTATCCATTTCTTCTAGATTTTCTAGTTTATTTGCATAGAGGTGTTTGTAGTATTCTGTGATGGTAGTTTGTATTTCTGTGGGATCAGTGGTGATATCCCTTTTATCATTTTTTATTGCATCTATTTAAGCCTTGGTAGTTTCCATGTGGTGTTGAGACTGTGGGTGCACAGAAGTCAAGAATTTAGGTTTGGGAACCTCCCTGTAGATTTCAGAGGATGTATGGAAATGCCTAGATATCCAGGCAGATGTTTGCTGCAGGGGCGAGGCCCTCGTGGAGAACCTCTGCTATGGCAGGGCAGAGGGAAATGTGGGCTTAGAGCCCCCATACAGAATCCTTACTGGAGCACACCTAGTGGAGCTGTGAGAAGACAGCCATCATCCTCCAGACCCCAGATTGGTAGATCCACTGACAGCTTGCACTGTTTGCCTGGAAAAACTGCCGACACTGAACACCAGCCTGTAAAGGCAGCTGGGAGAGAGGCTGTACCCTGCAAAGCCACAGGGGTGGTGCTGCCCAAGACCATGGGAATCCACCTCTTGCATCAGCATGACCCAGATGCAAGATATGGAGTCAAAGGAGATCATCTTGGGGCTTTAATATTTGACTGCTCTGCTGGATTTCAGACTTACCTGGGGCATGTAGTCCCTGTGTTTTGGCCAATTTCTCCCATTTGAAATGAGTGTATCCCCATTGTAAGTAGGAAGTAAATAACTTCCTTTTGATTTTACAGGCTCATAGGTAGAAAGGACTTGCCTTGTCTCAGATGAGAGGTTGGACTGTGGACTTTTGAGTTAACGCTGAAATGAGTTAAGTCTTCGGGGGACTGCTGGGAAGGCATGATTGGTTTTGAAATGTGAGGGCATGAGATTTGGGAGGGGTCAGGGGAGGAATGATATGGGTTGGCTCTGTCCCCACCCAAATCTCATCTTTAATTTTAACTCCCACAATTCCCATATGTTGTGGGAGAAACCAGGTGGGAGGTTATTGAATTATGGAGGAGTGGGTTTTTTCTGTGTTGTTCTCATGATAGTGAATGAATCTCAAGAGATTTGATGCTTTTAAAAATCGGAGTTTCCTGGCCGGGCACAGTGGCTCACGCCTGTAATCCCAGCACTTTGGGAGGCCAAGGCATGTGAATCATGAAGTCAGGAGATGAAGACCATCCTGGCTAACACAGTGAAACCCCGTCCCTACTAAAAATACAAAAATTAGCCGGGCGTGGTGGTGGGTGCCTGTAGTCCTAGCTACTTGGGAGGCTGAGGCAGGAGAAGGGCGTGAATCCGGGAGGCAGAGCTTGCAGTGAGCTGAGATCATGCGCCACTGTGCCATTGCACTCCAGCCTGGGCGACAGAGCGTGACTCCGTCTCAAAAAAAAAAAAAAAAGGGGGGGTGGGGAGTTTCCCTGCACAAGCTCTTTCTTTGACTGTCACCATCCATGTAATACGTGACTTGCTGCTCCTTGTCATTCACCTTCCACCATGATTGTGAGGCCTCCCCAGCCATGTGGAACTGTCAGTCCAATAAACCTCTTCCTTTTGTAAATTGCCTAGTCTTGAGTATGTCTTCATCATCAATGTGCAAATGGACTAATACAAGGTTCAATAGACTTTGAGACAAAACTTTTACTAGAATAACATTTTATAATAAAAAATGAATAATTCATTGGGAAGACATAACAATTATAAGCTGCTATGGTTTAAATAATCGTGTCCCCTTCAAAATTTATGTTGAAACTTAGACCTCAATGTAACAGTATTAAGAGATGTGGCCTTTTGGAGGTGAATAAATCATAGGGACTCCAACATCATGGATGAGGTTACCTTTATAAAATAGCTCAATGTTCAGGGATGCTCTTTTGCCTTTCTTCCTCAGCCATGTGAGGACGTAGCAACAATGTACCATTTTGGAAGCAGAGAGCAGCTCTCATCAGGCAGCAATGTTGGCACCTTGATCCTGGACTTCATAGCCTCCACAATTGTAAGAAATAAATCCATGTTCTCTATAAATTACTCAGTTTTAGATATTTTGCTATGGAAGCATAAATGGACTAAGAAGTAGCATATATAGACTTAGCAATGGATCCCCCAAAATACAGAAATCAAAAACTAACATAAGTGAAGAAGTTAATAAACAATTCTACAATAATAGTTGGAAGCTACAATACATCATTTGAAATAATGAATAGGACTATTAGGCAGAAGATTGACAAGGAAATAGAAGACTCAACAGCACTATAAACCAAGAATACCCAACAAACATCTTTAAAACCCTCCACCTAACAACAGAGAACAACACATTCTTCTGAAGTACACCAAGAACATTCTTTAAGAAAAAACATATATCAGGCCATAAAACAAATCTTAATAAATTTAAAATAATTGAAATCATACAAATTAACATAGGAGAAATCATAAAAAGTGCGTTCTATTCCCACAACAAATTGGAATAAGAAACAAATTTGATAATTTAAACAATATTTGGAGATTAAACAATGCACTCAAATTCCCAATAGGTTAAACAAAAGGGAGATTACAAAATAGTTGGAGATGTATGAAGATGAATAAACAACATCCCAGAACTTAAGAAATTCAGTAAAAATAGTGCTTAGAGAAAAATTTATATTTATGCATGCATCTAAATTAAAAGAAAGATATCAAATTAATTTAACTTTCCACATTAAGAAATGAGAAAAAAAAGAGTAAAGTGAACCCAAAGCAAGGACAAAGAAGATAATAATAAAGATTATGATAGATGTGAATTAAATAATTAATAGAAAAAAGGAATCTGCAGAATCAAAGGTTGGTTTACTAATTTTTTATTAGATTTGCCAAGAAAAAAATAGAAAATAATCAAATTACTGAAATCAGGAATTAAGGAGAAGCCACTATTACTGACTTTATAGAAATAGGAAATAATTATAAGAATACCATGTTCAATTATATGCCAACAAAGTCAAATAGAAAGTTTCCTAGGAAGGAATGAACAACGGAAACACTCTCAAGAAGAAAAACAAAATCTGAATAAAACTACGAGAAGTTAAATCTGTAATTTAAAAACTTTCCAGAGAGAAACCCTAGTCCAAGATGTCTTCATTGGTGACTCCTACTAAACATTTAAAGCAGAATTATTATCAACTTTTCTCATAGTTTTTTTCAAATAGTAGAAGCACTAGGAACACGTCTCAAGTCATTCTCTTAGGCTAATGTTATCCTAATAACAAAACCAGACAAAGACATCACAGAAAAGAAAGCTACACACCAATTCTCCTGTGAGCATAGATTCAAAAATTGTCAATAAAATACTAGCAAACCAAATTTAGCAGCATATTAAGTTAATTATAACATCAACAGCAAACCTACAGTTAATATCATACTTAATATAAAACTGAACAGTGTCCACCTAAGCTGACAACAATATAATGGTCTCTTCTTTCACCATTCCTATTCAATATTGTACTGGAAATCCTAACTAGGGTAATAGACAATAAAAAGAAATGAACAATATGCATATTGAAAAGCAAAAAATAAAAGTCTTTATTTGCAGTTGATATGATTTTCTTTGCAGAAAATTCCAAATAAATGTGCAAATAACTTGGAACTAATTATTGAGTATTGGCAGGTCCCAGGATACAAAGTCCACATACAAAACTCTATTGCTTTCACATCTAACAAAATATGCACAGTATCTCTAGGCAAAAAAAATCTATAAGATGCTGAAGAAAGAAGTCAAGAATATCTAAATAAAAACTACAATCCATCTTCATGGATTGAACAATTCAATATTGATAAATAAGGCCAATTCTTCCCAACTTAATCTATACATTCAAAGCTATCCTTTTCAAAATCTCAGTTGCATTTTTAATTGAAATTGAAAAACTTAACCTAAAATTTTTATGGTGATTCAAGTGTTCCCAGTATAGCCAAAACCACCTTGATAAAGAAGAACAAAGTTTTGATGCAGGATTTTTTCTCAATCTTTTCATCCGTCTTTCAATGGGGTCCTCGGTTTACTCAACCTGCAGCACTCAACCTCTTGCAGGAGGGAGCGCTTCAGCGAGCGAGTGCGGGATCTGGCTGGCTGCTTTGGGTGCCTGCAGGAGCAGGCTCCATGTGGGCCCTGTGGCGGCACCCAGGTGGGGGTGCCTATGACCCCTGCAGCCTCAGAAGTTGTGTTACAATGCTCTCTTATCTCCACTGTCCATGGACCGTAGTGTGTTATCAGCTTAGTGGGCCCCTTGCCTCATCACATGGGGCAGCTGCCCTCTACCAGCAAGGATAAAGGGCTAATGTGACAGCAGACTTTTTTGAGTACCTGCACTTGGTAGGTCCTGAGCTCTTGTCCAGCATCCAAAAGGAATGAGGTTGTGTGGACACTTGAAAGATGGTGGAGGAGGATGATTTATTTAGTGGTGGGAATGGCTTTCAGGGAAGAGAGGAGCTGGAGAGGAGATGGGATGGGCAGGTAATCTTTCCTGCAGTTCGGCTCTCTCCAGGCAGCTCTTCTCCGAAGTTAAGCCCTCTCTCCTCTAAAGTCAAGCCATACCTGTGAAGTCAAGTCACCTCTCTCCACTCAAGCTGCTTCTCTCTTCTAGCAACAGAGTCTGCAGTCTTTCATAGCCACAGGATGGGGGGGGCAGGGCAGGCCATAGGTAGTTTTAGAAAAGGCAACATTTGATTCATAAAAAGACATTATTCAGAAAGAACTAATTGGTAGAGAGCAGGCAAACAGGGATAGAAGTTCTCACGTTGGGCCAAGGGTTTCAAACTTTTTGGCTTGAAGGTGGGGTTTCACCAGGTACTCACCCTTGCCTGCATCTATCAGTTTGAAGACACACACTTTTCAATTATAAGACTTACTACAAAGCTAGTAATCAAGAAAATTTGGTACATATAGAAAGGAACATACACGTGGTAAATATAGAAAGGCTAACATAAATATCAATTTATGAGCAATTGACTTTCGACATGGATTCTGAGACAATTCAATCATGAGAGCATAATCTCTTCAATAAATTGTCCTGGGAGACCTGCACATAAACATGCCAAAGAATCAGCCTGTACCCTCTACCTCATATCATAAGAAATATTAAGTCCAAATGGATCACAGGCCTCAATGAAAGAGCTAAAACTATAAACCTCTGAGAAGAAACCCTAACTGTAAGTTTTTATGATTTGAGATTAGCCAAAGAATTTTTAGATATGATATCAAAAGCACAAGTAATGCAAGAAAAGGCAAATAAATTGAATTCCATCAAAATTAAAATTGTTTTATTCAAAGGAACCACTGAAAATGAGAAAAGACAAGAGAATCATATCCAGATTATATAAAGAACTCTTATAAATTAACAATAAAAATAAATACAACTTAAAAAGGACAAATATTTCCAATAGATGTTTTTCCAAAAAAGAAAAATATCACCATAAGTTCCAAAAAAGAGAGACAAATGATCAATGGCCATGTGCAAAGATTTTAAATATCATTAGTCATTAGATAATTTCAAATACAAACCACAATGTGATACCAATTTCACTCACTAAAAGGGTTAATATTAAAAGTCAATAAGTCTTGACAGGGTGTGAAAAAATTACAATTCTGGTACATTGCTTCTGTGAATGTAAAATAGTACAGCTACTTTGGAAAACAGTTTGGCATTTCTCCTAAATGTCGGACATGGAGTTACCATTTATACAAGCAATTCCATTCCTGGGTATGTATTCAAGAAAAATAAAGACGTATGTCCATACAAAACCTTGCAGATGACTAGTCATCATGACATTATTTATAATGGTAAACACATGGCAACAACCCAAAGCCTATTAACTAATGAATGGATGAATAAAATGTGATATACCCATGATGTGCAGTATTATTTTTCCGTAAAAAGCAGTAAAGTGCTAGTATATGCTACGATATGGATAAACCTTGAAAACATCTTAAGTGAAATAAGGCATTAATGAACGACCACATACTGTGTGATTTCATTTATATGGAATTTACCGAATAAGTAAACCTATAGAGACAGTGTATATATTAGTGGTTGCCAGAGGCTGGGGGAGAGAGTTGGAGACAGTACAAATGGATATGGAGTTTCATTTTGGAGTTGTAAAAATGTTCTAAAATTAGAGTGGTGATAATTACACAGCTCTGTGAGTATACTAAAAAATCAAAAAGTTTTACACTTAAAAGAGAATTTTGTAGTTTTTGCATTATATTTATCTAGCTAGCTATCTAGCCACCTATCTAACTAAAGGAATTAGGTTCAGGAAGATGAGAGAAAGGCAGGTACAGCCTCTTACATTCCAAGTGAGATGCTCCTATCATTGCTTCGGTTTCTGTAACTATGGAATAGCCCATTCCCTCCTTCATTCCTTGGTCATGTACAGTCAAAAAAATGCATATTAATGACAAAGTGGAGGCACTCTTACTTTGCCTGAAGAATGTATTTGTGAAATAAAATTAACATACATTAACAATGTATGAGTCAAAAAACAGCTTTTGAGCAAAAAATACTGCTAAAGAACTTGATTGCATTAGGGTACCAGATGAAGCTGTCAGCTCCCAGGTTTGATCCACCAAGGGAAAAAGAAGCCAAAGACAAGGAAGGAAGACTGTATACTCTAAACAATTCCAAAGAACTCTCATATCTTCCCAGTACCAGGCATTTCAAGTGAACCAGCAAGACTTATGAATATGATACAAAGAAAAGATGTGCTTTGTTAAGGATACCAAGACCAAGAACAAATAAAATACAAGGCAAATGGAAAATGGGGGTCAGAATTAAATAAAGACTTCCTACACTGTGTTCCTTCGTAATTGCCTCTTAATATAGCTCATAGCTGCAGTGGTTACTGTCCTTGTCATGTTGCTTATGGTGAATTTCAGATCACTCTCCTTCAAACAGTGTTATACGTATGTTAATGTATGTTGATAAAATAACACTGAAAGATATATTTTATAATTTAGATATTTTATGTTTATATTTATAATTTAGATACATACATATATCTAAATTGTTTTCCAATCAAGGTAGTGAGAAGTACCTGTGAAAATATCTTGACATATAAATTCCATAACCATATCCCAAATTCACTGAAGAAGAATACCTAGGCATGATGACCAGTTATCTGCATTAATAATACAAATCATAATAATAATAACAAACTTGGAGTATGATTTTATGATCAGTCAGGTTTATAAGTTACTAGTCAACATTGTGAAAGGCAAAACACACACAAAGGATAACACACAGGTGCCTAAAAACACATAACTTGAAATCTGCAATGTGTAAACTAAGAGTCTAAACAGAGAAAGTGGTTTGTGTGAAGCTACATGGCCAGGTAGTAGCAATATTGCAAAATTACCTAGATTTACTAAAAATAGTCTTCCATTGGCTGAGCTCATGCTTTCCTTTTCCTTCAGTTTCCACAGATAGACCATAAAATGTAAGATTTAATGTTACAAAATATAATACAGTTTGTTAAATTAGCTCTGAAATCTCTTCAGACTTAAGGGCCAATTAATCACTATTTCACTTTTGTATATTATAAATATTAGAAAAGACATAAAATTAAATCACTTTTAAATCTTCGTGTATACTTATGAGTTTGGAAAATCATTTCACCCGGGGTGAAAACATGATATGGAACATAGCAATTGGCTCTGAGGGAGCATAATATAGGTTTGTAGAGTAGGAGGAATATTTCATTTACATTGTGTAAAGTTTTGTAATTTTATTTTTTTCAAAAATTCAGACTCATAAATTAGATTTTTACAATTTTAAAGGTGTACAGAATAATAAAGGAACAAAAATCTAACTTATTCAAGAAAACCCAGTAGATTCGCTTTTCTATTGGTAATCTGTAGCATAAGTTTAGAAGGTTAAAATGAATACATTTATCATCTTACAGTGTCTGTGGGTCAGGAAACCAGGTACATCTTAACTAGGTCTGCTGTAAAGATGAAATTACTGTATTGACCAAAGATGGATTCTCATCTGGTGGGTCAACTAGGGAAGAGTCACCTTCTAGACGCACTCAGGTTGATGGAACAATTCATTTCCTTGTGATTGTATGACTGAAAGCCTGACTTCTTGCTGGAGGTTGGTTGGAAGTTGCCTTCAGCTCCTGTAAGTGTCCCTTGGTTCCTTGCCTTCTGGTTCTCCCAAAATGGCTGTGTACTTCTCCAAAGCCAGAAAGGGTGTATTATATAACATAACGACAAACATCACGTTTCATCACCTTTATCCTATTCTATTGATTAGAAGAAAGTCATAGCTCCCATTTTACACTCAAAGGGAGGGGATCACACAAAGATGTGCATGGGAACCATGGGTGGGCCATCTTTGAGTCTGTTTGCTGCACTCACTGACACAGTTCAACAAGATCGTTCCTACTTCTCATCCTACTCACCCAGATGTCTTACACTCTGGTTTACCCTATATCTTACCAGGTGAGTTATGACTCAGTTTTCTGGATGTTCATGATATAGCAGATACTGTATTTTGGAAGAAAATAATACAATTTTTTTTATAATCATTTTGTGTCAGGCATTTTGGTCAGCACTAGAAGAAACTCATGTTTCTTACAGCATTTCTATAAAATGGGTAGTACAAGTTCTACTTTTTGATGAAAACTCGGACTCAATTATACTTTCTTGTGTGGTATAAATAGCAAATTACAGAGTGTGAATTTCAACCAATGACCTTCCTTAATCCAAAGGTTTTTCTCTTTCATTTTACTACATTACTACATTAATAGACTGGGGGTTTGTAACCCAGTAACTAGTTTGTAAACTAGTTTCATTTACTCCCCAGTTTGAACAAGACAGTACATGTTAAAAGAGGCAAAAATGAAAAGAATATGAAAAAATGGACAGAGATATTAAATCAACTCACATAAGTTTTCACAATAAATACAGTTAATTCAGTTTATATTACTTTTAATTACTTGATTGCAAATACTCAATTTAGACACTTAAGTTATCCCTTAGAAATGACCCTTTTTGATTATGTAGATAAATTTCCATGGGCACCTATCACATTTGGGTTTTAAAAGGAACAATACAAGAACTTACAGCTTTCTCCAAATAGGTTTTCCTTTGACAGTCAAATAGTAATAAAATTCACTTAGATGTTTCAATTTTCATTCATAATTGGCAACAGTAATTTCTACATTTTAGATTAATTACTAAGAATTTTCATTCCCCATAGGTGGCAGCATAAACTTCAATAGAATATTCATTACTAGCAACATTAGCTCAGATCTTCTTCTATAATAACAGCAAAAGTACTATTCTGAGGGTTTTCTGATTCCACTGAGTCCATCTTTTGAATCTATTTAAAAATCTTAATGTAGGACAGTCGTGAGTAATTTATTTTATTGAAAGAATAGGACTATAATTTCACATTATTTTTCAAGACAGCCATAGCAACGAAAATAAAGAACTAAGATTAAAAATCAAAATTAATAGTGGTTTTAATTGATATGTTTGTGTGGTCAATATGCTACTCTTAGGACTGACAACATGAGGTGATTTTATATTGATAAATGCACTCACTTATTGTACACTGAATTCTACATCTTGTGTATATAAAAGTATGTATATGTGCACAGTACTATATATAATACTATGTATTTTGTTTTCTAATTGAATCAGAGCTCTCGATCTATACAGATTTTAAGTTTGTTCATTTCTTTGGATTTCCAAAGCAAAGAAAAGAAAGGTGTATATTTGCACTTAAAAGAATGCTGACAGAGTCAATCAATTTTAAGCGTATTTTTGCATCCCCTTGGAAACACTGGAGAAATTTTCACTCTCCCAAGTGCCATATTTAAATCCTACTTACTTAGATATTAAAAAAGAGAAAAAAATAGACTTCAGTTGCTGTTAGCTTTAGGTTTATGTTCAATTGGAAAGATGTTTTGCCTTAGAGTGTTTTAACCATTTATTTATTTATTTATTTATTTATTCACCTATTTGCTGACATTTTTTCTACTATTCTTTTGTATAACATTAGCTCAGGCTAATCCACTGTATTCTGGATACATGATGTACTTCAGAGAAAGCCTACTGGATTTTAAGTCAGGGGATATTTTAGCATATTTGCTTACCCTCAGGTGTGCCACTTTATGTTTCAAGAGGCTGGTAGCAGTTCTACCCTCAAAACCCTGCCTTTCATAACTTATCTCCTAGGATATGTTCCAAAACAAGGATGTATATTGTTGACAAAGAATTAAACGTAATAATCAGGCAATTAACCAAGGGTGTTTGCAGCCTATATAAAGAGACAAATTAAGAAGACTACCATGGTATCCAGAAGCCATCTGTTAACAAATGTCAAGTTGATGATAAAGAAAATTGAGTTCCCTTGGCAGTTGGTTTTTCTCCAGCTGCATGCAGCAGTAAAAGAGCCATCACAGACAAATCTGCATTTGTTGTTAATTTAGAAATGCAGTAGACAGGCATTGAGAAACCTCTAGTGACAACTTTTGATTCTGAAAGTTGATGGTAAGATTCCAGTAAAAGTTATACATTGGGCTTTGGATTGGCATTTAAGACATTGTTGATTGATAGGGTAAAAAGGAAATCAGTACAATTCTGATACGTGTGCACACACACAAATACAATAAAAATCTGTTCAGAATGTGAAAAAATGAGTGAATAACTTCTGAAGTAATCAAGCATACAAAGCTTAGTCAATCATTTATATGCATCTCAAACATTTAGTGTGGTATATAGCCTAGCATAAGCCTCATGATGAAGCAGTACAAAAAAGAATCATAAATTTTGATGGTCTTTATACCACATCTTGATAAAGGCAATACCAAAGATGTAAGTTAAGGTGTCCTTCAGAATGTTATCATTCTGAAATGGAATGTTAACTTGAATGGATAGCTCAATGGAAACTTCAAGAAGTTAACATAATGTCTTGAAATAAGTTAGAATCTGGAGTCAGGCAAAAGTGAAGCTAAATTCACACTTCATTCTTTTTTAATTACATGATTTCGGGCATATTACTTAATCTGTTCTAGTGTGTGTGTAATAAAGATAATAATATTAATAACTTTGCAAAAATGTTAATAGGATAAAATGAATTAATAGGTGTCAAAACTTATTTCTACAAAATAAAACAAAATATTTTATCAATGGTTTACTAAAAATATACTAATTACTGAGAACTTAAAACTTATTGTGGAAAAGTCACTGGGCCAAAGTTCAGGAAATCCAGCATGTTCTTCTAGCCTTGCCGTAAATTAACTATGTGATCCTGTACAAATCATTTTTTTTTTCTGGACCTTGGTTTACTCTTTCATAAATTGAGGTTGGGATGATATGGAACTTGAAAAGCCTCTATTCACTTTAAAATCCTATAATTTTAAGCTATTGAGTTACAGTTCAAAAAATAAAGGCAGAATATAAAATAATGAATTTGTATACGAAGAAAACATTCAAATCATTGCAATCTCTTGCATGTGTGTTTACTACTGACTTAAAAAAAATTAAACAGTGGGAAAAGTCTGCTTCTATCTTCCACTTCAGATTTACATTTCTTATACATAATTTTATTAGAATGTATTTAATTATAAGTAAACATGTGTTTAATTTATTCACTTAAGACACCTAGTTGAACCACATTAACTCAGAACTGTGTTTGACTTTTCTTGTACTAGCAGCTTTGAACTTTAGAATTGAAGAAGACTAAAAAAATTACTACTTATTTATTCTCTATTTAATGGTTGAGGAAACATAACATAAATGAGAGATGACTCTAAGTGACAGATAATTGGTTCTAGATCCTAGGTTTACTGACTCCCAGACCACTCCTTTTCCACATCACATTTCACTACTTACATGTCTTATTTTTAACAATCTTGGACATGCATTCCACCTCAGTCACATTATCTGTTCCTGATACCTTATCTGGCTTTAAGTTAATTGTGACAAAATTACCACATTTAGTTTTCTTTTGTAACACTGAAAAATGATTTTCTTTTGGATGATATCAAATGCAAATTTGTTTGGTTTCTCACTGCCACTTTAAAATGCATCTAGTGGAAGAGGTTTCCCATGCCACTGTATGAAAACTCAGCAACCTCCATAGTTTTCAGTTCACTCCTCACTCTCTAACGCACTACATTCATTCTAGATTATAGCATCCAGTTTAAATTCAGAAATACTAAGAGTTATTACAAGACAGTAACCAATATGTGACTCTTCATTTAAAAATAAGACTCCTCTCCTTTTAGGCATGGCTGGTTTTTCCATTCACCTCTTTCACTACTTAGCTGCTGTTTTGAACCTAATGAAACTAAATGAATTTGGAATAAAATAAATACAAAGAGCAAGACTGTTGGCTATTTGGATAGTTACTGCTACTACAGTAGCAAGTTTGTTAAGTTAAAATTATAAAATATATATAAAGTACATAGTAGTATTTGGGATATAGAGAATAAATAAAAAGAAAGAGATTAAAGTAAAACACTGATCTTTGACAACGGAGTAAAGGCAAACCAATGAGGAAAAGAGTCTTTTCAACAAATGATGCAGGAAAACTGACATCAAGGGCAAAAATAATATTGTAAAAGAGAGTGCACACACAGACCTTACACCCGTCACAAAAGTTAACTAAAAATATTAGGCACCTAATGTAAACTACAGAAAACATTTAGAAAATATCATAGGAGAAAATGTAGATGGCCTTGTGTTTGGGAATTACTTTTTAGATACAACATCACAGGAAGGATGCATCAAAGAAATTACTAATAAGTTGAACTTTGCTAAAATTTAAAACTTCTGCTCTGAGAAAGGCACTGAAAAGAGAATGAGAAGACAAGCCACCGACTGGGGGAAAATATTTTCAAAAGATATATTTGAGAAAGGACTGCCATCAAAACTGCATAAAGAATCCTTCAAACTCAATAATAAGAAAATGAAAAGCCCAATTACAAAATGGCAAAATATCTGAACAGACACCTCACAAAAGATGATATATAGGTGAAAGACGAACACATAAAATGTTGTTTAAATCATATGTCATTAGGGAATTGCAAATTAAATCAGCAATGAGATACCACCACACGTCTATTAGAATATCAAAATTCCAAACCACTGACAACACAACACTGGCCAGGGTGTGGACCAATAGAAACTCACACATTGTGGGTGGGAATGCATGATGGCGCAGCCACTTTGGAAGACAGTTTGGCAACTTCTTATAAAACTAAATATACTCTTGTCATACAATCCAGTAAACACACTCCTTGATATTTAACCAAATAAGCTGAAAATGTATGTTCCCACAAAAATCTGCACACCAATGTTTATAGAAGCTTTAATCATAATTGCCAAAACTTGGGAGCAACTAAGATGTTCCTCAGTAGGTAAATGAATAGATAGATCATGGTATGTTTAGGCAGTGAAATAATATTCAACACTTAAAAAACCTATCAAGCCAAGAACAGACAAGAAGGAAACTTAAATGCATATTACTAGTGAAAGAAGCCAAGAAGCCAAACTGAAAAGTCTGCATAACTGTATGATTCCAACATGATACTCTGGAAAAGGCAAAACTATGGAACTAGCAAAAAGATTAGCGGTTGCCAGAGGTAAGGTGGGAGGCATGAATAGATAAAACACACAGGATGTTTAGGGCAGATAAACTACTCTGTATAATACTATAATGGAAGAACATGTCATTATACAATTGTGAAAACTCACAGAATGTACACCAAGAGTGAAGCCTAAAGTAAACTATGGACATTTGTGAATATGGCGAGTCTACGTAGCTCAGATTTTTTTAATGTGTGCTTTCAATGTGGGATATTTATAGTGGCAAAATGTGGATCAGTGGGAGAAAAGGATATATAAATCTCTGTAATATTCTCGTGAGTAAAAACTGCTACAAAATATGAAGTGCATATATTTTTATAAAGTAAAGCAGAATACTCTAATGATACATTATTTTAACAGCGATGGCACAGAAAAAATTGAAATTTTTGTTAAGATAATTATATAAAGGGTTAGCTTTGGGTACATTCAGTTAGAGGTGACAAAAATTTCAAAGTAAATGTTAAAATAGAGGCATGTCCTAAAATCATAGGTAGAACATTTTTTAAAATTCCAGATTACTACTAAAAATATGAATTACACTACAAAATAGGGAGAAAACAAAAGCAAAAAAAAAATCATGGATTGTAATTCGGGTAAGGTTATTCATTTCAGATGAGCTCTAAACAATATCTAAAGAAAACTAATCACTAACTGTTGTGATTTTTGGTTTTGTTGTTTCTTTCTAATTTGGTGCTAGTGTCTCTCTGTCAAGAGAAGAGTGGCCATAAACCAAGATAGCCACTTTCTAGGAGAGCTCCACCCAGGGGAGTGTTAGATTCAAGTGTGTGAATTAGGTGAGACACATAAGGAGGTGAAATGAATGTGTATAAAATAGAAGAAATGTATCACTTACAGATCCCAGTGCTGTTAATGGTGCCAACAGGAGGCCAGAGGTATCTCTGGGCAGGCTGAGCAGGGAGACAGGGAGCCTGTGGAACTGTGTCTTCATTAAGGCCCATGGGTGTTACCTCTTAGGTTTTCCCCTGGGGGTTGTGGATTGGCTAGTTTAAAGAAAACATCAGAAAAGGGGGAATGTATTTACATGATTCTGGTATTGACCCTTAGGTTTTATCATGGTTGGAAGCTGTGGGATGTATTGGGATTTAGGTCTATGGGGTGAAGAATAGATGGGCTATATCACAACCACACAAGGAGAGGAAGCTTTAACTAGGCTAAAGGTGGTGAGGTCTACCTGGATAGCAAACAACTTATGTCAGGCCTAAAAATTAATGCTGAAGCAACAATTGCATTAATCAAATTTATGGCATTAACTGAAGAATAGATGATTACATCAAGATCACTCAGGCAAATATGATTATTTGCACAATATAAACTAAAATATATATACTTCATATCAGTAAACTCGATATATTAGCTCATAATTACTGAGCAAAATATATTGCATAGAAGAGAAAGTCTGAAGGTATCCTAAATTGTTAGAAGCAAAGAGTATTACTTAGCTGTGGAGATTCAGCATAAGATGTTTACCCTGAAATCAGAATTAACAAGCAATATTTATTTAGAAGCCAATAATATGGTCAATCAGTGTTGTTAAGTAGAAAATGTATACCCTTCCATATGGATCATTATATGCCTCTGTTATAGCACTTACCACAATATATTCAATTACCTTATTTAAATATACATAGACCTCATATGGGAAGCATTTGTATGATGACACTTGGCACAGCAGTTGGCAGATCGTTGCGTATCAAATACATGAGCAAATGAGTGAATATCTGGGAATATACAGAGCCGTAAGGGATATTAAGAGAATTATACTATTTAATATTTTCTAAATTTATGCTCAGAGCCAGTCCTACACACTTTAAAAATATTACCCAGCTTAATTTTTAAATTACTTATGACATAAGTATTACTATCCCTAAAATCGAAAAAAAAGCCAATTAAATTTCTTATGACTGAAAAATTTATAAATTGCATCAAGCTTTATATACAGATAGACATATTTACAGATCCAAAAATTTGCACTTCCTTTATGCTACATACCTAGAAATTGTATAGTCTCACTAACACTTTTTATCAGAAAAGAAATTTGAAAATTCGAAACAGTAAATGTTTGGCTTTTTTTCCCAAGATGGAAGATTAGAGGCTTTTAACGTGCCTCAGCCACTTAGAAATAGCAAGACCCTACATAAAGATCAAGTCTGTGAGCTTCACTTCAAAAAGGAGAAGGTAATCTTAATCTATCAGAATCACGAAGGAAACTCCAGATACCAGGGAGGAGAATGTGGGCAAACATCCCTCATGATGGCATTTAACTGATAAAAATGGGTGAAGCCCCCATATGTGAGGGAGGCGGAGAGCCACCTTCTGTGATTCATCTTTCCACTGAGGAGCCGAGCAACTCTAGCCAAGATAGAGTACTTTGTTTCACCCAAACTGTGGAGCTAATCTGGGGAGGGACTTGAGATGCTGTAAAAGAAAGACACTAGGAAAACCTGCAGATGTTTTTCCAGACCCAGGACCAAGAGCAGGTCAGTATTTTTAATCCAGGTACATGCAACTCAGCCATTCTTTGGCCACCCAGTCGTGTGGCTGTGCAGGCACTTCAGTCTTGGGCTAGAGATTGGAGTGCACGATTGTGGAAAGCACCTCAACAATAGGTGCTGGATTTGTGTTCTCCCCTGTCACAGGCCTGGGATGAGAGGAGAAGTGCTACAGCTGCAGTTTCTCCTGTGCACCAAGACTAGCAACCAGCTTAGTGACCTGAAACTTGTCTCTGTGTGCCATTTCCGGGTGTCCAAGCCTGCTCCCCTGAGATTGTGGTGCACTGGGGTCCTATCTCTCCAATCTCCAGGCAGAAATTCAGGTGTTCATAGCATTCCTTCTCTAACTGGATCAACAGCCTGAGCCAACCCACCCATCTGGGCATAGACTGTGATACAGCAAGGCTCTCTCCACTCTGCACCCAGGCAGCTCTCCAAGCATTCAGGGTACCTACTTGCCTGGTTCAGCAGTCTGAGTTGCCTCATCCTTCCCGTGTAGGGATCTTGATGCAGGGGGCCCCCTCTTTGCTCCCCACCTACCTAGATATCCAGGCATTTAGAGCATCCACTCACCTGGAAAGCAGCTTGAGCTCCCCACATGCTTACTATGCAGAGACCTGGGTGCAGGGGGGCCCTCTCCACTCAACATCCAGGCAGATCTTCAGGCATCTGGAGCACATACTCTCCTGGATTACGAGGTTAGC
The DNA here is from genome assembly GCF_000001405.40 of Homo sapiens. Classification (NCBI taxonomy): domain Eukaryota; kingdom Metazoa; phylum Chordata; class Mammalia; order Primates; family Hominidae; genus Homo; species Homo sapiens. The sequence goes on along the minus strand of NC_000014.9, from coordinate 27,151,630 downwards.
TACTCTCATTTCCACGCAGATAACTTGGAACCAATGAGGTTTCCCAGCTCTATGCCTAGGCATACCTGTGGGCACTTGGTGGCTGCCACTGGATTCTCCCTTGGTAATGGTGCTTGTGCTTGCCATTGAAGGATCTGTAGATGGTCCTTTGCAGTCTGGCCCCACCCATCTTGGCCCCCACCCTAAGCGGGGAGGAGGGATCTCAGGCCACTGTGCACTCCAGGAATCAGCTCATTGCCTGAGGCAACGGAGAGCTTCTTCCGGTAATCAAGGATCTAGTATATACCCAGTCACATTGGCCTCAGCTGGCTCTTACCCATAAGCACCATTTACTGGTTTGTAGGTCAAACTGCACAGCCCAAAATACAACCTGCTGACAGAGTGCATAGAGCTATAGAAGCAAAGCCAAATGGCCCTACCATTCTTTATGATCTCAACCCCTAGCAAGGGAGTATAAGGGAAAGAGAAAGTAAAAGTACCAAAATAAAATTACCGAATTTACCAAATTTACCAAAAAAAATACCAAAGTAAAAATATAGGAAAAGGAAGGGGAAAATTCCTACCTACCTGCACAAAAATACTTACAAAAATTAAAAGTGCTGGTGTTTCCAGATGACAAGGAAACAGAGCAAGAATTTTGGCACCATGAAAAATCTGAATGTAGTGATATCACCAAAGGATCACCTTCCTTCTCCAGCAATGGTCCCTAACCACAATGGAAATGCAGAAATGATAGGTAAAGAATTCAAAGCATGAATTGAAAGGAAGCTCAACAAGGTCCAAGACAAGGTTGAAAGGAGTCAATGCAGAGAAACTTCTAAAGCATCAGAAAGCGAAGGAAGAGATAAACATGTTAAAAAGAATTCAGAGCTTCTGGAATTGAAAAACTCATTTAAAGAATTTAAAAGTACAATTGAATGCTTTGTCAATAGACTAGACCAGGCAGAAGAAAGAATTTTCGAGCTTGAAGTCCAGTCTTTCAAGCTAACTCAGTTAGACAAAAATAAAGCAAGAAGAATTTAAAAAAATGACTGAAGTATGCAGACAGTTTCTGCCAGATATTACACAACATCATCAAAGCATTTAGTCACCAGATTATCCAAGGTCAGTGCTAAAGAAAAAATATTCTAGGTAGCTAGAGAGAAAGGTCAGATGATGCACAAAGGGAACAGCAGACTTCTTAGTGGAAACCTTACAAGCCAGAGGAGATTGACAGCCTGTTTTCAGAATTCTTAGATACAATAAATTCCAACCATAAAATACTGATGAAAGAAATTAAAGACAACACCAAAAATTGGAAAAATATTTCATGTTAATGGATTGGATGAATCAATATTGTCAAAATGTCCATACTACCCAAAGCAACCCACAGTTTCAATGCAACCCCTATAAAAATTCCAAAGACATTTTTCACAAAAATAGAAAAAAATCCTAAAATGTATATGGAACCACAAAAGACCCAAAATGGCCAAAGCTATCCTAAGGAAAAATATCAAAATCAGAGGAATCACACTACCTGACTTCAAATTAATTACACAGCTATAGTAACCCAAACGGTATGGTACTGGCATAAAAACACAACACAAAGCCCAGTGGAACAGAATGGAAAACCCAGAAACAAATCCACACACCTACAGTGAACTCATTTTCAACAAAGTTGCCAAGAACATACTCTTCAATAAATGGTGCTGGGAAAACTGGATATCTGTATGCAGAAGAATGAAACTAGACTCCTATCTCTTGCCATATACAAAAATCAAATCAAAATCAAATCAAAATGGATTAAAGGCTTAAAACTAAGACCTCAAACTATGAAGGTACTTACTATAAGAAGACATTGAAGAAACTCTCCAAGATATTGCTCTGAGCAAAATATTTTTAAATAATACCCCACAAACAAGAAAGCCAAAGCAAAAATGTGCAAATGGAATCACATTAAGTTAAAAACTTTCTGCACAGCAAAGGAAACAATGAACAAAGTGGAGAGACAACCCACAGAATGGCAGAAAATATTTCAAACCTATCTATCTGTCAAAGGATTAATTATTAGGACACATAAGGATCTCAAACAACTCTATAGGAAAAAAACCTAATAATCCAATCAAAAATAGGCAAAATATTTGAATAGGTATTTCTCAAAAGAAGCCGTACAAATGGCAAACAAGCATATGAAAAGGCCCTCAACATCACTGATTATCAGAGAAATGCAAATCAAAACTACAATGAGATATCATCTCATCCCAGTTAAAATGGCTTATAGCCCAAAGACGGGCAAGAACGAATGCTGGTGAGGATGTGGAGAAAGGAGAACCCTCGTACACTTTTGGTGGGAATGTCAATTAGTACAACCACTATGGAGAACAGTTTGGAGGTTTCTCCAAAAACTAAAAGTGCAGCTACCATATGATCCAGCATTCCACTGCTGGATATAAACCCCAAATAAAGAGAATTTGTGTATTGAAGAGATATCTGCACTCTCATGTTTGTTGAAACACTGTTCACAATAGCCAAGATTTGGAAACAACCTAAATGTCCATCACCAGATGATCGAATAAAGAAAATATGATACATGAACACAAACGAGAACTATTCAACCGTAAAAAGAGTGACATTTACTTATTTGCAACAACGTGGATGGAACTGGAGATCATTATGTTAAGTGAAATAAGCCAGGCATAGAAAGACATCCATTGCATGTTCTCACTTATTTGTAGGATCTAAAAATCAAAACAATTAAACCCATGGAGATAAGAGAGTAAAAGGATGATTACTAGAGGCTGGGAAGGGTAGTGGCAGATCAAGGGAAGGTGGAGCTGGCTAATGGGTACAAAAAATAGTTAGAAATAATAAATAAGACCTACTATTTAATAGCACAACAGGATGACTATAGTCAATAATAATCTAATTTTACATTTTAAAATAAATAGTATAGTTGGATTATTTGTAACACAAAGGATAAATGCTTCAGGGGATAGATAACCTATTTTCCATGATGTGATTATGCATTGCATTCCTGTATCAAAACATCTCATAAGCCCCATAAATACACACCTACTAGGTACCCACAAAAACTGAATAATGAAAAAAAAAAGAAATTCCAACCAACAATTTCATAGCACACCAAACTAAGCTTCATAAACAAAAAATAAATGAAATATTTTCCAAGCAAGCAAGTACTAAGGAAATTCATTACCACTAGACCAGTCTTACAAGAGATCTTTAAGGGAGTTCTAAACATGAAAATGAAACAATGATACCTTATACCACAAAAACATACTTAAGTACATAGTCCAAAGACACCATAAAGCAATCACAAACAGAAACTGGAAAGAACCAGCTGTCAACTTCATGTTAGTATCATAACCTCACATATCAATATTAATCTTGAATGTAAATTGTCTAAATGCCCCACTTAAAAGACACAGAGTGGCAAGTTGGATAAAAAAAATAAGACTCATCCATCTGCTGTCTTCAAGACACTCATCTCACACGTAATAACACCTATAGGCTCAAAGTAGAGGGCTGGAGAAAGCTCTACCATGAAAATGGAAAAAAAAAGAGCAGGGGTTGGTATTCTTATATCAGATAAAACAGGCTTTAAATCAACAATAGTAAAAAGGACAAAAAAAGGCCATTATATAATGACAAAGGTTTCAATTCAACAAGAAGACTGAACTATCCTAAATATATATGCACCAAACACTGGTGAACCCAGATTTATAAAACAAGTACTTCCAGACCTATGAAAAGACTTAGACAGACACACAATAATAGACTTCAACACCCCACTGACAGCATTAAACAGATCATCCAGTCGGAAAACTCATGAAGAAATTCTGGACCTAAATATGACACTTGAACAATTTGACTTATTAGCCATCTACAGAACACTCACCCCATCAACCACAGGATCCACTTTCTTCTCACTCACACATAGAACATACTCCAAGGTTGACCACATGCTTGGCCATAAATGAAGCCTTAATAAATTCAAAAAAAATGAAATCTTCCCAACCATACTCTCAGATCACAGTGGAATAAAAATAGAAATGAACATAAAGAAGATCTTTCAAAACCACATAATTGTATGAAAATTAAACAACTTACTCCTGAATGACTTTTGGGAAAACAACAAAATTAAGGCAGAAATAAAAAAAATTTGTAATAAATGAAAACAGAGACACACTATACCAAAATCTCCAGGATGCACTAAAAGCAGTGTTAAGAGTATAGATTATAGCACTAAATGCTTACTTCAAAAAGTTAGAAAGATCTCACCTTAATGATCCATCATTACACCTACAGGGACTAAAAATTAAAGAACAAATTAACTCCAAAACTAGCAGAAGAAAAGAAATAACTAGTATCAAAGAAGAACTGAACAACACTGAGACCCAAAAATCTATACAGAGAGTCAAAGAAGCAAAAAATTGGTCATTTTAAAAGATAAACGAGATCCCCAAACAACTATTTAGATTTACAAAGATAAAAAAGAGAGAAGATCCAAATAAGCACAATCAGAAATGTTAAAGGTGACAGTACAACCAATCCCACAGAAATACAAAAGATCCTTGAAGAATATTATGAACCCCTCTATGCACACAAACTAGAAAATCTAGAGGAAATGAATAAATTCCTGGAAACATAAAACCTCTCATGACTGAAACAGAAGGAAACTGAAACCCTGAACAGACCAATACTGAGTTCCGAAATTCAACCAGTATTAAAAGTCCTACCAACCAAAAAAGCCCTGGACCAGATGCATTCATAGCCAAATTCTACCAGACACACAAAAAGAGCTTCTACTAGTTCTACTGAAACTATTCAAAAAAATTGAGCAGGAGGGACTCTTCCCTTAATCATTCTATGAAGCCAGCATCACCTTGATATTAAAACCTGGCAGATACACAATGAAAAAAAGAAAACTACAGGCCAATATTTCTTTTTAACATAGATGCAATTATCCTCAACAAATACTAGCAAGTCAAATCCAGCAGCACATCCAAAAGTTAACTCAGCATTATTAAGCAGTTTTTATTCCTTGGATGCAAGGTTGGTTCGCATACTAAAATCAATAAATGTGATTCACAACATAAATGCAATTAAAAACAAAAACCATATGATCATCTCAATAGATGCAGAAAAATCTTTGAGTAAAACCCAACATCCCTTTATGATAAAAACTCTAAACACACCACCTATGACAAAACCACAGCCAATATCATACTGGCTGGACAGAAACTAGAACCATGTTCCTTGAGAACTAAAACAAGATAAGGATGCCACCATAACCACCCTTATTCAACAAAATACTATGAATGCAAGCTAGAGAAATCAGGCAAGAGAGAGAAATAAAAAGCATCCAGAAAGGAAAACAAGAAGTCAAACTATCTCTGTCTGTGGACGATATGATTCTATACTTGAAAACCCTAAAGACTCTGCTAAAAGGCTCCTGGAACTGATGAATGACTTCAGTAAAGTTACAGGAGACAAAATCAATGTACAAAAATTAGTAGCATTTCTATAAAGCAATAACATTCAAACTGAGATCAAAAACAGTCACAAAGACCAATGGAACAGAATAGAGAACCCAGAAATAAAGCCATATACCTATGATCATGTGATCTTAAAAAAAGTCGACAAAAGTAAGCAACAGGGAAAGGACTCTCTATTCAATAAATGATGTTGAAATAGCTGGCTAGCTATATACAGAAGAATAAAATTGGACCCCTACATTTCAGCACATACAAAAATTAATTCAAGATGGATTAAAGATTTAAATGTAAGAGCTAAAAATATATAAATGTTAGAAGAAAAGCTAGGTAACCTCAAACTAGTCATAATAGTTATTATTAAAAAGTCAAAAAACAATAGAGGCTGGCTAGGTTGTAGAGAGAAGGGAATGCTTATACACAGTTGATGTGAATGTAAATTAGTTCAGCCACTGTGGAAAGCCATTTGGAGATTTATCAAATAATGTGAAAGAGACCTATTACAACATTTGACCTAGCAATCCCATTACTGGGTATATCCGAAAGAAAGTATATCATTCTGCCAAAAAGACACATGCACTTGTATGCTCATGACAGCACTACTCACATTAGCAAAGTCATGGAATCAGCCTAGGTGTCCATCAACAGTAAATTGAATGAAGAAAATGTAGTACATATACACCATGAAATTCTATGTAGCCATAAAAAAGGAATGAAATCATATCATTTGCAGCAACATGGATGCAGCTGGAGGTCATTATCCTAAGTGAATTAACATACAAATAGAAAACCAAGTACCATATGTTCTCAATTATAGGTTGAAGATAAACACTGGGTATTCATGGATATAAAGATGGCAACAATAGAAACAGGAGACTACTAGAGGTAGAAAGTGGGAGAGCGGGGTGGGAAAGGGTTGAAAAATTAAGTATTAGGTACTATGCTTAGTACCTGGGTGACAGGATCAATTATACTCCAAACCTCAGCATTACGCAGTATACCCAGGTAGCAAGCCTGCACATTTACCCCTGAATCTAAAATAAAAGTTGACATGGCATGACTAAAAAAAATAGTAAATGGCATGACTAGAGTAACATACACAAGACCTTAATCCAGAAATTTTTGTACAAAGAAAGAGAATTATAATTTAGTCTATACAGTCATGTGCTATTAATGACAGGGGTATGTTCTGGGAAATGTGTTATTAAATGATTTCATCATTGTGTGAACATCATAGAGCATACTTACATAAACCTAAATGGCATAGCCTACTACACATTTAGACTATTTGGTATACCCTATTGCTCCTAGGGTACAAACTTGTGCAGTATGTTACTGTACTGAATATTGTAGACAATTGTAACACAATGGCAAGTATTTGTGTTTCTAGACATATCTAAACATTGAAAAAGTACAGAAAAATACAGTGGTTATAATCTTATAGAGCACTATCACATATATAGTCCATTATTAACCAAAGCTAATTATGCAGCACATGACTGTATGCTCTTTGTTTTTGGTATCTATTGAAGAACCCTGATTAATAATTAGTCTGCATTGGCAAATGGCTGCAAACTTCTAAAACATAAAGGGTTAGCAGAGTTAGTAGAAAGGGAAAGAAAAATGATCAGGGTAGAGTAAAAGCAGCATGCCAAAAAGCCTCCAATAAGCAGGTGAAGTGATTAAGTTGTTGCTATGACAAGATTTAGGGGAAAATGTTTCCTGGGACCTCCAGGGGAAGCCACAGAGGACTGTAGTGTGATGTCACCCATAGGGAAACAGTGAGATTATTATTCCATTGACCTTCAAGATATCTACTGCATAAGTCTTTCCTGCCTGAGGCGGGTATCAATGATGTCTGCCATAAATACAAGCTGGTCGCTCTGATATGGGAGGTAAACATGTTTAAAAGACAACGTTCTATCTTCTGATTCATTATAAAGTATGCAGAGATCCTAATGAGATAGAAGAAATTCTGCACAAAAGGCTGAAAAATATTCCCAGGATAAAGAAAAAAAGCAAAGAAAGGTGCAGTTTTTATAGTTTTGACAAAAAACAAAGTCCTTTTTTAAAAGACATGGTTAAGAAATTTTTTAAATGAATAAATGGCTCACTGCAACCTCCACCTCCTGGGTTCAAGTGATTCTTGTGCCTCAGCCTCCCGAGTAGCTGGGATTACAGGCACCCACCACCACGCCCAGACAATTTCTGTATTTTTAGTAGAGATGGATTTTCACCATATTGGCCAGGCTGGTCTCAAATTCTTGACCTCAAGTGATCCACCAGCCTCGGCCTCCCAAAGTGCTCAGATTACAGATGTGAGCCATGGTGCCCAGCCCATGGTTATTTTCATAAATGAAACTAGCGAATATTAGCTAGACTTAAGGTCACTTATAGATAAAGAATAAAGATAAGGAGACATCACCACCCACAAAAAGGAATGAGTGGGGCTGAGGCTTAACCATTTGGTATCTATTGTGATTACTGTAGCTGTTAAAGAGGGGAAAATGAAGGGCATTTAGGTTTGAAATGAAAACCAATAATTTCTCATAGGTCAAAGACAATGTTATTACTGGGTACATCTAGAATAGTAACAGGTAATGGGGTCTCATAATTTTGCTTTCTACTTATGTAATTTCTGCTTTGGCAATAAAAACTTCTGTGCATAAAGTCAATGAACTATATTTTAAGTGGCTCTAACCAACTTTGTCAGACTGTGAACTAGTTTATTTTAGGTTGAAGTTCACAGTAGAAATCTTGGTTAAATTATTGACAAATAAAAGCTCATGTCATAGAAAAGAGAAATAGAAATAGCTAGCTCTACACAACTGGTACCAGATACAGGCACATTTTAGGGAGAATCTAAAACTTCTAAAGTCCATATCATATAATCCAAGGCACAAAGGCAGAAGCTGGAATGACTTCTTATGTTAACAGAACAAGTCAGCAAGTATTTGACAAGCTAAGACAACCAAATGGCATACCTTAGCTTATTGCCAGTATAAGAACAGAGACGATAAAATTATCTGTATCTTCTTCCAATGAACATTACACTGAAAAGAGCAAAATCAGCATGAAAAATGAACAATTCCAACATAGAGAAGAGCATCATAAAAGACTACCTTTATTTTATGTTAGTTTATAGACTTATACTAAGACTACTTAAATAACTGAGGTAAGGAAATAAAAGCAGTATCATTGCAGAATTACTGAGAATCATTGTTGACTATATTTTGGGCCTACAGTAAAATATAAAATGTAGAAAGAGACAGGCAAATATTAACCCTGGTAGTTTAAGTTTGTTTCAGTTAAATCACTTTTATGTTTGTATAATAACTACAAAATTTTCCTGAAAAGAATGTTTTAAAGTAATGGGAAATTATAAGGACCTGGGTGAGTTAACAATATATTTTAAAAATATATTTTCCTCCACAGGTAATGAGCTTTCTATTTATGAACGTATGTTTATGAAAGTGTACCTTTTATGAAAAAGCTATCTGATATATTAGAAAAAAACACTTTTCAGTGTTTAAGAGGTTGAAATAGATGAACTCTAAGGTATCTTCCAAATTTTAGCACTTATCAAGCGCTAAGAAATTGTCCTCATTGTCATTTTTATTATCATAAGGAATAATGATATTTCTTATATGTCATGTCCACATAAAAATTAATGTATACAAGTGTAGAAAGAAAACTCAAACAGACTGCTTTTGTTGAGTTTCAGAATAGGCTCTTTAGCACTGAACAAATATGAATGACCAATCCTTTGTTTCTTTCAGTCCTAATTACATATCTACAAGTCTAGGATTTAAAGTCAGCTAGAGCTCAGGTGAACAAAAATGGTGGCAAAGGATATTATCCTTAACTTTTATATAAAGTTTAGATAACAGAAATGTTAATGTATCACATTGTTTAGCAAGCTACATGTTTGTCATATATTTTAGTTAATGTGATACATAGGAACCTCTCACAATAAAAGGGCAAATGTTGTAGCTGAGTGTCTCCTGTTAATCTTTCCCCACTCTGCTCAAAGAAACACCATCAGCATCAGCACCTCCACAATAATTACATCCCTTACAAATGAGTGGTTACAGTGCTACGGAAGAAGGACACTGCATTGGGAAAAGATTAGGGAAATCTGGCTTATAAAAATTATAACAATTTATTCTGAGACTAATTGAGAGCCCACATAACAATGAATTTCTTAAGATTTTGCCTAAAAACAACTGTTTTAATAAAAAAGAACCTCAAGTTACCGGTTACTGAAACATAAATTCTTATATAAATATAAATATTAATGTGTAGATTATAAAGTTATTTTTATCAAATATAAAAGCTACAAAAAATAACAGTATTTTCAACAGAATTAATGGAATATTACCTCTTATTGTTCATTGAAAGAATATACACAATAAATTGTAATTTTCCCTAACCAACTCTCAAAACAAGTAAACAAATACACAGATATAGAAAACAATGAGTTGTTTAACGTTCACTAATTACAATATAAAAATCCTAGTTACAGCTCTGGAAGTAGCTTGTAAGTTTTAGTTTTAAGCATATGAACAATAAGAACAATTATTAAAACAAAAAAATTCATTATTTGTCAAAATGAATTATGAAGAAGACTATAAATAGATTAAGATATAGATTGATAAATAGAAACAAAAAGTATAGGCTTTAGCTATTATACTGGAATTATATCACATAATAAAATTCATGAGAGATTATGCTTCCTGAAATTACCAACAGCTTCCAGTAATACAAGTGTAATTGCAAGTTTTCATATACTATATTGTTGGACATGATTAAGATTTCATATGTTCTTTATTGTATTGAAATAGCCTGCAAAGGCTTTTCCAAGCCTACAGATGCAACATTTTCTTGACTATAGAGTAAGGCCTATTTCAACAAGAAATGGTAGGTAGAAAAACAGAAATAAACATAAGGGAAAATAATCTACCATTGAGTTAAGGAGACCATAAGAAGCTAACACTAAAGAAAACAAGAACTAGGGCATTTAAAAAATTGAACACAACTAGGTGAAAACAAAAACAAAACAAAATAAGCAGAATGCCTTCTCACTATGTAATAACAAACAATAGCACTACCTTGTATTCACCCAGCACATTTTATTTATACAAAGTATCTTCATAGAAATTATTGCATTAATCCTCACAACAATGTTTCTCTGGTATGAATTAGAAATAGATGGTATTATTTCTGTTTAATAGTTGATAAGAGTAGCTAAAATTCACACAGAAATTCAGTGACTTCTGAAATAAAATCAGAATCCAAGCAATCGCAAATTTTAACTTATTAATCTATTTCCTAGCTTGCATTACTGATAAAAACCTAATGTTTGACATTTCTTCTCCTATTCACTGAATACTTCATATTTTGCTGGTGGTATTCTGCTATTTTTGGACAGATGATTAGCTGCTACTGAAAACATTATTTCTCTTTAACTTCTGAGGACTTCAGAGTAAACAACATTACATAAAAGACATGAACAAAGGTGCTAATACATTGGCTAAAAATACCCAGAAAACAAAACAAAAGACATTTATTACTTCTCCACTCTTTTGAAGGGCAAGTATGTAATATATGTCTAAAAATCAAACTGCTGGAATAATATGTACTTTTCTATGACAGCGATTTAAAATATACCTATAACACCGCTTTTCATATTAGATTTTAAGTGAAAGAAGAGCTAGCATAAATTGCTCTTTCATAACAAAAGCCAGCTATTTCTTCTCAACTCAAGGAGGTCTTACTTCTCTTCAATGTGGCCATCACAGGCACACTTAAAGTAACCACTTCTCAAGCATCATTTTGTAAAACTAAACCAAAACGATATTAATAATGATAATAATTTGCATGACTGACGGCTTCAAGGCAGCTCCGCAATCAATCAATATCTTCTTTTGATTGCATGGAGTAATTGATGCTTGTTAGACAGAAACTATGGTTTGGCTTCTTTTGGCAAGAGCAGAAGGGAAACGAAAATATTAGCAGGGTAGGAGCAGCCCACGTTTTAAAGATTCCTGAAGTCTGCAGAGGGCAATGCTTCCCAGTAATTTTTAGCACAGAAAAGGTGCTCCCACTGTTCCCAAGCTGATAGCTCACTGTTAGCCATCATGCTTTAAATGAAAATATTCTGGAACAGTCTTGAACTGACTGACTCCTAAGTCAGACAGCCTGTCAACATCTGAAAATCAATGTTATCAGTATCTCTTCTAGTGGGAGGATTACTTAACAGGGGTATCTCCACAGTCATCCTTGGCACACCTGGTCACAGGAACACATGATTTATACAGCTGCCCAGTAGGGGTTTATGCTGAGAGAGATTTTGGCAGATGAGGCATAAAATTTGAAAATATGCTGCCAGGAAGACTTGTAGTATGAAAACCCTGTGTTCTGCAAACATCAGCCTTCTGATTTTGTTAAGTCTTTACAGCTAAATAGAAAAGTAACGAAGTTGCAAAAAAGCATAAAAAGATGCTGGAAAATAAACAGATTAATAATAATGAGCTGGCAAAAACAAAGGCTCAACATTTATATATTTCATTGTATACTTCAGAAGTGAATAAACCTATTGGCCAAGATAATATTGGACAACAAGAGACACAAGTATGAAATTACGCACATGAAAACATGTTAGAGATAAATCCAGAAAACATGAACAATAGTATCTACACTGACTGTGCTCCACAAGTAAAATGGGAGTTAAAGATATAGGCATGGGCTATCAAGGAAATTCACCTGCCTCTGCTTCTCTTCGCACCTGAGGTGCTATGGGAAATTTGTTCTATTAAAAAAGAAAAACGGATAGAAGTCAAGAATTGGCTAATGTGTCTTCTATGCACATTCTGAATTCATTACTACTGTATCCAGTTACTGAATAATAACTTGAATTAGACTATCTACCTTGAAGAGAAGATTAATCAATTAAAAAAAAACTTACAGATATACCATGACCAGTTTCCTTTTTCAATTTAATATTACTTAGCTAGTAATGCCATTTTCTCTTTGGCATTAATATTTTTAGTACAAATTAATAAAGAATACTAATGTATTGAAATGTCTTATTTTGTCAACTCAAGACTAACAATATATATCCATATGTGCCTTATTACTTTCTCCCAAAACTTCACTATTCTATGTATTATTAAGAACACACATACATATTAGTAAGGACAATAGCTTTAGAATCTTATTTTAGGACCAAAATAGAAGACTATAATACATGCAAAAAAAAGACAAACATTAAATGTAACTATTTAATAGTCAAGTAAATAGCCTGTTTTGGTTGTGCCAAAGATATAGAAATTAACACTTTCAGTTACTTGTCAAAATAAAATGGTGAAGTTTGAGTCAACTCAGCAGCCTAGATGCCAGTTACTCCAGGAAACCTCCCAACATTTCATCAACAGCTGTGAGTGACATTTCACTTTTCTGATGTCTCAATTTATTCATACCTCTTTTATGAAAAAAAGTGTCTTTTAATCATTCCATATAATTCAACATGCGCTTTATCTCTTCAGCTCCTATAGAAATTTCTTACGGGCAGGAGCTTAGATGCTTTATTTTTAAAATTGCAATAATTTAATCAGTAATATTTTTAAATGAATGAATAGAGCAGTGCTATTCGGGTATTAAGGTACTGGTCAGTACTACACTTCTCTTCTAGGGCTCTGTATCAGCTTCTCCCAAGGTTGGTGATTATTGGAAGAATTTGGTTTCTTATGACTGTAGGACTGAGGTCCCTGTTTTTTTGTTTTGTTTTTGTTTTTTTTTGCTATATTGTCCTGTTCATATTTAAGCAAACAAAAAACATTGAATCCTTCTTGTGTTTCCAATTTCTCTTACTTCCCTTTATGTCTTACTCTTCTGTGTCTAAGGTATTTGGAAATTATACTGGGCCTCTGCTGCTGGATAATCCAGGGCAATCTTTCTGTTTTAAATTCAACTGATTAGTAAGTTTAATTACATCTGCAAAGTTATTTTACACATGTAAAATAACATACTTATAGTCTGGGAATTAAGAGGTAGAATCTTCTTGGGATACAATTCTCCTGTTGCACCCAGCTTGTCTGAAATGTCATCACCAAAGGTATATTTACTAGAATATGTAAGTATATTCTTTTATTAGACAAATATTCCTAAACATGCCAATATGGTCATGATTAACATTCACATTTCAGTGTGAATTTGTAAAGTCAGAATCTTACCTTTTAAAAACTCATATTTGCACTTTAGTAATGAGAAATGTAGAGATGAAAATATTAAGTGATGCTGTAATTTTATACCATAGACAACGATTTCCCTGTAGAAAATTATAGAGATCCCTGGGTGGAATACTTAAACCTGGCACTCTGGAAAGGGGTGCTAGAAAGTAGAATGAATTGGATAGAGTATATGACAAATCATAAAACAGCTTTCTTTCTTTCTTTTTTTTTTTTTTGAGATGGAATTTTTCTCTGTCACCCAGGCTAAAGTGCAGTGGTGCGATCTCGGCTCACTGCAACCTCAGCCTCCTGGGTTCAAGCGATTCTTCCGCCTCAGCCTCCCAAGTAGCTGGGACTACAGTCACGTGCCTCCACATCCGGTTAATTTTTGTATTTTTAGTAAAGACGAGGTTTCACCATATTGGCCAGGCTGGTCACGAACTCCTGACCTTGTGATCCGCCCACCTCGGCCTCCCAAAGTAAAACAGCTTTCTTATAGGCTGGGAGTTATAGTACTGAGCTAGCTACATTAACCGGATCTTAGATTGACCCCCTCCTTTATCAATTACTCAAACATCCACCCCCCCCCTCCCCACCCACCACCCCCCCCCCCCACATAAACGTCTGCATAGAAATACAAGACAATATCCTGGAGAGTTTCTGGAGTTGAGAGACTTGTTTTTTTGTTTGTTTGTTTGTTTGTTTTTCTCTTGCAGCACTGTAAAGTATTTTCATAAAATAACAATAGAGGTAAAAGGGCATTTTGAATAGAAGGAAAGGTACAATATATAATTATTTCCAATGGTTTTAAAAAAAACTCCTTAACTAACAGGAATAACCTTGCCTATTCAGTTACTGAATTGTATATTTAAAGAAAGAAATAATTTTCTCTGGTTCCAGTATTGAGTCCATGATAATCCAATCATAACCTGACAGGGAGTAAAACCAATTTCTATTTCGCTTTACTGCACCATAGTATCTAATCTTTTTCTATTGATGGTTATTCCGTGCAATTTTCATTAGAAGAGTTTTAAACATCAGACGTCACACTTGGAGGCTGCAGCAGATTCATAGCAACTCTTTCATATCTGGTCACTTCATAATTAGGTTATAACTTTACAAGAAAGCACATACAAGGCACTGGGTCACAGCTTTAAAGTTATAGAACGAATAAAATCACCCAGGGTGTACCATTATTTTGAAATGACTTATAAGCAGTTTCATTTTATTGCCAAACATTTTTATAATTCCTTTTCCAAAGACAAATGTGCTTAGCTTGATTTGTGTTTGTCTTTGCATTTAATCATGTTTGCAGTCATTTTTTGAATTTACAATTAATCCTTTCTACATTTATGTAACACTATCCTAAACTTTTTTCCCTCTAAATTTATCTTAGTGGGTGATTGCTTATTACATTTTTATAATGTAGTAATTACTATATATACATAGTGCTTTGAGCATCCTGACAGAAGGTATTTTATAATTATATTATTTAATTGCTCAAACATTTGCAAATAACACATTCATAAAGTCTAAAACATGTAAACATGACACAGATTCTAGTGCTATTCAGAAAACCACTAGATCGGAAATACTTTATGTAAACATAAATTAGCATTTTACACACTCCTGGCCAAACTACATGAGACCTGGGCCTGAATTTAGTTACCTACCCTCAGGCAGCTAGTAGCAAGATGCTGGTATATCCATACAGAGTGCAGCAATAGACTTATGAGGCAAAAGTGTATGGTTTATTGTTGTTGGCTATTGTTTTTTCTGAAGAAAAATAATGAAAATCGAAGTCTTAGAAAAACAATGGGGATGATAATGAGAAAACTGAGACCTAGTTGTCGTTCTTCCACTTACTAAGCACACGAGCACATCACTTAGCCTCTAGGTTTCTCTTTAGCATGTGTGAAAAAGTGAGGCTGAGCTACAGCTGCACCTTGGTACTTTCTAGTTTGGGAATTAGAGGAGTTTATGGATTGATATGTGTTCTCCCTGTCCGTAAGCTATTGTCCTGTTGTAAAACTGGCAGCTTGGAAGACAAATTAACCGTATTAGTCAGTATTCTCCAGAGAAACAGAACTAATAGGACAGAGATAGATATCAGGACTGTGAATATGATTTTTTTTTAAGTTTCAATAGCTTTAGGGGTACAAATGGTTCTTGGTTACATGGATAAATTGTATAGTGGTGAAGTTTGGGCCTTCAGTGTACCTGTCACCTGAATAGTATACACTGTACCTAGTAGGTGATTTTTCATCCCTCACCCCCCTCACTCTCTCCCCTTCTGAGTCTCCAAAATCCATTATAACATTCTGTATGCCTTTGCATAACCACAGCATAACTCCCACTTATGAGTGAGAATATGCAATATTTAGTTTACCCTTCCTGAGTTACTTCGCTTAGGAAAATGGCCTCCCATCCCATGCAAGTTGCTACAAAAGACATTATTTCATTCCTTTTTATGGCTAAGTCATATTCCATGGTGTGTGTATGTGGGTGTGTGTGTATATATATATCACATTTTGTTTATCCATTCATTGGTTGATGGGCACTAGGGTTGACTCCATATCTTTGCAATTGTGAACTGTGCATGTGAGTGCAGATATCTTTTCTATATAATGACTTTCTTTTCCTTTGGGTAGATACCCAGTAGTGGAATTGCTAGATTGAATAGTAGATCTTCTATTGGTTGTTTGACAAATCTTCATACTGCTTTTCATAGAGGTCGTATTAATTTACATTCCCAACAACAGCGTATGACATTTCCACCAACAGTGTGTATGCATTCCCTTTTCACTGTACCCATGCCAATACTTACTGTTTTTTCACTTTTCAGTGAAAGTCATTCTGACTAGGGAAAGGTGGTATCTCATTATGGTTTTATTTTGTATTTCCCTAAGATTAGTGATGTTGAACATTTTGTCATATATTTTTGACCAATTCAAAATCTTATTTTGATAAATGTCTCTTTATGTCATTTGCTCACTTTTTAATGGGAATAGTTGTTTTTTCTTGCAGATTTGTTTGAACCCGTTGTTGATATTTGCCTTTTGTCAGATGTATAGTTTGTGATATTTTTCCCATTCCGTAGGTTGTCTATTTATTCTCATGATCATTTCTTTTGATGTGCAGAAGCTTGTTAGTTTAATTACTTCCCGTTATTTTTAGTTTTGTTGCATCTGACTTTGGGGTCTTAGTTATCAATTCTTTGGCTAGGCAACATCCAGAAGAATTTTTTCTAGGTTTTCTTCTAGAACTTTTATGACTTCAGATCTTACATTTAATTCTTTACTCCATATTGAGTTTATTTTTGTATATGGTAAGTGATATGGATCCAGCCTCATTCTTCTGCATGTGGCTATCTAATTTTCCAATAACTGATGAAACAGAATGAACATAGCAAAGTTCACAAAAAGGCACAAGATAACAGTAGATAAGACAGCAATTCCCTTCAGTGGGAAAAAAGAAGTCTAAAAAGGTTACGAGCCTAGCAACAATGATCACGTGGTCTGAGAGTTTGGATGAAACATAAATCATTTTATTAATCATATTATCAATAATATTAAACTATGATAGTGATTAATTGAATGTTCATACTGTTAAAGGCTTTCTATGCAACTGCACAACTAGGCAGTCTTCACTCTTCATATGCAAGCCCAGCATTGACAGAGATACTGGTTACTTCCAGACCAAAGCTGAAGAACTGCTCCCCAAAGAAACTGAACAATATATATGGGAGAACTAGGGATCCTGGTGGAAGTATTAACCCATCAGAATTTTTCCATTTATTAGTTTTAATGTATTTTTTTACTTTCGGAAACTACGGTGAAAACTAGCTTGTCTATCTGCTTCTTACTCACATGCCATTACAGGAAATGCTGAGAGGTAGTCCTCCTATCCAAAGTAGAAAAATATTGGGGGAAGCTGACCTACAGAAAAACAAAGAAAACCAGTATCAGCCATGTATAATATGATAAATACTTGGAGATGTCCCTCAGTCAAACATTAAAAGTAACCCATTAATGTGTACAACATAACATCAAAGAAACAGCTGGCATCATCTCTACATATAATAAAAAATATTCCTGGATGGGAATAGGCAGCCTACAAAGAAATCAGTCTACATTGGAAGCAAGACAGAAGGTACCTAGAAAAATTTTACATATTTAAAATTTTTGTCTGTAGTTGTCTTTTTTTTTTTTTTTCATTCAGCATCTGAACCTCCTATAATACTTCATTTGAGAAATCTGTTACTATGTGATTCTTGGGGTAATTAGCAATTTATCCACAATTCTACAAGTCATTCTACTGGTAGTGATATAGTATATTATCCAGTAGTATCAGTGTCATCAATGATATCTGTTGTCCAATTAGCAAATGAATGGTTAAAGAAAATGTGTTATACACAATGAAATAATGTTCACCCATAAAATCAATGAAATCTTGCCATTTGTGACAACATAGATGAATCTAGAGAACACTAAATTAACTGGAATAAGTCAGGCACAAAAATAGAAATACCACATGATCTCACTCCTATGTGGAAGTTTTAAAAGTTGAGCTCATAGATGTAGAGAGTAAAATACAAGTTATCTGAGTCAGGGGAGGGTAAGGAGAAGGGGGATGGGAGAAGTAGGACAGCAGGTACAATGTTACAGTTAGATATGAGAAAAGCCTTCTGCGTTCCAATGCACAGTAGGATGACTATAATTTACAATTACATATTGTGTATTTCAAAAAAGCTAGAAGAGAGAAATTTAAATGTTCTTACCATAAGGAACTGATACATGTTTGAGGTGACAGAAATACTAATTACCCTGACTTGATCATTATACAAGTTAGCCATGTATCACAACATCACACTATACTTTATAAATATGTACAATCAAAAATAAAATAAAAAACAAGTCTTTTTAACAAATGTTGCTAGAGCATTTGAATATCCATATGCAAATTTAAAAATTAAAAATAAAATACCTTGGTGTAGGCCTTTTACTTTATATAATAATTTACTCAAAACAGATGACATATTTAAATGTAAAATGTAAAACTCGAAACTTCTAAAGGAAAACATAAGAGATAGTTTTAGTGAACTTTGAATCAGAAAAGTGTTCTTAGATATGATACCAAAAGTATGATTCCCCAAAGAAAATATTGATAGATGGCACTTTACCAAAATTAATTTTTTTTCTGTGAAAACACTGTTAAGAGAATTAAAAGACAAGCTATATACTGGAGAAAGATATTTACAAAGGTGGTGTCTCCCAAGGAACTTTTTATCCATAGTATAAAAAGAACTCTAAAAACTCACAAAAACCACCCAATGAAAAAATGAGCACAATTTTGAATAGAGACTCACCAAAGAAGATATATCAGTGGCAAATCAGCATATGAAAAGGTGTTTGATATGATTAGTCATTGGGATAATACAAATTAAAGGCATAAGGAGATAACAATAGACACCTATTAGATTGGTAAACAACAATAACTGAAAGAATAACCTGACAAAGCTACATTTGGTGGCAAGTTTACAGAGCAGCCAGAAATTTCGTACATTGCTGGTAAGAATGCAAAAATGATACAGCCAAGAGTTTAGCATTTTCTTATTAAACTAAACATATACTTACGTTATGATGCCATGAGTTTTCTCCCTAGGAGTTTACCCAAAAGAAATAACACTTTAATTCATTAAAATTTTTATAGGGATTTTTAAAGTAGCTTAATTTATAAGCTCCAAAAATAAAAAAAAAAAAAACAACTAGATGCCCTTCAGCCAGTGTAAAGAAAAACAGACCCTGATGAATCCATGCAGTGAATACTACTCAGCAATAAGAAGGAGCAAATGACTGATACAAGTAATAATAAACATGAATTTCAAATGAATTATGATAAGGGAAAGAAGCCAGGCTCAAAGGGCTACGTCGTGCAAAATTCCATTTGTATAACATACTGAAAAAGACGAAACTATAGGGAACGAGAACAAATGATTGATAGATGCCAGGTTTTAGAAACCGGGGAAAGGGTTGATTACAAAGGGACAGTACTAGGGCATGTTCTAGGTGAGGGATTGCCCCATACTTTTCTTATTGTGGTATACACAACTCTATGCCTTTGTCAAAACTCGTAGAAGAACTGTATATCCCAAAGAGTGAATTTCACTGCATGTAAAGTTAAAATACATAAATTAAAATTAACAGGGGAATTTTCAAGCATAGTACATAAATGATTAAATGTTATCGATGATGAGAGCAAGAAAAACTGATGTGGAAATAGTAGAATAAGAAGTCAACAGAGGTTGTATACACTTGATTTAGAATGAGAAACAATATGGATGGAGCTACATGAACTAACGCAGGAACAGAAAACCAAATACCACGTGTTCTCAACTATAAGTGGTAGCTAAACATTGAGTACATTATGAACACAAAGAAGAGAACAATAGACACCAGGGCGTGTTTAAGGAAGGGAGGAAGCTGAGGATCGAATGACCACCTATTGGGTACTATGCTTATTACCTGGATGGCGAAGTAATCTGTACACCAAACTCCTGTGACATTCAATTTACCTATAACTAACCCACACATGTACCCCTGAGCCCAAAATAAAACTTTAAAAATATATACCTATATTATTTAGAAATATTGAAGTAGTCGAGAATTAAGAAAGAAAAATAGCATTCCCTGAGGTCTTATGGGACAAGTTTTGTACTTACCCCATCGGTCATGATTGAATTTTTAAAGTATGCACATATAGCTTTTAGTAAAAATCAACTATGTAGTGTTTATGTTTTATAAATACATTTACAAAAATTATATTGAGTTAATGTAAGGGTAGATAACACAGTAAATTGATCCTATTTAATGATGTGACTTTAGTAATTTTTATATAATCCTTCTGTGGTCTTCGCAATGTGTGAAGATAAAGAAACTATCTTGTTTTTTGTTTAAAGTTGATTTCTGTATCTGTTAGACCCTAGATCACAATGACTTTATGAATATTGTGAGTAAAGCAAACAGACAATTGAAGCCATACCCCTTACAGACCTATATTTCAGTCCTGTGTTTGTCAGCGTGTGTTCCCTGCTCTTTTCCAACGTGCAAAGTAGTCTATCTGGTCACTTGGGGAAATTCTAACAAGCAGTAATTAATCAACTAAAAGATATGTGTCTCATGTAATTACTATATGACATAAAACTCTGAATACAGCAAAAACATTATGGATCCTACTAGACAGGGCAGAGATCTCAGTAGGAGGCTGGTAATACAAGCTGCTGCTTGGAAGCATAGAAGACATCTTTGTCCAAGCTGTTTAGTACATTTTGAAACTCTCAGGAAACCCTAGTATTATTCTGGGCCTGATAAACATGTTCTTGCCCTTTTTAAATGTAGTACTATTTTTCTCCTAGCAAAGATAGTTTACCTTATAAGTTATTATTACATAATATACCACCATCATGACAAAAGCTTAGGAAACTTTCTATATTTCTTTGGTATTTATTTACAACCCTGTGAAAACCAACTTGCTGGTGACTTTCATGCTTTCAAAGCAAAAATTACCTAGTGATTCTTCAAAAGATAGCACAAACTCCTAAAAAGCAAGCATTATAAGACCTGGTGATTTAAAATCATTGATCTTGTTATAAAAACTTCAATTCTATTTTAGGGAAGGTATTTTTTCTCATAATTTGACATGTATTTCTACATTTAGCACAGTTTCTGCATATATTTGCTAAATTCAGTTAATTTTATGATAAATCCAGAAGGAGGATCCCAAGTGCGTCATTACACAAAAATAATATTTATTGAGAAATAATACACAGTCACCTTTATCCTATTTCTTATGGGGTAAGGTATGCTGATTAATATATCAGTGTTCCAAACACGTCTTTTTATCCTGAACAACAGTGCCATAATAAACCAGAGATGGAAAGCTTATTGAGGGTGAGAGAAGAATTACATTTCAGTAAAGAAATAGATTTCATTTTAAGTACCCACGGGGTTATTTTACAAAAATAATTAAAATAAATTTTAAGAAAAATACTGCTTGGCAATGGCCTTTATGTCTAGAATATTGTTTTCTCAATATAACCCCTATTGAGGCAAAAGTAATATTAACAAATGATAAAGTTTTGCTATAATTCTTAGTATTTTAATAAACACAGTTATAACATGCCAAGTAAATTAAACTCCTTAATCTTTTCCCCCTATTTTATTTTAACACTGCAATGCTGTACTTGGAAAATGATCATTCCACAAACAAAGTCACTAATCATCCAAGACTGATTAAAGAGAAAAAGTTTTCTTAATTCCTGTGACCCCTAAGCTGAAGTCTTTGAATAGGAGATTAAAACTTAATTATCTGATGTACAAGTTCAATGTTATCAATCTGGCCTCTTTACCACTTTGCAAGTGTAAATTGCTTGGGTAAAATAGGTGAATGGTCTCTCCTTTTCTTTTTTAAATAGTTCACATTTTCAATTTCCAGATGAAAAATAATACCTTGACTAAATGCTAATTATACTTTTCTGCTGACAAAGATAGAATAAACCAAGAGATTACCTAGAATACTAAGGGGATAGCAGTATGCATAAATCAATACTGCCTCTACCCATATTACTAATCTTCTTTAGACATAAAACACAAAGGTTTTTGAAAAACGTAGACCACTTTGAGATAAGGTTTAAAGTGCTCTCTCAATTTTAAAATATACTTTCCTTTACTAAACAATTTTAGGCTAAACTATTTTAAGTATAAATAATAAACTGAAGGAAAAAAACAAAAGCCAGGACCTCCTCTGTACACCCCCACTACTGTCCACCTAGTACTGTTTCATATAGGTAACCACATCAGTTTCATGTATGAACTTCCAGAAATAGTATATGCATACACAAATGTTATTTCACTGAAATTTTAACATGAAACTACATCTTGTATTTTTTTCTTGAAATACAGTATATATACCGATCCATATGAATGCATATGGAGTTGGTATGTTAGAATATTATGTAAATGTTTTCTGACTTATTTAAATTGTTGCTTATGATACGTCCAGAAACAACGAAGGCCCAGTCCACCTTGTGTTCTTGCTTATGGTGACGTCCCTTTCCAGGTCATTTGAATTCTTCCCTGACAGCCGAGTAAAAGAAAACAGGGTCTCATGCCAAGTTGCTTGAGTTCAAATTTTAGCGCCACCAGTTTCCACCATGTAAAATTTATGTAAATTATTACAAATTGATGTAAGAATCCATTTATATTTCTGTAAAAATGCTATAATTATATCTCAAATTTTATAAATTAGAGAAGTCATGAAAAATATTTACCACACTTCCTGGCAAGTTTTAAGTGTTCTATAAATAAGATGTGAATATTAATGCCCTTGCTTTCAGGAGCCTTCTGAAACATGAGATAAATTCATCGTCACATATGAAGTTTTAAGTATGTCCTCTAATAGTATGTATGGCTCTGGCCATGATCGTTTGAGTGGATCTACAGAATGGATCCTTTTCCATTCCTCCCCTTACAGTAGACAGATATTTTTCTCTAACACCTGCCTAAGTACAAGGAGCAGGTAGGTAAGTGTTGTCCCAACACTGAAGTACTACTACAAAAATGACTGGACCCTCTTCACATTAAAAGCAGTAAGTTGCAGTATATCTTAAATTGCAGACTCAAACTACAAGACCCCATATGTCTGTAAGTAGTCTTTATACAAATATATTACTCTACGTAGGTCAAGGGCTCCAACTGCCTGGCACACATTCAGATGACTTTTATGTATATCAGTTAACACCTTCTCTCTTCCTGCTCTGTGGATGCAATGGTGCTCTGTAAAGTGACGTGTCACTCCCTTATCTCTAGAACTGAATAGTCAATTCCTTACTGTGCTAGCATTTGACTGCTCTATGAGTAAATGGGTGTGGGCATTGTGACCACCATTCCCTTCCGTATGCATATCCAACCAAGCAAAGATACAATGAATCTAGATCTCTTGTTCCCTGAGCAGTCTCAGTTCCTGTGTGGCATTTATGTTTGAATGTCTCATAGTATCTTATTTATTTATTTACTTATAATATCCATGCCTAAGGTGGCTATTATCCATGTGTAAAGTGGCTATTATTATTGTCCCACTATTACAGAAAAAAGAATCAAAAGTTTAAAAAGCACAGGTAACTTCCTTAAGGTCCAAAATCATTAAGTGGCAGAGCTAGTACTCAAACAGAGGTTCCGCTGACTTCAGGTCCATATTTTTCCACCACAAAACATTGTCTCCCATAAATAAGTAAAGAAGTTCCATGTGAAACTGATTAAATTCTGCAAGAACAAAATTAACTAAACCAGATTTTGTTTTCTTTTCTACAATGAAAAAAAAAACCTGTATGTACAGGGAATATAAATATTATATTATGCTTGGCACTATGATAAAATGTAAAACACGAAAACTGTTGACACATTTTCAAAGCTATCAGTCAGGGAGGTAACCAGGCAGTGGTTTACAGACCAAACTTAGGCCTGCAAACACTTGAGGATTCCCTTACGAAAATGAATGTAGATGGCAACACAAGAATATTTACATGAAGTGATGGAGGTAATAAAATTAGCACATTAAAGCCAAAGTAACTAATATCTTTTAGAACCTCTCTATTAGAATATTGTTTTCACCCAAAATGGTTTATAGATTGTGCTAATAAATACGTACATTTTTTTAAAGTATCACTTTTGCTCTGTTATCTACAGAAAACATGCACAAGGGCTAGTGCCCAGTTAAGATCACCCTTCCAGGCCATTGGACAAAATGAATTCAATGTATGAACTTGTTCTTACTAGAGCTTTGCTTCAAATTAGTGATTCCAAGCTGTGGTCTAACTCTAACAATAGTAATGTACAATGTTCAAATTGCCTTCACATTAGTTTACTCATTTTATTCACACACAAAAAAACTTTTATTTTGAGTGATTATACTACTAATCACTTTTTTAAAAAGATAATAGCATTGGGCTGGGCACCAGGGCTCACGCCTGTAATCCCAGCACTTTGGGAGGCCGAGGCGGGTGGATCACAAGGTCAGGAATTCAGGACCAGCATGGCCAACTTGGTGAAACCTTGTCTCTACTAAAAACACAAAAATTAGCCGGGCATGGTGGTGGGTGCTTGTAGTCCCAGCTACTCGGGAGGCTGAGGCAGAGAATTGCTTGAACCCAGGAGGAGGAGTTTGCAGTGAGCTGAGATTGCACCACTGCATTGCAGCCTGGAAGACAGAGCAAGACTCTGTCTCAAAAAAATAATAATAAAATAAAATAAATAAAGATAATAGCGTTGAATTTGAGGTTAATGAATTTGCCCAACAATTCGTCTGTCCATTTTTGAGAAAGAACAGAATTTCTTAACCCTTAGCCAAGTGTTCTTCTAGTGATAATGGCAATGATAGTGACAGAACAGGAACATCTGCACAATAATACTATCAATGACAATAGCAGTATCAGTAGCCTTGCATTTCTAAATATATATGTGAAATTTCTGTGTCATGGTCTTAATAAGGATATTACCTCACCTAAACCTCATAAACAATGTTACGAAATGAAAATTATCTTACACAAATCATAAAACTCAGTCTGGGAGGGGTTTAATAACAATCCTAGATCACATAGCTAGTAAGTGCCAGTGTAACACGTTATGTTTCACAGGTAGTACTGTTTATCAGAGATCTAATTTATAGTTTAGCCCATGTGCTGGTCTCCACTCATTTTGTTGTTCAAAACGGGATAATGTTCATGCTCTATTTAAGACATGAACAACTATCTCATTATTTTAGCTATAAACTCTGATATCATTATTCTCTAAATAACATAGATTATTAGTTTACCACTATTAAGGATGAGGGAGGTGCTTTAATGTGGATATTTTGGAGCATTCCCTCATCGGATGATAGTAACAAATGAATGTGAGTTTTTTTTTTTTTCTTTAAAGGCATAATAACACTTTTTTCTTCATCGCCACAGGGTCCATTCTCTTTGTATTTCTCTCCATATTTCTTCAGGTCTTACCTTCTTTCTTTCTCCCATGATCTCTCAGCACAGGTCACTGATATAGCCAATTGCAAATACCCATCTCCATCACAGTTCATTCAACAAACAATTGTTAAGAAATGAAAATACTTCAGTACTTTGTTAAGTGCAATGTATATAGAGATAAATGAAATGAACATGACATCTCTCCTTACAGATACAAGCATTTACATAAGGACATTGATATTAAGCAAATGCATTAATAATTGTGTTATGGCCAAAAAGAAGGATGAGAAAAAAACAAGATGCAGGATGATACGTGACCTTTCACAAAAGAGGCTCATGTAAACAGTAGTCTCAAGAAAGGTCTCCCTGACAAAGTAATTTTTGGCTGAAATTTGAAAAGTAAGTAGGAATTATGCATACAAATAAGGTAGGAAACTTGTCCAATGGTCCTGTGGGAGGAAGGTACTGAATAAGGGAACCAAAGGTGAAATTTAGTAAGGAAGGATGACAGTCCACTAGAATAATGAATTAATCAAGAGCTATATACACCTTATTCATGATATTCACTCTCTTCTATGATTAAAATAGATGATTGAAAGACTGTAAGCAGGGAAATATTTTCTTTCTAAAAACTGACCCTGTGGTAGATGGAGAAATAATAGATTGGGTCTCCAATATAGTCCCAAGACTATATTTGAGGAGACTGGTTATAAAACAGTTACCAAATACCTAGTAAGACATGCTGGTAGCTAAAATTGGAATTGTCTCAATCGATATTTGAGAAATAGAGCACATGTTTGATATAGATTTGAGGGGTTTAGTCTGCACTATTGGTAATTTATCAGAAGGGTGAAGGAGCAGGAAGACTCAAGAGGAAATTCAAGTACAAAATTGGATACAAATTTTTGAGCTTTCAGAAGGATTAGAAATCAAATTTAAAACATGTTCAGTCTAAGATACCAAAGAGAAGTGAGGGAGTTCAGAAACAAAACTATCTGAAACAGAAGACAAACATAGATAACCAAATAGTGGTATATTTATAGTACTCAGCAATTACAGGCAACAAACATTTGGTGCATGCAGAAAAATGAATGAATCTTTAAAATGTTATGCTAAGCAAAAGTAGTTAGACACAAATCACCAAATTATGATTCCACATATATGAATATCTAGGATAGATAAAATGAATCTCTAGTAATAAAAATCAAATGAGTAGTCACCTAGGGTAGAAAGGCATGAGGGTAGGGGGGTGAGGAAGACAGTTAAGGGGCAATAGGAAGCTTTATGGGATGTGGAAATTACCTAAATCTGGATTAAAGTGATGGTTAAAATTGTGTATATATGTATCAACATTGAACTGTACAGTGAAAATGGATGCATTCTATTATACACAATATATAGCAATAAAGTTGATTTTTAAAAGACAAATATATGCTATCAGCTAATTTAATGCTTTGCACTTTTTCCCAGAAGTTAAAAAAGAATCAATCAATTTTAAGATAGGGCAAATAATAGTGTTTCAGAAATTGAGGCTTTGCTCCTAGCAATAATACTCACAAATAACACATAAAGTACAAATGTATGGTCTTACTGAATGTGCTGGATTTGAACTGCTCTTACACTCCCACTTAAATCCCAAAGTGGCATTTTGGGAGGCCGAGGTGGGTGGATCGCCTGAGGTCAGGAGTTTGAGGCCAGCCTGGCCAACATGGCTAAACCCTGTCTCTACTAAAAATAGAGAAATTTAGCGGGGTGTGGTGGTGTACGCTGGTAGTCCCAGCTACTAGGGAGGCTGAGGGAGGAGAATTGCTTGAACTAGTGAGACAGAGGTTTCATTGAGCCCAGATTGGACCACTGCTCTCCAGCCTGGGTGATAGAGTGAGACTCCGTGCCAAAGGAAAAACAAAGTGATTATCTTACTGATTATAATGATGATCATGATCATATTTCTGATTGTTGGATATAATTGAATAATCTTGTTGCTAGGACTGTAGTAAATGATCTTTATTAAAAATGCTTAAAAGTTGTTTTTTATACATAATTCGTCACTCAAATTATCTGCTTACTAACTCTCAAAAATATTCCCTATATTTACAATTGTTTCAATTCAGATCAGATTAACAGTTTCACGTGTGTGACACAGTGGAACTTCCAGTATTTTACTGCCTCACTGGAGGCTTACAATGATTTTCATGTACAGGTATCACAGCAGATAATTTTATGACCTTTTAACTAATATCTTAAATTTACTTCATCTGTGATTAATAGTTACAATGATATATCAATTTTAACATTGGAGCAGTACCCCTTAAAGCATTTTGGTGAGTTAAAACTGGATACTATTTCAGTTGGAATATTTAGCAGTGTTTTGAGAAGGCTTAGATAGAATCAAATCGTTTCATTTTATTGAAACGGTTGGATTGTGTTTCTATTTAGGTAGAAAGTATCATCATGTGACCCAACACTGACTGTCAACTTGTGAGTGTCTCCCATGAAGAATACATCATTTGCTGAACACATAACACCAAGTTCGGTTATCTGTCAAAACACGGAGCCATCAGAGTTTGAAAAGGAGGATGATAAAATTGTAACACACCTGACATACACTGCTAGAAGGCTGCTGCTAGAAGGAAGCAATTGCTAGAGTTCAATGTTTCATTAGAGCACAAGATGGATAGGATTTGTTTGATTTTAATTTTTAGACTCTAGGGATATTTTTGCCATATTAACCACTGTGAATTTTCATAAAATAAAACAATGGAATCATGCCCAGAAAAGAAAATTAAAAGTCCAACTTTAATTATTCACACAATTTAACATGGAAAATGAAAAAGAATGACAGTGAGAAAATACAAGTAATGAAAAGGGAGAGCTAATGAAGATATCTGTCCTGGTTGAAAACATGTTTTGTAAAAAGAGGAAAATAAAAAAATAGTTTATGTAAATATAAGTGTACTTTCCTCTCATGATGGTTAAAACTGTGTCAACTTGATTGGATTGAAGGATGCAAAGTATTGATCCTGGGTGTGTCTGTGAGGGTGTTGCCAAAGGAGATTAACATTTGAGTCAGTGGGCTGGGAAAGGCAGACACACCCTTAATCTGGGTGGGCACCATCTAATCAGCTGCCAGTGCAGCCAGGATATAAAGCAGGCAGAAAAACAAAAACAAACAAAAAAACATGAGAAAGCTAGACTGACCTAGCCTCCCAGCCTACATCTTTCTCCCATGCTGGATGCTTCCTGCCTTGAACATTGGACTCCACATTCTTCAGGTTGGGGACTCAGACTGGGTCTCCTTGCTCCTCAGCTTGCCTATTGTGGAACCTTGTGATCATATAAGTTAATACTTAATAAACTCATATATATATATGAGTTTATTATATATATCCTCTTAGTTCTATCCCTCTAGAGAACCCTGACTAATTTTGGTACCAGAAGTGGGGTGGCTCTAGAGGAACTGAATATTAAGGATGGAGTTCTTATGTTAGTTTTGGGGTTTCTGGGGTTGGCTGCTTAATACGATTAAACCCCAAAATGTTAAGGACTCAACTTCCAATAGTATGGAGAACACTGATAGTCCTTGGTGTGAACTGTTTAGAGAGTTATGCAAAATAAGCACACTTGACACTGCTGATTCACCACTTGTGAGAGGCAAGAAGTTTAGTGACTCTATACATAATAGCTTAGACTATATGTCTGAATAGTCTGACTCATGTGGAGCTCTGGCATTGGCTAATTAATCATGGTGTTCCTAGAAGTGAAATTGATAGGAAGTCTACTGCATTCCTACTTAATTTATGTCAGCAGAAAACTTATAGGTCAAATGGACAAAAGACTAATTTGAATTATAAAAACAGAAAATCATGGTCCGTCAATCAATTTCCAGACTTGAGTCGTTTTACAGATGCAAAACCCCTTGAATGAAGGGGAGCCTGAGTCCCCTTGCGGAAGGAACCCACTGCATTACTGATAATTTATGCAGCGAGTCTTTCTCCCATCCTTCCCCAAGGAGACCTCTAGCCTTTTACAAGGGTAACTGTGCACTGGAGAAAGGGAAATGATCAGACATTCTGCTGACTGCTGGACACTGGCTCCAAGCTGTTGTTGATTCCAGGGGCCCCAAAATGTCATTGTGGCCCTCCAATTAAAATAGGGGCTTATGAGGTTAAGGTAATTAATGGAATTTTAGCTCAGGTCTGACTTACAGTGGATCCAGTGGGTCTCTGGACTCATCCTGTGGTCATTTCCCAGTGCCAGAATGCATAATTGGCATAGACACACTTAGCAGCTAGCAGAACCCCCTACATTGGCTCTCTGACAGGTAGAGTGAGGGCTATTGTCGTGGGAAAGGCCAAATGGAAGTCATTAGAGCTGACTCTACCTAGAAAAATAGTAAATCAAAAACAATATGTCATCTCTAGAGGGATTGTGGAGATTAGTGCCACCATCAAGGACTTGAAAGATGCAAGGGTGGTGATTCCCACCACATCTCCGTTCAACCCTCCCATTTGGCCTGTGCAGAAGTCAAATGGATCTTGGGGAATGACAGTGGATTATTGTAAGCTTAACCAAGTGGTGACTTCATTTGCAGCTGCTGTACCGGATGTGGTTCCATTGTTTGAGCAAATTAATACATCTCCTGATACATGGTATGCAGCCATTGACTTGGCAAATGCCTTTTTCTCCACTCCTGTTCATAATGCCCACACAATTTTCTCCACTCCTGTTCATAATGCCCATGCAATTTGCCTTCAGCTAGCAAGGCCAGCAATATACAGTTACTGTCCTATCTCAGGGGTATATCAGCTCTCCAGCTCTGTGTCATATTCTTATTCAGAGAGACCTTAATCACTTTGCCTTCCACAAGATATCACACAGGTCCATTACATTGATGATATTATGCTGATTGGATCCAGTGAGCGAGAAGTAGCAAACACCCTGGATTTATTGGTGAGACATTTGTGTGCCAGAGGATGGGAAATAAATCTGACTATAATTCAGGGACGTTCTACCTCAGTAAAATTTCTAGGGGTTCAGTGGTGTGGGGCCTACTGAGATATTCCTTCTAAGGTGAAGGATAAGTTGTTGCATTTGGCCTCTCCTGCAACCAAGAAAGAGGCACAATGCCTAGTGGGCCTGTTTGGATTTTGGAGGCAATACATCCCTTATTTGGGTGTGTTACTCTGGCCCATTTATCAAGCGACCCAAAAGGCTGCCAGTTTTGAGTGGGGTCCACAACAGGACAAGGCTCTGCAACAGGTCTAGGCTGCTGTGCAAGCTGCTCTGCCACTTGGGCCCTATGACCCAGCATATCCAATGGTGCTTGAGGTGTCAGTGGCAAATAGGGATGCTGTTTGGAGCCTCAGGCAGGCCCCCATAGGTAAATCACAGCAGAGGCCTCTAGGATTTTGCAGCAAGGCCCTGCCATCTTCTTCAGATAGCAACTCTCCTTATGAGAGACAGCTATTGGCCTGTTACTTGTCTTTGGTAGTAAGCGTTTGACTATGGGTCATCAAGTCACCATGTGACCTGAACTGCCTATCATGAACTGGGTGCTCAAATGCCCATGGTCTTCACTCCTGCCGCTCTGCCTTCTCTCCCCCAGCCTGCACTGATGGTGTCATGGGGAGTTCCCTATGATCAGCTGACAGAGGAAGAGAAGACTCAGGCCTAGTTCACAGATGGTTGTGCCCAATACGCAGGCACCACCCAAAAGTGGGCAGCTGCAGCACTATAGCCCCTTTCTAGGAAATCCCTGAAGGACAACAGTGAAGGACAATCTTCCCAGTGGGCAGCACTTCAAGCAGTGCACCTGGTTGTGCACTGGAAAAAGAAAAGGCCAGATGTGTGATTATACACTGATTCATGGGCTGTAGCCATTGGTTTGGCTGGATGGTCAGGGACTTGGAAGAAGCATGAATGGAAAATGTGTGACAAAGAAATTTGGGGAAGAGGTATGTGGATGATCTGTCTAAGTGGTCAAAAACTGTGAAGATATTTGTATTCCATGTGACTGCTCACCAACAGGTGACCTCAGCAGAGGAGGATTTTAATAATCAAGTGGATAGGATGACTCGTTCTGTGGACACCACTCAGCCTCTTTCCTCAGCCACCCCTGTCATTTCCCAATGGGTCCATGAACAAAGTGGCCATGGTGGCAGGGATGGAGGTTACACATGGGCTCAGCAACACGACTTTCACTCACCAAGGCTGCCATGGCCACAGCCACTGCTAAGTGCCCAATTTGACAGCAGCAGAGACCAACACTGAGCCCTCGATATGGCACCATTCCTCAGGGTTGTGATCATCCAGCTACCTGTTGGCAGGTTGATTATATTGGACCTTTTCCATCATGGAAAGGGCAGAGGTTTGTCCTCACTGGAATATACACTTATTCTGGATATGGGTTTGCCTATCCTGTAAGCACTGTTCCCGCCAAGACTACCATCCGCAGAATCATGGAATGCTTTATCCACCATCATGTTATTCCACACAGCATTGACTCTGACCAAGGCACTCACTTTATGGCTAAAGAAGTGTGGCAGTGGGCTCATACTCATAGAGTTCACTGGTCTTACCATGTTCCCCATCATTCTGAAGCAGCTGGGTTGAGAGAATAGTGGAATGGCCTTTTGAAGTCACAATTACAATGCCCACTAGGTGACAACATTTTGCAGGGCTGGGACAAAGTTCACCAGAACGCTGTGTATGCTCTGAATCACAGTCCAATATATGGTGCTGTTTCTCCCATAGCCAGGATTCATGGGTCCAGGATCAAGGGGTGGAACTGGAAGTAGCACCACTCCCCATCACCCCTAGTGATCCAGTAGTAAAATTTTTGCTTCCTGTTCCTGCGACATTACCTTCTGCTGGCCTAGAGATCTTAGTTCCAGAGGGAGGAACGCTGCCACCAGGAGACACAACAATGATTCCATTAAACTGGAAGTTAAGATTGCCATCTGGACACTTTGGGGTCCTCTTACCTTTAAGTCAACAGGCTAAGAATGGAGTTACAATGTTGGCTGGAGTGATTGATCCAGACTATCAAGAGGTAATCAGTCTACTACTCCACAACAGAGTTAAGGAAGAGTATGCATGGAATACAGGAGATCCATCAAGGTGTCTCTTAGTATTAACATGCCCTGTGATTACGGTCAATGGGAAACTACAACAGCCCAATCCAGGCAGGACTACAAATGGCCCAGACTCCTCAGGAATGAAGGTTTGGGTCACTCCACCAGGAAAGAAACCACAACTTGCTGAGGTGCTTGCTGAAGACAAAGGGAATACAGAATGGGTAGTAGAAGAGGGTAGTCATCGATAGCAGCTATGACCACGTGACCAGGTGCAGAAATGAGGACTGTAACTACCATGAGTATTTCCTCCTTCTTTTGTTAAAAACACGCTTGTGCATGTATACACATGTACTAAGAAAATATCTTCATTTTATTTCCTTTTTATTTTATCATGTGACATAAGATTTATTGACTTCATATCAGGATTTAAGTATTGTTAACTTTATGTAATAGTATTTGAGTTGGGGATTGGTGGATTTTTGGTTGTACAAAGGATAGTTGTATTATGTTAGGCGTAATTATGACCTTATTATTGTCTTTATTTGAAGATTATGTATAGTCTCAGGTGATGTGTGTGGATTCAAGTTGACAAGGGGTGGACTTATGATGGTTAATACCGAGTGTCAACTTGATTGGATTGAAGGATGCAAAGTATGGATCCTGGGTGTGTCTGTGAGGGTGTTGCCAAAGGAGATTACATTTGAGTCAATGGGCTGGGAAAGGCAGACACCCTTAATCAGAGTGGGCACCATCCAATCAGCTGCTAGCAGTGCCAGAATATAAAGCAGGTAGAAAAATGTGAAAAGACTAGACTAGCCTATTCTCCCAGCCTATATCTTTCTTCTGTGCTAGATGCTTCCTTCCCTAGAACACTGGACTCCACATTCTTCAGGTTTGGGACTCAGACTGGCTCTTCTTGCTTCTCAGCTTGCTGACAGATTATTATGGGCCCTTGTGATCCTGTGAGTTAATACTTCGTAAACTCATATATTTATATATCCTATTAGTATTTATATATCCTATTATATAATATATATCCTATTAGTTCTCTCTCTATATATATCCTATTAGTTCTGTCCCTCTACAGAACCCTGACTAATATACCTCTTACCATCAAAACCAATTCAGAAGAATCAGTAAGCTGAATTGTAACCCACACCAGAATTGACAACAAAGATTTAAATAGCAAACTAGGTAATTTTGTGATTATAAGATTGTTCATACTTCAAGATGAATTAAAGAAAAATAAAGCACTTTCTATAAGTTTCTAAATAAAATAATAATTAGTCTGCAACAAAATGATGAAAATTCAAACCCACAGAACAAAATATTACAGCTGAGAACAAGATAATCAATGTGATCACAAATATGCCGAAGCCACAGAAAGAGTAATTTTCCACAGGTCTTTACTTCTTTAGCACAGGTAATATTACTCACTTCTATTCACTCCAACGTATAGTTACCTAGTATATTTTAATGAGAAAAAAAGAGAATTATTTCACTCTTTATTTGATTAATGAAAGAAACTAAATATAAATTTGCTCTAGGTACATTAGACTGTCTACATTGCAAAAGTTAGATGAATCTGTATGTGATTTTGCCAAAAAAAAAAAAAAAGGAAAAGAAAACACCATTTCTCTTTAGGTAGAATTCACTTAAATCTTTTCAGGGCTTATCCTTTCATTCTAAATGTCTATAAATAATTTGCATGTTCTTATTTTCACCTACCTTACATTTTACTGCGGGGAAACAGACATGTGTAGATTGTACTTCCTGATGGCAAAAATAATGTCTTTTTTTGTTTATATTTTTCCATAACTTGAGGCTGACAAAAAGCTAGCAATAATGTACAATTATTAAATGAATGAATAAAATACTAAACATAAAACAATTAAATTGAAATGACCAAATAGTCAAGGAATAAAGAATTTCAATTCAAAAACAACTTTAGATATGAGAGATGTACTGGGGAAACTCCTTGGCTCATTTAGAAGGCTCGTATCATATCAATCACAAAACCCAAAAAAGAAGAAAATATATTGACGAATCACACACTCATTTAGATGTAAAAAACCATATTAACAAATAACAAATTAAAACTAATTACAAATAAATGAATACTAATTTTATATGATAAATTCAAGGATATAACTAGATATTCAATAAGTATAGTTTGGAACATAAACAGAAAAGATAAAAATTCTATCATTAATAATTTATTATAATATTTGATAAAATTTAATATATATTCACAATTTTACAAACACAGCAAATGAAGAATCACAGAATCTTTCTTAATCATGTAAAACACACCTAAAAATAGAGTAAGCATTATATTTCATAGTGGAATATAGAAAGCTTTCCTTTTAAGATCAGGAACAAGACAAAAATGTTCACTCTCATGACTTTTATTCAAAATTGTACTGGAGTACCTATTCATTAAAAAAAATATAGATTTAACCTAGCTGTATAAATATTGATAGAAAGAAATGCAACTGACTTTACTCCAGACCAGATGATTATCTATTCAGAATCATCAGTGTTCACAGGTACATTATTGAAATTAGTAACAGAATTTATAATACTTGCTAGTTAAAAAATAAATTAAAACATTAAATTGAATCACCACTTCTGGTCATGATGCACTAAGACTCTCTCAGATAAACTCCAAAGCAGAAAACAATATAAAATCTGCACATAATACTGAAAACAACTATTTGAACAGAAGCAGAAAGACTCTGGAAGTATGTTTCCTTGAAGGATCAAATATAGGTATCTAGATAGCCAGATACAATTTCCATAACTTTCGCCTAGATTTAAGTATAGTCTACAAAATATACATGCTGGTGAGAGGAAGGAAATCTTAGAAATGAACATAGTTTTTCTGGACTAAGGAAACTGAAAACTGAAGCCAGGAGCTACAAATATAGAAATGGAATAATGAATGGGAAAGAGCCAGAGACAGGTGTCCCCAAACTGTTTCTACCCATAGCTGTGACTGACACTTAAAGCCCCTGTGTGGAACAGATTCAAGGAAGTTTGACTGAAGAAAAAGAGACCTGAAATGATCAGACCAGACTTGCTTCCCAAGAAACAAAACTTAAAGATCAAGTACAGCCAAGAAAAACACCTACACACACACACATACACACACACACAAAGGAAATGGCCAGACATGGTGGCTCATGCCTGTAATGCCAGCACTTGGCTAGGGTGAGGTGGGCACATAGCTTGAATCCGGAAGTCTGAGAACAGCTTGGGCAACATGACAAAATTCAGTCTCTATAAAAAATACTAAAATTAGCGGGGCATGAAGGCATGGACCTGCAGTCCCAGCTACTCGGGAGCCTGAGGTGGGAGTATCACCTGAGCCCAGGGAGGCTGAGGATGCAGTGAGCTATGACTTGAGCATCACAGTAAGACCCTGTCTCAAAAGCAAAGCAAAGCAAAGCGTAGAGGAATGGAGAGGAGAGGAGTGGAGAGGAGAGGAGAGGAGAGGAGAGGAGAGGAAAGGAAGTAATAATCTTCAGAGGAAAAAGACAGAATCAAAAATACACCTAATTATTGATAGACAGCTAGCTAGATTAACAAAGGCAAAAAGAGAAAAGGTCCAAAAAAGTGTGATTAGAAATGACAAAGGTGACATTACAACTGATAATACAGAAGTTCCTCAGAGACTATTATGAACATCTCTATGCACACAAACTAGAAGATGTAGAAGAAATGGTTAGATTCCTGGAAACTCACAGCCTCCCAAGACTGAATCAAGTAGAAATCAAAACCCTAACAGACCAATATTGAGTTCTGAAATAAAATTGGTAGTTTAATAAACTACCAGCCAAAAAGGGCTCTAGACCAGATGGATTCATAGCCAAATTCTACCTGATGTACAAAGAAGATCTGGTACCGATTCTAATGAAACTATTTCAAAAGACTGAGAAGGAGGGACTCCACCCCAACTCATTCTATGAAGCCAGCGTCACTTTAATACCCAAATCTGGCAAAGATACAACAAAAAAGAAACTACAGGCCAATATTCCTGATGAACACAGATGCAAAAATCTTGAACAAAATACTATCAAAACAAAACCAGCAGAAAATGAAAAAGTTAAATCACCATGATCAAGTAGGCTTTATTCCTGGGATGCAGGGCTGGTTCAGCATACACAAATCAATAAACAGGATTGACCACATAAACAGAATTAAAAACAAATCAATAAGTCAATAAATGGGATTTACCACATAAACAGAATTAAAAACAAAACCCATATGATCATCTCAGTAGATGAATAAAAAACTTTCTATAAAACCTAACAACTCTCCACGGTAAAAAAAAAAAAAAACCTTCTAGAAACTAGGCACTAGAAACTAGGCACTGAAAGAACATACCTCAAACTAGTAAGAGCCATCTGTGACAAACCCACAATTAACATCATGCTGAATAAGCAAAAGTTGAAAGCATTCCCACCAAGAAGTGGAACAAGACAAGGATGCCAACCATCACCACTCCCATTCAACATAGTACTATAAGTTCTATCCAGAACTGTCAGGTGAGAGAAAAAAATAAAAGGTATCAAAATAGGAAAATAAAAAATCAAATTTTCTGTCTTCACTAATGATATTATTCTATACCTGGAGAACCCTAAATACTCTGCCAAAAGGTTCCTATAGCTGATAAACTACTTCAGTAAAGTTTCAGAATACAAAATCAATTTACAAAAATTAGTAGCATTGCTATGTGTAAATAAAATCCCAGTGGAGAGCCAAATCAAGAATGCAATCCCATTTATAATAGCCAGAAAAATATATATATACCTAGGAATACATATAACCAAGGAGGTGAAAGATTTGTACAAGGAGAACTACAAAACATTGCTGAAAGAAATTATAGATGATACAAGCAAATGGAAAAATATTCTATGCTCATGAATTGGAAGAATCAATTTCATTAAAATTGCCATAACATCCAAAGATATAGACAGGTTCAGTGTGATTCCTATCAAATTCCCAATGCCATTTTTCACTGAACTAAAAAAAAAAAAAACTATTCTAAAATTTATATGGAACTAAAAATGGGCCCAAATAGCCACAGCAATCCTAAGCAACAAGAATAAAGCCTGAGGAGTCACTTTATCCTTATTGAAACTATGCTACGAGTCTACAGTAACCAAAACAGCATGGTACTGATACAAAAACAGACCCATAGACCATTGGAACAGAATAGAGAAGCCAGAAATAAAGCTGCACATCTACAGCCATCTGATCTTCTACAAAGTTGACAGTAACAAGCAATGGGGAAAGAACTCCCTATTTAATGAATGATGCTGAGATAACTGGATAGCTGTGTACACAAGAATAAAACCGGACCCCTAGCTTTCACTATATATAAAAATTAACTCAAGATAAAATAGACTTAAATGAAAGGCCTAAAACTCTAAAAATTTTAGAAGAAAAACCAAAGAAATACCATTCTGAACATCAGCCATAGCAAAGAATTTATGACTAAGTAACGAAAAACAATGGTAATAAAAACAAAAGTTGACAAATGGGACCTAATTAAACTAAAGAGCTTCTACATAGCAAAATAAACTGTTAATAGAGTAAATAGCCTACAGAAAGGGAGAAAATAATTTCAAACTATGCATCTGACAAAGGTCTAATATCCAGAATCTATAAGAAACTTAATTCAACAAGCAAAAAACTACTCCCCTCATTAGAAAAGTTGGAAAAGGACAGGAACAGACACTTCTCAAAAGAAGGCATACATGCATCCAAAAATATGTAAAAAAAAAAAAGCTCAATATCACTAATCATCTGAGAAATGCAAATCAAAACCACAATGAGATACCGTCTCATACCAGTCAGAATAGCTATTATTAAAAAGTCAAATTTTATTAAAAATTTATTAAAAAGTCAAATATTATTAAAAAGTCAAATAGCTATTATTAAA
The DNA here is from genome assembly GCF_000001405.40 of Homo sapiens. NCBI lineage: Eukaryota > Metazoa > Chordata > Mammalia > Primates > Hominidae > Homo > Homo sapiens. The sequence continues at coordinate 27,112,865 of NC_000014.9, read as the reverse complement.
AAGTCAAATCTGTTATTAAAAAATAAGATGCTGGAAAGGCTGCAGAGAAAAGGGAATGCTTATTCACTTGGTGGGAATGTAAGTTAGTTCAACCACTGTGGAAAGCAGTTGGGAGATTTCTCAGATAATTTAAAACAGAACTACCATTTGACCCAGCAATCCTATTACCAGGTATATACTCAAAGGAAAATAAATCATTCTATCATAAAAACAAATGCATGCATATGTTCATAACAGTAGTACTGACAATAGCAAAGACATGGAATCAACCTAGTTATCCATCAACAGTGGATTGGTTAAAAAAAAATGTGGCACATATATAGCATGGAATACTATGCAGCCATAAAAAAGAACAAAATCCTGTTCTTTGCAGCAACATGGATGCAATTTGAGGCCATTATTCAAGTGAATTAACACAGAAACAGAAATCTAAGTACCACGTGTTCTCAGTTATGAGTGGCAGCTAAACATTGAGTACACATGGACGTAAAGATGAGACAAATAGGACCAATAGTCACTGGTGATTACTAAAGTGGGGAGGGTGCACTGGGGACAAGGTTTGAAAAACGACCTATTGAGTACTGTCCTCACTACCTGGGTGATGGGATCCTTCATACCCCAAACCTTAGGGACAAGTAATTTACTCATGTAAAAAACCTGCACGTGTTCCCCCTGAAGCTAACAGAAAAGTTGGAATAAAAAAAAAAAAAAAGAATCATCTGAGCCTCGGAAGTGGAGGTTGCAGTGAGCCCTGATCACACAACTGCACTCCAGCCTGGAGTGAGATCATATCTCAAAAACAAAACAAAACAAAATGAGAAATAAGAAAACACTGGAAGCCTGAGAAGAGAAGTAGAAACAATAAGAAAAATCAAATTCTTAAAATGATAAAATAAATACATAGAATAAAACACAGAAATTCATCATGACTTTGTGGTATGACAATACTTCTAAGACAATACACAAAGAGGCACAAATCATAAGGAAAAAAAGACAAATTGGAATTAATTTTTAAAATTTGTGCTTCAAAAGGCACTATTAAAACAATAAAAATGTAAGCCCACTATTAAAACAATAAAAATGTAAGCCACATACTGGGAGAAAATATTTGCAATACAAAATACTTGACAAAAGGCCTGAATTCAAAATATG